>NC_000004.12:147671381-148296381 GCF_000001405.40 Homo sapiens
TCTTCTGTCCATTCTTTCTTTCTAGAAAACTTTACTCAAAGACATACGAAAATAGTTTCTCCCTTCTCTGAACTCCTTCAGCATTTATTGCCAGTATCACTCATTTATGTAGTTAGAAGATAAGAAAAGTTTCATGAATATTCTTTATCTTCCTATCTAGACTGTAAGTTCCTTGAGGGTAAGAATGACTTTGGTATCCTCCACAGTGGCTAAACCCAACTTCTTATATACAGAAAATATCCAGTATTTATGATTGCATACACTTAGAATGTGAAAGGTGTTTCAAATCATCTGGTCCAATACCTTGAGGTCTAGACATTTGCTTAAGGTCAAAATAAATTAATAATAGTCTAATCTGGAATCCATAGCTCCTGGTTCAAAACCAATAGATCTTTCTACAACATTATCTGTGAGAAAAAGGTAGATTAAATTAAGGTAACTTTGATTCATGCTGACTCATGTCCCTCTCAAAATTCATACTGAAGGCCTTAACCCCGAAACTGACTATACTGGAGAAGGAAAGGCCGTGTAAAGACACAACAAGAAAGCAGAATCTGCAATCCAGGAAGAGAATCCTCACAAGAAACCAAACTTGCCAACACCTTGATCATGGTCTTCCAGCCTCCAGAACTGTGAGAAAATAAATGCCTATTGTTAAAGCTACCCAGTCTGTGGTATTTCGTTATGGCAGCCCAAGTGGAACAAGACAACTGAGGACAGTGTTTTTAGTGTTTTTTTCTATAAAATGGGTATGACATTTGCATTAATCTAATAGGAATTTTTTCATGAGAATAAATGTAGAGACGATTGAAAAGTGTTAGGTACTATGTTAAGATAAATACTATTATATGTATGGAAGAAAACTTTTTAAAGTCATAGTTGATATAAGGCACAAAAACATCTTCTTTCAATACAAACTGAATTGAAGTAAGATTGGAAGTTAAACCCAGAAGAGACAGGTAAAGTAAGTGCTACATAAAGAAAACTTTGTCTCTAAAATGACTAGTGTGGAACCAGATCATTTTCAAATTCCTTCTAGCTCTAAAATTCCATCACCCTTGTGATATGGATCGGAGTGAGAAAACATACTAAAAAGCCAAGACTTATATGACTTATATTCAAATCATTTAAAGGGCCCATGCCAAAATATACTGACAGCTGACATTTCCAAAGCTTTCATTTTAAACAAGTATATTAACACAAAATGTGATAAGTCCATTGAATCTGAACTGCTTGTGTTTTCTTTTTAAGTACAACTTTTTAGCAGTTATTGACCACACAGGATGAATTATCCATTTTTACAATGAGAACACTGAAATTAACAAAGGTAAAGTAACTTGCTAAGATCAAGTTTATTTGATCCCTTGCCACAAATTTTTCTCAAGATCTTTAAATATTTTTAATAAAGAATATAATTTTATTTAAATATGTCTTATAATAAACTATCTTATCCTATATCCATATCTTTACAAAATAAGGGTTTTGTAGCATTTTGTTTGGACTAAAAGCTAGAAATATATCTTAGTTTTTTAAAAATAGAGAAGTATAAACACTAAAATTAGTTTACATGATAATACCTTTCGGGAATATGTTTTGGAATCTCTATGTCAAGTGACTTCGTATGTAAGAGTTTGATCCCTGCTTCCATCTTGTTTGCTGCCACGACATCACAGGCAAGTTCATACATGGTCTTGGATAACTCACAGGCATACACGGAATGTGCTCCAGCTTTTTTAGCAAACATGCTACAAGGGAAAAAAGTTCTCCATCAAGAAAAAATAATCTACTGTATTTTCTCAAATTTTAAGGAAATGATGATGCTAAAATGTGGGGTTTTTCCTTTTATTCTTTAACACAACCATTACTCACTCTGCATTAAAAAATAAACTAATATTCTTGTCTAGAAACAAATCATACAATAAACCATGGGATCTACTCTATTAAAGACACAACTGGCATTGTATCTTTAATGAATACTAATGGGCTTTAACTTAGACAACTAGATTCCATCAGAATGTTAACATAAAAAAGACTCAAATTCATTATTCAAAATTTCAATAATCCCAAATTTTTCTTAGCAGTTATGTCCAGTTCTTGATAAAAGTTATAGTAAAAAACATAATAGTTACATAAATAACCCTAACAAGATTATAAGAAATACTTTTAAATTCCAATGTTAAATTTTCCATATCTGGCAAAATCTTTAATTTACATTAGAATACATGTATATACCATTAAAATGCAATTACTACCAACCTTAGTATTCCAGTTCCTGCTCCAATGTCCAAAACACTTTTGGACCCCAAACAAACTGCCTTTTGGATTGCTGCATTATAAATTGTATTCCTCTTGGTGTCATTAAGCATGATAAAGTGCCAGCGTTCCACCAACCAGTTTGCAACACGATAAAAATTCTCCTTTGCATCACTGAAATCAGGGTTTAGCTTCACTGCTTTATGAAAATACCCAGCTGCTTCATCCCTAAAGCCCATTCTAGAGTAAAAAATGACAAAAGACAAAATATATTCAACTATATGCTACCAACTGCAGTACCTTTGTTTATGCCACTCACTTGGCCTGGGAATTCCATGCCAGCACCCCAAATCCTGCCAATCCAAGTGCTACCTCTTTTGGGAAGCTGTCTGTGAGGACTGCAAGCCTCAGTATTTCTTTCTTTTCTGAACCACTACATTTATATATTCCGGGAGACAAACAAGTACCTGACTATAAATTACTGTTATACTAATGTATAGCAGAAGCTCTCACAGTCATCCTCCATTTAGCCAACTCCATTCCCTCTGTACAACACACTAATGCCTATGGCTTAGTAGGCTCCTCTTTGTGGGGGCCGGCATGCCTTTTGTCTCAGCAACTGAGTTGAATAGTCATCAAGAGTCAGTTGTATTTGCTGCCAGATCAGTTTATGTCAGTTGTACTTGTTATTATAATTACGTATTTTAACTAAATATCATACTAAGTAAATAAATATCACCGCAGAAAGGGAACCATTGTGCCTACAGACACTAAGCTAAATAAATGCTCTGGAAGAAAATCAAAGGCAAGTCACTTAAAATTAAGTACTATTTAATTATATGTGAGCAAATAAAAAATAAAAGGAGAAAAAAAAACCTATCCAACCCTCTAGAACAGTGCTTCTCAAACTATCTGTAATGAAGAACCTCTCCTCCCTTTTCTTCTTAATTTTTTATTTTTAAGACTAGTCAAGTGCAATACTGAGAAGGAGAGAATCCTCCCTTTCTTAAACATCTAATTGTTTGCAGACTGATATGGCTGTATTGCACATGATTCATATGGAGCTCACGTAATATCAGATTTCACCAGCACCCAAACTGATCTATATACTCTCTTCTGCATTACAGTTTCCTAACCATATGCTTGGATTTACAGCAATGTCAAGTTGCTACACCCATTTCCAAACACTTACTCTCAATTTCTATACTTACCTGTCATTAACCAGTAATCTGTGGGTGAGCAGCAATGTGTGGACCACACATGGAACAGAACTGAGCTAGTAGAACCCTCTTCATTCACAGTTCTTCATAAGTACCTTTAAGCATTCTGCCAAGTTTAGAGAAACTTTTTTTTTCTTTTTTTTGAGACAGAGTTTCGCTTTTGTTGCCCAGGCTGGAGTGCAATGGCACGATCTCGGCTCACTGCAACCTCTGCCTCCCAGGTTCAAGCGATTCTCCTGCCTCAGCCTCCCAAGTAGCTGGGATTACAGGAATGCGCCACCACGTCCGGCTAATTTTGTATTTTTAGTAGAGATGGGGTTTCTCCATGTTGGTCAGGCTGGTCGCAAACTCCCGACCTCAGGTGATTCACCCACCTCGGCCTCCCAAAGTGCTGAGATTACAGGCGTGAGCCACCGTGCCCAGCTAGAGAAACTTAATCATACTATTCATTCCAGGTATGGTTTAAGCAAAAGAGACATTCTAGAAGTCCAAACGGGACTGCACTCTAACAAAAAACAATGGTCCTATGTCAAATAAGAGACATTCATGATTTAGGTGAAAATTTCAATGTTTTCAGTTAATATATGTTATTTTAAGTTATCTTGAAGGTAGAACTATCTTGTTCTTATTTGCAACTACCATTGTACATAGTATAGTACCATGTACATTGTATGTAATCATTATTTTTTGTGAGACTAATTCAGCAATGGGTATTAAACACACCCCTAATAATTTCCTGGGTTTGTGCTTCCCTTAGGTTTGATATTTAATACATTATCAATTTCCTTAAACTGAAATTCTAATCTAAAAAATATATAATCTACTCCATTAAAGCATATCTCATTGAAAGACCCAATATGTATCACTGATATGATACAACGTATCAGTGAAACATAAGAATGCCAGAATGCCCTTTTTCTTTTAACTAGGAAAAACATTATCTTCTTGATTAGCAATTTAAATACATTTTGTTTAAATCTGATGCTACTGGACTAACAAAAGGTTGTGAAGTTGAGACACTCCAGACACATTTTATTACACAAATAAGTGTCAGGAGAAGCAGCTATCATTTACTTTGGAAATATTTTTCTCCTGGAAGATTCTTTTGGTGGGGAGTAAATGATACGCTATTTTTGATGACAAAAGGAGTATAGAACAAGAACCATTGTAAGTCAAGAACAAAGGTAAATTCTATAGCAAAAGCCACATTCACACTATCCCGAATTCTGAACTGCTACCGTCCAAATTAGAAATTTTGCTTAGTTACATCTCCCCAAAGCAAACTAATACCAAGTATTTTTTGTCTCAATGACTGGTAACTGCTCAGACTAATGTCCTACAACAACAGGTCACCAAAAGTTACAATCTGTCAAAAGTATGTAGAGTTCCACTTTTCTGTTAAATTGAGTTTATCCTGAAACATAAGTCTTGGAATGTTATGATCACCGTATGTGTATAATCTGGAAATATAATTGAATCCTATAGAGTAACTCTCATTATATAAAGAACAAAAGAAAACTTTGGAATTAAAATATAGATTTTTTTAACTAATTTGAGGAGATTATTCATAAAAAAAGATTTTTAAAAATATTTTCAAACAAATTTCATTTAGGTGGAAAGAGGTTGCTAATTTGTAGAAAATGGATGCTGTAGCTGATCAGGTTAGCTGTTAACATGAACAAGTAACCCTCAGTTAATTATCTGCCTTATTTTTCTAATTATTAACATACTCTACAATTAAAAACTATCAAATATTTGTTTTTTAAAGGAGAATTCATTGTCACTCCCTAGGCCATGTTAATTAAGACTATTAAAATGCCTTGCAGTTACATTACTGAGACTAGCTAATAAAGTTTGGCAAAGTGTTTCTTATATAGAACTTTTCATTGAATAAAACTTAATACAACTTGGCTGCACGTCATAGCTCATGTCTTTGGGCGCCACTTTGGGAGACCGAGGCGGGTGGATCACTAGAGGTCAGGAGGTCGAGACCAGCCTGGGCAACATGGTGAAACCCCATCTCTACTAAAAATACAAAAATTAGCCGGGCGTGGTGGCATGTGCCTGTAATTCCAGCTACTCCGGAGGCTGAGGCATGAAAATTGCTTGAACCTGGGAGGCGGAGGTTGCAGTGAGCTGAGATCCTGCCACTGCACTCCAGCCTGGGTGACAAAGCAAGACTCCGTCTCAAAAAAAAAAAAAAAAAAACTTAATATAACCAAATAAGGAAAAGAATGATACTAGAGAACAATTACTGAACATGTAAAGGGATCTTTCTATATAAAATAGGACATTATAATCATGTTTCCTAAACAAGAATTCTCCCATTATTTTGTACAAGGCAGTGAAATTAGATGTATTAAAACAAACCCAAAACAAAAATTTTTTGTTTTCACCAGTTTTTCCTAACTATAAAGTTTCTATGGAGAGTACACAAAAATTCCAAAGAAAAAAAAGGCTGTTCTATGAAAAAGTTACATTTCATTTACAAAAACACTTATGTATACATAAAAAACTCACTACTACTTTGTTTATATTTTCAATTTATTAAGCAGCCTCAACAGAAAGTCATTCTGTCTTGACAGGTAGAATTTTTTTTTTTTTTTTTTTTTTTTTTGAGATGGAGTCTCTCTCTGTCACCCAGGCTGGAGTGCAGTCGCGCAATTTTGGCTCACTGCAACCTCCACCTTTCAGGTTCAAGCAATTTTCCTACCTCAGCCTCCCGAGTAGCTGGGACTACAGACACGTGCCACCACACCCGTTTACTTTTTGCATTTTTTTTAGTAGAAACAGGGTTGCACTATGTTGGCCAGGCTGGTCTCGAACTCCTGACCTCAACTGATCTGCCTGCTTCGGCCTCCCAAAGTGCTGGGAATATAGGCATGAGCCACCATGCCCGACCTAGAATTTTTTCAAATAAGCAACTGTTAACAAAAAATTCTACACATCAAATCTCAAAATTTTTTCTGAGGAGAGACATACGATCCAAAATTGTAATAAATATTCATACAACTTATTGTGAATGACCATATAAAGAGTTTACATTAATTATCACAGGGGAGTACATTTGTCAGGTTAATGATCCATGTTCTTCTTAAAAGTTATTTATAAAACATTATTTCTCCACACTGAAAAAAAAAAGCATAATACTGAGTTGATTGCTCTATTAATTTAATGTCTTAAAACTGTACAGAGTACATACACTGCATTCCCAGAGCCCTAGCCCTGCACAGTCTAGTGAGCCACGCAAGGGCCCCATGGGCACCAGAGACAAAGGTAGCAGATTGATTGTTAAGAACTAATGAACTCGAGATACGTTTAATAAGAGAAATTCTGTGGTCACTTAGGAATTTTGTAGTTCATTATTCATAACATTAAGGTTTTTTTTAGCTGGATGTGATTTGAGGGAAAGAGAAAGCAATTAGTGAGGAAATGCATGAAAATACCTAAAAGGAACATTTAAAATGAGATTAACTAAATTCCTACGAATGTGAGCAATTGTCACTTTCAAACTTGGCAGAACCATGCTGAGTCCCCATCACTCTGAAACGTTCAAACTCAGAAGCAATGTTAACCATTCATTTTATTTCCTGTACTTTCACAGAATTCTTCACGCACATGTACTAGTATGCAGAGTTAACATAGCAGGCCTGACTGCCATCCTTTGAAAGGCCTGATTACAAAACTGTCCCTTGGCTGGCATCTGGGAATTTGGATTTGGGGAGGGTTCTCACTATCCTAACTGATAGTATTCCTAAACTGATTATACAAACAATGTGGTTTATGCTCAACAGCTGACCTGCTTTTCTTCTGGGAATCTAGGATTTTAGTATATGCCAGGCAGAGGGTACCCAAGTGTCCAGCTCCCAGTAGAAACCCTGGGCACTGAGCCTCTAATGAGTTTCCCTGGTTGGCAACATTTCACGTGTACTGTCATAACTCACCGTGGGAATGAAGTGCATCCTGCGTGACTTCACTGAAAAAGGAACTTTGGAGGCTTGCACCTGGTTTTCCTTTACACTTTGCCCCATACACATTTACCCTTTGCAAATTTTGCTTTGTATCCATTCACAGTAATACACAAGAGCCATGACTAGGACTACATGGTGAGGCCTGTGAGCCCTTCCAGCAAATCAGCAAATCTGGGAGTGGTTCCAAGACTCCCAACATGTAAGTTATCAACTTATTGCCAAATTCACCCTTTTTTGCCTGCTCTGTGAAAACTGTATCTGGCCCTTTAATATTCTCCCACCAGTTGGCACAAGGGTAAGCTTTGTTGGTAAAAAGTGCGGAGAGGCCGCGTGCAGTGGCTCAAGTCTGTAATCCCAGTGCTTTGGGAGGCCAAGGCCAGAGGATCGCTTGAGCCCAGGAGTTCCAGACCAGCTTGGGCAACAACATGGCAAAATCCTGTCTCTACAAACAAGACAAAAAATTAGCCAGGTGTGGTGGCATGTACTGCAATTCCAGCTACTGGAGTGCAGGTGGGGGCGCTGCTGAGGTGAGATCACCAGAGCCTGGGAGGTCAAGGTTGCCATGAGCCATGATGGTGCTACTGCACTCCAACCTGAGCGACACAGTGACACACTGTCTCAAAAAAAAAAAAGTGCTGGAGGCCAGGCGCAGTGGCTCACACCTGTAATCCCAGCAGTTTGGGAGGCTGAGGCGGGTGGATCGCTTGAGGTCAGGAGTTCGAGACCAGCCTGGCCAACATGGTGAAACCCTGTCTCTACTAAAAATACAAAAATTACCTGGGTGGGGTGGCAGGCGCCTGTAATGCCAGCTTCTCAGGAGGCTGAGGAACGAGAATCACTTGAACCCAGAAGGTGGAGAGGTTGCAGTGAGCTGAGATCACGCCACTTCACTCCAGCCTGGGCTACAAAGTGAGACTCTGCCCCCAAAAAAAACAGTGCTGGAGAGACACTGTAGCAAGAAAGAGTTTTGCTTCCTGCACAGGGCTTGTCTAGCACCAAGCTCCTGAAATGCATGGCAGCTAGCAGCATCCAAGGGTCAGCAGCTTCCCCAAGGCTTCTTACCCTACTACATGGTTTTGTAATGGAGTACCTCTGATAAGATACTTCCCCATGAGGCTTTCTCTGGCATCCCAAGAGGCAAAACTATACCCAGGTCCAGAAAACAAATTTACAAGAAGTTCCCTGGCAAGGCACTACAGTGACTTTTCTGCCATCCTAAGAATCACAGCTGTGCCCTCTCCAATAAGGGGTGGCACTCAGCCCAGTGAGGGGAACTCTTCCTTGGATATTCTGTCTTACTCCTAAGGGCAGTGGCTATTATGCCGTATATTACAAAATATTAAAACTGCTATGATTATTATATATCTGCTATTCTTTTCAATTCTCCTTAATAATTCTCCATATTAAACTTTCCCTGTTAAAATTACAGTATGATTTATCCCTATCCAGACTAATACAGAATAATTCTTAACAAGTAATACTAAAATCACTACAAACCTGAAGAGATGCTCCCCCATACTATTGCAAATCACTTCATCATCAGGAAACAGTTCCAAGGCCTGCTCATAGCAACCAAGTAAGTCTTGTATCCGACTGAGAGCATCAAGCTCTTCAGCCCATCTGAAAAGTGTGTACTGAAAAGTTTCCTTTACAAATAAGAAAAAAATTATGAATTAGTCAATAACATAAAAGATGAAAGAATATACATCATTAGTTGAAGATTCCAAGCAATCGAACTTAATCACTATTGAACAATCACCTTAAACTTCATTTAACTTTAGTAGGCACTGTTTTCTGAACAAGTGCACAAATGAATGAATTTTACCACCTACATGGCAATAATAAGCAGAATTAGTCTGACCACTCTCTAAACTCCCCCCACTCTTAGCTGCTGTATCACATTCTCCTTATTCTCCAGAACTGCCTCACTTTTGTCGGCTCCTGTGTTTTTGGAGTTTGTCCTTGGCCCTCTTCTTTTTTCACTCATCCATCCCTAACGCATTTATTATCACCCATGTGTTAATGGATGCTACATTTACATCTCTAGTCAAGACCTTCTCTTCTGAACCTCAGACTCATAGATACAGCTTCCTATTAGTCATTTCAACCCGGCAATGGATCTCCAGCCATTGCAAATGTAGTCCAACTCAAATATTTCCTGAACAATCCTTGTGCAAAGAACTGAAGCAACATAAATCTTGTTCTTATCCTCACAGAGGCCCTATAGAGAGAAATTTAATTTTGGAAAAGTTCAAAATGTTCTACACTGAACTCATCATACTCCTCTGACACAGGCTATAAGATTAAGACACCACTCAACCTCAAACCACAAAGTCACCTTATAATGGTACCTTAACTCCACATACACTGTTTCAAACCTAGCCAATGCTCTCTCAATATCTTTAAATCTGTTACCTCCTCTCCATTCCCACAGTTACAACCTAATCTGGCCCTTGTAACCACTTGCTGGACTACAGCAACAGCCTTAACGCTGTCACTCTAATTCCAACTGCATCTCCCTCCATCCATTCTCCATGCTGCAATACTGTGGAAAGAGGGAAAGCTTTAGTCATTAAAACATTTTAAATCATCTTCACATATTTTATACAAAAGCGTTGATATTTGGAACTGAATCTTGAGGGAGTTTACTAGAGAGACAAGGATAAGAAAGGAGATTCTGGCCGGGCACGGTGGCTCATGCCTGTAATCCCAGCCCTTTGGGAGGCCAAGGCAGGCAGATCACCTGAGGTCAGGAGTTGAAGACCAGCATGGCCAACACGGTGAAACCCCATCTCTACTAAAAATATAAAAATTAGCCAAGCACGGTGGCGAACACCTATAATCCCTGCTACTCAGGAGGCTGAGGCAGGAGAATTGCTTGAACCCAGGAGGTGGAGGTTGCAGTGAACCGAGATCGCACCACTGCATTCCAGCCTGCGTGATACAGTGAGACTCTATAAAAAAAAAAAAAACCCCGCACAGATTATATGAAATGGATCAGAGGGTCTACAGATAAGTGGCTTGGTGTGGCCGGAGTTTGGGTATGGGGAATAGAGTAGCAGGCAATGAGCATTTTACAGGGGGCCCATACAAACAAACACAGACTTTGTTCGGCAGGAAACAGACTAGTTGCTTACCCTACTGAATGTCAGGCATTGCACTACAAATTTTAAATATACTTTTTTATTTTTTCTTTTTGAGATGGAGTCATACACTGTCGCCCAGGCTGGAGTGCAATGGCACAATCTGGACTTACTGCAACCTCCGCCTCCCGAGTTCAAGCAATTCTTCTGCGTCAGCCTCCTGAGTAGCTGGGACTACAGGCACATGCCACCACGCCCAGCTAATTTTTTATTTTTATTTTTTTTTCTGAGACAGAGTTTCGCTCTTGTTGCCCAGGCTGGAGCGCAATGGCGTGATCTCGGCTCACCACAACCTCTGCCTCCCAGGTTCAAGCAATTCTCCTGCCTCAGCCTCTCGAGTAGCTGTGATTACAGGCATGCACCACCACGCCCAGCTAATTTTGTACTTTTAGTAGAGACGGGGTTTCTCCATGTTGAGGCTGGTCTCGAACTACTGACCTCAGGTGATCCACCCGTCTCTGCCTCCCAAAGTGCTGGGATTACAGGCGTGAGCCACCGCGCCCGGCCTAATTTTTTAATTTTTAGTAGAGACAGGTTTTCACCATATTGGCCAGGCTGGTCTCAAACTCCTGACCTTGTGATCCACCCGCCTCCGCCTCCCAAAGTGCTGGGATTACAGGCCTGAGCCAGCACACCCAGTCTAAATATACTTTTAATACCCAGTAAACATTTTTAAGAGAGGCTGCGTCCCTGTTTCACAGAAGAGGAAACTAAGAAACAAGTAACTGAGGAAAGATCACTTGAGTTGATCCATTTTTCTATTGCTGCCTACCAAGAGAAGCAAACTGTATCTCAACATATCATCTCCTCCTCAAGTAGGACAGCTGGTCCTGAAATTTACACTAAGTTTACATGAACTACAAACATCTAGACGCTACTGACATTTAGTGGGTAGAGATCAAGGATGCTGCCAAACATACTGCAATGCACAGGACACCTCCCCTCCCCCATAACAAAGAATTATCCCATTCAAAATGTCAATAGTGCTGAGGTTGACAAACCCTCAGTCTAAATGAAGCAAAGTAATTGCAATTTTAAGTTAAATCATTTTTCGTAATTTAGATTCTAAAAGTACTTCAAAAAAGAACAGCATTTCAACAGAGTAATTGTTGCAAATAATCCAATAATTGAAGTTTAAAGAACGCATCATTAAATGATAATCACTTTAGGCTAATTACACACTTTATTCAACTAGAGGCCCACTATATTCCTACTACACACAATATAACAAATCCAAAAGCCCTCAAGCCAGGGCATGCTTAAATTAGATATAAGGAGAAGAGGATCACGTGAGACCTCATTTCCAATTCGAGGGCCTTTAAAATTTTAAACGAGATGAAAGTTTTGAAACTGAGAAATGACAACATTTGACTTTTGTTGCAAAAAGCTAGCTATGTTGACACAGACTGCAGGAGAGAGCTCAGTTGAGAGCCGACTGCAACAGCCGGCAGATGACTGAAGCTCGAACCAGGGTAGTAAAGGGGAAGATGGTGAGAACTGGTAAGATTCTGGACATATTTCGAAGGTGAAGACGGCAGGATTTTCCTCTGGGCTGGTCGTAGGTGTGAATAAACGAAAGATGTCAAGGTTGAACAGTAAACATTAATAGCAAACACCCAACCAAGCACCCTAGCCCCTCCGCCTTTTTTCTTTTCTTTTTTTTTACGAGGACGTTGGATCGGCCAGCAAGTGAGAAAAAAGGGCCCTAAATATTAACAGCAACCACCCACCCAGGCACCCTAGCCCCTCCGCTTTTTTTTTTTTCTGTTTTTTTTTTTTTTTTTACGAGGACGTTGGATCTGCCAGCAAGTGAGAAAAAAGGACCCTCACCTTCACGTCGTGTTTCAGCTCCGGCGCCAGGCTGAGCACGAGGAGGTAGTGGGCATAGGCAGTGCCGAAGTCCTGGACGCCCAGACAGTGCTCTGCGCTCTGCAAGGACCGCGACACCAGCTCGTCCCGGCCGGCTGCCCCAGCGCCACCCCCGGCGTCTCGGCGGGACCTGGGCCGCGAGTTCGACATGGCAGTCACCACTTGTATGGCCAAAGGGAAGATATTTTGTAAACGTAATTAGAAAACTCTCTCGATGCTACACTTCCAGGGACCAGACAACTGCTCAAAAAACAGCACAGCAAAGTTACCCTCCGCCGCGGGTGAACTCGCCAACCCCAGCCCAGGCGGAAGCTCCGCCCCGTCCTGGCCCCGCGGGCGGCGCAGACCGTGACGCATACCCCACTATTGCGCACCTGGCCAGCGGCGCACGCTACGCGAACGTCAGCGCGCCCGACGTGGGCACGTCACTGCTGCCCATTCCCGCAGGAGCGACCACTGTGCGTGAGCATAGGAGAACGTCTGTGGCAGGACCTGTCCGGTCTTGCGCCCTTTTTTTTTCCCGGCTGAAAGCAGAGCTTTCTCTCCCTCTTGCACTCCGGGAGTGTGTGGCTTTCGACTGCAAGACCCTGTTGTACAGACCCAGGCAGCGCGAAGCGCCACCCGCTCATGAGGGACGGTCAAGCATTTGTGATGATGCTTAAGACATTTTGGATCGTGATGCACAAAATTTCAAGACCTGAAAGAACCTGGAGATAACAAAAGCATCTCAGACGTGGTAGAGGAAATGCTTTCACAGGCATTTCAAATCATTCTCACAAAACCTGGCTAGGTGGACCTTTGGATCACACTCGTCTTAATGATGGCAAACGTGGTATCTTGAGAAGTGACTTGCTGGAGGTCACACAACCAGCTAGTGGCATAGGCATGGTTCAAATCCAAGTTCTCTGACCACCTATCTGTTCAGTTATAAGATGAGCTTAGGGGTTATTTCACTGTTCGTGTCTTATCACTGTATAGTGTTTACATTAATACAAAGTTTTTCCACATTCAAGTGTGGCCTCTAAGATACAGATTCGAAACTCAAAGGGAGGGGAGCATAGTTATTACGGCTGAAAAGTTATTTTTGTCCCCATTTTCAAATTCATTAATGGATAATATCTTAAATCGAGCATTTTGCATATCACACTAATACATTTTGAGGGCTCCTCTAATTCTCAAAAACACGTCATGCATTTTTGCCTTCTCTTCTGATCCAATTATCTGAACTACCCTTTTTTCTGAGCACTCGCCTGTGTAAATCCTAATCCGTTTTTCAGGTTCCAGCTCACTACATTGTGAGCTATTCTTAATCACTTTTGTGACCTTTGCACCTAGCGGATTATGATGCAAAGTAAGGACTTTGATTTTTTCTTCTTTCTTTTCTTTCTTTTCTTTTTTTTCTTTTTTTTTTTTTTTTTTTTTTTTTTTTTTTTGAGACAGAGCCTCACTCTGTCGCCAGGCTGGAGTGCAGTGGTGCGATCTCGGCTCACTGCAACCTCTACCTCCCAAGTTCAAGCGATTCTCCTGCCTCAGCCTTCCGAGTAGCTGGGATTACAGGCATGCACCACCACGCCCGGGTAATTTTGTCTTTTTAGTAGAGACAGGGTTTCTCCATGTTGGTCAGGCTGGTCTCAAGCTCCTGACCTCAGGTGATCCGCCCGCCTCAGCCCCCCAAAGTGCTGGGATTACAGGCATGAGCCACTGCACCAGGCCAATTATTTGCATTTTTTCGTGGTTTATCTATAACTTCAAGATTTTCTGTACATAGAATAGGTCATTTGAAAAAATGGAATGACACAAATAACATGGAACATCTGGTCACCTTAAGAAACTGGAATTGGCAACAGCCTTTCATGCTAAAAACTCTCAATAAATTAGGTATTGATGGGATGTATCTCAAAATAATAAGAGCTATTTATGACAGACCCACAGCCAATATCATACTGAATGGGCAAAAACTGGAAGCATTCCCTTTGAAAACTGGCACAAGACAGGGATGCCCTCTCTCACCACTCCTATTCAACATAGTGTTGGAAGTTCTGGCCAGGGCAAACAGGCAGGAGAAAGAAATAAAGGGTATTCAATTAGGAAAAGAGGAAGTCAAATTGTCCCTGTTTGCAGATGACATGATTGTATATTTAGAAAACCCCATCATCTCAGCCCAAAATCTCCTTAAGCTGATAAGCAACTTCAGCAAAGTGTCAGGATACAAAATCAATGTGCAAAAATCACAGGCATTTCTATACACCAATAACAGACAGAGAGCCAAATCATGAGTGAATTCCCATTCACAATTGCTTCAAAAAGAATAAAATACCTAGGAATCCAACTTACAAGGGACGTGAAGGACCTCTTCAAGGAGAATTACAAACCACTGCTCAATGAAATAAGAGAGGACACAAACAAATGGAAGAACATTCCATGCTCATGGATAGGAAGAATCAATATCGTGAAAATGGCCACACCGCCCAAGGTAATTTACAGATTCAGTGCCATCCCCATCAAGCTAACAATAACTTTCTTCACAGAATTTGAAAAAACTACTTTAAAGTTCATATAGAACCAAAAAAGAGCCCGCATTGTCACGACAATCCTAAGCCAAAAGAACAAAGCTGGAGGCATCATGCTACCTGACTTCAAACTATACTATAAGGCTATAGTAACCAAAACAGCAAGGTACTGGTACCAAAACAGAGATATAGACCAATGGTACAGAACAGAGCCATTAGAAACAATACCACACATCTACAACCATCTGATCTTTCACAAACCTGACAAAAACAAGAAATGGGGAAAGGATTCCCTATTTAATAAATGGTGCTGGGCAAACTGGCTAGCCATATGTAGAAAGCTGAAACTAGATCCCTTCCTTACACCTTATACAAAAATTAATTGAAGATGGATTAAAGACTTAAATGTTAGACCTAAAACCATAAAAACGCTAAAAGAAATCCTAGGCAATACCATTCAGGACATAGGCATGGGCAAGGACATCATGACTAAAACACCAAAAGCAATGGCAACAAAAGCCAAAATTGACAAATGGGATCTAATTAAACTAAAGAGCTTCTGCATAGCAAAAGAAACTACCATCAGAGTGAACAGGCAACCTACAGAATGGGAGAAAATTTTTGCAATCTACCCATCTGACAAAGGGCTAATATCCAGAATCTACAAAGAACTTAAACAAATTTACAAGAAAAAATCAAACAACCCCATCAAAAATTGGGCGAAGGCTATGAACAGACACTTCTCAAAAGAAGACATTTGTGCAGCCAACAGACACAGGAAAAAATGCTCATTGTCACTGGCCATCAGAGAAATGCAAATCATAACCACAATGAGATACCATCTCACACCAGTTAGAATGGCGATCATTAAAAAGTCAGGAAACAACAGGTGCTGGAGAGGATGTGGAGAAATAGGAACAATTTTACACTGTTGGTGGGACTGTAAACTAGTTCAACCATTGTGGAAGACAGTGTGGTGATTCCTCAAGGATCTAGAACTAGAAATACCATTTGACCCAGCCATCCCATTACTGGGTATACACCTAAAGGATTATAAATCATGCTGCTATAGACACATGCACTCGTATGTTTATTGCGGCACTATTCACAATAGCAAAGACTTGGAACCAACCCAAATGCCCATCAGTGATAGATTGGATTAAGAAAATGTGGCACATGGCCGGGCACGGTGGCTCACGCCTATAATCCCAGCACTTTGGGAGGCCAAGGCAGTCGGATCACGAGGTCAGGAGATCGAGACCATCCTGGCTAACACGGTGAAACCCCGTCTCTACTAAAAGTATAAAAAATTAGCCAGGCATGGTGGCAGGCACCTGTAGTCCCAGCTACTTGGGAGGCTGAGGCAGGAGAATGGTGTGAACCCGGGAGGTGGAGCTTGCAGTGAGCCGAGATCATGCCACTGCACTCCAGCCTGGGTGACAGAGCGAGACTCGTCTCAAAAAAAAAAAAAAAAGAAAAAATGTGGCACATATACACCATGGAATACTATGCAGCCATAAAAAAGGATGAGCTCATGTCCTTTGTAGGGACATGGATGAAGCTGGAAACCATCATTCTGAGCAAACTATTGCAAGGATAGAAAACCAAACACCACATGTTCTCACTCATAGGTGGGAATTGAACAATGAGAACACTTGGACACAGGAAGGGGAACATCACACACCTGGGCCTGTCGTGGGGTGGGAGGAACGGGGGAGGGATAGCATTAGGAGATAAACCTAACGTAAGTGGCGAGTTCATGGGTGCAGCACACCAACATGGCACATATATACATATGTAACAAACCTGCACGTTGTGCACATGTACCCTAGAACTTAAAGTATAATTAAAAAATAAAAAAACAGAGCAAACCAGAAACAGAAGGAAAAAAAAGAAACTGGAATTGGCTGGGTGCGGTGACTCATGCCTGTAATCCCAGAGCTTTGAGAGGCTAAGGCTGGAGAATCACTTCAGGCCAGGAGTTCAAGACCAGCCTGAGCAGCATAGCAAGATTCCACTTCTACAAAAAATTTAAAATAAAAAAGTTAGCTGGATGTGGTGACACACATCAGTGGTCCTAGCTACTCAGGAGTCTGAAATGGGAGGATCTCCCAGGAGTTCGAAGCTTCAGTAAGCTATGATTGCACCACTGCACTCTAGGAACAGAGCAAGACCGTGTCTCAAATAAGTAGATAAACTGGAATAGTAAATATATTTTGATTACTATTTTTTGTTCCTTTATTACCTCAGTACTGGTTGAGGCTGAGTTACTTAAGATTCTTCATCTTTATGAAGATTAACTGAATTTATTGTAATTACCTTTCATGCCTTTTGGAAGAGCCCTATATTCAGAGAACCCAGAAGTACAATGAAAAACAAAGGCAGAATGTAGGTTATACTTTTTTATTCTTTTTTTTTTTTCGAGACAGAGTCTTGCTCTATTGCCCAGGCTGGAGTGCAGTGGCACGATCTTGGCTCACTGCAAGCTCTGCCTCCCGGTTCACGCCATTCTGCTGCCTCAGCCTCCGGAATAGCTGGGACTACAGACGCCCGCCACCATGCCTGGCTAATTTTTTTTGTATTTTTAGTAGAGATGGGGTTTCACCGTGTTAGCCAAGGTGGTCTCGATCTCCTGACCTTGTGATCCACCCGCCTCGGCCTCCCAAAGTGCTGGGATTACAGGCATGAGCCATCGTGCCTGGCCTACTTTTTTATTCTAAATCAAAGATTTCTTTAGAGACATTGAAAGCATCACTTTTTTGTTGACAATAGCCGTTTTGCCCCTCACAACTATTATCTTTACCTCTGAGAGTCTATTTGGTTCCTTCCTTTGCATTTCCTTTTTACCCTCTTTTAGGATTCTAAGAAAAACCTCAATGATATAGAAGACCACTGCTGACTGGGAGGCAGGTCCAAATGTGGTTGTGTTTCATCGTATTCTGGGCACCTTGTCAGCAAACCACACATGCCAAACACAGAAGTAAAACCAGCTGAAGGGCTCTTAGTCAAATTTCCAATGTGCAAAAGTTTAAGGTTAACAGGTGGGAAAAATGCTCGTAGAAAGTGTATTAAAAAGGAGCCGGGAGCAGTGGCTCATGCCTTAATCCCAGCACTTTGGGAGGCCAAGGTGGTCAGATGACTTGAGGTCAGGAGTTCAAGACCAGCCTGGGCAACATGGTGAAAACCTTGTCTCTACTAAAAATACAAAAATTAGCTGGGCGTGGTGGCGTGAGCCTGTAGTCCCAGATATTCGGGAGGCTGGGGTGGGAGGATAGTTTGAGCCTGGGAGATGGAGATGGAGGTGGCAGTGAGCCCCAATCATGCCACTGCACTCCAGCCTGGGTGACAGAGCCAGACTCGGTCTCTAAATAAATTAATTAATAAAAAAGAAAAATATAGCATATTAACAAGGGACAAACAGCTTGTTGGACACAAACTATCCTGTGTTTATAAATGTGGAAGTTCTTTTTTTTTTTTTTTTTTTTTTTTTTGAGATGGAGTCTCACTCTGTCACCCAGGCTGGAGTGCAGTGGCGCTATCTTGGCTCACTGTGTACTCCACCTCCCATGTTCAAACAATTCTCTGCCTCAGCCTCCTGAGTAGCTGGGATTACAGGCGCCCACCACCATGGCCTGCTAATTTTTTTTTTTTTTTTTGGTATTTTTAGGGGTTTCACCATCTTGGCCAGGCTGATCTTGAACTCCTGACCTCATGATCCACTCGCCTTGATCTCCCAAAGTGGTGGGATTTCAGGCATGAGGCACTGCGCCCAGCCTGGTTCATTCTTTTTTTCTTTTTCTTTTTCTTTTTTCTTTTTAGAGACAAGGTATCTATCACTCTGCTGCCCAGGATGGAGTGCAGTGGCACGATTATAGCTCACTGCAGCCTCAAACTCTTAGATCAAGTGATCCTTCTACCTCAGCCTCCTGAGTAGCTGGGACTACAGGTCCACACCACCACACACAACTAATTTTTTAATTTATTGTACAGATAGAGTCTTAGCATGCAGCCCAGGCTGCCCTCGAACTCCTAGCCTCAAGCAATCCTCCCACCTCAGCCTGCAAAAGTCCTAGGACTGCAGGTGTGAGCCACTGTGCCCTGTGAGGTTTATACATTTTTCTGTGATCTGGTTTGTTTTATTTTTGGTTTGGAGCCCTGTTCGCAACCCTTTGTGCATTTTAGGATTATTTAGGGAGCTTTTAAACAGTATCAGTGCCTAGACCTCATCCCCAGAGATGCTAATTTAGCTAGCCTGGAACAGGGCTGGGCATGAGTATTTTTGCTATGGTTATCTATAGATTTAAAGATGTGTGGTGGCTCATACCTGTAATCTCAGCACTTTGGGAGGCTGAGGCAAGTGGATCACCTGAGGTCAGAAGTTGGAGACCAGCCTGGTTCAACAAGGCAAAACCCCGTCTCTACTAAAAATACAAAAATTAGCCGGGCATGGTAGCACGCACCTGTAGTCCCAGCTACTTGTGAGGCTGAGGCACAATAATCACTTGAACCTGGGAGGTGGAGGTTGTAGTGAGCCAAGATCGCACCACTGCAAAAGAAGTCATTAAATATCTGATTAACCTGAAATGGAGGCGCTAAGGAGAACTAGAGAAAGGAAGAATTGAAAAATGTGACAAAAACAAAGACTACAGGACTTAAAACAACTACATGATAGGAGTAGCAGGGACATAAGAAAAAGAGACAGAGTGAGACTCTGTCTCAAAAAAAAAAAATTAAAGATACTCTCTTTAAGAGATATGTTATAAGACATAAGGCCAATGTAGGGAGTGAAAATATAATTTTTATGACCTGTTAGAATTGTGAGGATTCTCTCAATTGAATTATTTTGAATTTAAGTAATTATTATACGATGAGGAATAGAATGTTCATCTTACTGAATTACCTGTTGAAGAGAAAATTTTATAATTGGATCAACAAAATACTATGGCTACAGACCAACTGTTGGGATTGAAATTTACTTTGATACATTCTCACTGCTAAGTATTTCCAGCTTATTCAATATATTTAACTAAAATTAGGATACTTTGTTGTTTTATAACAGCCCTTTTCTAATTATTCCATATGCAATTTCAAAATCTAGAAGTCAATTTAAATATAAAATTGTAATAATGGCCAGACTAATGCTGGGTTTGGAATCTGAGTGTTCTCAGTGTACAAGGTCCTATAATAATATGACAGCAGAGTTCAGAGATGATATGAGGGAAAATCCACTTGAGCGCTACTCTGTACCAGGTCCATTCTCACTCTGCTATAAAGAACTACCTGAGACTGGGTAATTGACGAAGAGAAGAGATTTAATTGACACACAGTTCCACAGGCTTAACTGGAAGCATGACTGTGAGGCCTTAGGAAACTTATAACCATGGCAGAAAATGAAGGGGAAACAAGTACCTTCTTTACGTGGAGGCAGAAGAGAGAACGAAGGGGGAAGTGCCGCACACTTTTAAACCATCAAATCTCATGAGAACGAGAATAGCAAGGGGGTAATCTGCCCCCATGATCCAATCACCTCCCACTAGGCTCCTCCCCTGACATGTGGGGATTACAATTCAACATGAGATTTGGGTGGGGAGACAGAGCCAAACCAGATCACCTGGTTTAGGCAAAGCATCCTTTTTAAAATTTCTCATTGTCCCCTGATCATAATGCTGTCTCAGCACTTAACCTATTATGTCCAAATGGTCTGTTTGTCCTCCTGACTAGAAAGTGAGTTCCTAGGCCTCAAGGAAGTATGTCTTATTCATTTTTCATCACTAGCATTCAAAATAATAACTAGAACAAAAGAAATCATTAAATATCTGATTAACCTGAAATGGAGGCGCTAAGGAGAACTAGAGAAAGAGGAAGAATTGAAAGATGTGACAAAAACAAAGACTACAGGACTTAAAACAACTACATGATAGGAGTAGCAGGGACATAAGAAAAAGGGAGAATTAGGCCGGGCGCAGTGGCTCACGCCTGTAATCCCAGCACCTTGGGAGGCTGAAGCAGGTGGATCACCTGAGGTCAGGAGTTCGACAGCAGCCTGACCAACATGGTGAGACCCTGTCTCTATTAAAAACACAAAAATTAGCCAGGCGTGGTTGCGGGTGCCTATAATCCCAGCTACTTGGGAGACTGAGGCAGGAAAATCGCTTGAACCCCGGGAGGCGGAGGTTGCAGTGAGCCAAGATTGTGTCATTGCATTCCAGCCTGGGTAACAACACTGAAACTCTGTCTCAAAAAAAAAAAAAAAGAAAAAGGGAAAAATTGAAGATGATGCCAGTACTTTTGGCATAAGCAACCAGGTGGTGCCATTAACCAGGATATGAAGTGTAGAGAAGGGAGATGAACAGATTTGAAGAGAAAAATGATTAGTTATGTCAACCAAAATTAAGGCTGTTGAGAGAGAAATAATTTGATAAAGGTTTACTGAAAGCCAAATACGAAGATTGACCCAGGAAGACACATCAACAAAGTTGGGAGTGTTCCAGAGTCTGTTACAAGTTGGAAAGCTTTTATAAGACAGTGTAGGAGAAGGTAGGGGGACTTCTCATACCGGAGTTGTGTTTTTTCATTGATGGGTGTAACACAGAGGTTATAATCATTGGCCACAGACTGCAACATATAGGCTAAAATGTCTGCGTGCAATACAATCAGTAAAACTTTATGATTCTGGCCAGGCACGGTGGCTCATACCTGTAATCCTAGCACTTTGGGTGGCTGAGGCGGATGGATTGCCTGAGCTCAGGAGTTCGAGACCAGCCTGGGAAACATGGCAAAACCCCGTCTTTACTGAAAATACAAAAAATCAACGGGGCACGGTGGGGCGTGCCTGTAATCCCAACTACTGGGGACACTGAGGCACGAGAATCGCTTGAACCTGGGAGGCGGAGTTTGCAGTGAGTGGAGATCATGCCACTTCACTCCAGCCTGGGCAACAGAACGAGACTCTGTCTCAAAAAAAAAAAAAAAAACTTTATGATTGAAAAATAAATTGGCATTCTTTTTAGTGTTAGTAGGTTATACATTAATCAGTAGGTCAACAATTTGAGGAAGTCATAAGATTCTTTATTCAGGGACAGATGTCACCATGAATCACAAGACCTTAAAGAAAACTAACAAATGTGACCCATAGCTTATCAGTTAAATGGCTGTGTTTGAGGTATCTGGACATCAAGTGAAGATGTCCAGTGGGCAGGTAAGAAAGTATGTTTAGACCTCACTGGAAATATCTGGTCTAGATATAAGTATTTGGATGGGTTTTGTTTGTTTGTTTGTTTTTAGAGATGGAATCTTGCTGTGTTGCCCAGGCTTGGTGCAATCATGGCAAACTGCAGCTTCAACCTCGCAGGCTCAAGTAATCCTCCTACCTCAGTCTCCAGAGTAGCCGAGACTACAGGAACACGCCATCACACCTGTCTAATTTTTGTGGTTTTTGTAGAGATGTGGTCTCTCCACGTTGAATGGGCCAGTCTGGAACCTCTGGGCTCCAGTGATCCTCTTGCCTTAACCTCCCAAAGTGCTGGGATTACAGGCATGAGCCACTGCACCCAGCTGGAAGTTTTAACTAAGTTGGTAGGTTGAAGTTGTAGCAATGATTATAATTCTCCTGGAAAAGTGTGTAGAAGGAGGAAATATGCATCACAAAATGCAGAATGAGGAAAGAGTGGCAAAGCCTCCTCTGAAATTGCTAATAGAAGAAAGTAAGATATTGGATAAAATGAATAAGATTTTATAGAAATGAACAATCTTAAGAAATGGCTTATAAATGAGTTGCCAGTAGGACCAGGGTCTCTCATAAATCTAGTTAGAGCAATAGCATATAGAATAAATAAATATAAAAAATGTGAATAATTACATTTTTCTCAATATAGTAGTTCTCCTTATCCATGAAGGATACATTCCATGACCCTCAGGTGATGCCTGAAACCACGAATAATAACAAACTCTATATAGACTATGTTTTTTCTTATACATACATTCCTATGATAAAGTTTAATTAGGCACGGTAAAAGATGAAAATTAGGCTGGGCGCAGTGGCTCCTGCCTGTAATCCTAGCACTTTGGGAGGCTTAGGCAGGTAGATCATTTGAGGTAAGGAGTTCAAGACCAGCCTGGCCAACATGGTGAAACCCTGTCTCTACTAAAAACGCAAAAATTAGCTGGGCATGGTGGTGCGCGCCTGTAATCCCAGCTACTCAGGAGACTGAGGCAGGAGAATTGCTTGAGCCTGGAAGACAGAGGTTGTGGTGAACCAAGATCGCACCACTGCACTCCAGTCTGGGCAATGGAGTGAGACCCTGTCTCAAAAAAAAAAAGAGATGAAAATTAATAATAAAATAGAATAGTTATAATAGGGCGGACCCGGTGGCTGACACCTGTAATCCCAGCTCTTTAGGAGGTCGAGGCAGATGGATCATCTGAGGTCAGGAGTTCAAGACCAGCCTGATCAACATGGTGAAACCCCATCTGTACTAAAAATATAAAATTAGCCGGGCATGGTGGTGCATGCCTGTAATTCCAGTTACTTGGGAGCCTGAAACAGAAGAATAGCTTGAACCCGGGAGGCGGAGGTTGCAGTGAGCTAAGATTGCGTCATTGCACTCCAGGCTGGGCAACAAGAGCAAAACTGTGTCTCAAAAGAAATTAATATTATTATTATAATAATATACTATAATAAATGTTATGTGAATATGGCCTCTCTTTCTCTCTCTCTCTAAATATCTTATTGCACTATATCATGGGTAACCGAAACCACAGAAAGGGGGGATCTACTGTATATTATAATTCATCTTTACGATAAGGATTTTTTAATGACTTGATAAAAGTAAAAGTTGAAAAGTTAGAATTTTGTGGTTTTTCTCCAGGACAGTCTGTGTTTTGATTCTAATAAAAAGTGCTAGTTATCTATATAAAAATATAATTTAATATATTGATATTTGTTGAATGCATTCTGTATAGTAGGCAATGTTTTAAGTAATTTAATGTTTTACCAGCCAGTATCTTTCCCTCTTTTTCTGGGAACTGTTTACATTAGTCAGCTTTTATTAGATTATACTACATAACAAACAACTCTGAAAATTCAGTGCTGTCTTAGTCAATTGGTAAAAAATAGCTGAGACTGGATAACTTATAAATAATAGAAATTTCTTTCTTACAGTTCTGGAGGCTGATAAGTTGAAGATCAGACCGATGGCAGCTTTGGTGTCTGGTAAGGGCCCAGGCTCTGCTACCAAGATGGCACCTTCGATGCTATATCCTGTAGAAGTGATAAACTCTGTGTCTTCACATGGCAGAAAGGATGGAAAAGGCCAAAAATGGCCTGGGTTGTTTCCACCGGCATTTTTTTTTTTTTTTTTTTGAGACAGAGTCTCGCTCTGTTGCCCAGGCTGAAGTGCAACGGCACGATCTCTGCTCACTGAAAGCTCCACCTCGCGGATTCCAGCGAATCTCTTCAGTCTCCCAAGTAGCTGGAATTACTGGCGCCCCCCCCACCATGCCCAGCTAATTTTTGTATTTTTAGTAGAGACGGGGTTTCACCATGTTGGCCAGGCTGGTCTCGAACTCCTGACTTCAGGTGATCCGCCTGCCTTGGCCTCCCAACATGCTGGATTACAGGAATAAGCCACCGCACCTGTCCACCACCAGCCCTTTTAAAGCATCACTAATCATATTTACAAGTGCAGAAGTCCTCATGACTTAATCGATCTCCTAAAGGCCTCAACTTTGAATACTATAACACAGGTGAGTAAATTTTAACATGAATTTTGGACACATTTAGACCATAATAAGTACCTTAGAAAAGAAAGGACTATTTCTTGCTTATATTACATGTAGACTACAAATTGCCTACAATGCTGCTCAGATTTTGAGAAGGCTATGACTCTGCACCATGTATTCTCTCATCCTGGATTGCAGATTGAAAAAGCAGTTCCTATGTGAAACCTGCTCATTCTCATGGCAGAGAGGGAAAGCCATGGAACTGCTAAAAAATCATGATGCTTCTTAAAGTTTCTGCAAAACTGTATGTATGTCATGTCCTCTCTAGATCGGGTGCAGTGGCTCACACCTGTAATCTCAGCACTTCGGGAGGCCAAGACAGGCAGATCACAAGGTCGGGAGATCGAGACCATCCTGGCTAACACGGTGAAACCCCATCTCTACTAAAAATACAAAAAATTAGCCAGGTGTAGTGGCACGCACCTGTAATCCCAGCTACTCAGGAGGCTGAGGCAGGAGAAATGCTTGAATCAGGGAGGCAGAGGTTACAGTGAGAGGAGATCGCGCCACTGCACTCCAGCCTGGACAACAGAGCAAGACTCCATCTCAATAAATAAATAAATAAATAAAATAAAAATGTCCTCTCACACTCTATTGGTGAAAGCATATTATTGTGGTTAAGTCCAACCCCAAAGGGAAAGGGATATCCACTCTTCCTGCAAGGAAGAGGGCACTTCAGTTTGCATATTCATGGAAAGAACAGAGTGAATACTAGAGGACGATATTACAATTTACTACACTGTTCCTCTGTCAGCTTAAGCTCTGTTCTATCTCCCACTCCTCAGATCAGTAGTAGCATGAAAATAACAGCCCAAATTCCTGGTACCAGAGATGGAAATATGCACATCATGTACAAATTATCTGTTCTGACCTGTTTGGTGGCTCCCTGGAATACTGATTGAAAGGCTTGTCTTTATTTCACCTAACTTCTAACTAGCCTAGGGCTAAAGCTTCTTGCCACAGGGCATTTGCTGAAAATATTTAGTCTAACGTCTAAATATTTTCCTAAGATGTCTAAATAGGTTCCTGCTGCCTGTGGTGATAGACAATAGCTAGGTCAATCAATAGACTAATCAAAATGCTTAGGAGGGAAGGCTGGAGAATGAGATGGTCTATAAGGGTTTTCAAAAGTTCTGACAGATTCCTGAGAATCAAGAAGGTCAAATGCATGCTTAGGGCTATGCAAATACCCCGGGAAAGCTGAAAAAGACCCTAAACTTACCCCTCCTCCTGACCATGAGGCTCTAAAAAAGTAGCATGTGAAGGCTAAGGCAGAGTTGTAAAATGCCTGGTGAGTCTTGAAAGCATGTCACAACGAATACACAGAGCCCCACTGCAAAGACTGGAAGATTTTTTGGTTCTAGGTGTTTAAGAAAATCTCTGTTCTCTCATTAGCTGACCAGTAAGCTAATGTAACAGAGACTTCAGGATCCACATGTAACAAAGAACAGACTATAAAATTAGTTCAGAAAATTCACTAAACAAACTATAACTACAATACTAGCACAACAACACACCCTAGGGAAGGGGGAGGAGCTGATTTCTAGAATTGCCATATTATAATATTTAAAATGTCCAGTTTTCAACAAGAAATTATAAGGCATGCCAAGAAATAAAAAAAAATATGGTCTATAAACAGGAAAAATAAATTTATAGAAACTATGCCTGAGAAAGCCTAGACATTTGGGCTTTTTTAGGCAGACTTTAAACAGGCTATTTTAAATATGATCAATAGCTAAGCCATGTCTTAAGAACTAAAGTAAATATACGAATCATGTCTTGTCAAATTGAGAATATCAATGAAGAGATAAAAATATAAAACTGTCACGTCACAGTGATTTTTAAAAACAGGCTGGGCTGGGCGCGGTGGCTCACACCTGTAATCCCAGCACTTTGGGAGGACAAGGCGGAAGGATCACGAGGTCAGGAGATCGAGACCATCCTGGCTAACACGGTGAAACCCCATCTCTACTAAAAATACAAAAACAAAATTAGCCAGGTGTGGTGGTGGGCACCTGAAGTCCCAGCTACTAGGGAGGCTGAGGCGGGAGAATGGTGTGAACCTGGGAGACGGAGCTTGCAGTGAGCCAAGATCTTGCCACTGCATTCCAGCCTGGGCGACAGAGCGAGACACCATCTCAAAAAACAAAACAAAAAAACAGAGGCCGGGCTCAGTGGCTCATGCCTGTAATCCCAGCACTTTGGGGGGCCGAGGTGGGTGGACCACCTGAGGTCAGGAGTTCGAGACCAGCCTGGCCAACATGGTAAAACCCCGTCTCTACTAAAAATACAAAAATTAGCTGGGTGAGGTGGCAGGCACCTGTAATCCCAGCTACCCAGGAGGCTGAGGCAAAAGAATCGTTTGAACCTGGGAGGCGGAGGTTGCACTGAGCCGAGATTGCGCCATTGCACTCCAGCCTGGGGGATAAGAGCAAGACTTCGTCTCAAACAAACAAACAAACAAAAAACACAGAATCCAGGCCGGTATGGTGGCTCACGCCTGTAATCCCAGCACTTTGGGAAGCCAAGGTGGGTAGATCACCTGAAGAGTTCGAGACCAGCCTGGCCAACATGGTGAAACCTTGTCTCTACTAAAAATACCAAAAAAAATGTAGCCGGAATTTGTGGAACACACCTGTAATCCCAGGTACTCGGGAGGGTGAGGCAGGAGAATCACTTGAACCCAGGAGGTGGAGGTTGTAGTAAGCCGAGATAGCACCATTGCACTCCTGCCTTGGTGACAAGAGTGAGACTCCGTCTCAAAAAAAAAAAAAACAAAAACAGAACCCAACTCCCAACTATATGCTATCTTCAAGAGATTCACTTTAGATTAAATACACAAATCAGTTGAAAGCAAAAGAATGGAAAATGTATTTCAGGCAAACAGTACTGATAATAGAGCTGTTGTGGCTATACTAATACCAGACAAAATAGACTTTAAAACAAAAATTGTTAGACAAAGAAGAACATTATATAATGGTAAAAGGGTCAATTCATCAAAAGACATAACAATTATAAGTATATATGCACCCAACAAGAGAGCCCTGAAATACGTGAGGCTAAAACTGACTACATTAAAAAAGAAAAGGACAATTTAAAACGATAGTCAGGGGACCTCAATACCTTACATTTAATAATGGATACAACGATTAGACAGAAAATCCATAAAGAAATAGAAGATATGAACATCACTATATATCAACTGGACTTAAACATGTGTATAATGATCCACTCAACAACAGAATACACACTTCTCAAGTGCACATAGAAAATTCTCTGCAATAGTCTATAATTAGCTCATAAAATACGTCTAAATAAGATTTAAAAATTAAAATCAGGCTGGGTGTGGTGGCTCATAACTGTAATCCCAGCACTTTAGGAGGCCGAGGCGGGTGGATCACTTGAGGTGAGGAGTTTGAGACCAGCCTGGCCAACGTGGCAAAACCCCATCTCTACTAAAAATGCATAAACTGGTCGGGGGCGGTGGCTCACACCTGTAATCCTAGCATTTTGGGAGGCCAAGGCGGGAGGATCATGAGGTCAGGAGATCAAGACCATCCTGGCCAACATGGTGAAACCCCATTTCTACCAAAATACATAAAATTAGCCAGATGTGGTGGCATGCGTCTGTAGTCCCAGCTACTTGGAAGGCTGAGGCAGGGGAATCACTTGAACCCAGGAGGCAGATGTTGCAGTGAGCCGAGATTGTGCCACTGCACTCCAGTCTGGGCAACAAAGTGAGACCCTGTCTCAAAAAAAAAAAAAGAGATGAAAATTAACAATAAAATAGAATAGAATTATTTATTAATAATAGAACAGAAAAATAATAATAAAATAGAATAGACTCTACCTCAAAAAAAATAAATTTTAAAAACAAGAGCAAACTAAATCCAAAGCAAGCAAAAGTGTGGAAATAAATTATTTAGAAAATAGAAAAACAATAGAGAAGATAAATGAAACTAAAAACCAATTTCTTGAAAAGATTAACAAAACTGGCACCTTTAGCTAGTCTGAACAAAAAAAAAAGAGAAAAGAGTCAAATTACTAAAATCGTAAATGAAATATGAGACATTACTACCATTCTTACAGAAATAAAAATAATTATAATGAAATGCTAGGAAAAAATTGTATGACAACAAATTAGACAACCTAGATTAAATGTACAAATTCCTAGAAATACACAAATTAGCAAAACTGACCTATGAAAAAATAGAAAATCTAAATAAACCTATAACAAGGAAAGAGATAAAGCTAATTTTTAAAAACTTTCAGCAAAAAAAGCCAGGACTCGGCTTGGTACAGTGGCTCATGCCTGTAATCCTAGCACTTTAGGAAGGCAAGGTGGATGTATTGCTTCAGTTCAAGAGTTTGAGACCAGACTAGGCAACATGGCAAGACCCTGTCTCTACCAAAAATAATTTTTTTTTTTTAATTAGCCAGTCGTGGTGACACTTGCCTGTAGTCCCTAGCTACTCAAGAGACTGAGGTGGGAGGATCACTTGAGCCCAAGAGGTTGAGGCTGGAGTGAACCATAATCATGCCACTGCACTCTAGGCTGCGTGATATGGTGAGACCGTGTCTCAAAAAACAAACAAACAAATCCCAGGACCAGATGACTTCACTAGTGACTCTATCAAATAGTTTAATAAGATTAACACAAACTGACATCAGCAAGACAGCCAAGAGTTGCCTGATGCTCATATTCCCCATAAAAATGGAATAGAACACCATCCTGGTTAACATGGTGAAACCCTGTCTTTACTAAAAATACAAAAAATTAGATGGGTGTGGTGGTACCTGCCTGTAGTCCCAGCTACTAGGGAGGCTGAGGCAGGAGAATCTCTTGAACCCAAGAGGCAGAGGTTGCAGTGAGCCAAGATCGCACCACTGCACTCCAGCCTGGTGACGAAGCGAGACTCCGTCTCCAAAAAAAAGGAATAGAACAATAAATAAACAGCACTATTTCAACTCAAGTGACTGAAGAAGTACACTGGAAAGCACAAGGCACCTTGCATCTACAACACTCTCTCCATCAACAGGATTGGCTCAGAGCCAGGGAAGTCTTTCTATGGGGAAAAGATAAGCTGGAGACTTCATTACCACCACAGATGTCAGTAGTCCTTCTACAGGAGGGTCCCCCAGTTTTCACAGGTTCCATATCCAGTTTAGAGAGTTGCCAGGAATTTACATGGCTGCATTGCTCCAGAGTAGGAGCCCATATTGTGCACCCACATCCCCACAACCTAAAGTGCTGCAGCATGGTGCCATCTTGAATATGGACCCACTGCTAAAGTGTGTCCTGCCCTGGAGGCCAATATCCACTGCCTCTCTCTATCCCTGAGGCCCTGTCATCATTCTACCACAAAAACACAGGTGCCTACAGCACCACTACACCAGCTTCCTGGAGTCTAGGCCTGACAGAATGACCGAGACATGGGGGCACACAAACCCATGTTTCACCCCGCCCCCCAAAAGATGAATCTGCACAGTTGAAGGCTGGGCGCGGTGGCTCATGCCTATAATCCCAGCATTTTGGGAGGCCAAGTTGAGTGGATCACTTGAGGTCAGGAGTTGGAGACCAGCCTGGCCAACATGGTGAAACCCCATCTCTACTAAAAATACAAAAATTAGCTGGGCATGGTGGCGGGCACTTGTAATCCCAGCTACTCAGGAGGCTGAGGCAAGAGAATCACTTGAACCCGGGAGGCGAAGATTGCAGTGAGCCAAGGTCACCACTGCACTCCAGCTGCACGACAGAGTGAGACTCCATTTCAAAAAAAAAAAAGGAGAGAGTAGAGCAGTGGTTATCAGAAACTGGAGATGGGCAGGAAGAGAGGAGGGTAGGAAGAGAGGAGGGTAGGAAGAGAGGAGGGTAGGAAGAGAGGAGGAGGGGATGACTTTGGTCGAAAGGTACAAAGCTACAATTAGATTGGAGGAATAATTTCATAACTTCTGGTATTTTATTGCACAGTAGGGTAACTATGGTTAACCATAGGGTATTGCATATTACAAAATAGCTAGAAGAGAGTGTTTAAATGTAGTAAGCACAAAGAAGATCAATGCATGAGATGATGGATGTGCTAAGTACCCTAATGTAATAATTATATAATATATACGTGCATTGAACTATCAAATCGTACGCAATCCTTATGTACAATTACAATGTGTCAATTTAAAAAAATTTAATATTAACACAAGTTTTTCTAAAAGTCTTCCAAAAAAATAGAAGGGAAAGGAACACTGAACTCAGTCTATGAGTCCAGTAATACCCTGATACTAAAGCCAGACACAATATTTGAAGAAAAGAAAATTAGAGAATAATATATCTTATGCATATATACGCAAATATTCTCAATGAAAAGCTAGCAAACCAAATCCAGCAGCATATAAAAAGGATTATACATGATAATCAAGTGGGATTTATCCCAGGAATGCTAGGCTGATTTAACTTATAAAACTTAATCAATGTAACATATCAAAGAAATAGAATGAAGGGGGAGAAAACCCATGCAATCCTATCAATAGACCCAGAAAAAGTGACAGAATCTAAATCCTTTTTATGACAATAGCACATAAGAAACTAGAAATAGAAGAAAGCTTTCTAAGTCTGCTAAATAGCATCTATAAAAAGCCCAGAGATAACATATGTAATAGTGAAACATTAAAAGCATTCCTCCTAAAATCAGAAATAAGACAAGGATGTCAACTGTCACCATTCTATTCAACATTGTGCTGAAGATTCTAGCTAGGGCAATTAAACAAGAAAAAGAAATCAAAGGTATACAGATTTGAAAGGAAGAAATAAAATTATCACTGTTTGCAAGTGAAATAATCTTACATAGAGAAAACTCTAAAGGATCTACAAAAAAAACTCTTAGAGTTACTAAACAAGTTCAAGAACATTGCAGAATACAATATTTAGAAATCAGTTGCATTTCTATGCATTAATAATGAACAATCTGAAAATGAAATAATAAAACAATCCCACTTATGAAAGCATTAAAAGAATAAAATACTTGGGAATAAATTCAACATAGTAGGGTTGTACACTAAACACTAAAAAATATTGCTGAAAGAAATTAAAGATCTAAATATATGGAAAGGCATCTACTGTTCACAGATTATAAGACTTACTATTGTTAAGATGGTGATACTCCAAAGTGTTCTATAAATTCAGTGCAATCGCTGTCAAAATTCCAACTGTCGACCAGACACGGTGGCTCACACCTGTAATCCCAGCTCTTTGGGAGGTCGAGGCAGGTGGATCACCTGAGGTCAGGAGTTTGAGACCAGCCTGACTAACATAGCGAATCCCCGTCTCTAGTAAAAAATACAAAAATTAGCCAGGCATGGTGGCGGGCACCTGTAATCCCAGCTAATCGGGAGGCTGAGACACGAGAATCACTTGAACCCAGGAGGGTTCAGGTACCTCACTGTACCTCACTGCGGAGGCTGCACTACAGCCTGGGTGACAGAGTGAGACTGCCTCAAACAACAACAACAAAAATGCCAATTGTCTTGTTAAGAAATAGAAAAGTTGATCCTAAAATTTATATGGAATTGGAAAGGACACAGAATAGCCAAAAAAACTTGAGAAAGAACACAGTTGGAGTCCTCACTCTTCTTCATTTTGAAAGCTTACTACAAAGCTATAGCCATCAAGAGAGTGTGATACTAACACAAGGCTAGATCAACGGAATAAAACTGTGAGTTCATAAATGAACCCATGCTTTTATGATCAGTTGATTTTTGTTTTTGTTTTTGTTTTTGTTTTGAGACAGGGTCTTGCTTTGTCACCCAGGCTGGAGTGCAGAGGCACAATCACGGCTCACTGCAGCTTTGACCTCCCAGGCTCAAGCAATCCTCCCACCTCAGCTCCCCAAGTTGCTGGGACTACAGGTGCATGCCACCACACCCGGCTAATTTTGTTATTTTTTATAGAGACAGGGTTTTGTCGTGTTGTGCAGGCTGGTCTCAAATTCCTGGGCTCAAGTGATCCTCCCACCTCAGCCTCCCAAAGTGCTTGGATTATAGGTATAAGTCACCATGCCCAGCCAGCGATCGCTTGATTTTTTTTTTTTTTTTTTTTGAGACGGAGTCCCACTCTGTGGCCCAGGCTGGAGTGCAGTGGCACGATCGCAGCTCACTGCAAGCTCCGCCTACCGGGTTCACGCCATTCTCCTGCCTCAGCCTCCCAAGTAGCTGGGACTACAGGTGTCCGCCACCACGCCCAGCTAATTTTTTGTATTTTAGTAGAGACGGGGTTTCACCATGTTAGCCAGGATGGTCTCGATCTCCTGACCTCGTGATCCACCCGCCTCAGCCTCCCAAAGTGCTGGGATTACAGGCGTGAGCCACTGCGCCCAGCCTGATCACTTGATTCTTGTCAAGGGTACCAAAACCATCTGGTGGGGAAAGAATTGTCTTTTTCACAAATGCTGTTGAAACAAGTGGGTATCCATATCTAAAATAATTCTGAAGTTGAAAACTTGCCTTAAAAATATACAAAACTTCAAAGTGGATCAACAATCTAAATATAATAACAAAAACTACAAAACTTATAGAAGAAAACATAGGTGCAAATCATCATGACCTTGGAATTGGCAATTTTTAAGAAGACTTTATTCTTTAGACCAATTTTAGGTTCACAACGAAATTGAATGGAAAGTACAGAAAATTTTCACATGACCCTGACCCAGCAACATGCAGCCTCTTTTAATATCAACATCCCATACCAGAGTAATGCATTTGTTACCATCAATGAACCTACTGTAAAATAAATAAATACTAAATAATAAATAAATAAAAGTGTAGGACTTCCAAATTTATTTTGATAAAGAGAAAAGTTAAACCCTAAAAGCTGACTCACATAACACGACTGTTTTTCTTCTGTGGTGCATGACCATTGCTTTCTAAACTTTGTGTTGAGATGTTATACATTAACCAGAATCCCTATTCTTAATTCAAACCTAGACTAAATGCTGTAAAAATAGAGACCCTATGACTGTTACAATAAAATGTTAAACAACCCTGTTAGAGTGTAATCAATAGTAGCCCATCAAATCTCATATCTATATGTTAGTCTTCATATAGAAAATGTTATTTTGTTCAACACCTCTATTTTGCCTATATAAACCATCCTCATTTCTCATTTTTCTCCACATCAGGTCACTAATCACCATTCTTTTATTTTCCCCCCCGAGGCTGGAGTGCAGTGGTGCAATCTCGGGTTATGGCAACCTCCATCTCCCAGGTTCCTGGGTTGAAGCAATTCTCCTGCCTCAGACTCCCAAGCAACTGGGATTACAGGGGCCCACCACCACACTCAGCTAATTTTTGTATTTTTAGTACAGACGGGGTTTCTCCATGTCGGCCGGACTGGTCTCAAACTCCTGATCTCAGGTGATTCACCTGCCTTGGCGTCCCAAAGTGCTGGGATTACAGGTGTGAGCCACGGCACCCAGCAACTAATCACCATTTTGTGTGTGTGTGTGTGTGTGTGTGTGTGTGTGTGTGTGTGTGTGACAGAGTAGTGCTCTGTCACCCAGGCTGGAGTGCAGTGGCGTGATCTCGGCTCACTACAACCCCTGCCTCCCAGGGTCAAGTGATTCTCCTGCCTCAGCCTCCTGAGTAGCTGGGATTACAAGTGCCAATCACCATTCTTTGGTGTAGCTCTGCTACCCAGATGGCTGCCCTCACACTTGGCTTTTAAATAAACTCTTTTAACTAGATCCTAAGCTTTTTGACTATTTTAGGTTGACACTATATTGCAAATCATCTCCTGCTCTGTTGGTTTCATCATACCTCAATAATAAAAAAAGACATCTTAATTTTAATTTTAATTTTAATTTTATTATTTGTAGAGATGAGGTCTCCCTATGTTGCCCAGGCTGGTCATTATTGTTTTAAAATATCATTTTTAGGCCAGGTGTGGTGGCTTACCCCTGTAATCCCAGCGCTTTGGGAGGCTGTGATGGGAGGATCACTTGAGCCTAGGAGTTCAAGACCAGCCAGGGGGAAAAATGTGAAAGATCTTAAATTTCTGGCCAGGTGCAGTGGCTCATGCCTGTAATTCCAGCACTTTGGAAGGCCAAGGTGGGCAGATCACCTGAGGTCAGGAGTTTGAGACAAGCCTGGCCAACATAGTGAAACCCCATCTCTAATAAAAATACAAAAATTAGCCGGGCGTGATGGTGCATGCCTGTAATCCCAGCTACTTGGGAGGCTGAGGCAGGAGAATTGCTTGAACCTGGGAGGCGGAGGTTGCAGTGAGCCAAGATCACAATTGCACTCCAGCCTGGGTGACAGAGCAAGACTCTGTATCAAAAAAAAAAAAAAAAAGTTATGTTTACACTACCCTGTAGTCTATTAGGTATGCAATAGCATTATGTCTTTAAAAAAACGTGCATGCCTTAATTAAAAAATGCTTTATTGCTAAAAAAAAAAAAGGCAAACCATCACCTGAGCCTTCAGCAAGTCGCAGTTTCTGCTCATGGAGGCTCTTGCCTCAATGTTGATTGCTGCTGACTGATCGATCATGGTAGATGTTGCTGAAAGTTGGGGTGGCTGTGGCAATTTCTAAATAAGACAACAATAAAATTTGCTATATTAATTGACTCTTCCTTTCGAGAAAGATTTCTCTGTAGCACATGATGCTGTTTCATAGCATTTTACTCACAGTAGAACTTTAAAACTTGGAGTCAATCCTCTCAAACTCTGCTGCTCCTTTAGTAACCAAGTTAGAATATTTAGATAATATTTCATAAATATTCTAAATGGTTTGTTGTCATTTTGACAATGTTCACAATATCTTCACCAGGAGTAGATTCCATCTCAAGAAACCACTTTCTTTGCTCATCTATAAGAAGCATCTGTTCACGTTCTGTCATGAGATTGCAGCAATTCAGTCACGTCTTCAGGCTCCACTTCCAATTTTGCCATTTCCACCACATCTACAGTGACTTCCTTTAATGAAGTCTTGAACCCATCCCCCCAAAGTCATCTATGAGGACTGAAATGAACTTCTTTCAAACTCCTGTTAGTGTTCATATTTTGATCTCTTTTCATGAATGTCCAGGCAATAGCATGATCTCAGCCCACTGCAACCTCCGCCTCCCAGGTTCAAGTGATTCCCTTGCCACAGCCTCCCGAGTAGCTGGGACTACAGGCACGTGCCACCACGCCTGGCTAATTTTTGTATTTTTAGTAGAGATGGGGTTTCACTATGTTGGCCATGCTGGTCTCAAACTCCCAACCTCAGGTGATCTGCCCACCTTGGCCTCCCAAAGTGCCAGGATTATAAGTATGAGACACTGCGCCCAGCCTGAAATTTAAGATCTTTCACATTTTTCTCTTGCACATAGCAATGATCGGAATGACAGTGGGAACCAGGAGAATAATTTCTGTGCATTTCTTTTTTTTTTTTTTTTTTGAGACAGAGTCTCGCTCTTTCGCCCAGGCCGGACTGCAGCGGCGTGATCTCAGCTCACTGCAAGCTCCGCCTCCCGGGTTCACGTCATTCTCCTGCCTCAGCCTCCCAGGCAGCTGGGACTACAGGCACCTGCCACCACGCCCGGCTAATTTTTTGTATTTTTAGTACAGACGGGGTTTCACCGTGTTAGCCAGGATGGTCTCGATCTCCTGACCTTGTGATCCGCCCGCCTCGGCCTCCCAAAGTGCCGGGATTAGAGGGTTGAGCCACCGCACCCGGCCATTTCTGTGCATTTCTATAGGAAACTGGCTAAGCAAGTTCAGAGTCAAAATCCTTAAGCCACTTCATGGATTTAGGATACAAGAGGAACCTGAAGTTAAAGGACAGAACACCTAAACATACCTCCTGGTGAGACACCTTGCTTTTCTCCCAAACAACTCAGGCTGGACAGACACAAAGATGTTATGGGGCGGGGCGGTGTGGGGGAGTCAGGCTAGTCCCAGGGAATTGTGGAGAGGAAGAGTCAGGTCTCAGAAGTAAGCAAGTAGGACCTGATGCCTAAGCAGAGGGCCCTGGGGCTGTGTCCTATAGTAACATGGATGGGGCCAGAGACTGGAAAAGCCCCAGCAGAGAAGAATGTTTTTCGTATTTTTATCAGGGAGCTATTGACATTGTATATGGACTTGTTCTGCACATTTCAGTATATTTACTATCCCTGCCCTATGCCTACTAAATGCCACTAAATCCCGAAGTCACTGTGACTAGAAATGTCATGCACAGTTCCAAATGCCCACTAGGGGGCCTGTATCACCCTTGATTGCCATTTATCACATATTTGCTAATAAACACACTTCCTGATTAATGTAGTGGGATACAATCGGATATCATAATTACTATTTCTCTTCTTCACAGGTTTTACAGTTTCTCTCCCAACCACCAGGCATCCCTCTTCACCCACTAAATCAAAGCAATTGGTTGCTTCAGGATAAGGGTGACATAGCCAAGAACGAAGATGACAACTGCGTTTCTGAATGGAATTTTAAAATCAAAGGTGAAACAGTAGGCTTTTTATTATAAGAGCCAGGTTTTTGTTTTGTTTTGTTTTGTTTTGTTTTGTTTTAAGAGAGGAAACAAGTTTTCAAAGTTCTAAATAAGTTAGAGCTGGGAGGACTCAGGGCGGAGTGATTATACCATAAACCAAATCATCAGGAGGTATGAAGTTGTTTACCAAAAGAAAATAAAAGTTCAACTTGCTGAAAGAGAATCTGAGGGCATGTTGTCAGAGGCATTTGAACCAGAGTGCCTCCATCTTGAATAGGGGCTGGGTAAAATGAGGCTGAGAGCTACTGGGCTGCATTCCCAACAGGTTAGGCATTCTAAGTTACAGGATGAGAAAGGAGGTCAGCACAAGGTACAGGTCACAAAGACCTTGCTGATAAAACAGGTTGTGGTAAGGAAGCTGGTGAAAACCCACCAAAACCCACCAAAACCGAGACAGTGACGAGAATGACTTCTGGTCATCCTCGCTGTTCATTATATGCTAATTATAATGCATTAGCATGCTAAAAGACACTCCCACCAGTGCCATGACAGTTTACAAATGCCATGGCAATGTCAGGAAGTTACCCTATATGATTTAAAAAGGGGAGGAACCCTCAATTCTGGGAATTGCCCACCCCTTTCCCGGAAAATTTATAAATAATCCACCCCTTGTTTAGCATGTGACCAAGAAATAAGGCTGGGAACAGTGGCTCACGCCTGTAATCCCAGCACTTTGGGAGGCCGAGGCAGGCGGATCACTTGAGGTCAGGAGTTTGAGATTTGCCTGTCCAATATGGCGAAACCTCCGTCTCTGCTAAAAATGCAAAAATTAATGGGGCCTGGTGGCGCGTGCCTGTAATTCCAGCTATTTGGGAGGTTGAGGCTCGAGAAGCATTTGAACCCTGGAGGCAGAGGCTGTGGTGAGCTCACTGCATTGCACCACTGCATTCCAGCTTGGGCAACAGAGTGAGACTCGAAAGAGAGAAAGAGAGAGAGAGAAAGAAAGAGGGAGAGAGAGAGAGAGAGAGAGAAAGAGAAAGAGAGAGAGAGAGAGAGAGAGAGAATAACCATAAGAACAGCCCAAGCAGCGGCCCACGGGGCTGCTCTGCCTATGGAGCAGCCATTCTTTATTCCTTTACTTTCCTAATAAACTTGCTTTCACTTTATGGATTTCTCTCGAATTCTTTCTTGCGTGAGATCCAAGAGCCCTCTCTTGGGGTCTGGATTGGGACCCCTTTCTAACAATGTGACTAGAATGTAGATGCTGGTAGGTGCCCAGGAAAGAACTGTACCCCCTTCCCACTTTCCTCAATCAGCTAAGAAGGCAGGAAATTCCCCAGGGGGATAGTGAAGACTTTAGAGCAGAGAGGGTCTTCGCCTTGCTTCCAGCAGGCCTCACTGAGAGGCCCCCGCTCACCACACACGGAGGAAGGTGTCTCAAACAGATACTCCTCCCCACTCTCCAGGACACTGAACATCCCACAGTTTCAGAAGCCTCCCCACCAAAGCAATACAGAAGTGGGTAAAAGTGGGCAGGGCCTTGTGGTGGGAGTGAGGCTAGCAGACACAGAGCTGCAGGGAAAGGGGCTGACCGCCAAAGGCTAGCGGGAATGGCCCATGCCAGCACATCCTGAGTCAGATGCCTCTGAGGTCTATACAACATAAATCCCCAGGAAAAAAGAAGGAAAAGAAAGATGGGCGAAACCTTGGACCAACTTAATTTAAATATGTAAATTGCAAAGTTCTCATAGAAGGTTAAGTTTCTGTGGGAAAGGAACTGACTTAGTCCATTTTCTATGCTTAACAGAATACCTGAAAATGAATATCTTTTTTTTTTAAATAAAGCCTTTTTATAATTTATCTTTTTTTTTTTTTTTTTTTTTTGAGGAGTCTCGCTCTGTCGCCCAGGCTGGAGTGCTGTGGCACGATCTCAGCTCACTGCAAGCTCCTCCTCCTGCGTTCATGCCATTCTCCTGCCTCAGCCTCCCTAGTAGCTGGGACTACAGGCGCCTGCCACCACGCCCGGCTAATTTTTTGTATTTTTAGTAGAGACGGGGTTTCACCTTGTTAGCCAGGATGGTCTCGATCTCCTGACCTTGTGATCCACCCACCTCGGCCTCCCAAAGTGCTGGGATTACAGGCGTGAGCCACTGCGCCTGGCCTAATTTATCTTTTTTTTTTAAAAGAGCCATCATACGGTGAAGGAGCTGAGCCAGCTCAGGTTTCTCTTCCTCTTCTCTTAAAGCCACTGGTCCCACTTGCATGAAAATCCATTAATCGATTAAGCCATGAATTTGTGAATTCATGAATGGACTAATCATTTCATGAGGGGAAGAGTTCTTAAGAGACTGTCACCTGTTAAAGGCCCTCTCAATACTGCCACATTGTGGATTACGTTTCAACATGAGTTTTGGAGGGGGCAAATATTCAAACCATAGCAGAGGCTTAGCAACCAAGAGCAGTACTAAGGACATAAAGAGTCCATGAAATTTATCCTCAATATACCAGTGAGTATTTATACCATCTTTTTTTTTTTTATTTTTATTATGACCATTTTTTTGAGACAGAGTTTCGCTCTTGTTGCCCAGGCTAGAGTGCAATGGCATGATCTCGGCTCACCGCAACCTCTGCCTCCTGGGTTCAAGTGATTCTCCTGCCTCAGCCTCCTGAGTAGCTGGGATTACAGGTGCACACCACCACACCCAACTACTTTTGTATTTTCAGTAGAGATGGGGTTTGTCCATGTTAGGCTGGTCTCAAACTCCCGAACTCAGGTGTCCCAAAGTGCTGGGATTACAGATGTGAGCCACTACACCTGGCCTATCCCCTCTTTATTTAAGCCCTTTAAATTCGCAGGGAGTACCTAATGTCAAATATCAGCAGTTTAGTTTGTTCAGGATTAATTATTTGTGTAGTTTTGATGACTATGTATTGAAAACAAGTGCTCCTTTTACTTCTGTGTGATTGCAAATACCACTGAAGTAGCCCCTAACTATATAGGGGCCGAAAATTGCCATTATCTAATCCATTGATCATCTAATCTATTGATAATGGCAATTTTCAGCCCCTATGTAGTTAGACAGATTGCAGTCTGTCCAATTTTATTTTTATTTTTTACACTTATTGAATTAGAAAAGCATGTCCATTTTTAAAGCAATGAAATATCTACTCCATATTTGTGCTAAGTATAGTTTTAAAATTAACTATCACAAATAAAACAGCAACAGCTTAGACTTCAGGGTAGTTTTCTTCCTAAGAAATTCCTAAATTTCTTAGGAATTCTCAATTTCTAAATTGCAAACCACAGTATAAATTCAGAAAATTCCACTTTAGATTTGAATACAGCTCCAGGAGAGGATGATTGTCTCTTTGTTATACTCTTTAGAGGTTTGTTTTTTTTTTAATCTGTCATTACATTCAGATTTTAAATTCAATAAACATACACGATATACATCTCTTTGGAGGTGACCAAAACAGACATTCCTCTTATTTCACACACACCAAGTAAGCCTACAGTTAATGTTGCTTTGATACTGATGAGAAACTCGTATTTTATGTTAGCAATTTCTACTTTTCTGTCTCTACTGAAAATTCTTCTGAAAAGAATTTTAACTTCTTTTCAAAGAATGCCAAAATAGTCTGGAAAAAAACCCAAAAATCCAAGAAAACAAAACCCCAAAAAACAACAAAAGTCTTAAGCTTTTGGCCGGGCGTGGTGGCTCATGCCTGTAATCCCAGCACTTTGGGAGGTGGAGGCAGGTGGATCACCTGAGGTCGGGAGTTCGAGACCAGCCTGACCAATATGGAGAAACCCCCGTCTCTACTAAAAATACAAAATTAGCCAGGCATGGTGGCGCATGCCTGTAATCCCAGCTACTCAGGAGGCTGAGGCAGGAGAATCACTTGAACCGGGAGGCAGAGGTTGTGGTGAGCTGAGATCGTGCCATCGCACTTCAGCCTGGGCAACAAGAGTGAAACGCCGTCTCAAAAAAAAAAAAAAAAAAAAAGTCTTAAGCTTTCATAAGCACATAATCAGATCTTTCCATCTTTCATGGGGACCGTTGATTGGTAAATTCTGTTTTATGTTACAAAAGAGCAAAGTGGCTGTGTTCTAATACAGTTCTAGTTTTGCAACAAAAGTCTTGTAAAATTTTATATTCTCATTATTAAACGTGGATTTTAAGGGGCAGCCTCCATGCCTTATGACAAAACTAAGTGATAAAGGAATGTGCTGGTCAATCTGTTTTATTGTATACTTGATACCTTTTATGGTTGCATTTCATTACCTGAAATTTGGGGAAAAAAGACTAGAAGCTTGGCTTTTAGGTCACTTTTTTTTTTTTTTTTGAGACAGAGTCTTGCTCTGTCACCCAGGCTGGAGTGCGGTGGCGCGATCTCGGCTCATTGCAACCTCTCCCTCCTGGGTTCAAGCGATTCTCCTGCTTTAGCCTCCTGAGTAGCTGGGACTACAGGCATGCACCACCATGCCCGGCTAATTTTTTTGTATTTTTAGTAAAGATGGGGTTTCACCACGTTGGCCAGGCTAGTCTGAAACTTCTGACCTCAGGTGATCCGCTCGCCTCGGCTTCCCAAAGTGCTGGGATTACAGGCGTGAGCCACTGCGCCCAGCTGCTTTTAGGTCACTTCTGATAGCCTTGTATTTCATTCTATTGCTTATGAGCTTTGTATTCTGCTTTTGTGTTTGTTTTACTTTTCAGTGAAAATAAATAAATAGCTCAAGTGGGATCTATGCTTTAGTTATGTAAAGAATAGATTGCAGCAACATGGAATCAGCTGGAGGCCATTATCCCAAGCGAATTAACGTGGAAACAGAAAACCAAATACAGCATGATCTCACTTATAAGAGGGAGCTAAACATTGAGTACACATGGACACAGAGATGGGAACAATAGACACGGGGTTTACTTGAGCGCGGAGGGTGAAAGGAGGGTGAGGAGCAGAAAACTACCTACCGGGTACTGTGCTCACTACCTGGGTGATGAAATCTTTGTACATCGAACCCCAGCAACACACAATTTACCCACATAACAAACCTGCACATGTACCCCCAAACCTAAAATAAAAGTTAGAAGGAAAAAAAAAAGAATAAAGAGAGAAGACTTCTTAGACTCCTTAATCATATTATTTTTGTTGTCTGGGTAAAGATGGCTGAGGCCTGATGGCCTGATAGACTGATAGAAAGACAGTTATGAATTTAGAATTTCTTCTCTTCTTTTGATCACTTCATTCAGCAAGTAACGAGAGACACATAAAACAAAATTCTAAGGACTAAGTTAAGCTCAATATTTAAAGTCCAAGAAAACTGTGAGTTAAAAACTGGATATTAGGCACTGAACAGGACAAGTAACATATTTCTTGTACTTTTAACTGCTTTTTCAAACAAATTAAAACGGATAGGAAGCTCTTGGGAAACTCTTTTCAGTCATTGCAAAAAAATAGCTCAACCTATCCTAATCTGGCAAAGATTTAGAGGGCCTAAATTCCTAAAAGCATTAGGGGATTTTTTTTCCCCCTAGTTCCCAAGTATGCTGTATAAGAGTAATTTCTGTGGCTGGTCACGGTGGCTCACGTCTGTAAATCTCAGCACTTTGGGAGGCTGAGGCAGGCAGAGCACCTGAGGTCAGGAATTTGAGACCAGCCTGGCCAACATGGCAAAACCCCGTCTCTACTAAAAATACAAAAATTAGCCAGGCATGGTGGCGCATGCCTGTAGTCCCAGCTACTCGGGAGGCTGAGGCAGAAGAATCGCTTGAACCCAGGAGGCAGAAGTTGCAGTGAGCCGAGATCGCACCATTGCACTCCAGCCTGGGCAACAGAGTGAGACTCAGTCTCAAAAACCAAAACAAAACAAAAGAATGATTTTTATTATACCAAATTCAGAGTTAAAACATCTTTATATTCATTTGATATACTCTATGAGTGCATTTGCAGCCTTTAAAAGAGACGGTTGCTTAAGCTGACACTGCAGAGCATTGCAAGAAGTGTTGATTAAAATCTCCACATTTGTTCTGAGTTTGTGAATTCCAAGGAGGTTGGCTAATAGCAAGTAGTGGCTCTTCCACAGCTACTCAGCCCTGGATCATGGCCACCTGTGTGTCATTCCTATGCAATGACTGTTGTTAATATTTTGGTGCATATCTTTCAAATCTTTTCCTTTCATTGTAGATATTTTTTAATTTGCAAAGTCGATCTCATAGCCTTACTTTCTATTTTATAATTTTTTTCACCAACAACATGTGATTGATTTTTTAAAAACCATGTTCAACACTGTAAGATTATTCATCATCTCTCCTAGTTATAACATAATTTATTAGTTTCCTGTTGTTGGACACTTAGGCTATTTTAAATTTTTGCCTAGTGTAAATATTGTTGTGATTCACATCCTTGAACTTAAATCTTTGGGTACAGCCTGATTATATTCTATAGATAAGTTTCTTGAAGTAATGTTACTGAGTCAAATGGCAAATGTTACCACCATGAGATAATCATTGGAAATAATCTGGTGCATATTTTTGCTCTGTTTTGAAAAATTAATGTGTATGTACACAAATGTAAGTTTATATAACCTTTTATTTATTTATTTATTTATTTATTTATTTAGAGACAGAGTCTCGCCCTGTTGCCCAGGTTGGAGTGCAGTGATACGATCTTGGCTCACCACAACCTCTGCCTCCCGGGTTCAAGCGATTCTCCTGCGTCAGCCTCCTGAGTAGCTGGGATTACAAGTATGTGCCACCACACACGGCTAATTTTTGTATTTTTAATAGAGACGAAGTTTCACCATGTTGGCCAGGCTGGTCTCAAACCCCTGACCTCAAGTGATCTGCCCACCTCAGCCTCCCAAAGTGCTGGGATTAGAGGAGTGAGCCACCATGTGCGGCCAGTTTATATAACTTTTATTTTATTTTATTTTATTTATTTATTTATTTTGAGACGGAGTCTCACTTTTGTTGCCCAGGCTGGAGTGCAATGGTGAGATCTCGGTTCACTGCAACTTTCACCTCCCTGGTTCAAGCGATTCTTCTGCCCCAGCCTCCCAAGTAGCTAGGATTACAGGCACACACCACCACCCCCAGCTAATTTTTGTATTTTTAGTAGAGACGGGGTTTCACCATGTTGACCAGGCTGGTCTTGAACTTCTGACCTCAGGTGATCCACCCGCTTCGGCCTCCCAAAGTGCTGGGATTGTAAGCATGACCCACTGTGCCTGGCCAACTTTTTATTTTTATTATTTATTTGGAGACAAGAGTCTCGCTCTGTCGCCCAGTCTGTAGTGCAGTGGCAGGATTTTGGCTCACTGCAACCTCCACCTCCTGGGTTCAAGAGATTCTCCTGCCTCAGCCTCCCGAGTAGCTGAGATTACAGGCGCATGCCACCACACCCAGCTAATTTTTGTATATTTAGTAGAGACCGGGTTTCATTATGTTGGCCAGGCTGGTCTCAAACTCCTGACCTCAGGTGATCCACCTGCCTCGGCCTCCCAAAGTGCTGGGATTACAGACGTGAGGCACCGCACCTGGCCTATATAACTTTTTTAAAAAGTTGTTGTGTTATGTATGGGGGGCTGTATTGAAGGTTTTTAAGCAGAGGAATGACATGATCTGATTTTCATTTTAGAAGAATCATTCTGGCTGCTATGCTTCAAATAGACTGCAGGGAGCAAAGATAGAAGAAAAGATAAAAGCAGGGAGTCTATTTCAGTAATCCAGGAGAGAGATAATAGTGGCTTGCAGCAGGAGACAGCAGTGGTGGGAGTGAATGGTGGTCAGATTCTGGATATATTTTTGCAGGAAGACAGATTGCACGTGGGGTATGAGAGAAAGAAAGGAGTTCAGATTAACTCCAAGTTTTTTAGATTTGAACAATGAAGGATGATGTTGACATCAAGTGACAGGGAAAAGGCTAAAGATGGAGCAGGTTTGGAAAGAGAAAAGAACAAGAGGTCAGTTTGGAGATAATAAGTTTGAGATATCAATTAAGTATCCACATGGAGATGTCCAGAAGGCTGTTGAATAGATGAGTCTGGAGTTCTGGAGTGAACAGGCAGGCATTAGAAATATAAATTTGGAAATTATTAGCATATGGATGGTTTGTAAAGCCAGGAGACTGAGTGAGATTACAAAGGGAGATACAGACAAAGAGAAGAGAACCAAGACTCAGAAGAAGGAGCATTTCAACATGAAGAGCACTTACCATGCACCAGGTAAGGTTCTATGTGCTTTGCATAGATTCTAGGTTGACTCGTTTAATGTCTAAAAGAACTCAGTGAAGAGGTATAGTTTAGTATAGAGGTTCCATTTAGCAGAGGAAGAATCAGAGGCACAGAAAGATTGTCAGTAAATGGATAAATTATTTCATGATATGAGTTGATAAATCAGTTTTACCTTCCTTATTGAATAATGCAAAGTTAATCTGAAATAAGTCATGTAAAATTTTTTTGCACAGGTTTTCTTCAGTATGTTTCAAAAATCTTAGTAGTACTAGAAGACATTTCAGTTATATTTTAAATAATTAGCATGACTAATCTGTTCAAAGTACTTTTCTTTCCAGCTGACAACACGTTTTAGGAAAGAAGATTGAAGGGGGTAAAGAAAAAATGCTTATGTTCAAATTAGAAAAAAGGAGAGCCATTTTTAGTGTTCAGCATTTCTAAAAGACACTGTCTTTAATTGCTTTCACATATATCTTCCTTAAGAACCATGCATTCTCTAATTATATTTAGGGATGGGAGAGGTAAATCAATAAAGAGAAATTGTCATTACTCCTACTACCTCACCCCATAATATATATTCAGAACTTCGCAAAGGGGCAGTTTCTAAGGCTATAACTTGTCCTTAACACAAATGTGCATTAGGCAGGGAAAGACAAAAAGCATGATGGTGGGGTAGTTCCTACAGAAGGCTTCCAGTTGAAAAAAATATTTCAAATCATCCCTTTGGTACTATGGATATTTTTATATCTTGAGACCAAGATACAGGATACATAAATTTGCAGTGCTCTCTTCTACCTTCTCCTCTTCCTTGGGAAAAAGGTTAATGTGAAAGGGGAGGTGGAAAAGGAGAATCTGCAAGACATTTTTTCAGGCAGATCAATTTTGGGAAAAAGGAGAAATAGAAGTTGAGGATCTGGAAATAAATTACCCATACCAGTTGTCCTTGGAAAGTCTTTACATATATTTGGGGATTCCTATAACTCAGGTTAAATACTGTTGTCTTAAATAACCCCAATATGGAGGGAGAAAAGAGAGTTATCTAAAAAAACCAGGAGTGATTGTAGAAGCATTCCTCTACTGAACACAAAATATGAGACAATGGACAGGTGTGTAAACTTACCTGATACTAGACAGCAGCATGACCCTTGAATAATAATACCAGGAAAAGCAGAATCCAGGATGAGTTTAGAGGTGTGAAAAATAACCAAAAATCCCCAGAAGAGTCTTTTCAAGGTCATGCTCTTACAGAAGAACAAAAACAAAAAGACTCTGTTCAGGGAAAGATGATGTAATATTGAAAAGATAACAGAGAAAGCAGAACTAACATCTCTTTTTTTCTGTTCTCTCAGTAACTATCTTCAAATGGAAAGGTTAAAAGAAGAACGGTCAAGAGTGAAACTAAAGCCAAGGCAGGTAAGAAATAAGAGGAGCTTTTAAAAACACTTAGTTATTTTAATAATGTATTTAATTTATTCCCAGATAAAGTATATCCTAAGATATTGAGAGAACTTGGGTTGTAATCATGCAACTAATGTTAAGTCTTAGAAAGTAATTTTATGGGGGTTGGGTGTGGTGGCTCACACCTATAATCCCAGCACTTTGGGAGGCCGAGGCAGGCAGATCATGAGGTCAGGAGTTCGAGACCAGCCAGCCTGGTCAACATGGTGAAACCCCTGTCTCTACTAAAAATACAAAAATTAGCCAGGTGTGGTGGTGCATGCCTATAATCCTAGCTACTGGGGAGGCTGAGGCAAGAGAATCGCTTGAACCCGGGAGGCGGAGGTTGCAGTGAGCCGAGATCGCGCAACTGCACTCCAGCCTGGGCGACAGAGCAAGAATCCATCTCAAAAAAAAAAAAAAAAGTAAGTAATTTTATGAACAGAAAGTCAGCATAGATTCATTAAGAATCAATACTGTCAAACTAACCTTACATAAATCTAAGTAATAAAACGTAATAAACTCAACACCTAAGAACTCATTACTCAACTTAAGACCTAGGCTTTGTATCTTTTTTCACTAAACATTATATTGGAGCATTTCTCCTATGTCATTAAGTATTCTCCTACACTGTAATTTCAAAGATCCACATAGTGCCCAATTATATTAATATTTTCTAAGTTACTTAAGCAATTCATCTTGGTCAAGTCTAAACTGTTTCAAATTTTTGGCTTACAAAAATCAAGCTGGCAAGCCAAGCACTGTGGCAGGTTCCATAGTCCCAGCTACTTGGGAAGCTGAGGCAGGAAGACTGCTTGTGCCCAGGAGTTTGTGGTGACAGTGAGCTAAGATTGAGGCTATGACTGAGCCTGTGAATAGCCACTGCAGTCTAGCCCAACCAACATATGGAGACATGGTCTCTCTCTCTCTCTCTCTTTTTTTTTTTTTTTTGAGACAGGGTTTCTCTCTGTCACCCAGGCTGGAGTGCAGTGGTGCCATCTCAGGTCACTGCAACCTCCACCTCCCAGGCTCAGGTGATCTTCCTGCCTTAGCCTCCCGAGTAGCTGGGACTACAGGTGCGCACCACCACACTCAGCTTGTTTTTTGTAGAAGCAGGGTTTCACCATGTTGCCCAGGCTGGTCTTGAGCTCCTGGGCTCAAGCAATCCACCCACCTCAGCCTCCCAAAGTGTTAGGATTACAGATGTGAGCCTGTCATTAGTTTTTTTTAATCATGTAGGAGTTATGATCATTTTACATAAAACTTCGTAAATTATTTTTAGAAATTTAGGTTAAATTCTCAGAAGAGGAATAAATGAATCAAAGGGCAAAACATTTCAAAAGTCTTTTAATAAGCACCATCAAAATTGTCTCTAGAAAGATGTACCTATGTATAGTCTCACCAACAATATATGAGTGCCTATCTTTCTAACTCTTATCAATAATGGAAAACTTTGGTAGAAAAACCCTTCTTTGGTAATTTTTTATTGTGGTAAATACACATAATACATATTTTACCACTTTAACCATATTTAAGTGTATAATTCAGTGGCATTAAGTACATTCATAAGGTTGTACAACCATCACTACTATCCATTTACAGAACTTTTTCATTATCCCAGTAGAAACTCTATACCCACGAAACAAAGAAAAAGTTAAAAATATTTCTTCAATTTTGCCACTCTTTTGCTACATGTTCTTCAATCCCATCAGTAGTACTCTTCCCTCTTCCTAAGATATTGGAATTCGAATGAATTAGTCAGAATAGGAAAGGCTATTCTGTGGTAACAAACAATTCTAAAATCTTCTGGCTTACACTACAGAAATCTATTTCTCACTCAAGTTACAAATTCTGTGCCAGTCAGTGAGTGTCTCTGCTTCACACAGTCTTTCAGAGTTCCAGGCTAATACAGGGTCCAAACATTTCATAGATTTTCTATCAGGAACTGGGGGATTTCATAGTTACAAAGGCAGGACAAGAACATACCGGAGAGCCTTGCACCAGAAATTAAATGCTTCGGTTGAAAAATCACGCATTTCCCTTCCACTAGAGCCAGAAGAACACAGTTAAAATGAGTAACACAACAGGGGCTAGAAAGTCTATCCCTCCCTTGGGCCCTAGAAGAGAGAACTGGATATGGGTGAGTACCAGAAGTCTCTATATCTTCATTCACATCCGCATTATATAAAGCTGGCTTCATAACTCCTTAGAAAGTTCTCTTTTCTTTTTTTTTTTAAGACAGAATTTCACACTTGTTGCCCAGGCTGGAGTGCAATGACACGATCTCGACTCACTGCAACCTCCACCTCCCAGGTTCAAGCGATTCTCCTGCCTCAGCCTCCCGGGTAGCTAGGATTACAGGCATGTGCCACCACACATGACTAATTTTTGTATTTTTAGTAGAGACGGGGTTTCATCATCTTGGCCAGGCTGGTTTCGAACTCCTGACCTTGTCATCCACCCACCTCAGCCTCCCAAAGTGCTGGGATTACAGGCATAAGCCACAGTGCCCGGCCCAAAGTTTTATTTTCTATTAATGGAGATCACACATTAATGTTTCATTTTTACCCAAGAAATCCTGAAATAAGAAAATAAAATAAAACAATTAATTTAGAAGAACAGCCATTTGACATAAGTGAAAAGTCACGTTTCACAGAGTGGTATGTAAACATCCTGTTGTAGCTAAACATGTTAAATTGCCATCTTTGGGCCTAGCTTTCTTAATAACTTCTACTTTTTGAAGTAGATGCAGATGTTTTCCAGCAGCCTTGGACCCTCTGGTTTTCATGTGATTAGTCATGTCACAGAAGAAACCCCATGGTGGATGATAAACGTTAAAACTCTTTACAGGTTGGGTGCGGTGGCTCATGCCTGTAATCCCAGCACTTTGGGAGGCTGAGGCGGGCAGATCACAAGGTCAGGAGATCGAGACCATCCTGGCTAACACGGTGAAACCCCACCTCTACTAAAAAAATACAAAAAAATTAGCTGGGCATGGTGGTGGGTGCCTGTAGTCCCAGCTACTCGGGAGGCTGAGGCGGGAGAATGGCATGAACCTGGGAGGTGGAGCTTGCAGTGAGCCGAGATCGCGCCACTGCACTCCAGCCTGGGCTTCAGAGCAAGACTCCGTCTAAAAAAAAAAAAACACAAAAACACAAAAAACTCTTTAAAAATTCATGAGCAGCTTTTTTGAGAAATGGGATATCAGTACTTCATTTTTCGTTAAATATACTCTCTTCCCTTTAACACATTTCTGCCAAAAGCTTTTGTTTTTGCAAAAAAAAAAAAGTATTACCAAACCATAAAGATTTTAATAGCTGTAGATTTGTATAATATAATAAAGGACAAATAGCTATAGCAATAGGGTTCTACCACTCTCTATGAGCTCTATGGCAGCTCTGCTCAGCCTCCATTTTCTTGTACATCTTACACTCAACCTGTAATTTTCTATGCTTCCTGTTGACCCTGCTGACTGGCCTGGCAACTTCGTTCATCATGCAGGTTACTGCCCGGGCCACTCTGAAACTAGTTGGTACACCAAAATAGCCAGCAAGGTTAGCAGTATCAACTGCTTCTCCTCTGGCCAATAATACTGCAAGGGGTAGCTGTCTCTACCCGATTGTATCTCAGAGAGCTTCATTTTATCAGCAAGTATCCTTCTTACTATTCTTAAAAATAAGTGTTGGTTACCTTGCTTCTGGAAACGTCAGAAAAAGAAAGATGGGTTGGCTGGGTGTGGTGGCTCACGCCTGTAATCCCAGCACTTTGGGAGGCTGAAGTGGGTGGATCACCTGAGGTCAGGAGTTGGAGACCAGCCTGACCAACATGGAGAAACCCCATCTCTACTAAAAATACAAAATTAGCTGGAGTGGTGGCACATGCCTGTAATTCCAGCTACTTGGGAGGCTGAGGCAGGAGAATCACTTGAACTTGGGAGGCTGAGATCACGCCATTGCACTCCAGCCTGGGCAACAGAGTGAAACTCCATCTCAAAAAAAAAAAGGAGTGAAATGGGTTATCCTTGGTCATCTGTCAGATTATCCACGTGTTAAAGTGAGAACTCTGTTCACTGCACATGTGTCTCACGCTACTACTAGATGTCACTACTAGATGAGACCATGGTAGGAGTTAAAAACAGAATGACGGTCCAGCAAACCCATCCTGGCCTCTTTTTTCTTTTCTTTTTATTTTTTTTTGAGACAGAGTCTCACTCTGTCACCCAGGCTGGAGTGCAGTGGTGCAATCTCAGCTCACTGCAACCTCCACCTCCTGGATTCAAGCAATTCTCCTGCCTCAGCCTCCCAAGTAGTTGGGATTACAAGTACCCACCACCATGCCTGGCTATTTTTCTATTTTTAATAGAGATGGGGTTTTGCCATGTTGGCCAGGCTGGTGTTGAACTCCTGATCTCAAGTAATCTGCCCACCTTGGCCTCCCAAAGTGCTGGGATTACAGGCATGAGCCACTATGCCCGACCTCTTTTTAAAAGCTTCTATGCATTATTTGTAGTAGAACCCCATTTAAAAATGAGAAATCCAGGCCAGGTGTGGTGGCTCATGCCTGTAATCTCAGCACTTTGGGAGGCTGAGGCAGGAAGATCACTTGGGCCCAGCAGTTCAAGGCTGCAGTGAACTATGGTTATGCCATGATACTCCAGCCTGGGCAACAGAGGGAGACCTTGTCTCTTAAAACAAACAAACAAACAAACAAACAAACAAACACACAAAATCCAGGGGAAACAGGCCAAACGAAGCGCATGCCAGGACAATAGGTATAAAGCAGACCAGTTCCAAACAAAAGAGGATTTAAGGTCATGCTACTTAGAACTAAATAATCTAAGATGATAACTTAATGACTTGTTTCTCCAGTGTGTGCCATGAACCACCAGATTCCCCTTTTAGAATATAAATGGGAGTGTTCTGTTTTCTGTTCAATCTCAGCCAGATAATCGATTCTAAACACCCCATGACTTCCCTGAAGGTCTGTTTCCTTCTACTACCAATCTAGGAGTCTACTAATCTCTGGTTGCAAGGAAGAAACACTGATTCTGTCAACTTAAGCAAAAGGGTATTTGATTTGAAGCATACGGAGGTGTTAAGGAAGTCTTAAAGAACCAGCTTTGGAAGAAGCCTGGTAGCCTCCCCAGCAGCAGGTCTATTTCAACACTCCTGGCTGGAAAAGATGAACTCTGTTTCTTCTGTCAGTGCTTTACTACGTTCAAAAGTCAAAGTCTTGGGAAAGTCTGGTTGGCCAAGCTTAGGTCACGTGCCCAGCCCTTGGCTGTGGCAGGTCTGAGAGGAAAGATTTATAGAACAAACCTCTAGGGATCTCTCTGGATTCCCTAGCATGAGGCAGGCACAGGAATTTTACAAAGACTACATGTTATGTGGGAAAATGATTACCCCGGTGGAAATCATGGTAAAGTTGGGAAGTGGGAATGAATGCTGGGCATTCCGAAATGCCAGTGTCCATTATTTAGAGTAAAAACGATCATTTTAATGGCATCAAAGCACATAAACCCAGGATTCCTATTGAATTAATATATGCTGATTTATTTTACTATTTTCTAATTGTTAAGTGGCTGCTGCATTCTTTTTTTCTTTACTGCAACAAATAGCCTTAAGCATATACTTTTTTTTTTTTTTTTTTTTTTTTGAGATGGAGTCTTGCTCTGTTGCCCAGACTGGAGTGCAGTGGCACGATCTCGGCTCACTGCAACCTCTGCCTCCAGGGTTCAAGTGATTCTCCTACCTCAGCTTCCCAAATAGCTGGGAATACAGGCGTCCACCACCACACCCAGCTAATTTTTGTATTTTTAGTAGAGAGGGGGTTGCACCATGTTTGCCAGGCTGGTCTCAAACTGCTGACCTCGTGATCCTCCCACCTCTGCCTCCCAAAGTGCTGGGATTATAGGTGTGAGCCACCATGCCTGGCCTTTTTCTTTTTTAAGTTTTTATTTATTTATTTATTTATTTTTTGGGATGGAGTCTTACTCTGTCACCCAGGCTGGAGTGCAATGGTGCGATCTTGGCTCACTGCAACCTCCGCCTCCAGGGTTCAAGTGATTCTCTTGCCTCAGCCTCCCAAGTAGCTGGGATTACAGGCACCCACCACCACGCCCAGCTAATTTTGTATTTTTAGTAGAGATGGGGTTTCTCCATGTGTGTCAGGCTGGTCTCGAACTCCTGAGCTCAGGTGATCTGCCCGCCTCAGCCTTGCGAAGTGTTGAGATTACAGGCGTGAGCCACTGCACCCAGCTGAGAAGATATGAATTTCAATGTGGGAGGACTGGAGAATCTCCCCCACATACCCACCCTCCCTCTTCCCCATCCCAGTTTCAGTAGGAACGCCCACTTCTCAACCAGGCTGTCAGGCTGGCTGGAGGAAGCAGCAGTGTGCTTTGTTTTAGAATTATCCTCTTGTCAGCTTATTCTGCATGGCTAGAGTATATCAGATTGTAAACGCTTGAGTTGAGGGACTTTTTCGCCTTAGCACTTGCTTACCACAGTGCTTTCCCCACCCCGTGTACTCAATCAATATTTGCTGACCAAATATCCCTAGTTAATTGTACTAGTTCTAAAACTTCCTTGAGGTCCTAAACTCTTCCAAGCTTTGATGCCCAGAAGTACTGGAAAAGGTGAGCTCTCCTGAGAAAAAAAGCAGCGAAGCCCGAAGCCCACGCTCAGTGTTCTCAAGGATAGAAGCAGGGCTGGTGCTGAGCAGGTAGGATGGGCCCTCACTCCCTCTTCAGCCTCATCTCAGCCCGTGCTGCTCCCGCCACATGGCCACAGTTTCAGCTACTTGTACTGGTTCTTCCACAAATCCTCCTCTGGGAACGCTTCTTCCCTCTGCACATCACATCCACTTCACCTCTGTCCATTCACTCTTGGTGCTTCAGGTCTCAGCTCAGTTGTCACATCCTCACTGACATCTCAGAATAGTCCAAAGTCCCCTGAAGAGCAGGCTTCTTCCTAGTGCTTACCAGAGATTTCACTTGACATTTATATTTGCAATGTTTTGATATATTTTCTTTCACTCTGATTGGAGGATATTAGTCCATGAGATCATGAATCATGCTAGGTTTTTGTTTGTTTGTTTGTTTTTGCTATTGCTGTCCCAGTTCTAGGATAGTACCTGGCACATAATGGGTGCTTAGTAAATGCTGGAGGCACAAGTAGTAGTTTCTTTTTTTTTTTTCTTCATGTCTGTTTTTTTTTTTTGGAGATGGAGTCTTGCTCTGTCACCCAGTCTGGAGTATAGTGGCCACGATCTCGGCTCACTGCAACCTCTGCCTCCCAGGTTCAAGCAATTCTCCTGCCTCAGCCTCCCAAGCAGCTGGGACTACAGGCGCATGCCACCACACTCAGCTAATTTCTGCATTTTTAGTAGAGACGGGGTTTCACCATATTGGCCAGGCTGGTCTTGAACTCCTGACCTCGTGATCCACCCGCCTCAGCCTCCCAAAGTGCTGGGATTATAGGCAAGAGCCACCACGCCCAGCACAAGTAGTAGTTTCTGCACACCACACTGCACTGGTGCACCCACTGCAATCCTGGAATATACAGAGATCCTGGGGTGACTCTCAGCAGAGCATACCCAGCTTAGTGTTCATAGCATAGCCTTTCTCAAATTTCATTACTCAGACTGCTAGTCACAAACTCTCAATAGAGGTGGTATGAAGAAAAAGGTTCTTTTAAAAATATAGGTGTAATTAAAATGTCAAACATATTTGGACCATTATTATTATTCTGTGAGACCATATGTCTTTAAGGAAAGGGTATGGCTGGGTGCAGTGACTCACGCCTGTAATCCCAGCACTTTGGGAGGTAGAGGCGGGTGGATCACCTGAGGTCAGGAGTTCAAGACCAGCCTGGCCAACATAGTGAAACCCCGTCTCTACTAAAAATACAAAAATTAGCCGAGCATGATGGCGCATGCCTGTAATCCCAGCTACTTGGTAGGCTGAGGCGGAAAAATCACTTGACCCCGGAAGGGAGGCGAGGGTTGCAGTGAGCCAAGATAGCGCCACGGCACTCTAGCCTGGGTGACAGACAGAGACTCCATCTCAAAAAAAAAAAAAAAAAAAAAAGAAAAGGTTATTATAGGAAGACGAGTGACATAAAGGGGGAGATGAAGGAGTCCTTTACTCTTCCTTCATTATGCTTTCTTTCTAAGCGTGCAGTTCAGTGGCATTAAGTATATTCACATTGTTGTACAAGCATCACCATTATACTTTTATAGGTTACCAGTTCACAAACTCGTTGTGTAGTATCCTCATATCTTGTTGGATCAGCCTGCCCCATGCTCAAAGGTGACCCCTTAATGGCCCAAGCTACTTGGCATTACCCCCTTCTTGGGCTCAGTGATCAATTGAGCGGCAGGCCTCCAGGTCCAAGGGACTCAGGGAATGGCAGTCTCCTGAAATGCTTTGATTCCCAGATTAAAGTAGTTGTGATAAGGGAGCAACTTTCTAGCTCAGGAAGGGGTATTGTCTCACCTGTAGGTGAGTCTGGAAATGTTGATGCTATTTGGTTCTCATGAAGGAAGCTTTCTGGAGGCTGAAGTCAATTCCTAGAAGGCAAGCAGAGCCAAGAGAATCATAGAGAAATGGAGCTGGAGTGCTGATAACTGCTTCAGAAGCTTCAACTACCTCGCTGTGGAGGTTTTCAGTGATGTGTTTCAATAATTAAGCTATTTTGGCATTTTTGTTTCTTTTTGTGTTTTGTTTTTAATACTTGTGAGAGAAAGCAGCTTTACACAGTCTGCAAGAGACCCAAATAATTATTTTAAATTTCTTCTATTTACATAATTTAGTTTTTGGCATAGCTGTAATTTATATACCTCACTCACAAAGGTGTCAGCCTGCAGCAGAGACTGCTAGGTTCCTGCTCAAAATCTACTATCCCTTTTCTCTTTGTAGGAAAATTCACATTTCACTTATGTACCCGGGAAAAAGACCACATTTTTCATCTTCCCTTGCAGTGAGGTGTGGCCATTTGATTAAGATCTGGTCAATGAGATAAAAAATAAAATGTTGTGTGAGATGCACAGGAATGCTGAGAAAAGAAGCTGATTCAGTGAGGACAGGGGCCCTTCTATCCTTTCCCTTCTTTCCTCCCAGAAGGACCTCTAGGAGCCATCTTGTACCATGAGGTGACATTGAGGATGGAAGCCAGTGCTTCCTTGGGGACTCTGGAATCATGGACTCCTTTTTATGAGAGAGAGGGAAATCTAAACCCCTTATGGTTTAAAAACCAGTGATTTTGGATTTTCTGTTATAATGTGTCTGAACCTAATTCTGACTCACAACCTGAAACATATCCAAGGATTCAGTAGACCCATATTTAACTTTACAGGTAGGTACTTTGTGAGTCATCACAACACAAAAACTACAGTATGGTATGCAGCAGAACCTACATCAAGGGAAGGTTTCCTATCTGTTAACCTCTATTTCATGTAGACTGAAACTTGACCAGCTTGCATTGATTCAAATCCCTAACTAATCCAAGCACTGAGTAAAGCATAAAAATGCCATTTGGGTGTCAGTGCCTACATGACTTAAGTACTTGAATGTCTCCCAGGCATCTCAAACATTTCATGAGTTTATACTGAAACGCATCCTTCCAACCCAGTCATCACCAACACTGCCATGACAGCTTCTTACCTCATGTTATCCTTTCAGTAAGTGGCATATCCATCCACCTAACTTACCATGCCACAAGCCTGGGGGCCACCGCTGACCCCTTCTTCCTCATTTCCAATATCCAGGCTATTGTCAAGTCCCAGAATCTCCTTCTAAAATATACTTCATTTCTGTCTATTTCTCGCTGTTTCCTTGGAGGGTCACCTTGGAGGATTGAGCTATTCCATTTCTTGCCCAGACAACTCCAACCACCTTCTGTCTGGATTTCCATTCTCCACACAGCAGCTAGAGAGAAAACACAATCCGGATCATTTTACTACATGCATAAAACTCTTTAAAGGCTCCCAACAGTGTTGGGATACAGTCCCAAATCCTAAATAAGACTTAGAGGCTCTGCACCATCTGACCCTGCCTATCCTCCACCACCTGGCATAGTTGTGAGCCAGTCTCTCTCACTGGGCTTCAGCCACCGACCTGTTCATCTCTTGAGTGTGCCATCTCAGGGGCCTGCACAAGCTGGTCCCATGTCTGTACTACTCTGTTCCTACCCCTATTTAACAGTTAACTCCTACTGATATTCCTGGTCATTGATTAAATTATCATTTTCATATCACTTCCTCAATGAGGCCTTCCTTGACCCAGCCCCAATCTCCATCAGGTGTTCCAATTATAATCTCTCACACACCCTTCACTTTAACTGCATGGTGCTTCAATTTTCAATTGGATATATATGTGTGTGATTTTTCTTTTTCTTTTTTTTTGGGATGAGGCCAGTCTCCCCCAGAGACCAAAAGCACGGTGAGGACTGTTTTGTGTGCTGCTGCATCATGAGCACCTAATACGGTGCCTAATACATATAAATGATCAGTAAATATTTGTGGGAATAATTGATTAATTAAGATGAAACCTGGAAACTCAGTAGCATCTGCTTTTGTGGCCACTTTTCTTGAGTTCTGTCTTACATGGTTTAAAACCATGATTTAAGGGCTCTCCTGCCCCGAAAATCTTTCCCACATTGATGGAATGTAATCTGTCTCCTCCTCTCCCTCATCCCTCTCTTCAGCCCATCCTCCACACTTCCTTCTTCCTTGAGTCTCATTATTATCATAATTTTCAGCAGGCACTTTACAAACACAATTTCATTAAATCTTCTCAAGCAACCTGCAGCTGCAATGTCATCATCTCCATTTCACTGATGGTAAGTCTGAGGTTTACAGAAAATTACCTTTGCTAAGGTTGCACAACTGTTAAGTAGTAAAGCTGGAGCTGGAACTACTAAATATCTATCTTTCCACTGTCCACTGTACAGAGATTTCTCTTCAGTTAGTTATACTTATTCATTCCACATTTACTGATCACTTGTATACCAGACACTGCATAGGCATAGCTGAATAAAACAAAATTAATCAGGCCCCTCCACTCATGGTAATTATTGTGGACCTATTTGGTAATGAATTAAGATTCATATTCACTAGCTCTTTAACACTGGGTGTACATGTGTGTGAAGTGATAAGTAATATTTTTTATGATGTTTTGACATTGTTTTAAACAACTTTTTTTTTTCTCCAAATATCTAAAGAACTGGGCACACTGAATAAACCAGAGTTTTTACGGCTTGAAGTCTAATGTGGTAAAGGAGAAGCAGTTCTAGAGTAGTTCATCTTAAAAAAAATTTTTTATTGAGATATATTTCACAGACCAAAAGAAATCCACCCATTTATCACATACAATTAAGTGATTTTGAGTATATTCAGAATTGTGCAACCATTACCAAAATGTAAATTTAAATTGTTTTCGGCCAGGCTCGGCGGCTCACTCCCATAACTCCAGCAATTTGGGAGACCAAGGTGGGAGCATCATTTGAACTAAGGAGTTTGAGAAAAGCCTGGGCAACATAGTGAGACCCTATCTCTATGAAAAATAAAAATATTAATAATTTTCATCACCCTGAAAATAAACTCCTGACTACATATACCCTCCACTCTATCCCCCAGTCTCTAGCAACCACTAATCTTTCTGCCTCTATAGATTTACCTGTTTTGGACATTTAATATAAGTAGATAGTATTGGCCTTTTGCAGCTAGGTTCTTTTACTTAGTATAACGTTTTCACCGTTATTGTGCCGTAGCACGTGTCAGTACTTCATTCCTTTTTATTGTAGATTAATATTTCATTTTATGGACAAACATTTTGTGCATCCATTACACAGCTGACAAAGGACATTTTGGTTGATTCTACTTTTTGGCTATTACGAATAATGCTGCTATGAATATTTGTGTGTAAATATTTGCGTGGACATATATTTTCATTTCTTTTGGGTATATATCTAAGCGTGGACTTGCTGGGTCACACGGTAACCTCCATGTTCAATATTGAAGAAGTCTCAGCAGCCCCTCTATGAGAAAAGGTTTGGGTTTCTGCTCTGAGGATTGAGTGTGGTCAGTGCTTGGCTGTTTCGCTAGGCCCTCATTTTTGTTTACACCCCCTCTCTTCTTGTCTTTCTTCCCCTTTATTTGCCTCTTTTATTCTCTTTTCTGTAGACTCCAGTCTCCTGCTGGTTTTAGTAGGAACTGAAGCTTTCACCGCCTAAAAGTTATTTGTAAAACACTTTGAACTCTCTGGAGGATGGACATTAGAGTAATAATGTTTATCTGTGGGTTAGGCACTCCTGGTGCTGTTTTGTAACAAAAGGGCTTATTGAGTAGGAGGCTTATTTAACTTGTTCGGGAGGGTTACCCTCCTACAACATGCTGTCCAAACAGATTCTTAATTACCCAGCTGAGAGTCTGAACGTCTTGAGGAATTACTTTGAAGTTTCTCGTTAATATTACCATCATATCATGTAAGTCTATATCGCGAGTTTGTAGATGTATGGAGTTCCTAGTGGGTGCCCGGCACATAATAATTGCTTAATAAATTGCGATTATGAAACGTTACTCTAATGAACTATTAGTGTTTTTTTTTAAGAAATACTTTTTTTTTTTTTTGAGACATTGTCTCGCTCTGTCGCCCAGGCTGGAGTGCAGTGGCACCATCACGACTCACTGCAACCTCCGCCTCCTGGGTTCAAGCGATTCTCCTGCCTCAGCTGGGACTACAGGCACGTGCCACCGCACCCGGGTACTTTTTGTATTTTAAGTAGAGACGGGGTTTCACCATGTTAGCCAGCTGGTCTCCAACTCCTGACCTCAGGTGATCTACCCGCCTCCGTCTCCCAAAGTGTTGGGATTACAGGCGTGAGCCACCACGTCCGGCCTAAGGTATACATTTTAATACTTTAAAATGCCTAACTTTTTTTGGGACACACTGGAGTTGTTTCATAACACACAAAATAGGCTTTTTGAGGGCACTGACATAAATTCTCATTGATCGTCACCCCCACGCGGTGAAAACCACACGTTACCTGGCATGTTTTCCGGTAGTTATTTTTAGAATAATAAAGATCGTCTTCACCTACCCCAGCAAATTTAATGTGCTGAACACAACAGAAACAACTTTTCTGTGGTTTAGCCAGCCCTCTCTCTTCAACTAAGTTATTTAGTGCGGATACGCAGAGAAGTGTAATAGGAGCTGCTGGGCCACCAAGAAAACGCTCTTGCCATTGTAAGGCTTCGATCTCAAGCGGAGATTTACCACGCATCTCACTTTAAACTGGGAAAGGAACCGGGATAAGGAAAAGAGCCCCCTGTGCGAGTTCGTTCCCAGCTCGGGGTTGGGGGCGTCCCAGGATAAATGAGATAAATGAGTTAATCATCTCCTGCAAGGCAGCCACTTCAGAGTTATGTCGCCCGCCTGCGGGGACTAACGACTGCAATTAAGACGCTCCTTCTCGGTCCCGGTCGGGTTCCGTGCAGCGGGGAGCCGACTGTGAGTCACCCCGGCCCCGGGAGCCCAAGCAAAGGGGAGGGGAGAGCGCCCAGGGTGGAGGGGAGCCGCGGGGCGAAATTCTAGCCCCAGGACGCCTCGGAAGGAAGAGGAGGGGCAGCTGCGCGTGGGGAAGAGAAGGAAGAGGCGTCCAGGGAAGGGAAGGGAGGAAGAAGGAAGGCGGAGGAAAGAGAAGGGGACGAGCGGGAGCGCGGGCCCGGCCGGGTGGCGCCTCGGGGAGTGTCTGCCGCGCGGGGGCCGGGCGGGGCGGGGCCGCGGGCGCTCAGAGCTCGGCGGGGGCTGCCGGGATTGGGGCGCCGCAGCTAGCGCTGGTCTCGGTGGCAGCTCCTCCGCGCCGCAGGACTCGGCTCTACGGGACATGTCCGTGCCGCGCTCGCCGCGCGCCCGGGCCTGCTAGCTCCTCTGTGCTCCCTGAACGCGCGGCGCCGCACCTGGCAGCGGCCTCGGAGCTCGGCTCGGGCAGGAGCGCGCGGCCGTGCGCACCGCGCAGCGACCGCTGCCGTCATGGGGCTGCAGCCCCTGGAGTTCAGCGACTGCTACCTCGACAGCCCGTGGTTCCGGGAGAGGATCCGCGCTCACGAAGCGGAACTCGAGAGGACCAACAAGTTCATCAAAGAGCTCATTAAGGACGGGAAGAACCTCATCGCTGCGACGAAAAGTAAGCGGGGACGCGGGCGCGGACGGGCTGCGGCGTGGCGAGGCGGCTGGGGGAGCCTCTCTCGGCAGGAGACGGAGGGTCTTGTGTCCGGGGCCAGCAGCCAGAGGAACGGGGAATTCATTCCGGACCAGCCCAGCTCTCTCGGAACCCCGGGGGGTCCCTGGAATCATTCCTCCTCGAGGCAGCGCGGCGAGTCCCCATTCCCGCCCCTGCGGCTCTGCGGCGGCGGGAACCAGCTGCCAGCGGGCCCCGCCTGGGCCCCGCCTGGCCCCGGCCGAACACCCCTCGCTGAATGCGCGCTCCGCTGGACCGACCCTAGGCACTCCTGGCCCGGAGTCAGGTTTCATTGCTGCCTAAAGCTACTCACAATCTCTTACAAAACCGAGGCATCTGTTTGCCTAGTTTTGTTTTGTGACTTCTCAAAAGAAATTTCTTGGGGATTCTTTGAAACCCTGCGGGAGTGTTGAGTTTTCCAGAGTCCCCTTAAGCTTCACCTTTTCCCTCTCATTGTCTGATCTTCCCCGACAGTCCTGTTCCAGGTCCTTCACGTGCCAAACCAGAAAGTCCACCTGGCTTTATGCTGCTTCCGCACATTCCTCCCCTGCCGTGCTGAGGAGGGTTCAAAGATTGGGGTTTGGAAGGGTGAGCGGACAGCCTGCCCTCTAGCCTAGGCGGGCACTGCTTGCAAATAGGGAATTCCACCCCGGTTAGGCTTGGTGCCTTCCTCCCCTGAACTTCTGTCTCTTAAACTCGGAAGAAGACACGAGATACAGGAGAGATAACTGTATTTTAGTGTAGTTGAGGAGAGTCTTTCTAGGAGAGAAGGGGCCAAAATTCATGCAGAAATACTGAGTTAGTGATGCTACTGGAAAATGGGGCGGAATTAGCCCCAGTGAGGAGCTGGGCAGCCTGACCATCCCTTGGATCCATAACCCCTTCGGAGGATGGCGGTGAATGTCCCCTTTCCCCCTTTAAAAGACCTGTCCATACAGCAGACAGGGACTTGGGCAGTATCCAGCCTTGAGGGGCTGGGTTCTTAGGGCCTTCATCACTCACCTAGATTCTCAGTTCAGTAATTCTCAGCCTTAGGTATTCGTCCCTTGTACATTTGTTTGTAGATACCACCTCTGGGGAAAATCCCCCATCTCACTGTTCTCCCGACCGCGCCCCGCCCCATTTTTCAGTAAGGGCGATTAAAACATATTGATTATACTGTCTCGGGCACCCAGCATGGTGCCTGGTACAGTAAATATGCATTTAATGAATAAGTTGAAGTACATTTCTGTGGGAAGAATTTAGTGAGCCATCCCTGTAATTTTGGAGGCAAGTCACTCAACTTCTCTGGATGATCTCCAAGGTTCCTTTTGGTTCTCTGACCTCTTTGGTGTTGCAAAATCAGGACTGGGACTCACTTAGGGTTTTTTTGTTTTGTTTTTAAGTCTCTGCTGCTTGAATCAGAAATGGGACTCTGGGACATGTGACAAGTGGGCTTATTTGGTTGAGGGCTCTCCAGGCCCTTGGCATCTGGTATGTGTGTTGGGTGGGAAGTAGGGGGGCGCCTATACATATGGAGGAGTGAGCATAGAAAGGAGGAGTTGGGAGCGGGGGTGCAGAGTGAACACGAGAGAATGAGGACTGAGGACTCTTTCTGTAACTTGATGTTAACCAGAGTCAGTGGCCGGGAGAATGTACCTTCTCTCTCATTGGTTGTAGTAGTTCCCTCTGGAGCTAGAGAGGTGTGGAGAGAGGCAGAGGGCAAAGCCAGTTTGGCCACTGGTAGAAAGCTATTTCTGTGACAGCATATTAGCTTTCCTGCCATCAGGACACATGCGTTAGGTTCCAGCAGCAGCCAGTGCATCTGGGGGGCCAGATGTCAGCTTTCCTCCAGACTGTAGACTTTCTTGAATTTGTGAATTAGTATCTTACTCATTTTGATTCTCGTCCTTTAGCATAAGAAACATAACTTGTAATCATGCTTTGAGAGTAATTGGGAAGTGTCTTTTTTTCTCGTTATGTTCATTAAGAATTTATGTTTAAATTCTTTCCCAGAAGGTGACAGGAACACAGCTGTAGCTCACATGCCTTTTCCCGCTTGCTCCATAAAGTTTACTTCTAGTTCCTATCAAAGACTAAGAGCCTTGGACTAAAGTCAGGGGACCTGAATTTAATTCTTCTTCACTGGTTAGGGCGTGGCTATAGGAAAATTGAGCAGGTCTTATTCTTTTGCGTCCAACTTCCCCTGTCTACCTCTTAGGGGAACTAATAAGGTTCTGCAGCATTTGAAAATGGCTTGATGAGGTTATTTGAAACTGCAGTCTAGGTAAATGGTTCATCTAACCAGTTGAGCTTTTGTATAACATCAGAGAGTCAAGGGATGACATTGGGTGGAGGATCTACAGAAAGAATAAAACCCACTAGGTCAGATTATTTATATTTCCAGATATTTTATATTTTATTTTACAAAAATGACCTTTTGAGCATTTCGAGAAGTGTGTATTTAAGTGATTTCTATTTTTAATTGCCCTGCACGGTGTCTCCTGTTTGCATTACATTCTTGGAAGATTTCAATATGTAATTTTGATGGCTTGATGCTTTGAAGTCTTCCATAAATATTTAGAGTTTTGAGGCCTATGCGACCTGAAGGCTTACTGCTGAATTCAATTAGGTAGCAATCTGCAAATATTTAGCACCTATAATTTGCTAAATACTGGAATTAGATACGGATTTATAATGGGGTAGAGGCCCTTGCCCTTGAGTTTACTGTCCTGTAGTTGAAATTACTTCAATCTAAGGAACATTTTTGAACTCCTTCCTGCACTGTGCTAAATTCTTGAAGAAACAAAGGATATAGACACATACCTGTGACAAGGTTAAACATTTAGTGACAAGTATTCTAACTTTTCCAGGGACAAGGGTTTGTATGTTAGAGTGGAGGAGGTTTGTGAAAGTTTTGGAACTCACTGGTGATAAGGAGTAGAACCTTATCATATTGGAAACCAGAAGAAACCAGAACACTCGAGTGTTTGAAGAGACTAGTTTGGCTGGAATGGTGGTTTTTCAGGGAGTAGTAGACTGGGATGGATGGAGAGGTCAGTTTTAGATTATGGAGGGCCATAAAAACAAGGTTAGGAATGTGGACTTTATCTTGTGGAGAGTTACTGAAGGCTTTTCAGCAGAAGGCTGACATAATAGCAAAGAGATGGTTTAGAGACAGTATCGCACATTTGTGTGTAGGGTGAAGTTGGGGATAGCGCTAGGGGTGGGGAGGAACTCCAGAGAGAAGAGCCAGTCATTTTAGTGGTGGATTTGGAGATTATTCACTCAATTCAATGAATTCTTTGTTCAAATGGCTTTTTTAGTTTTCTTTTTAAAGTACTTTCTTTTCTTAAAATAACCAGTGTCTTCTTTAAATGCAGTTTAAACTTTTGTAAGCCTTCGTGATGTCTATGTAGTTTCAGTTGCTTATGATTCATACAGGTAGATAGCACAGTTGCCAGAAACAGCAATAAACCATATATGCTTTTCTCATAAATTTTACGTTAGGCAGTCTTGAGAAAATGTATCTTGTTCTTTAGAGAAAATTTTTTAAAACTAACAGTCCTTACAGTTATTAAGCACTAATACAGTGATATAAAATGCTCTGTAGTGAACTTAAATTGTCTAGCTGTGTGTGTGTGTGTGTGTGTGTGTGTGTGTGTGAAGCTAAAGGGGCCCTCATTAATGAGTCTGCTGTTACTAAACATGCATGGAAAAGGATGTAAAGGGCCTTGTTAGTGGCAGAGCCTGGACAAGAATTTAGGTCTTCCGACTTGGTTTTGGTACTTCTAGCCTTGGCATTTTAATGGTTTTTGCTTTGTTCCTCTTAGGAAAAACATAAAAGTTCTCTTTGGCTGTCTTTATGTTTACTGTTTCAGAGAAATATTCTTTTGGGGAAATTTCTTAAGTTGCCATTACATTAAACCCACTGAGATTTGGAAGACTAAAAATAATTTTCCTATTTTGTAAACTTGAGCCTTGGTTTCCTTTTTTTTTGTAAAATGGGACTGATACAGAAAGCCTTGAGGAATAAATAAAATGGTGTGAAAGTGTTTTGAAACACAAATGTAAAATGGTTGTGTAGACACTACTGCTGGTTCAGCCAACATTCCTTTTCCCCTCTGACAATCCAGATTTCATTCAAGTGTCTGCATCCTTTTCAGATGACTCAGGGGAAGGCATTTCAGGGTAATTCTGATTAATCTAACTCAGTGGTTCTCAATCGTAGCTGCTCAATAAAATCACCTGGGGGAACTGTTAAAGCAGTCAGGGTTAAGAAACTATAAGTCCGTTATGATAAACCCATTTTCTGGGTTGGTAATTATTAGAAGAATGAGGTTGTATCCCAGTTCTGACCAAGGAGACGTGACAGGAAGTCTGGGTACTGCAGGGGGAGGCTTCCTTTTGTCATAGGAGACGCGAAGAAGGATGGTTTTCTACTTTTCTGTATTCTCTCATGATGCCTGGGACTGCTACCCACTATCTTGGGCCTGAGGGTAAGTGGCATAGCGCGCTAACTGAATCTGGGTTCTTGATGCTGTTGGGAGACCTGTGGGATTTTCTATGCTTTGAATGTCTTGTTAAATGACATAAGACAGTTTTGAGTTGGGTTTTCTGCTACTTAATGCCCTAGGTTTTTTATTTATTATTATTTTTAGATTTTTAAAATTTTATTTGAGATGTGAGTCTCGCCCTGTTGCCTAGGCTAGAATGCAGTGGTGCAATCTTGGCTCAGGGCAACCTCCGTCTCCCGGGTTCAAGTGATTCTTGTGCCTTAGCCTCCCAAGTAGCTGGGATTACGGGCACGCGCCACCATGCCCAGCTAATTTTTGTACTTTTTTTTTTTTTTTTTGTAAAGACAGGGTTTCACTGTGGTTGGTCTTGAACTCCTGGCCTCATGTGATCCGTCCACCTCGGCCTCCCAAAGTGCTGGGATTACAGGTGTCAGCCACTGCGCCTGGCCTTAATGGCCTAATTTTGATAAAGTGGTGTAATTGTAAATTTTGTGATTATGCTCCCATCAAGTGGAATTTAGAGAGATACAGAAAATAAAATGCTATTTTAAAAAGTTAATAAATTGCAGGGTAATTTTTTCCCGAATGGAAAGGAATACTCATCTACACTCTTTGCCTTGAAGAAGTTACCATAGAGCCCCTACAATTTGGGGCATCACCTGGGATAAGTCCAACTGTCACTTGGGGCTTTATTACAGTGGCTGGTCTCCAGTGTGAATGTAGACCGGCTGTGAAAATAATTACAATCAGACTTGAGCCAGGGTGGGGACCCAGACAGGCTTGAAAAGCTTGAAATGCTTTACTCACTGCAGGTGGTCTTTGACTCCATTTAGAGTTGTTCCTATTTAGAGCTTCCCACCAGGCCACCAGCTGAGCCATGGTTATTTAGAACAGATTTTTTACTAGCCAGTCAGCAATCTAATGTTCTCAGTGTCTTTTTGTCACATTGCCTTTCTCTGTCCTCCCATCTGCTGGGGTTCCTTTGACCAGCTCCTTGTCGCTGTGTTGTTGTTGTTTTTTTTTTTTTTGAGGGGACTAGGGTACATTGTAGACTTTTGGATAAAGAATACAGAGAGGAGGGTATTTTTGTGTTTAATCTTTAAAATAGCTGATGGAATATAATATAGAAGATTAAGAGCATAAGCTGAGGTACTAGCCTGGCTGGGTTCATACCCAAGCTCAACCACCTGCTAACAGGGGATCCTTGCTCAAGCTGCTTAGCTTTTCTATATCTGTGTTCTCGTCAGTAAAATAGAAATTGTAGGGCTGGGCGCGGTGGCTCACGGCTATAATCCCAGCACTTTGGGAGGCCGAGGCGGGCGGATCACGAGGTCAGGAGATCGAGACCATCCTGGCTAACACGGTGAAACCCCATCTCTACTAAAAATAAAAAATAAATTAGCCGGGCGTAGTGGAGGGCACCTGTAGTCCCAGCTACTCGGGAGGCTGAGGCAGGAGAATGGCGTGGACCCAGGAGGTGGAGCTTTCAGCGAGCAGAGATCGCGTCACTGCACTCCAGCCTGGGCAACTGAGTGAGACTCTGTCTCCCCCCCCCAAAAAAAATTATAATACGACCTACTATATTGGATTAAAAGTAGGATTTGTTAATACATGTAAAGCATTTAGTATAAGTGCTCAAAGGTTAACAATTATGATGACATAACTAAATTACAGGCATATATTTTATTATCAAGGCCCTGTTCTTGCCTCAAAATAGCTGTTCTGCACCCTAGACCAGGTATCTAACCTTTTAGTGTTTATTACCCCTAACAGTATATTTCTCCAAAGCACCATTACCAGTGACCAAGAAGAGAGACAAAATTGTCAAACCCTGGAAAGGCTTCCAAATTTTGATTGTAGTTCGGGATGCTGGAAAATCTTGAAAACACATTGGTGGCTGGGCTCAGTGGCTCACGTCTGTAATCCTAGCACTTTGGGAGGCCGAGGCGGGTGGATCACTTGAGGTTAGGAGCTCAAGACTAGTCTGGAGAACATGGTGAAACCCCATCTCTACTAAAAATACAAAAAAAAATTAGCCGGGTCTGGTGGCAGGCGCCTGTAATCCTAGCTTCTCGGGAGGCCGAGGCAGGAGAGTTGCTTGAATCCAGGAGACGGAGGTTGCAGTGAGCTGAGATCACGCCATTGCACTCCAGCCTGGGCAACAGAGCGAGACTCTGTCTCAAAAAAAAAAAAAAAAAGAAAAGAAAATACATTGGCAAATCAGAGCTCAGTGGTATCTTGGGAAAATATTTTCTAGAATTTATTTTTGATTCACAAAGATTTGAAGATAAAGTAGAATGTGTTGCTAAGGTCATTGCAAAACTAGTAAGCAATCTATAGTCGAGGTTCAGGCAGTCAGCAGCAGGCCTTTCCTCCAAGTGACTGATAAGGAAGAGTTGATGACAGAGTTCATCTCAAGGTATTGACATGACAATATAAGTGACTGCAGCCTTCAAATACTTCAAATTACAGAGATACTTTTTGAGGACGTGAACTCAAAATTAGGGTTTCTAGCGTCTGACATGCTGGAAATCCTAACAGCTTGTATTTGCTATGGTAAATTCACAATAAAAGAAGACGACCAGAGACATCCCTAAGAGGGATTTTCCTAAGAGCTGTTAGGTAATCCTGTTCTCTACAGTGGAATACTCAAAAGTGCTCTGGACAAATTCCCAAAGAAGCTGTTTTGAATTCTGTGACTTCAATAGCTGTTTGTCACCTTATATCTTGGGCTTTTTTTTTTTTTTTTGACGGAGTTTCGCTTTTGTTGCCCAGGCTGGAGTGCAATGGCATGATCTTGGTTCACTGCAACCTCCGCCTCCCAGGTTCAAGCGATTCTCCCGCCTCAGCCTCCCAAGTAGCTGGGATTACAGGCGCCTGCCACCACACCCGGCTAATTTTTGTATTTTTTGTAGAGATGGGGTTTCACCACATTGGCCAGGCTGGTCTCGAACTCCTGACATCAGGTGATCCAGCTGCCTCGGCCTCCAAAAGTCCTGGGATTACAGGTGTGAGCCACTGCGTCTGGCCTTACTGGGTTACTTTTTTTTTTTTTTTTTTTGAGACAGAGTCTTGCTCTGTTGCCCAGGCTGGAGTGCAGTGGTGTGATCTTGGCTCACTGCAACCTCCGCCTCCCAGGTTCAAGCAAGTTTCCTGCCTCAGCCTCAGCTGCACACCCTGTAGCTAGTATTATAGGTGTGTGCCACCAGGCCTGGCTACGTTTTGTATTTTTTGTAGAGATGGAGTTTCACCATGTTGGCCAGGCTGGTCCTGAACTCCTGACCTCAGTGAATTCAGAGAGATTAGTAGCTTGTCTAAATCACAATTTGTCATTGATGGAGCTGGAATGTGAACCTAGGTTTGTCTTCACTCCAAAACCCTGAACCACAGTAATGAGCTGTCTCTGTAAAGGGGTGTAACCGTGGTCTTCTGCTAGGGAAGTGATAATCGATCTTGATTATCTAGAGTGTGTGTACATTTGATCTAGTTAGGATATTCTTTTTACATTAGTATGATGACTGATTTAAATTTTGTTAAATTTTAAGACCCCTCTGGGGCCATTATTATAATTTAAACTGATTGCTAATTTGTATTATGAGTACAGTATAGACATTCCAAGGTCGGGTTGATTTAGTATCCATTACAAGACACAGACCTCCACTCTGTCTCTCTCAATCTCCACCTTCCTCTTTTCCTCCCCATTCCTTGTCCTACCCTTCAGTAGAGTAACTTTTAACTTATTCTTTTAGTATTAGGCTTGTTTTTCCTTTGAAAAGTTTGAGATACTTTAGAAATATAAAAAGATAGTCTCACAATAAACATTCATTTATTTTTCCCCCTCCCCCCAGCTTAATGAAAGCATCTTGTATACCCATTCTTTTCCCCAAGGGGTAGGACCTATCTCAGATCTGGTGTTTATTGTTCCTAGGCATTTTGATACAGTTGGGCACATCCATAAACAATATATAATGTGTTTGCATGTGTTTAAACTTTATATAATGGTTTCATCCTATACTTTTTTCCCTCTGAATATATTTGTGAGATTCATCCAATTGGATGTATGTAACTTTATTTCATTTAGTTCAACCTTTTTTTCCTACAAGTGACATTTAAAAGGACTTTGTTAATTGATGTTCTATGATGATGTACCTTCTACCTATGCATTTTTTGGATGATAAAACTAAATATATTTAGGGAATATTCATGATGAAAGCCTTATTGAAATTTGTTTTATAAATTTAGGATACTAGCTTTCAAAACAGTCAGTAATTAATAAATCCATGAATCTTAAAGACATTTAACCCATTTTCTTTTTGGTATTTTGTTACCAGCCCAGCATGGATAATCAGAGTAAGCCAGTTCATGTCTCAGGACTATATGAGAACTGGTTTGAGTCAGAAACAAAAAATCTTTAAAAGCCATTTTGCTTCATTGAAATTAGACTTCTGATTAGAAAGAGAAAAATGATGTTTGTATAAACACAATGTACATGGAGAATTCTGGTAACTGTCAAGCTAGTTGGGGCAGATGAACATGATTTTCAGGCAGGGACTGGATGGTATCTTGTGGTAAGCCCCAAAGCAAACACTGGCAGGTCTGCTTCCCTTACTTATCCTAACACAGGAATGTAATTGCCAGGGGGATGCTTTTGTATTGAGAAGGCCTTGATATTGTTCTCTTTATAAACACATACACACACACACAGAGAAAAACACCAGACACTTTACATTCTAAAGGCAGGCATCTTGATATCGTTCTCTTTACACACACACACACACACACACACGCACACACACACACACACACACACACACACACACACACCAGGCGCTTTGCATTCTAAAGGCAGGCATCTCTGTAAACTCTGAGATGGACTGGAGTCACACCCCAAGTTGCTGCCATAGCTAGGCCTGACTCCCTGGTCCAACTAGAATTTCCTCCCTGTGTTTCCTCAGAAAGACATTAATCCAGTGCCACTTAATATTTCAACGGTGAGTGTGATTTCTCCTGACTTGTTGACTTGTTTACCCACAGGCATCTTCTACCCTCACTCTTGGTGGCAAGTCATGGTGAGATGTGTGGCTGGAAGAACTCAATTTGGCCACAGCAGTGTCACCTCAGGTCAGAATACAGGATGTGGAATGGTCTCTTAAAAAAAAAAATGAGTGCTTTCTTTTCTGACTGTAAAGTTGGCCTCACCGTTTATTAGCTGTGTGACTTTGGGCAAGTTATTTAAGCCTTCAGTGCCTACATTTTTCTTTATTAGTAAAATGGCCCTAGTAAGAACTCTGCCTCACTGGTGGTGGTATTTAATCCTCACATTACATATTAAAAGATCTTAGGACTCTGCTTGGCTATGGTAGGTGCCTATTATTTTTATTATTATTATTAAAATAACTATTTTCCTTTGGTTGAACTTGAGCACAGTTGTGGCTTTACCCATAGTTACAGGAGAAATAGTCTGTGAACACTTTTTTTTTTTTTTTTTTTTTTTTGAGATGGAGTCTCGCTTTTGCAGCTCAGGCTGGAGTGCAATGGCACAATCTCGACTCACTGCAACCTCTGCCTCCCGGGTTCAAGCGATTCTCCTGCCCCAGCATCCCGAGTAGCTGGGATTATAGGCACCTGCCACCACGCCTGGCTAATTTTTTTGTATTTTTAGTAGAGATGGGGTTTCACCATGTTTGCCAGGCTGGTCTTGAACTCCTGACCTCAGTGATCCGCCTCTCTCGGCCTCCCAAAGTTCTAGGATTACAGGCATGAGCCACTGTGCCCAGCGCATGTTTTTTTCTTCCAATCTAATCATATTTTGAAGCACAGAGCTGAATATAGGCCTCTCATTTATACATAGGAGAAATCATCCATAATAGTGTTGAAATCTGATGTATTACTGAAAGCCTTTTTTTTTTTTTTAAAGTTTTGGGGACAAAGCCAGAAGTACAAGGGAATACAGTGTCCTTGACATGACATTACATTTATTTGAGAATCGGGCAGATTCTCTGCCATACTGATCGATAGTTTTTTTTTTTTTTTTAATTTTTATTTTTGGAGACAGTCTCACTCTGTCACCCAGGCTGCAGTGCTGTGGCATGATCTCGGCTCACTGCAACCTCTGCCTCCTGGGTTCAAGCGATTCTCCTGCCTCAACCTCCCGAGTAGCTGGGATTACAGGCGTGCACCACCATGCCTGGCTATTTTTGTGTATTTTTAGTGGAGATGGGGTTTCACCATGTTGACCAGGATGGTCTCGAATGCTTGACCTCGTGATCCACCCGCCTCAGCCTCAAAGTGCTGAGATTACAGGTGTAAGCCACCGCGCCCAGCCGATAGTTTTGTTTTTATTTTGTGAAATGCGAATCAAAGGCAGCACAGCAAACATACTAAAATAGATAGGTCTTTGAAACCAGGTTTACTTACTGTGTGACCTTGGGCAAGTTGTTTAACTTCTCTGTGCCTTGATTTCCTCCTCTGTAAAATGTGGATAATAGTCAGCTGGGCACAGTGGTGCACGCCTGTAATTCCAGCACTTTGGGAGGCTGAGGCGGGCGGATCACCTGAGGTCGGGAGTTGGAGACCAGCCTGACAAACATGGAGAAACCACATCTCTACTAAAAATATAAAATTAACTGGGCATGGTGGTGCATGCCTGTAATCCCAGCTACTCTGGAGGCTGAGGCAGGAGAATCGCTTGAATCCGGGAGGCAGAGGTTGCGGTGAGCCAAGATTGCGCCATTGCACTCCAGCCTGGGCAACAAGAGTGAAACTCCTTCTCAAAAAAATAAATAAATACATAAATAAATAAAGTGGATAATAGTTACATGTTTAAAATGTTGCAAGGCTTAAATTATTTTTAAAGTACTTAAAAAAATTGCCTGAACCATAGTGAACTCTCTCTGTGTTTGCTAGGCGTAGAAAAAAAATTAAAAATATATTCAGTCATCACTAGAACAACCTTATTTATGACAGTGGTGGAGTGGTGTCATCTTGTCACTGAACTCTAGCTATGGTGGGCTAGTTGCTAGAGGTTTGTGAGAAGAAACGTGTATATTAGTGCAGAAGAGTTCTAGTGCAGGAGACAGCAAATTTATTTAAAAAGCAATTACATTCACATTGTTGAATCAGTATGGGATGCGATGACTGTAGTTAACAGGACTACCTAGTTTGGGGGTTCCAAGAAGACTTCAAGAAAATAAAACTTCTAGGCTGAGACCAAAAGGAGGGATCAGAGCTTTCCCTGCTGAGAGTGGGGAAGAAGTATTCTCCAAGTGCAGGGAAAATGCATCTGAGAGGTCAGAGAGAGCACATCCTGTGGATGGAAAAATGGTGCTCAGGTGGGCCAGGGAATCTGCATTGAGGATAAGAATGGTGCTGTCGAGGGGGTGGGGGAGGGTCAAGAAGGCCCTTGGAAAGCAGGTTGAGGGCTTTACTCTAAGGACAGTAGGAAGTGATCGAAAAGTTTTGTGTAGGGGAGTGGTGTGAGTTGAATTGTTGTAGAAAGCTTTCTCGGAGTGCAGTTGTGCAAATGAATCGGAGGAAAGCAGGACTGGAGGTTGGGGGGTCAGTCATCCAGGCCAGAGACTTTGGTGGCAGAAGAGGAGTCAAGACTTAGCAGCTGCAGGCTATAGGGGGTGATTGGGTGTGGGGGCTGCCCTGACACCTCAGGTTCTGGTGTGGGCTGGTGAGTGCAGTTCACTGAGGTCCTGCCACAGCAGCAGCTTTTGTGGGAGAGAGGATGAGTTTTTGGTTTTGGATGTGGAGGGCAAGGTATTTCGTAGTAGCCAGGAGACATGTTCAATAGTGTGTTTCTTTTATGGGTGTGTATTTCAGGAATGGGGAATACAGCTGGAGATAAAGATTCTGGAGACACACCATATGGATGGGAAACGATGCCATGCAGCTGAATACCGAGGCTGCCGAGAGAGAATGTAGAGGGAGAAGGCAGGGAGAGGGTCAGGGCAAATCCGGAGGAACTCCATCTTTTAAGGGGTAGGTGAAAGAAGAACTTGAAATCTGAGAAACAGTAGCCATTGACAGAGAGATGGAAAACCAGGAGAGGGTCTCAAAAGCCAAGGAGAAAGAGTGTTCAGAGAGCAGGAGGGAGTAGACAAGGCCATGCCACAGAGAGGTCAAGTAGCTTGAGTCAAGGTGACATTGTGTTGGCCACACACTGTCATTGGTAATAGTGGGAGAGTAGTTTAGGTGGCCAAGCAGAACTGGGAGCCTGCTTGCAGAGGGCTGAGAAGGGAGTGTGAGGAAAGTCAGTGAACTTGGGTACGGATAGCTCTCCTAAATTATTTGGCCTGCCATCCAAATACTTCAAAACATTCAACCCTGTCTTCAAGCAGGCTTGACCCTGCTTAGCATCTGAGATCAGACAGGGTTGAATGTGTTCAGGGTGGTGTGGCTGTAGACCCAGATTACGTGGTCAGTGGGAGAGGAGGAGATGGAAGATTCAGGGGTCCATCTCAGAGCACAAAGTGTTTGTTTGTTTGTTTGTTTGTTTTGAGACGGAGTCTCGCTGTGTCACCCAGGCTGGAGTGCAGTGGCGCAATCTCAGCTCACTGCAAGCCCCGCCTCCTGGGTTCACGCCATTCTCCTGCCTCAGCCTCCCGAGTAGCTGGGACTACAGGCGCCCACAACCACGCCCTGCTAATTTTTTGTATTTTTAGTAGAGACGGGGTTTCACCGTGTTAGCCAGGATGGTCTCCATCTCCTGACCTCTTGATCTGCCCGCCTCGGCCTCCCAAAGTGCTGGGATTACAGGTGTGAGCCACTGTGCCCGGCCTTTTTTTTTTTTTTGAGATGGAGTTTCGCTGTTGTTGCGTAGGCTGGGTGCAGTGGCGTGATCTCGGTTCACGGCAACCTCCACTTCCCAGGTTCAAGCGATTCTCCTGCCTCAGCCTCCTGAGTAGCTGGGATTACCGGTGTGCACCACCACACCTGGCTAATTTTTTGCATCTTTTTAGTAGAGATGGGGTTTCACCATGTTGGTCAGGCTTATCTCGAACTCCTGACCTCGTGATCTTCCCGCCTCTGCCTCCCAAAGTGCTGGGATTACAGGCGTGAGGCACCGTGCCCTGCCACAAAGTGCTTCTTATTTATTTATTTAATTATTTTGAGACAGAGTCTCACTCTGTCGCCAGGCTGGAGTGCTGTGGCGTGATCTTGGCTCACTGCATCCTCTGCCTCCGGGGTTAAAGCGATTCTTCTGCCTCAGCCTCCCGAGTAGCTGGGACTACAGGCATGCACCACCATGCCCAGCTAATTTTTGTATTTTTAGTAGAGACGAGGTTTCACCATGTTGGCCAGGATGGTCTTGATCTCTTAACCTTGTGATCCGCCCGCCTTGGCCTCCCAAAGTGCTGGAGTTACAGGTGTGAGTCACTGCGCCAGGCCTGCTTTTTTTTTTTTTTTGAGATGGAGTTTTGCTCTTTGCCCAGGCTGGAATGCAGCGGCGCGATCTTGGCTCACTGCAACCTCCACCTCCTGGGTTCAAGTGATTCTCCTGTCTCAGCCTCCTGAGTAGCTCGCTTGCCACCACTCCCCGTTAATTTTTGTATTTTTAGTAGAGACGGGGTTTCACCATGTTGGCCAGGCTGGTCTTGAACTCCTGACCTCAGCTGATCCGCCCACCTCAGCTTCCCAAAGTGCTGGGATTGTAGGTGTGAGCCACCGTGCCTGGCAGCGTGCTTCTTAATATAGAAGGTGGGATTCATATTCTAGGTGAAGAAGTGGTGGGAGGGTGTACCTTTCACCTGTTTCATGACAGAGGAGATGGTAAATGATGTCTACACACTCAAATTGTAGATTTATGGCAGGACATCGAGGAAACTGTCAACTGATGGATTTATTTTCCCTGAGGTAGATGACAAGATTCAGTAATTCTGTTTTAATCTCTCCCCCACCACATTCTTTTTCTGGTTGATATTAATACTACATGACTTGTAAGAGTGGTTTTCCTCATAGTCTGTTTGAACTGAGTGGGATGGCATACAGATGTTAAGCTGAGAAGAGGTAATGGGGTTAGGGGAGAAAAAGGAGTTAAATGTTTGGGTAAACAACCCTCATGATACCCAGAAAGGCCGCTGTTTCAGGCTTTATTTCACACTTTGTTCTGTTGCACTTAAAAGACCCAAACGGTCCTTCATCTTTTTTTTTTTTCCCCCAAAGTATTAAAACCGATTTTCTCTTTTATCTCACCGGAGTCATGCTGATTCTCTTTGGATGTCTACAGGGAATAAAATGCCTCTGGCAGCACCTGGGAAGATTGTAGGACTTCCAAGTGTCTGCCTCTTTGTCCAAGAGAAGAGGAGGAATAGAAATTGTAAGAGTTAAAAATGGAATAATTATCTATTATCTAAAAATATCTTCTCTTGCTCTTTTCTAGCTAACTACTTAGGTTCAACCTAGTTGAAGAAACAATGCCTAGAAGAAATAAATGCTTACAAAAGATACCCATCAGTGGGTGGTATGCAGATAGCCCTTGTCTTCCCTTCAGGGCTGGACACCCTGACCGCCATGGAGGTGGCCACACAGCATCCCTTCAGGGATGTGGAGTGTGGAGACCTTCAGATGCTTCAGAGGGAGGATATGAGTGGAGAAGTTCTTTGCATGTGTTTCTAGAGCTAGAGTTGGTGTCCTGTTTTTTTGTGGAAAGGATAGAGTTTAAAAATTAATCTGAACTTTTTCTTCCCCTTTCTTCAGATTATTGTTATAAAAATACTATGGATGCTCATTTATTTCAGCTGTCAGTGAGAGGAATCAGACTAAAACCTTGTTGAAGCAAAAGAAAAAAAAAAGAAATTTTGGCTTGTGGGTGAAGACTGAAGACTAAAGACCTTTCTTACTGCACTGGGAATTCCAGAGAATACTGACTCTTTTTCCCTAGACCAGTGGTTCTCAAATGGGTGATTTTGACTGTCTAGAGACAATTTTGGTTGTTACTTTAGGGAGATGCTATGGTTTCTAGCGGGCAGAGGCCAGTGATGCTGCTAAACACCCTGCAGTGCACAGGACAGCTCCCCTACAATGAAGAATGATCCAGCCCCAAATGTTCGTAGTGCTGAGGTTGAGAAACTCTGCCTTAGAAATAGGGAGCCCATGTAATCTAAACCCAGATACTCTTGAGAAGTACAGTTATGCTAAGACAATAACCATGAACTGGAATTGCTACAAGTATACCTGGACCTGTGGTTGCTCTACATAAAGGCCTTATCAGTCCTGGGTCACTTGCCCGGCATAGACCAGTCACTGAGATGTGGTGGATGTTGTACTTTGGCCAGCCTGAATCATGTGCCTACCAGTCGGGTGAAGAAGTGGGCAGCAAGTGATTGCTCGGACAGAATGCCACAGCTCACAACAAAGGGTATAGAAACTAGTAAAAAAAAGCTGATGTCTTGTACCAAGTTTTAGTTTTAGAAAATAAGATCTGGAGATCTGTATAATATGGAGCATATGATTAACAATATTGTATACTTACAATTTTCCTAAGAGGGTAGATCTTATATTAAGTGCTCTTTCCACAAAGGGAAAAGAAAACAAAAACAAAATGATACAGGGAGTGGGAGGAAACTTTTGGATGTGATAGCATTGATAATGATGGTGGCTTGATGGTTTCACAGGTGTATGCTTATCTGCAAACACATCAAGATATGTACATTAAACACACAAAAAGCAGTAGATAGGCTGGGCACTGTGGCTCAGGCCTGTAATTCCAGCAATTTGGGAGGCTGAGGCAGGAGGATTGCTTAAGGTTAGGAGTTTGAGACCAGCCTGGGCAACATAGACCCTATTTCTAAAAACAGGGTTGGGGGCGTGGGGGCACACACCTGTAGTCCTAGCTACTTGGGAGGCTGAGGTGGGAGGATTGCTTGAATCCGGGAGATTGATGCTGCAGTGAGCTGTGATCATGCCACTGTATTCCAGCCTGGGCAGCAGAGTGAGACCCTGTGTCTTAAAAAAAGAAAGCTGATGTCCTATACATAAGATAACTTTTACTTTTGAAACTCACTTTATTAGACCTGTTTTGATCTGGGCCTAGGGACTGCACATGGCAAAACAAATGAGGACTATATGAAAACAGTCAAAATAAGTATGCCTTCTATTTTTTTCCCCGTTGCTTGGTTGATTAATTTTAACCATAATAGAGGAGGTGAGAGAGATGAAATTGGCAAGAGGGTGGAAATGAAGACTGTGATTCCTGTAGCTTGCCTGGATACAAGGACAAGGTTGTTGGCACAGTGAGGTATCTATGCCTTATAATAGAACCCCTGACCAGAGGAAAAAATTTAGATTAAAATACTTAATATTTATAACACCTTAGCTTGTTGTAGGCCAAGAAAATATTTAAAGAATTAAATAGCAGTTTACTGGCTTAATTTAAATTTCTGACACTGATAGTTCTCCTATTTATTTTTGAAGAAACAAAGCATTGTTAAGAAAAACTAATTTTTGTGGGTATCATTAATCCAGCAGAATGGATTGAATAATTTTACATTCTTTTTACCTTTAAACAAAGAAAACATTTCTTGAATGGAAATTAGAACATATGTATTTTCTAATTTTGTATGTTCTTGATTTAATTTTAAATTTGAAATCAATTGAGAAATCCTTTAAGCATCTAGAAAAGTTGTCTAAATTATTTTCTTCTGAAACTGTATTATAGTCTCTGGAAATATTTTCCATCTTTCGAGTTTATTGTGTATGCAGGATAAAATCCAACGTAAGGATTTGACAGTAGGTAGCTATTTGCACTATTTTCTGTTCATTGCAATAAGAGAACTGAGACGGTCAAACTAAATATTTGTTATGTAAACTCTGAAATCTTTTAGAATCGACTGTTGTGGCTTAATTGATACTGTCTAAAAGGCTTGAATGGCTATGCAAATTAACCTGTTGATGAACAGCCATGTATCCAGAAACAGAATGTATCACTTAACCACAGCGAACAGTGTTTTGTTTGCAATAAGATGGTTGAGTGCTTTTTGGCAGTGTTTACCTGAGTGTGGCAGGACTGATTTATCTTGACAAGCAAAGAACAAAAAGATTTTAAAAAGTGCTTCTTTGTCCAGAAAACAAAGAGGCAACTTTGTAAAGACCTTTGTATTTTTTGACCTTAAAATTTTCATTCCAAAAGCTTTAAATTTGAAAGTGTAGTTTTGAGTCAACACAGTTTCTCGGTTTAATGTATGCAGTGAGAACAAAATGGAAAGGAGTGGAGAGGGAGTTGTACCATGGTGGAAGTGAATGCATCAGGGAGCATTTGACCCTTGGAAGGTGTTGGAGGGTCACCTAGAATGAAGGGAGGTGTTTAATTTCTTTCTGACTGTGGCGTCAGTTTAATGAATGCATACCAAAAGTCAGAGTGTACATTAGGAAGAAAGAATGGAACGGGATTAATACATAATTCAGCTTTGTGTGTGTGCATTGTGTTTGTGTGTGCATAATCTAATCGTAGTTTACATATAACTAAATTAAGAGGGATTGGTGATGATTTCTTTAAAGGGAATAGTCATCACCCAACCTATTTGTTTTGTGTGCATTAATATCCGTTTTTATGTGTTGGATTTGCTTAAATGGAAGTACATATAAAATATCTTTTTTTTTTTTTGGGGGGGGTTGTAATCTCACTCTGTAACCCAGGCTGGAGTGCAGTGGCGTGATCTCAGCTCACTGCAACCTCCGCCTCCTGGGTTCAAGCGATTCTCCTGCCTCAGCCTCCTGAGTAGCTGGGACTACAGTCACGCACCACCACGCCTGGCTAATTTTTGTATTTTTTAGTAGAGATGGGGTTTCACCATATTGGCCAGGCTGGCATCAAACTCCTGACCTCGTGATCCGCCTGCCTCAGCCTCCCAAAGTGCTGTGATTACAGGCGTGAGCCACTGGTGCCCGGCCATAAAATATCTTCAATTTAAAACAATGAGCTTTGGAGGGCTCATTGTGGGCAGGTCGCGTGAGGTCAGGAGTTGGAGACTAGCCTGATCAACATGGTGAAACCCCATCTCTGCTAAAAAATATAAAAATTAGCCGGGTGTGATGGTGCGTGCCTATAGTCCCATCTACGTGGGAGGCTGAGGCAGGAGAATCTCTTGAACCCGGAAGGCAGAGGTTGCAGTGAGCCCAGATCTGGCCACTGCACTCCAGCCTGGGCAACCGAGTGAGACGCCACCTCAAAACCAAAAACAAAAAAAACAAACAATGAGTAGATCACTATTGTTTTAGATTAGAGATGTTAGATTTTAATTGACCTGATATATAAGTTTAGCTATTGTTAAACATTATCTGAGAAGTACTAAAACAAGTTTACTGGAATTAATGATAATAATGGTGGTGTTTGTAGTAGGAGTAGATAATAGTTGTTGTTTTTTTTTTTTTGAGACAGAGTCTTGTTCTTCCACCCAGGCCAGGGTGCAGTGGCGTGATCTCGGCTCACTGCAACCTCCGCCTCCTGGGTTCAAGCAATTCTCCTGTCTCAGCCTCCTGAGTAGCTGGGATGACAGGCGCATGCTACCACGCCTGGCCATTTTTTTTGTATTTTTAGTAGAGATGGGGTTTCACCATGTTGGCCAGGCTGGTCTTGAACTCCTGGCCTCAAGTGATGTGCCTACCTCCGGCCCCCTAAAGTACTGGGATTACAGGTGTGAGCCACTGCACCTGGCCTTTTTTTGCTTTTTTTGGAGCACTTGTGTTTCAGAGACTGTGCCCAGTGTTTTCACAGGAGTTAGCATTTCTCACAGCAGTCCTCTGATAGTTAATCTCGTAATAATTGCCATTTTGCAATTTAAGAACGTGGGTTTAGAGAGGTTGACATTTGCCCGAGGGTACTCATCTAGGTAGCTGAGGCTCCTGCAAGTTATACACTTTCTGAAGCCTTTAGTTTTTTTTTTTTTTTTTTTTTAAGATGGAGTGTTGCTCTGCCATCAGGTTGGAGTGCAGTGGCATGATCTCGACTCACTGCCACCTCTGACTCCCAGGTTCAAGCAATTCTCCTGCCTCAGCCTCCTGAGTAGCTAGGACTATAGGCGTGCGCCACCACACCCAGCTAATTTTGTATTTTTAGTAGAGACAGGGTTTCACCATATTGGCCAGGATGGTCTTGATCTCCTAACCTCATGATCTGCCTGCCTTGGCCTCCCAAAGTGCTGGAATTACAGGCATGAGCCACAACGCCTGGCCAAGCCTTTAGTATTATAGAAGAGCATGCATTATTGTCATTGATACAGTATTTCACAGATCTGATTTGGGGTGTTATCTTGTGTAAAGTCGTGGGGTTGTAATGTCTGCAAAGCTTACTTTCGGGAAATTAAAAATTTTCTATCAAGTGATAGAAACTTCCTTTAAGCTATTAAAAGTTATAGGAAAGGAAGTCATTTTCATATAATCTGGAATAGTGGCTGTGCTATTTTATTTGCATTACAAAAAATTGAAAAAAACGCTATTGTTTGCTTTTAAACAAAGCAGACTTTAAAAAGTAATGTTACTGTTAATGATTTAATAGAGGGTACACAGGTTTAATCTGTACTCACAGTTTGATCTTTTTTTTTTTTTTGGTGACGGGGTCTCATTTGTTGCTTAGGCTGGCGTGATCTTGGCTCACTGCAACCTCCACCTCCTGGGCTCAAGTGATTCTTGTGCCTCAGCCTCCCGAGTAGCTGGAATTACAGGTGTGCGCCGCCATGCCTGGCTGATTTCTGTATTTTAGTAGAGACGGAGTTTTGCCATGTTGGCCAGGCTGGTCTCAAATTCCTGACCTCAAGTGATCCTCCCACCTTGGCCTCCCAAAGTGCCGGGATTACAGGCGTGAGCTGCCGCACCTGGCCTGCTTTACTATTAATGCTGATCTGGGCCTTTGATTAAATTTGCTGCTTATCTCATGCCTGTGTTGCCATTTTATTTTCTTCCCAAATAATAGCCATTCCTTTTATTTTTAGAAGTATTTTTATTCTCTTTGGTGATGGTATTCTCAATGTATTTAATCTGAAGTAAATTTTCTCCAGATTCACCTATGAGGAGCCTGCTACCCAGAAGGTTAAGAATTTTGTCCAAAGTCATATGGCAAAGTAATAGTATCAGTGAAGACACTGTAGTCAGTTTTAAAACATTTCAGAGTTTAGCCAGTAAATACTGAATTTAGTAAACCTCAATTTGCGTATGGAAAGCTGGAAATAAAACTCGTCTCCTGACTGCTGTGTTGGAGCTGGAAGGAATGTCCAACCTTCTTACACCATAGATAAGGAAACATGAAACATGCCTGCAGCGGCCACTTAGATATATCTGCTCTGTCCTGTCAGTTCAGGAAGCTCATTTCTAGTGTTGAGTTTACTCTGAAGTCAATTTTCTTTTCTTTTCTTTTTTTTTTTTGAGACACAGTCTGTTGTCCAGGCTGGAGTACAGTGATGTGATCTCGGCTCACTACAACCTCTGCCTCCTGGGTTCAAGCGATTCTCCTGCCTCAGCCTCCTGAGTAGCTGGGGCTATAGGTGTGCACCACCGTACCTGGCTAATTTTTTGGTTTTTTTTTTTTTTTAGTGGAGATGGAGTTTCACCATGTTGGCCAGGTTGGTCTTGAACTCCTGACCTCAGGTGATCTGCCTGCCTCAGCCTCCCAGAGTGCTGGGATTACAGGCGTGAGCCACTGCCCCTGGCCTGAAGTCAATTTTCTTATGTTTGTTTGCAGTGAACAAGTAATTAAGGAAATGAACCAGTAAATGAGAAAATTATATTTGAGAGAATGATTTTTTTCCCCTTTCGAAACTATTTTCATGATGCTCACGTATTCATGAATGTTGAAAATTTACATTGGGATGAGAGTGAGAGAGTATTGAGGCTGCACCGTTTAATAATTCCACATGTATGAGAGTCCTTCCTCTTGATGCTTAATTTGTGGTTAGAGAGATTAACAAATTGAGCAAAGATGATGTGACATTATTTCATAGTTTGGGGCTTCCATTCATCTGCTACTACTCGTTCTAAGAAAGACCTAACGTTCCTAAAAACTTTGATACCCCTCACCTTGCCTGTGTTCCAGGTTCCAGTAAACTCCTGGCTTACTGAGGGCAGTGTCTGTCTTTCGTCCTCCAGCAGTGTCTAGAACAGTGCCTTGCTCATAGGCACTGAGTCAGTACCCATCTGGCTCCTGGAATGTTTGAGTTGGAAGTCCCAGAAGTCTAGAATGTTTATTTAGGTTAAGCTAAGAAGCAGATGCAAGTTGAGGGAATTCAGGGCCTTTAATTCTTGTTCTGTTTCCAGGTGTCATTTACATAAGGCATACGATGCCTTTTGTAAGTAACTCCATACCATTTGTTGCTATTGTAGTTCCTCTTGCAAATTCCTGCTGAGTACTTTGATGCACAGGAGGTGAAAGGGGCTAGAAAGCTGTTTTGGCCTTAGTTGAGTTGATGAAACTTCAGAACGTTAAGACAGGCTTAGAAAGGAGTCAGTGTTCTGGGGCACAGTTGGGATAGTGTTCAAAACTACTGAGGGCCCCAAACTGCCTCCAGATAGAAAGAAAAGCTCAGTGGGGGTTGTTAGAAATTTAGTTCCTTTGGATGAATTTCTGTTGTCTTTCCTTGATGATAGTTTATATTCAACATACTGAATGTAATTGTATTCAATTTTTTTTTTTGTCTTTCACCAGCTAGAGAATTTGGGTGAAATTTTACTGTTACACATGTGCATTAGCACTGAATTTGTTTAACATAAAGCAAAATAACAGGAAAAAGACAAATATAAATGATTTTGCTACATAAGTTGTACATTCTTCTGTTAGAATTATAATGAAGTCCCTGAAGAAATATTAAAATCCGGCTGGGCGTGGTAGCTCACGTCTGTAATCCCAGCACTTTGGGAGGTGGAGGCGGCTGGATCACCTGAGGTCAGGAGCTCGAGACCAGCCTGACCAACATGGTGAAACCCTGTCTCTACTAAAAAATGCAAAAATTAGCGGACGCCTATAGTCCCAGCTACTTGAGAGGCTGAGGCAGGAGAATTGCTTGAACCCAGGAAATGGAGGTTGCAGTGAACCGAGACTGCGCAGTTGCACTACAGTCTGGGCGACAAGAGTGAAACTCCGTCTCAAAAAAAAAAAAAAATTCTTTCAAAATGACTGCTTTAAAAACATTCCAAACAATAAGGATATAATAAAAGCAAACTTATTATTTAAGTAAAACCAAAGATGTAACATTTGAAGTTTTTGTTATTTTAAGAACAAAAATATCATTTTGTTCTCATTAAAATTTTTACTTATTTTTACTTGTTAAATTTTCTCTTACATAACCAGTCTTTTGTGATCAACTCAGTCTGGGCGTTCTGTGTTCATGGCATTTCTTCCCAGTTAATTCATTCTAGAAAACTGCAAGGTGTTTTGTTCCATCTGACTGTTTGTAAACAGGAAGGGACCCTAGCTACTCGGGAGGCTGAGGCAGGAGAATCGCTTGAACTCAGGAGGCGGAGGTTGCGGTGAGCCGAGATCACGCCATTGCACTCCAGCCTGGGCAACAAGAGTGAAACTCCGTCTCAAAAAAAGGGAAAGAAAAAAAAATACCAGTTCCATGTTATCAAGAAGAAAGAGAGGGCTGTTTTGGAAAACACTAACATCATTGGCCTTTTCTTTGGCGAGCTGCTGGAATATTTTAGGAAGTAGCTGTACTTTTGCTCTTATAAACACAGTTAAATAGATACTGCCTCTTGTCCTTCTCTTGCCCTTATATAGTGTAGGTGATATTTTTCTATTTGGCTCTTTTAGAAGCTGGACTATCACGAAAGAAGGTGGGGTGTGGGTGTGTGTGAGTGGTTGTGGGTGTGTGTGTGTAGTGCATTATGAGTCAGCCTCTGTGGCTGTTTGCTGTGTATTTTGTCCTTGTTTTGTATTATTTCACATATGTGTTGAGGAGCAATGCATCAGTAATGAATGTAACAGAAGAGCTGCATGTAACAGAATAGCCAGTTATCAACTGGCTTTTAGACCTTGACCCTGTTGGTAATTTTTTTTTTCTGTCACATAATAAGTCAATAGTAGGTGGTTGCTGGCTAGTTGTCAGTGGTGAGGATTCTAAAAATTTCTTGCCTTTTTCCTCATGGTTGCAAGATGGCCTAGTCATTACACCCACCCACTTACTAGGAGGCAAAAAAAAAAAAAAAGAAAAAAAAGAAAGGGAGGATCTGTATCCAAGGCTTTCCCAGGACTCTCCAGTCAGCTTCTGCTAATACCTCATGGGCCGCAGTTCTTAATTGCTCTCCCTAGCCCCAAGTAAGTCTGGGAAAAATTTGTTTGTGGTCCAGCCCTTGTTGTAGAGGAAGGTGTGGGTGGTGGGGGGAGTATAAAATATTGGAATGGCTGTTGAATAAACCATTTCTGGATCTTCTAAAAACAGTTACACACTCTAGAGTGGGCATCTCAGGAGTGTTTCTCCATTAACTTCAGTTAATCAGCAGGTCTTTGATGAGCACTGTTAGTATGAACTATACCATAGTCCCCCTTATCCGTGGTTTCAGTTACCCATGATCTGAAAATAGTACATGAAAAATTCCAGAAATAATTCATGAGTTTTAAATTGTGTGCTGTTCTGAGTAGTGTGATGGAATCATGTGCCATCCTGCTCCATCCCACCTGGGATGTGAATCATCCCTTTGTCCAGGGTATCCACACTGTATGGTTGTATGTATAGGAAGAAATAGTGTATATAAGGTTTACAGTGCTATTCATGGTTTTAGGCATTCACTGGGGATCTTGGAATATATCCTCCCTGGATAAGGGGGGACCACTATATTGTTATTGGTCTTAGGGAGTTAGAGGGAGAAATGCAAATGTGTAATGTATTGTCTTATTAGAATTTACAGTCTGGTTATGGGAATACAACACAGAAGGTTGTGTAATTGTTTTTTTTTTTTTCATCAGATTATAAGAAGAGGGAAGGGCATTCATGAATGCCTGGTATAATGGAAAAGGCTCACCTTGAGGAGAGGGGCCTTGGTTGGTCTAGGCTGGTGGCAGTGCAGTTGCAGAGAGAGTGAGAGCGAGAGAGAGAGAGAAATGAATGATGCCAGAGGGAACCTGGGCTATAGTGGCTTCTTTAAATTTACGGAAAAATATAAATCAAAGATGATAATCTTTTCAGCTTAGGAGATGAGGCAAACATTGGATATCAGAACCTGAAAGTTAATGGGAACACAGGACAGTCTAGCCTTTTTTTTTTTTTTTTTTTTTTGAGACAGAGTCTTGCTTTGTGGCCCAGGCTGGAGTGCAGTGGTGCCATCTGGGCTCACTGCAACCTCTGCCTCCCGTGTTCAAGCAATTCCCCTGCCTCAGCCTCCCGAAAGCTGGGACTACAGGCGTATGCCGCCATGCCCAGCTAATTTCTTTTGTATTTTAGTGGAGATGGGGTTTCACAGTGTTGCCCAGGCTGGTCTTGAACTCCTGAGCTCAGGCAATCTGCCCGCCTCGGCCTTCCAAAGTGCTCGGATTACAGGTGTGAGCCACCGCGCCTGGCTGGGGCAGTGTAGCTTTGAGAGAAGGCTTGGTGACCCAGCTGGTCCTCCCAGTTTTGCTGCCATGTCCATCATCTAGATTTCCCTTTACCAGCTTTCCATCTGCTGTAGCATTGACAACTTCCATCCGTTCATAGCCTCTGCTTCCTCTGAACATTGGCTTACTCACGGGCCTCTACGGTGAGTGTCCTCAGCTTCACCTTCCACGACTGCACACCTGGGTACTTAACCTGTTCTTCAGTCACCTTCCTAAGAGAATCTGGTTGGCCCAGCTAATTACCATTGTCCTTGTTTCGGAAGAGGCTGTCAGGCCTGGCTCACGCTGGTCATTGGCCAACCTGTCTGTTCCCTTCCCTGGGATCTGGTGCCCATCCCTGTCCAGTCACCTGTGATACAGAACAGGTGTGCCCGAGACTGCTACCTCACCAGGGCCAGGGAGAAGAGGGGCAGGCACCATACAAATACAAGCCTGGTACGTGTGCCATAGCTTGCTTTGTGCACCCCTATTGGTTTTATAAACGTTACATTAGATAAAGGAACTGTTTTCCACCTCTATAAAGAATTTGGTGAGACCAGCCTGGCCAACATGGAGAAACCCCGTCCATACTGAAAATACAAAAATTAGCTGGGCGTGGTAGCACATGCCTATAATCCTAGCTACTTGGGAGGCTGAGGCAGGAGAATTGCTTGAACCCGGGACGTGGAGGTTGTGGTGAGCCAAGATTGCGCCATTGCACTGCAGCCTGGGCAACAAGAGCGAAACTTCATCTCAAAAAAAAAAAAAAAGATTTTGATGTAGTTATGTATGAATAAACCTAAACCTTTGGCTAATTTTTTTGATATTTTAATTCTTTTAGCAGCTTATTGAGATATAATTCACACACCACACAGTTCATCCATTTAAAATGTATAATCAATGGCTTTTAGTGTAGTCACAGATTAGTGCAGCCATCACCACAGTCAATTTTAGAACATATTCATCACCCCAGAAAGAAAGCCTGTCCCCTTTTGGCTAATACTTTTTGATGCTGATGATAACAGGTCCATGCCTCAGTGTGTTGCTCAGGGAGGCCTTTCTGACTGTGCTGTTTAAATGTGCATTCCTTCTCCATTCTTTGTCCCCTGTGCCTGCCTATTTTTCAGGCAGGTTGTTAGAATACAGGTGGTGTATTTTTTTTTAATTTATTATTATTATTATTTTTTAGGCTGAGTGTGGTGGCTCAGGCCTGTGATCCCAGCACTTTGGGAGGCCGAGGCAGGAGGATCACTTGAGGTCAGGAGTTCGAGACCAGCGTGGCCAGCATGGTGAAACCCGGTCTCTACTAAAAATACAAAAATTAGTTGGGGGTGGTGGTGCGTGCCTGTAGTCCCAGCTACTTGGGAGGCTGAGACGTGAGAATTCCTTGTTCCTGGGAGGAGGAGGTTGCGGTGAGCAGAGATCGTGCCACTGCACTCCGGTCTGGGTAACAGACTCTGTCTCAAAAAAAAAAAAAAAAAAACCGAAAACAGGTGGTATATTTTTTATGCATCTACTTTTTGTCTATTTTCTTCAATGCAAGGTTCATGGAGGCAGAGGTTTTTGTCTTAGAATAAGTAACACATGGTAGATACAAAGACAATTTGCTGAACAAATGGTTTATTACTTTGCTGATAGTAATAAACTATTGTAATAAAATAGTGATAACACTGTGTTACTTTGTTAAACTTCCACTTACCAGTTTTATCTGAGAACTCCGTATGTTGTCTCATTGAAGAACTGTTATCTCCATTTTACTCTTAGAGAAACAGAGGCTCAGAGGTGAAATAACTTTCCCAAACCAGGAAACTGCCAGAATGAATTTATAAGTCATTGTTGTCTATGAATACAAATATAATGCAAGGCACATATATAATTTAAAATTTTCTAGTAACCCCATTAAAAAATTAAAAAACAGGTGAAGGTGTAATGGCATGTGCCTGTAGTACCAGTTACTTGGGAGGCTGAGGTGGGAGAATCCCTTTAGGGCAGGAGTTCGAGGCTGTAGTTTGCTATGTTTGTGCCTGTGAGTAGCCACCACACTCCTGCCTGGGTAGCATAGTGATACACCGCCCCCCCCCCCCTTTAAAAAGGAAACAGGTGACATTAATTTTAATATTTTACTTAATCTGGCGTATCCAAAATATTATTTCAACGTGTAACCAGCATAAAAATGATTGAGATATTTTGCATGCTCTTTTTTTCAGATAGTCTTTGGACTTCACTGTGTATTTAATTTAATTTGATTAATTTATTTTGAGACAGGGTCTCACCCTGTCGCCCAGGCTGGAATGCAGTGGTGGGATCTCAGCTCACCACAACCCTCGCCTTCCAGGCTCAAGTGATTCTCCTGCCTCAGCCTCCTGAGTAGCGGGGATTACAGGAGCCTGCCACCATGCCTGGCTAATTTTTGTATTTTTTAGTAGAGACGGTGTTTCACCATGTTGGCCAGGCTGATCTCAGACTCCTGACCTCAGGTGATCCACCCGCCTCAGCCTCCCAAAGTGCTGGAATTATAGGCATGAGACACTGGGCCTGGCCTTTTACTGTGTATTTTATACATATAGTACAAATCCATTCAGCCCAGGTACCTTTCAGTGCCCACTAGCCCCATGGTCTTGCATCTGTAACCTTGCTGCTTCCCTGTATTCAGGCTGTCACTCTTCCATTTTGGGAGGATAATACGCAGTATCTACACCTGACATTTGTGGAGGCTGACCATTTACAAAAAGCTTAGGTTTACACACTCAGCTCATTAGATTTTCACAATAACTGAAGGAGGTAAGTGCGTCGGGTTACAATATCCAGTTAGTATAGAAATGTTTACAGATGACTATGTCAATATCTAGAGAGCTTAACCAGCTTGTCCAGATTTATCAGGTTTCTACTTGGCAACGTCAGGGTTTGAATCCAGCAGCTCCCGTGAGTCCACATCACTGTGTGCTGCTTGTGGACAGAGCGGCAGATTGGGGAGAGGCAGAGTCTGGGTGGGAAGGTAGAAGGGGAGGGGCCATACTTTTCTAAGTGTGGGGTAGTCCTTCAACATAAAGGGTTTGTCTGTCCCCCAAGTCCATACCTGGTGTTCTGATGGACTTACTCTGTTGGACATACACAGAGATTCCTTGTGCATGATTTTAGCCTTGGCTCATTTTGACCTCTCCCATTTTTCCCTCTTGTTTTGAACATTGCCCTTTATTCCCTACCCTAATTCATGTCTTATTTCTTCTTTTAGGCTCATTCAGGCTGGTTTCCCTAAGTCCCAGTTGAAGGGGGGCTATGTTAGTCTCCTCTGGGAGGGATAGGAAAACTGCTCTGCTGTGAATGGCCGGTGGGGCTTTCAGTGGCTGAGAGATGGTAGTTCCTGGGTGGCTGCCAGCCTGCCAGACTTGGGCAAACTATGTGTATTGGAACAAAAGGCTGAGTGTGAAATTAATAGCTCTCAACTGAGAACTGTAAAAGAGCTGGTTGTAGGTAAAAAGAGGCAGTTTATTTTGTAAGTTAGAGTTAACTTTTTTTTTTTTTTTTTGACACAGAGTCTTGCTCTGTTGCCCAGGCTGGAGTGCAGTGGTGTGATCATAACCCACTGCTGCGTCCACCTTCCAGGCTCAAGCAATCCTCCTGCCTCAGCCTCCCGAGTAGTTGGGATTACAGGCATGCACCACCATGCCCAGCTGATTTTTAAATTTTTTGTAGAGACAGGGTCTTGCTATGTTACCCATTCTGGTCTTGAACTCCTGGCCCCAAGCAATCCTCCCTCCTTGACCTCTGAACACTCTAGGATTACAGGTGTGAGCCACTGCACCCGGCGTAATCTCTATATAGAGTTAAATTTGTTTAAAATTTTAAAAATCTTTTCTAGGTTTTTCTCCTTTTAGTAGTAATCGCTGTACTGACCACAAGTGGGTTCTGTGTATGTTTCACATTTGTATGTGGCTTCTTTGGTACTTTTGGGTGGCGCCAACAGCATTTGATTTCAACCTTGTGGGTCTGAAGCATTATTTTAGTGGTTCCTCTCTGATTCTCAAAACTTGATATTTGAATTTATCTCTTTCTCTTTTCCACAGGTGAAGGAGCAGTCTTTCAGGAAAGGAAGGAATGTTTTTGTTGAGTTAGCAATTATATCAGGCATTTAAATTTACTCTCCATAAAATATAATTGCCTGGAATTCTGTAACCAAATAACAGCAAACAGAATGAATTGGGAAATCTGCCCATTTGGAATATACGGGCTAGTTTACCTTTCATAGTAGTAGAGTTTTCTTAAGATTTTGTGCTGATTGGCACTAAGTGACTTTGAAGGTGATTTTAAAGACGGCATTACTAGGAAAAACGAAGGAGAAAAAGTTAAGTGAATTAAATGAGTAGCCACTTGCTTTGGACTTTATGTAGCAGTAACAGCAGCAACAGCATCTTTTCTTGTTCATTCTCTTGACTCTACTTTTCATGCTTACACCCAGATCAGAAACTGCCAGATTCTCCATTAGAAATTCATTCCCTCTTTTTTTATTTTTATTTTTTGAGACAGAGTCTTGCTCTGTCACCCAGGCTGGAGTGCAGTGGCACAATCTCAGCTCATCGCAACCTCTGCCTCCTAAGTTCAAGCTATTCTCCTGCTTCAGCCTCCCGAGTAGCTGGGACCATAGGCATGCGCCACCATGCCCAGCTAACTTTTGTATTTTTAGTAGAGATCTGGTTTCACCATGTTGGCTGGGCTTGTCTTGAACCCCTGGCCTCAAGCAGTCTGCCTTCCTCAGCCTCTCAAAGTGCTGGGATTACAGGTGGGAGCCACTGCGTCCTGCCCAGAAATTCATTCCTTTTGAAATCTAGGTATGCCACAAATTAATGTTATTTCTAACTGGTTATACTCTTTAGCATTGGTAGACCTAAAGATAATTAGTTTTAGAAGGTATGGAATTATAGCCTAGTGGAGGTTTAACAAAAGGAAAACAAGAGTTGATTGGGTAGGTGAACTAGCAAAAAAAAGATAATTGCTTATTTATTTATTTATTTATTTTTATTTATTTATTTATTTATTTTTTTTGAGACGGAGTCTTGTTCTGTCTCCCAGGCTGGAGTGCAGTGGCGCAATCTCGGCTCCTGCAAGCTCTGCCTCCCGGGTTCACGCCATTCTCCTGCCTCAGCCTCCCAAGTAGCTGGGACTACAGGTGCCTGCCACCACGCCCGGCTAATTTTTTTTGTATTTTTAGTAGAGATGGGTTTCACCGTGCTAGCCAGGCTGGTCTCGATCTCCTGACCTTGTGATCCACCTGCCTCAGCCTCCCAAAGTGCTGGGATTACAGGTGTGAGCCACCACACCTGGCCGCTTTTTTATTTTTTAACTTGACTAAGTGGACTGTGATGGGGAGTGGGGTAGATTGTTGCTCATCAGAACATCTGTCGCCCTTATCTACTCTGGATTCCATTTGCTAGGGGTAATGAAGGATAACAAAAGACTTTTATGGTTAAGGAGACAGGACATAAACTTTGACAGGACATAAACATAAGGAAAGTAAAAGCAGAATGAGCTAATTATATAATATGAAAACAGAAAACCCATAATAAAACTGTATAAGATTTATTGCAAGATGGCTACTAAAGAACAGTGGTTCTCAACTTTCAGTATGTATTAGAATCACTTGAGAAACTTAAATACTAATGCCTTTAAGAAAATGACTGTTTTTTTGTTATATTTTAATTGGTCTGATAATCTGTAAGTTTAGCTATTGTTAAACATTATCTGAGATGTACTAAAACAAGTTTGCTGGAATTAATGATAATGGTGGTGTTTGTAGTAGGAGTAGATAATAGTTTTTTTTTTTTTTTTTGAGACAGTCTCGCTCTGTCGCCAGGCTGGAGTGCAGTGGCGCAATCTCAGCTCACTGCAACCTCCGCCTCCTGGGTTCAAGCGATTCTCCTGCCTCAGCCTCTCGAGTAGCTGGGACTATAGGCATGTGCCACCATACCCAGCTAATTTTTGTGTTTTTAGTAGAGATGGGGTTTCACCATGTTGGACAGGATGGTCTCGATCTCCTGACCTTGTGATCCGCCTGCCCTGACCTCCCAAAGTGTTGGGATTACAGGTGTGAGCCACTGCGCCTGGCCTGGCCTGGCCTGGCTGAGTGATTTTATTCTGCCTGCTTTGGGATGAAGGCTGGGCATTGGTTTGTTTGAGAACCCTGCAGGTAATTCTAACATGTAGTCAGGATTGAGAATAATTTTTATAGACAGATGGTGATTCCTTTTTTTTTTTTTTTTTTTTTTTTTAAAAACAGAGTTTTGCTGTGTTGCCCAGGCTGGGGTGCAGTGGCACCATCACGGCTCACTGCAGCCTCAACTTTCTGGGCTCAGGTGATTCTTGTGCCTCAGCCTCCTGAGTAGCTGGGATTACAGGCGTACGCCGCCATGCCTGGCTAATTTCTGTATTTTGAGTAGAGACAGGGTTTCACCATGCTGGCCAGGCTGGTCTCAAACTCCTGACCTCGGGTGATCTGCCTGCCTCGGCCTCCTAAAGTCCTGGGATTGGGATTACATGGTGAACCACCATGCCTGGCCCAGACAGTGATTCTTGATCTTTAGTGGGAATCAAAATCAGCTGAATAGAGTTGGATAGGTTTCCTGGAAGGTAGGACGTGAGCAAGTTTCTGAGTAATGTATAAAGCTTGTGAGAAAGCTGGGTGGGAAAATACAAGGTCTGTTTGGGGTATTGATCGAGCTAATTTTGGTGGGGGAGTAATGTGAGATGAGGGTGGGAAAGTAGCCTTCAATACCACTTTGAGTTTAGATTTCATATTTTTAGACTTGGAGATAGGTGAGGCTGGAGACCCTAGTCTGAGCTTGCCAGGAGAGAGGTGGGTCAGTAAACAGCACCTGAAGACCAGGCACACCTAACACTATAGGAAGTGCCTGTTCTGTGGGAGGTGACTTTGAAGTGTGGCTGATCTCCCATCGGCTCCCATGCAGTAATAGTGACTTTGAGGTAAAAAAAAAAAACCTCCAAATCTGGAATCAATTAAAATTCAGCAAACATTTATTTTTTTATTTTTTGAGATAGAGTCTCACTCTGTTGCCAAGGGTGGAGTGCAGTGGCGTGATCTCAACTCCCTGCAACCTCCGCCTCTTGGGTTCAAGGGATTCTCGTGCCTCAGCCTCCCAAGTAGCTGGGGTTTATAGGCGTGCACCACCATGCCCAGCTGACTTTTGTATTTTTAGTAGAGACGGAGTTTCGCTATGTTACCCAGGCTGGTCTTGAACTCCTGGCCTCAAGTGATCCACGTGCCTCGGCCTCCCAAAGCGCTGGGATTAGAGGCATGAGCCACTGCACCCAGCCCAGTAAACATTTATTAAGTGTGTTTTATATGACAGATGTGCTGAGGAGCTGTAAGTTTATTTTTCAGTAACATGCTGAGAGTGTTTTTAAAAGTAATATTTTGGGCCATGGAACCCTTTGAGAAATAAAAGTAGGAGCTGCTTTTCCACAAAAATGCCCAAGTACAAGTAATCTTGCATAAGTTTTAGGGCTTTTGGATACTCTGAAGTCAACTCATAACCTCTGTAGGTGTTCGTAGATTCCAAGTTAATTTTTAGAATAGACTGTGGACTAATGATGGACCATGTTGGACAGGGAAATGGGGAAATCTAGGAGTCCACGCTATTTTCAGTTTTTCTTGTTAGGCATAATTTATCATTGTGAGTCATTTAAGATCTATTTAGCAAATATTTTTGAATGAAGTTTACATAATTCACAGCCAGGTGTTTCCAATATCATACCTGGAAATATAAAGTACACATTAGAACAGGGATGGGTGTGTGTGCTGTGGTGTGTGTGTGTGTGGGGGGGGGGGTGTGAGTGTGTGTATTTCAATGTGCCACGCCCATTTTCATTCCTGACAGACTGCAAAGTAATGGGTGTGTCTATTGTGTTACGTCTTCTGATTAAAACACAAGGTGGGATATAACTCAGCAATTCTGAGCATTTGCTGAAGAATGCTAGTGCTGATAGAAGTTTCATGAGGTTGGGTGTGGTGGCTCATGCCTGTAATCACAGCACTTTGGGAGGCCAAGGTGGGCAGATCACTTGAGGTCAGGAGTTCGAGACAGGCCTGACCAACATGGTCAAAGCCTGTCTTTACAAAAAATACAAAAATTAGCTGGGTGTGGTGGCACATGCCTGTTGTCCGAGCTACTCGGGAGGCTGAGGTGGGAGGATTGCTTGAACCCAGGAATTTGAGGCTGCAGTGAGCCATGATTGCACAACTGCACTCCAGCCTGGGCGACACGATGAGACCCTGTCTCGATAAAAACAAAAGAAGTTTCATGCAAACAGTATCTGAAGTCAGAATTCTTCTATAGCTCATGACATGTTCTATCCCATTTTGGAGATACACAATGCTGTGATTACAGTTATCCCTCCATATCCTCGGGGGATTAGTTCCAGGAACCCCTTGAATACCCAAATCTGCAGATGCTCTCAAGTCCCTTATGAAATGGTAGTATTTATTGGCTGGGTGCGGTACCTGTAATCCCAGCACTTTGGTAGTCTGAGGCCGGTGGATCACTTGAGGTCAGGAGTTTGAGACCAGCCTGGCCAACATGGTGAAACCCTGTCTTTACTGGAAAAAAAATAAATAAATAAATTAGCCAGGTGTGGTGGTGGGTGTCTGTAGTCCCAGCTACTCAGGAGCCTGAGGCAGGAGAATCGCTTGACCCTGGGAGGCAGAGGTTGCAGCGAGCTGAGATCATGCCACTGCCCTCCAGCCTGGGCGACAGAGCAAGACTCCATCTGAGGTGGGTAAAAAAGGTCGTATTTGCATATAACCCACCCATGTCCTCCCATATGCTTTAAATCATCTCTACATTACTTACGATACTTAATACAATGTAAATGCTATGTAAATAGTTATATTGTATTGTTCAGGGAATATAAGAAGAAAAAAGTCAGTATGTAAGCAACCATCAGTTTTTTCCCTCAAATTGTTTTGATTGCAGTCAGTTGAATCCATGGATGCAGAACTCATGGATATGGAGGGCTGTCTGTATAACTGTGTGTGGGTGTGTGTGGGTGTGTGTGTATATATACACATACATATATGTATGTGTGTATATGTGTATGTATACACATATATATACGTATATACACACCCACCCACACACACCCACACACACTGCACTCCAGCCTGGGCGATAGAGCAAGACTCCATCTCAAAAAATATATATAATATAAATATATATTATATACGTAACTATATTCATGCATATATATTTTGAGCTCATATATATTCATACATATATTCACATATATATATATATATATATATATATATATATATATATATTTATTTATTTATTTATTTATTTTATGATGGAGTCTTGCTCTGTCGCCCAGGCTGGAGTGAGTGCAGTAGTGTGATCTTGGCTCACTGCATCCTCCGCCTCCCAGATTCAAGCGATTCTCCTGCCTCAGCCTCCAAAGTAGCTGGGATTACAGGCGCCTGCCACCACGCCCAGATAAGTTTTTTGTATTTCTAGTAGAGATGGGGTTTCTCCATGTTGGCCAGGCTGATCTCAAACTCTTGACCTCAAGCAATCCACCCACTTTGGCCGCCCAAAGTGCTGGGATTACAGGTGTGAGCCACCGCGCCCAGTCTACCTGTATGTTAAAGCAAATCCAGCAGCAAAGAAATCTGTTCAGCTTTGTTTAAACCCATCAGTTCCTAAGTTTATTTAACCAGGGCCTCTCTTCTCAAAGCATTCTTTTCTTTCTCAAAGGACAAAGATTGGTAAATACTAGTTTAACTTCTAATTAAAGTTGGCTGGGTGAAACATAAGTGAAGCCTTAATATGTGTGGGCTGCAGAATTTATCTTTTTTTTTTTTTAATCCACATGGCAAAAATCATATAGGGGTTCTGAGTGGTAACTTAGTTTCCCTGCATGTCTAGTATCAGAATTTTGAAAAACATTGTGAGGACTGAGAGTTACCTAAATAATAACTTTAAAAAATAGCTGGTTTTGCTCCTATAAAGAAGACTGAGCCTATATTAAAAGATTATCAAGAATCGTCTTGAAAATCTAGGCATAAGTGTGCACCTGTAGTCCCAGTTACTTGGGAGGCTGAGGTAGGAGGATCGCTTGAGTCTAGGAGTTCGAGGCTGTAGGGTGCCATGGTCATACCTGTGAATAGCCACTGCACTCCACTCTGGGCAATATAATGAGATTACATACCTGAAAAAATAAAACATGTTAGTTTTCTTCTAACCTGTGGCTTTTGTCCAACTGGAGTCCTTTCCCTAGCAAAAAGGCAAAATTGAAAATAATTGTGATGGCAGTGGAGGACCAGTGAATAACATATTTGTATTATCAAGGGAATAGCTCTTAAATAACAGGACAGACACATTAGAGCCCTTTAGAAAGGGAGCAAAGATATGAGATTATCAAATTATGAAATGTGTTATATATGAATATACTAGGGAGTACCTTTCCCTGCACCCATGGTGCAGTATAAGTCTTCAGGCATGAAACATATATTTGTTAATGGACTATTCCGGGATGACTTTTAAATATTTACACTGAATAAATACCTGTATCTGGTTGGCCCATGTCCTAGCTGCTGAATATTCAGGAAAGAATAAGGGATGGCTCCTGACCTTGAGAAGCTTAGATTTCTGGTGAAAGTAGCTTTCTCAGTGCAATTATACTGTGAGTGGCATCTTCTTCCTCTCTGGGCCCTCCCCCTGGTTCCTGCTCCCCACTACTATTGCCACAGCTGAGTGTCAGGCTGAATGAATCATGGAGCTATCTGAGGATGGCAGTACTTACATTACTTTATTACGTTGTAAAATACTTCCTGATAAGAACGTACTAGTGGTTTTTTGAGTGTCTGGAAACATTGTAAACCTGTCAAATAATTCTAAAGATTCCGCTGTTAACATCAGCTTAAAGATTTGTTAGTAACGTAACTTGCCAAATTCCTTGCCCCATCACAGTGGTCTCCCTAATTAAAAAAAAAAAGTAATTAAAGGTTGAGATTTAATGAATTTTACTTACTAAATTTTCTCTGAAGCCAGAGACTTGAACATAATGAAATAATTGTTCATTTTTCAAAACCATAATATTTTTGTCCTTTTAAAGTAGAAATGGATGGTAGAAATTGTAGAAGCTGAATAAATTTGGTGACAACTTTGTTTTTGAGTTTGTTTAAACATTTAAGTGCTTAAAAATGGGGGCAAATTTTCTTGTCTTTTTTTTTTTTTTTGGCAGGGAATCTTGCTCTGTCACCCAGACTGGAGTGCAGTGGTGCCATCTCTGTTCACTGCAGCCTCCGCCTCCTGGGTTCAAGCGATTCTTCTTCCTCAGACTCCCAAGTAGCTGGGATTACAGGCACACACTACTATACCTGGCTAATTTTGTATTTTTAGTGGAGACAGGGTTTCACCATGTTGGCCAGGCTGGTTTTGAACTCCTGACTTCAAGTGATCTGCCTGCCTCGGCCTCCCAAAGTGCTGGGATTACAGGTGTGAGCCACTGCGTCCAGCCTTCATTCAGCATATGAAAATTAAAAAAACATAAAAAAGGGCAGAAATGAATTATGCAGCATGATTTCATTATTGCTCTCAGGAACTGGATAATGCTTTAAGGTAGGACTAATCTGTTTCAATGATGAGACATTTTCTCACTATACATAGCAGTTCTGGTCATTAGTGAAATTACTCAGTAAATGTTGAAGAAGAAGGAAAAATGAAGGTATCCATCATGATCCTAATTACCACCAATGAAGGTAATTAGGGAAATTACTCAGTAAATGTTGTTGAGGAAGAAGGAAAAATGAAGGTATCCATCCATAACTCAAGATGATCCCCTATTTAGAGAATAAGTATACATTCTACAGGCATCTAAGGTTTTCATGTTTCTCTGTTCTGTTTGGTTTTAATGGTATAATATACATTAAAAATTGTGCATCAAGGATTTTATTTCAGGTATGTGCTGCATTGCTTCTCTTTATGTAATAAATTCCTTGTTAACTGACATTGTTTCCCGGGGATTTCCGTATGTTAACAAGTTCTTTCTACAGAGATGATTAATACTTACGGTGATCACCCTGAGGTTCCACAAAACCCTCTTGAATCATCAGAGATGACATTCTACTCATTGTAACTTTAATGCCATGTATTTATTGTCTTTTAATTGTTTTGAAAGTTGGGCATCTGTTTGAGATATTTTTTTCTTTTGGTTATAATGACCCGTTTCCTGAACTTTTCAGATAAGAAACTATAGGATACTATCATGGAACCTGTTTTCTCCTGTACCCTGGTTTTAAAACCAGTGGCTGGAATTAAGACATGTGTTGAGGGAGGAAAAGGGAAAAGAGAGGAGCCTGAAGGGACTGCCACTTTTCTCTAGCAGTGGAATAAGGAGTACTTCATTGAGCTAAGAATAATTAATGTGGAGTGTTGAAAGATCATTCTGTATTTTATGCACATGTTCCAGATAACAGCATAAGGACCTATGAAAAGCAAGAAAAAAGTTTTCTGGGGCTGTCATCTTTGATCACATAGAGATGGAGTGTGTGTTCATACACCAGCCATTCCTGTCCGTCCTTGCCACCACTGACTTAGACCAGGTGACACATGGGCCTTAGTATGAATGTTGTAATTGGAGAATCTGCCTCAATTTTGAGCTCAACTCCAGTCTGTAGACTTGCTGATACAGTAGTATTTGTCTATCACAGCACTTAGAAATGATAGCCTGTGGTCAGGTGCCAGTGGTTCACGCCTGTCTGTAATCCCAGCACTTTGGGAGGATCATTGGAGGTCAGGAGTTAGACACCAGCCTGGCCAACATGGTGAAACCCTGTCTCTACTAAAAATGGAAAAATTAGCTGGGCATGGTGGTGGGCGCCTGTAATCCCAGCTACTTGGGAGGCTGAGGCATGAGAATTGCTTGAACCCGGGAGGCGGAGATTGCAGTGAGCTGAGATTGTGCTACTGCACTCCAGCCTGGGCAATAGAGCGAGACTTGATCTCAAAGAAATGGTAGCCTGTATCACATTGTTTTATGGCTATATCTCTGTATCCTGTATTTAACTTATAGTCATGTGGTGTTATGAAAAAAAGTAATCAGTATATATTGAGCACTTCTTTGTACCAAGCTAAGTAATTTGGAAAGACTTGTTTGTATTTTGACCTGGATTCAGATTCCACCTCTGCTACATACTGGCTTCATGACCTCAGTCAAGTTACTTAGCCCATCTGAGCTTCGGTGTTTGTTTTTTTCTGTATGACAGTTGTATGATTCTGCTAGGACAGCCATAGCCGAGTACCACAGACTGGGCAGCTTAAATAGCAGTCTTATTTTCTAGTAATTCTGGAGGCTAGAAGTCTGAGATCAAGGTGTTGGCAGGATTGGTTTCCTCTGAGGCACCTCTCCTTGGCTTGTAGGTGGCTCTTGTCACATGGTCTTACCTCTGTGCCTGTATCTTTGTCCTAATCTTCTTTTCTTTTAAGGAGACCAGTAATACTGGATTAGGGCCCACCCTAATGACCTCATTTTAACTTAATTACCTCCTTAAAGACCCTATGTTCCCTGTAATCCTAGCACTTTGGGAGGCCCAGGTTGGAAGATCACTTAAGCCCAGGAGTTTGAGACCAGCCTGGGCAACAAGGCGAGACCCCTGTCTCTGTTTAAACAGAAAAAAAGAATCCCGTGTCTGAATACAGTCACATTCTGGGGGGTAAGGAATTCAACATGAGTACTTGAGGGACATGTCCAGCCGCCTGTAACAGCAGTGAAAATGACATGTGCTCAAGTGGGTTTATTTTACTTTTTAATTTTTGTGGGTACACAGTAGGTATATATATTTGTGGGTTATCTGTAATATTTTGATACAGGCATGCAATGTGTAATAATTACATCAGGGTAAATAGGGTATCTATCACCTGAGGCATTTTTGTTGTTGTTCTTGCAAACAAATATACTCTTTTATTTTAAAATGTATGATTATTTTTGACTATAGTCACCCTGTTGTGCCAGCAAATACTAGGTGGCACAATTTTTTTGTACCCATTCAAGTGTTGTGTTGTTGTGAGGATTAAATGAAATAGTATATGCATGTGAGCTTAGTGCATGCATAATGTTAGCTTTCTCCTTGCTAGAGCGGGGTAGAATCTTGTTTTCTTTATATTCTATCCAAGTATAAACAGTAAATAAATGTCAGTGAAATTGTGTTTTAAGTATGTAGGTGCCCCTTTTCATAATTCTCATCTTCCTCGCCTCCACTCTTGCAACTAAATTAGTATTTTTTTCTTTTCTTGAGATGGAGTCTTGCCTTGTCACCAGGCTGTAGTGCAGTGGTGCTATCTCGGCTCACTGCAACCTCCACCTCCCAGGTTCTAGCGATTTTCCTGCCTCAGCCTCCTGAATAGCTGGGACAACAGGCGTGCGCCACCACGCCCAGCTAATTTTTGTATTTTTAGTAGAGGTTGGGTTTCACCATGTTGGGCAGGATGGTCTTGATCTCTTGACCTCGGGATCTGCCCTCCTCGGCCTCCTAAAGTGCTGGGATTACAGGCGTGAGCAACCGCGCCAGGCCCTAAATGAGTAATTTAATGCTAATTTAAGGGGATCTCTCCTGAGAAGTTCTCTCTACTTCTGCTCTCTGCGCACTGGGACGTGCCATCTCCACCTTTAAACTGCGCTAGGCCCTTGTTCCCTTCCCAGTTGGCAGGATTATCTGAGACTTCTCTAGATAAGAGCAGTGGACTTCAGCTCCCTCTCCCTAGGTTCCGTGTTTCCACCTGGCGGTAGTGTGTATCTGCCAGTTGACACTTTACATCACACAGTTTGTGATTTTTAGGTCTGCTCTGCCTTTCTCCTCTCTCCTCTCTGCAGTTTTTTATCTTTTTTTTAAGCCACAGTTCTACAGACAGATGGGAAGTTTAGAGCAAGGTAGGATAGGCGAGTGAGAAAGCAACATGAGAAAAATGAGTATAGGCTTATTGACTTAATGTTCTAGCTCAGACTTGTACCACAGGCCTGTGCCTTGTGGCGAGTGAACTGTAATTCCTCTGAGGATGTCTCTCTTGAATGTTTGACAAGGCATTAGCAATCATCTGTCGCCCAGGGAATTCCAAACAAAAACAGATGAGTTTAAAATCCTAGGGTATAAACGGCCACAGAATTGTTTAACTTGTTGACTTCTAGGGGAAAATATGTATTCTACAAATGTTATTACAGAGTTTTTACAGGCATTTTTATTATTAATGATGGGAAGCTTCCTGGAGCATTCTCTTAAGTCTAGTGGGGTTACTAAATGTAGTTTTCCAACTGGAGCTTGGTTTCCTGAAAGCTATTCTTGGTGGGGTGGATGAGTGCAGCTGTCGTATCTCTTAGTATTTCAGTTTGAGTCATTGGGTGGGCGGAACTGATTAGAATTCCAAAAGCAATACATATAGGAGTTAGGTGGAACTCTTTTGGAATTAAGTAGGAAAGATTTTGACGGAACTCCTGCATTCCAGAGTTCAGTGGTAAAAAGAACACTTTATGTACAGAGTATTTGGGTAAATGTCTTCTGCATTTTGCTTTAGTTTTTTCTTTGTTGGTAGAAGGGACACTTTATATTAAGAAGCTGTTACAATGTATTGTCAAGATAGAGTTATTTGAAAATATTTAAAAATAGCAGATTTCCCTTCTAAACATGCTGACTTCTTGTAGGTTAATGTGACGTTACTTTCATTAATGTACATATGTATGTATATATTATCATGTCTTCTTTTAAACACTTTACAGAGCTTTATAGTAAGTTCACCCAGTTCATCACAAGTTAGAATTTTGCTGCATCCTATATGCCTCACGGGAAGAGACATTATCTTGTGGAAAGTGGCTTTTGTGCTAATAAATAAACATCCCTTGGAATGTTACCCTCCATAGCAAAGGGGCCATGGAAGGCTCTGTGTTTTAGGATTACAGCTGCCCAGAGACAGCTTGGGAAACAGTGTTATGTTTTACAGCATCTATTAGAAATCAACTCGATGTACACTTAAATATTGTATTCTGAGTTATAACACAGCAAACTGACATTGTAATGTTTTCCAATATGTGATTTTCATTGTTGCCATGATGTCATAAGGATTTAAAAACAGTTATCTGTTTTTCGTGGGCAGAACTTAAAACAGTGTTAAAAAGCATGCACTCTGTGTACCAAAAGCCTTAAAGTGGAATGATAGGGAATCCCTATGGGGTAAAGAGAAGATTCTTGATTCTCTACCTTGGTTCTTTAGAATGTGAGTCAATACATTAAGAACCTGGACTGCTCTGAAACAGAGGCACATTTGAGAGCTCCTGGAAACCCCTTTATAGGATTATTTCCTTGTCTTTGTTCTTTAGTCCTTGATTTGTTGTCAAGTGAAGCTTGAGATATGTCTTGCAGCCATTTGAGAAGCAGCACATCTGGTTAGAAGCAGAGACTGGGGAACCTGATTGCCTGGGTGAGTCATTCCTGGCTCTGCCACTCCAGCTTTGTGATCTCAGGCAAGTTACCTCTCTCTGCCCCAGTTTCCTCAGCTGTAAAATGGGATAATAATAATATTCATAAGATAGTTGTGATAATGAAATGAGTTAATAAATGTAAGGCAATTTAGGATAGTGCCTGGCACATAGTTAGCCCTGTATAAAAATGTTGACTCTTATTATCTTGGTACATGTTAAATTCCTATATTTGACCATGTTCAGACCAAGTTGATATCCACTTCCATTTGTTCCACATTCCTGACCTAATTTGTCTTGGGGTCTCCAGCCAAAATCTAAGATTCCCCAGGCTAGGCAAGCATGAACTCTTGTTCTTAGTGGAATCTGTGTGGCAGAATTTATTTCTGCAGGTATCCAATGTTGTTGGATGGGTTTGGTTTGCCTGTAAGAGTGTGCAGGTGGAAAACATGACCTGGGTTTGTGTCTGTAGGGTTTAAAGTATGTGTTTAGGACAAGGGTTATATAAGGACAATTTTGAAGTCAAAGTTTTAATCTCTTTTTCTTCCCCTCAGGTTTCTTTATTCTATAACATATTTACTTATTTATTATAACCTTTAGGGCTCAGCCTCTTTATTTCCTGTGACTTTGTTTATTTCATGAGAGGGTGACCACCCAGGATTTACAAAGCTTCTTGTGTGTTGTGGAAGATAGTATAAAATTCAAATAATGCTTTTACCTGAGCACTAGTGTGTGTTTCGTTTCTTCCTTGAACTTGCTTAAAGAGGTAAGCAAGATTACCTCTTGGGGCAAAGATTCTTGGCAGAGATGAGAAGAACATTTTGTCATTGACAGAGTCTCAACAGGACCCCCAGCTGACATAGAAACACTTGTTTTGCTGTCTTCTCCATGCTGATCCTTTGCCACAGCCCTTTCCTCCTTGATGTATTTTTTTTTTTTTTTGAGACGGAGTTTCGCCCTTTTGTCCAGGTTGGAGTGCAGTGGCATGATCTGGGCTCACTGCAACCTCTGTCTTCCAGTTTCAAGTGATTCTACTGCCTCAGGAGTACTCTACTTCTGAGTAGCTGGGATTATAGGCTCTCGCCACCACGCCTGGCTAATTTTTGTATTTTTAGTAGAGACGGGGTTTCACCATGTTGGCCAGGCTGGTCTTGAACTCCTGACCTCGTGATCCACTCGCCTCGGCCCCCCAAAGTGCTGGGATTACAGGCGTGAGCCACCGCACCGGCCTGATGGTCATTAAGTGCCCTCAGCATTCTCACTCCTGGAGTCCAGGCCTAAAGCTTGCATCCCTCCTCCTGGCCAGTCCCCAGCCTTTAGAAATAAATAGGCTTTAAATGAGTTCTGCTGTTTGCTGTTCTGCCCTAGGCTGAGGCTAATGGAGGTGGTCTGTCTGCATGAGCAGAGCTGTGTGTGAGAGGCTGCTAGGAGAAAGCAATACCTGTTGTCTTAGGGGCCAGCTTCAGGGGCCAGTGACAGTTAAGACTCTTCCTCAGAGCTGCATTAGGGGCCTATCAAGCCTTGCTCTCACATATGCAGAATAAGCACCTTGTAGCCTGGCCTGGTAGGAGAAAGGTGATTATTGTCAGTACCCCTGGTCCTTGTTTCCTTTTCACCCAGAAGGCAGAGTGGGTATATGGAAAGATCACAGGCTTTTTGGCTACGCTGACCTGGTTTTGAATTCTGGCTCTGCCACTCAGCCTATTAGTACAAATAAATAATGCACACTGAGTCTTAGTTTCCTCCTCCCTAGGCATGGGGGCTCTAAATCCTTTTGCACAGAATTATGGTATAAAACAGCATGTATGCAGCACATCTGGATAGTGGCAGGCTCTGATGATGATAATAATATCACTAATACTGATAGAATGCTTACTATATACCAGATATTGTCATGAGATATAATGTATGTTATTTGACCCTTCCCACAACAACATCTCCGTTTTACACACTAGGAAACTGAGGCATAGAAAAGTTCCGTAAGCTGGCTATGATGGCACCGAGCACAAAGCCCAGATTTAAATCCAGGCTCCGAAAAGTTAGCTCCACAGTTTTTCAGATGGAGAATTTTTTGAGATTTCTAAGACTTTTGATAATATAAAATACCACTACTTGCAATCATTTATGGCCTCCTCGTAATCATTAACTTGTAGCTGGTGTATTTATCTTGTGTAGACCTGCTAGTGGCAACAGATACAACCTACTGCTAATGAGGAAATTGCCCTTTTGCGAATGAATGATGGAAAAAAAAATTCTAAGACGGAGTCTTGCTCTGTCGCCCAGGCTGGAGTGCAGTGGTGTGATCTCGGCTCACTGCAACCTCTGCCTCCTGGGTTCAAGCAATTCTCCTGCCTCAGACTCCTGAGTAGCTGGAATTACAGGAACGCGTCACCACACCCAGCTAATTTTTGTATTTTTAGTAGAGATGTGGTTTTACCATGTTGGCCAGGCTGGTCTCGAAAGGCTGATCTCAAGTGATCCACCCACCTTGGCCTCCCAAAGTGCCAGGATTACAGGCATGAGCTACCGTGCCCAGCCTGAGTGATAGAATTTTAATACTTGTTCTGGTTCAATGTGAAGCATATTTCTCCCTTCAGAGACTTACCTGTGGGGCTCCCCCAAGACAGCAAGCTGACTAGAAATCATTGTTCTAGAACTTTTGATAAATGTGCACAAGAGAGACTCTCCTATTCCCTTTGTTTCCTTGCCCATGTGACTTGAAGCTCTGCTGCTTCTGTTGGGTGAAGGTTTGATAGGGAACAGCTGCCTCGCTCATGGGGCAGCATTGGGAGCTTAGTGCACTGGGACTTGTATCGCAGCATGGACTTCACCTTGCCTGTTGGAGGCTGAGACAGCAAAATGCAGTTCGTCCAGATGCTGTGAAGAGTTTCGAGGACTTTCGTTAGGACGATAGTACTATGGTAAAAGCTTTGGGGTGGGCTCTGTCCTACGAGAGAGCGTGTCTTTCCTTCCTGGTGGCCTGCAGTGACATTGACGCTCTGGAGATAAGTGGCTATATTCATCACTGATCTGAGCAACCTATGACTGGGCGTGTCCTGGCAGCAGAAAATAACTGCTATGCTGATAGCTGTTACAGTCAGTTTTCTTCTTGGACATAAATTTACATTAATGTTAAACTGTTTTAAGGTGCATATGCATGATTTGCGTTTCAGCTATGTATCTCTGGCCTTTTACCATTAGGAAATTTGGTTTTCTGTCTTTGCTAATTGAACTAGAGTCTGTGTGGCTGGATAGAATCGTCTGGGTAGGGTGTGATTTTCTTTTTTTTTTTTTTTAGACGGAGTCTCACTCTGTCACCCAGGCTGGAGTGCAGTGGCGCGATTTCGGCTCACTGCAAGCTCCACCTCCCGGGTTCACGCCATTCTCCTGACTCAGCCTCCCTAGTAGCTGGGACTACAGGCACCCGCCACCATGCCTGGCTAATTTTTTTGTATTTTTTGGGTAGAGATGGGGTTTCACTGTGTTAGCCAGGATGGTCTCCATCTCATGACCTCCTGATCTGCCTGCCTCCCAGAGTGCTGGGATTACAGGCGTGAGCCACCACACCTGGCCGGGTAGGGTGTAATTTCCAAAGTTGACCTCACGTTGAACCTAAGGCTTAAAGATATAACCTTCCTGTCAGACGGTCAGATCTCTTAACACTGGATCACACTGACTGACCTTTAAGGGTGACTCATGTCTGTGTCATTTCCAGCAGCATCTTTAGTATACCTCTGGAGGGATAGTTTCCTTCTCTAAGTAGTAAAAGGTGAACCAGGAGGTGTTGGGGGAGTGGACTCTGCTTTTCATTTCTTTGAATAATATACATGAAATTATACATTGTGGTCCTTATTGTGCCATCAATTTTGTGTTTTTAATAATCCAAGTTTCTAAAGACACTCTTTCCTATAGATGGGGAGATAAAACTTGAGGAATTGGAATCCTCATGCTAGAAAGGCACGTTGCAGGTCCAGCCAGTGTGTAGTTACTGTTCATTAGTCTATGCATGGCACTCAACTAGATGACATGAGGATCCAGACAAGTCTTGCTTTCTGCCTTCAAGTTGCTTATACTTTAGGTGGAGGTATCAGTGATGTAAAAACTACATGGGTTTGTGACAGGGGAGATCCTGCTAGAAGTGTCGGTTTAGCGCTGAGAGGAGCAAAATGATTTGAAATAGATGGCATTTTTTCATGCCTGCTCAGACAGGATTTTTGCATGTGTGTGAATTTCCTCACCTTTGAAAGAGTGGGTGCTGCCTGTTGTATGATAGATGTCTGACATAAAATGCCTCTTTTTGCCCCTCATATCACGTGGCCTAGTGTAATTGGGGGGTTATTCTGGGAAAACAATTAGATATGCATTGTGTTTACAGTGTGCTACAACTCTTTAACCTGGGACATAACTTACCGAGATCTGCCATGACATGAGCCGCTTTCTCACAGTCCTGTTGGAGACCTGCCTGCCAAGGGCACAGAGCATTAAATGGTGGGCAAAAGTTATGCTAACTGAAGTCTGTTTTGTCTTAGGGTCTTTCACAGCCCTTTTTCATATTTCAGTTTTGTTAAAGCCCTAGAGCAGGGATGAGAAATTTGTAGTAAATATGCACGTGTTCTCTCCCTCATACCCCAAGAAGCTGCTCATAGGGGTGTTGCTAATCAAAATGTCCTATTCCTGCCTGGGTATAGCCTTAGAGTATTTCTTAACACATGATTCCTGGATGTCGCTCCTTTTTGCTCCAAACTGGCACATTTTATAAAATCTGTTTGTAATCTCCTTTGCAGTGTTATCCTCTTGCTCCATTTCATTTTAATAAGTGTTGAGTGAGTGGTACAGGGAATGAATTCTGTTGGAGGCCAAAAAATAAGAACACTTAGAATGACCAGTAAAGAGTTTATGGTGGAAGGACTTAAACTTTAATTTGAAGGGTAGATAGGATTTAGGTAGGTGGCGGGGAGGAAGCTGTCCTGTGAACTAAGGTACTGAAAAGGAAAGTAGAAATCATGACGTGGGAATAGCGAATATGTGTTTGGTAGATGTGGAGGGTTTCTTCCGGGCAGTGGTTCCCAGGGTTTGTGTGTATCAGTCATCTGCTGGACTGCATCTTCAGTTTCCATTTCAGTAGGTCCTGTGGTAGCGCCCTGGAATTTGCATTTCTAGCAGGTTCCCAGGTGATGCTGATGTTGCTGGTTCAGGGGCTGCACGTGAGAACCACTGCTGTGGGGAGCATGTAAGCTGCGGCCAGAGGAGTCATGCTGGAGCAGAGGTGGAGGGTAGGACAGCCTGGCACCCACCTCCAGGGACCACTCTTGGCAGGTGTGCACTGCGTTGTGACTTGTATGAAGCAGTGGCCCTGGGCCCAGGGATCTTGAGTACCAGCCTAAGGAGCTGGCACTCTCTTTAGGCAGTGGGAAGCCATTGACAAATTTTGATCAGGAGAATATTATTGGCATCTCCTTTCAGTTAATTTGGTAGATGGGGAAGGGTCCTGAGGGGGGAAAGCAAGCTGTAGCATAGTGCAGTGTCCCCCAGATGGATTATCTCAGGAGTGCATTTGGGAGAGAGAATTGGAAGGCTGGATGTTCAGTGAGGAAGGTAAGGAAGAGAGAAGAATGCAAAGGTGACCCAACATTTCCTTCAGTTTGGGAGTCTGGGGAGTGGTGATCACATTGACAGAAAGGGGAAGTCAGAGCAAGAGCACAAATGATCAGTTACTTTAAAACTGAGTTTAAGTTATTTTCTTCCAAAGATGATTGCCTATCCTGTTTTCAGAAGGGTCTATGAATGTACCATGCCTTTTGTTTTGTCTGTAATGTTTAAGCTTTTCATGATTCTAAATATGTAATCTGTTGACCCTGAAATTTCCTCTTATTCTGAGGTTTAAATGGAAGAATGTTGTTTAAAAATGCACTAAGCCATTTCACTGTAATTTTCCCTAGACACTTACACCCTTATAGTCTTGCCCGAGTATGAGTGGGACAATGTCACTTTTGCTCTTCGTACATAAGCCTTGTTACATGGGATTGCAGTATCTTTAATTTTTCTGGAAGTTACTAATTTCTAATTATCTGAACATTATGAACACTTACAGATTTGTTTATTTCAGTTTTCCCCTCATTTTCAAAGTAATATGTGCTCATTGTAGAAAAGTTGGAACATAATTATAAAATTAAAAATCTGTGAGCTACCCATAAATTACTCCTTTGATGGCTGCACTCGTTTCACTTCCCCTTTTCTGTGGCTGTGGGTGGATCTGGGAGCAGAGCTGGTCCCGTGTCTGGATCAGGGCCGAGGCTCAGCATGCCAGTGTGTGGAGTTAGGTGACAGATTCTGCCCTACCTCTCCTCTCCTACCCAGTATCTAGCTACACCCCAACTTTGCATGCGGTCACATTACTGGGAGTGACAGTAGCCCCGCTAAGGGTGAAACAAAATGGTACCATAGTGGAGGAGGGAGCCCGGTCAGCAGGCTTGAAGGAAAGAGGGCAGTGTTTATAGAGGTGATGAAATGCTGTGCTCAGCTTGGTCTCATTTGCGTGTCTTTTTGAGACTTTAGGGCCTTGGGAAGAAGGAGACTAGGAAAAAAAGACTGAACTGTATTATCAGTGCAGGGAGCAGGCAGCCCTGTTGTGGGATTCCCCTCTTCTCCTTTGCATGGAGAGGGACTTGAGAAGGGGAAGTCACTTGCCTATCCAGAGAGAAGGAAATACCCAGGTCATAACAAGCCTGCCTCATCTTGTGGGTGGTATAAGCAGGGCAGCAGCCATGGGGTGACAGAAAAGGCAAGTAGTAACAGAACTTGAGACACAGCAGGGTGAGCAGGTACCTAAAGGAGTGCTGCCGGCATGGCATCCTCTGAGAGCAAGTCCACCTAGGGTGGACTGGGCCAAGGGAAGATGCCTCACTAGGCTGGTATCATCAATTTTGTGTGGGTTAAGCCATTTGTCCTCCACCTCCCACTTTTGGGAGAATGAGAGAAGACGCTCCAGAGAATGAGAGAAGACGCAAGGGCTCAGATTTGCATTTGATGGTGGGAAACTTAACCCTATAGATTTAGGGAGTAACTGTTAGTGACCTAACCTAGGACTACTGGCGGGGCCGGGCAAGGTGATTCACGCCTGTAATACCAGCATTTCGGGAGGCTGAGGCGGGCGGATCACGAGGTCAAGAGATCGAGACCATTCTGGCTAACATGGTGAAACCCCGTCTCTACTAAAAAATACAAAATTTAGCTGTGCCTGTAGTCCCAGCTACTCAAGAGGCTGAGGCAGGAGAATCACTTGAACCCGGGAGGTGGGGGTTGCAGTGAGCTAAGATTGTGCCAGAAACTATTGGGGGATAGGTAGGTGTGGCAACCGTTTAATTTTTGACCAAACTGGGACATGATTTCATATTTACATTGGGCTGGACCTGGCAAGCCAGGATGTAGGCTCACCCTACATATGGGGAATATGCAAGTCATATATACACATTTAAAAATACGGGGAGCTACTTTTACATCTTAAATACCGCCTTGTCAAGACCCTCAACTATGTTCATACTATGACATTTTTGTTTTGTTCTCCATTTTTAAAAAAGGGTATAGTAGTCCTTATTATGACTATGTTGCCATACTAAATGTTTTACTAAGAATATCGTTAATGGCTAAGTGTTTCACCTTCTAAATGTACCAGTTTTCTTTCATTTTTTTCTTTTCTTTTCTTTTTTTTTTTTTTTTGAGACAGTCTTGCTCTGTCGCCCAGGCTGGAGTGCAGTGGCGCAATCTCGGCTTAGTTTTCTTTATTAATTGCATACAATTACTAATCTAGATTTCTTTCCAGCTATTTGTTATTATAAGTGATAGCAAAGTACATCTTTACGCGTCAGTATTTCCATAGTTAAATTCTTAGTCAGATTTGTATAATTCTTGATACATATTGCTAAACTCTAGGTATCTATTTTAAATCTGAGTTTCCACATTGGAAAACTGACAGTTGAGTTTCATTGATTTCTGAAATACGGTAAAATAAGTGGCTTTTAAAAAGTCGCTGAATAGTTTTACCGCTTAGTATGTCTCTTGTGACCTTGCCTTGCAAAGGGGTAATATAGCAAAGTAACAACTTGAATGAAGAGAACAGTTTTATTGCTAGTGCAGCATTTGCCACATTGCCATAAGGTGAATGTCCTGCAGAGAGACTGAATCATACTGAATTTAATTGTGGTGGGTGTGTGGGGTTTAGGCATACAAATACTTGACTCTGAAAATTGACAGTTTGGCACAGTATGGTTGAAAGATCATGTATTGGGCGTGTTGAACTACGTTGAGTTTTCATGAGGAGCAAGACTCTATGTCTTTGAAGTTGTGTAGTGTCATGGAGTGCTGGTGGCATTTTCCACATGGCATATGCGTTTTATTATCAGCATGAAATTAATACATTTTCAGGAGTGGGTTCTTCCGGTATGAGTCATTTACTAGTTAGAGAATACTTTGTGGAAACAGTTGTCAGCAGAAAGAGTCGTCTTAACATCAGCAAGAACTAAAGCTGAGAAATCTGCTTTGTGAGAACTGTGTACATCGCTGGGTCAAATGACCTGAAGGTGTTTTGTAAAGCCCTGTGTGGTAATCGGTTCAGTCACTGCTAATATCTAAATGCAGCATGCCAGTCCTGAGATGCAGGGACTGGCATGCTGCATTTATATATTAGCAGTCTGAGATGCCCAGTACTGACTGTGGTACAACTTGTTCTGAGGGGTCAGACCAGTTTGCAAACAGGAAAGAAGAGACTTCTGGAAAATTTATGTGTGTAAAGACTTCCTGGTTAGTTTGACAGCATTCCTGAGTTATTCACAGCTCAGCTAGTCTCTAAAGACTCCAAAGACCCAGGAAAAATTTTCATATATATATAAAAACAACATAAAATATATATAACATATATTACGTATTATATATAATATATAAATTATATAATATATAAAATTATATATTATATAAATTATATATAATATATTAAATTATATATTATATAAATTATATATATTATATAAATTATATACTATATGTTAAATTATATATATAAATTATATACTATATGTTAAATTATATATATTATATAAATTATGTGTTAAATTATATATTATGTAAATTATATGTTAAATTATATATTATATAATTTATATAACACACATTAAATTATATATTGTATAATTTATATAACACATTAAATTATATATTGTATAATTTATATAACACATTAAATTATGTATTGTATAATTTATATAACACACATTAAATTATGTATTGTATAATTTATATAACACACATTAAATTATGTATTGTATAATTTATATAACACACATTAAATTATGTATTGTATAATTTATATAGCACACATTAAATTATGTATTGTATAATTTATATAGCACACATTAAATTATGTATTGTATAATTTATATAGCACACATTAAATTATGTATTGTATAATTTATATAGCACACATTAAATTATGTATTGTATAATTTATATAGCACACATTAAATTATGTATTGTATAATTTATAGAACACACATTAAATTATGTATTGTATAATTTATAGAACACACATTAAATTGTGTATTGTATAATTTATAGAACACATTAAATTGTGTATTGTATAATTTATAGAACACATTAAATTGTGTATTGTATAATTTATAGAACACATTAAATTGTGTATTGTATAATTTATAGAACACATTAAATTATGTATTGTATAATTTATAGAACACATTAAATTATGTATTGTATAATTTATAGAACACATTAAATTATTATATTTATATAACACACATTAAATTATGTATTATATTTATATAACACACATTAAATTGTGTATTATATTTATATAACACACATTAAATTGTGTATTATATTTATATAACACACATTAAATTGTGTATTATATTTATATAACACACATTAAATTGTGTATTATATTTATATAACACACATTAAATTGTGTATTATATTTATATAACACACATTATTATATAATTTATATAACACATTAAATTATTATATAATTATATAACACACATTAAATTATATATTATATATTTTACATAACATTAAATTGTGTATTATATAATTTACATAACATTAAATTGTGTATTATATAATTTACATAACATTAAATTGTGTATTATATATTTTACATAACATTAAATTGTGTATTATATATTTTACATAACATTAAATTGTGTATTATATATTTTACATAACATTAAATTGTGTATTATATAATTTACATAACATTAAATTGTGTATTATATAATTTACATAACATTAAATTATATAATTTACATAACATTAAATTTTATATTACATAATTTACATAACATTAAATTATATATAATTTATAAATTATATAATACATATTAAATTATATATAATTTATAAATTATATAATATAAAGTTATATATAATTTTTAAATTACATAATATATAAGTTATATATGATATATATTATATAATTTATATTTATATATATATTTAATTTATATATAATATATACTGCAAAATATATATAATATAAAACATATATTTTATAGTATATATTATATATATTATGCAATTTATAAAATATATATTATAAATATATATTATATATTTAAAATAGAATAAATATATATTATATATTATAAATATAAAATATATATTATAAAATATATATTATATATTATAAATATAAAATATATATTATAAAATATATATTATAAATATAATATATTATAAAATATATATTATAAATATATATTATAAAATGTATATTATAAATATAATATATTATAAAATATATATTATAAATATAATATATTATAAAATATATATTATAAATATATTATAAAATATATATTATAAATATATTATAAAATATATATTATAAATATATTATAAAATATATATTATAAATATAATATATTATAAAATATATGTTATAAAATATAAAACATGTTATAAAATATATTATGAAATATGTTATATTTTAAAATATATATTATGAAATATATGTTATATATTATAAAATATATGTAATATATATATGCAGTTGATTCCAAGATGATGAAATGTATGGACGACTATTTTCTAAAAAAAAAAAAAAAAAGAATAACATCTAAGCTAAAGGGAAAGAACAGCTCTGAATATTGACTTGTTTAGCTTTCATTAGTACTTAACATTGAAACAGAGTTTTTGAATGTTCAGGCATCACTAAATCTAAAAATAAAATCACAAGGCTGTAGTTTTGCTTTTAGATTTCCCAGTTTTCAAGTGATGGCTTGTTGTGTTTTATTTCTTCTGTTGTGTCTCCAATCCAGTGCTCCATTTTTGCTTCTTTCTGTTCTCTGGTCCCGGATTTGACATGTATTGGTACAGATTCCCAGTTGCTTTCAAAAGGTGCCTTGAGAACTTTAGGCATAAGTGAAAGCTGTATTGTGCCCGTCAGATCAATAGTGTGTAACTTTTAGAACACAAATATTGCAAAGATAATGTTTATGATACCATAAGTCCTGCCATGAATTCCCTGAGCATCCCATGGGTGTATGTATATGATATCTAGGACATAAATGACATGTAGTTTATGCTTTCAAACAGAAGTCATCCAGACAACCTTCCCTCCCCCTACAACATTATCATGTCTGAGCTCTTTTTTCTTAAAATGAAAATACTAAGCTGCTTGAAGAAATGTACTGCTAAGAGGACAGGCATTTGATTTTCACTCTGTCATTGTTAGCTGTGACTTTGGCCAATTAGTGTGGATTTTCAGCAATTATTTCATATAAGGAAGATTGTACTCTGAGATTTTAATATAATAGATTTCTAAATAATTATAAAGGCATAGCTCATAGTTGACTTAAGTGATGCTCATTTTCTTTATCCTTTAGATAGGCAAACCACTCCCTATTTTCATAATTTGTCACCAAATACATTTTTCAAGTCTCTAGTAGTGAAAAACTGAGTGTATTAACTCCTTTTACAGGTCAAACTTCTTTCTGATTTCGGGAAAATTGAGATTTGTGTGTTTATTGACAAGAATTTTTCTGAGGTAGATTGTTGAAAAGCTGTTGGTTTCCTAATTTCCAGGTGCATGGTTGCTTTTTTGGTTAAAAGTAAGACAGGGGGAGACCCTGGGCTGAGGAGCTGTGAAATCTCTAAAGAGGTCTGTGAAGTAGGTTATTAAGAGGAAGTAACCTTATTAGCTGGTAGCTGGAGAGCCTGGAAGCCTCTCTTAAGCAGCTGCATCATATCCAAGAACTGATTTGCATTCATGTTACTATGAAAACAGATCAAATTGTGTCTCTAAATGTGTTTGTTTTGTGAATCTGGAAACAACAACATTCAGGTTATGTGACCACCTGAGTAACTGCCCGGTGAGACTGGGAAGTCTAGGAGCCTGCTGCGGCATCCTGAAAAGCAGCTTAGTTCTTAGCAATGGCAGGGAGAAGTGGCGTGAGTCTCAAAATCTGTAGGAAGGATTTTCTTTTTCCGCTTTTTCATTGATCTCTTTCCCTTAACCCAGATACTTTCCCATCTGCAGGAGCAAAAGGGGGGAAAATTCCATGAAACGTTGAGTTTCAATGTACAGCAGTAGGAAAAAAGTTTTAATGTTTCAAAGGATAATGGAGGATAAATGGTAACTTAAAGCATTGGTAAATATTATGCAGGTCGTGCATATGGGATGGCATACATATGGGATGGCATAGATTAGTTTTTGTGTTGGAATTTATTCAACAGTGATTACTATCTTGAACCTGTAAGACCTGTTAAAGCTATTTGAGGGTATGGGTGGAGGAAAGGTGGGTTACAGAAATGAGTCTGTATTCAGCCTGTGCTGTCTTTCCTCCTGCCCTTTCTTTGTTCAACACTCCCTGCTCCACAGTTCTCTGCTGTCCTCACTCTTGTGACAGTGGCCTTCTCCAGGGTCACACCTCTGACCTCCCTGGACTCAGTTTAGAGGATGCTTTTCATTTCTTATCTCCACCTCTTGGGAGCATGTGATATGTTGTCAGTCACTTTTTTGTTCCTGAAGTGCTTTCTTCTCTATTGTGAAGGGACCTGGAGTGCTCGGCCTGTGTGCTGAAGAATGTGCAGCTCTTCTCACTAGTCATATCTCCTCAGCAGATGACCAAGGTGGAAGCTAGAAGATCAGGGTTGTCACATAATCGGGTGCTGGAGGCTTTAGAAGCAAGGAGGGTATTTTCAGTGGGAGGATCAGGTGTGACATTCTGGTAGAAGTAGTATTTATTTATTTATTTTTTCTTTTCCTTGGGATTTGAGATGCACTTGGCACAGTGAGGGCTCAATATTTGAATGAATAAAGGCAGGGTTGAAACACACAGATGAGGGAGGAGTATTTTCAGTTTAGGAAACACATGAACACAACATCAGCAGGGGGAGAAGATGAAGCTCATGAAGGTGAAAATGAATCACTCTCTTGGCTGAGTGGAGTGATGGAAGCGGTGGGGGAGGAGGCTCGCAAATGTGTTCTTGCCAGACTGTGGAAGGCTGTGAGGATCAGCTAAGGAATCTGGGGGACTCTGGGCAGGAGAGGTGGTTGGAATTGGGAAAACTAATCTGGCAGCAGTTTGTTGAGTCAGATGGGATTAGAATGAGAAAAACCTCATTTTGGTCTCAGCTCTGGAGGGGACCAAAGTCTGAGCCCACTGCCTTCGTGCTTCCCTGGCTCAGCCCTCACAACCAATTCCCCTGTTGTCCTTCTCATTTCACCTGGCCACCTGGTGCCATGACCAGTGACCACTGAATCCTGTCGCCTTGTGTGCACAGCCTATGGAGTAGTAACAGAACCTCATCTTTGGAAGTCATGATGCCTGGGGGGAAGACAGCAGCAGCGTGACTGGAGTTAATGTGAGGCACCCGACCTGTGAGGGTTAGAGGGTCTGTGACTTAGAAAGTGAATAAGGAGGGTACCTTTGATAGGATTAGGAATAAGGGGCTTAAGGCAAAATCAGGGCTAAGAATTTAAAACCCAAATAGTTCCCGGATGTGAGAAAACTTCGTGAGAATTTACTTTAGGATTTATCATCGGTTCCTCTCCACATCTCTTTTCCTTATATCCACAAACCAAACACACCCCTGCCGTTCCACATGGACACCATAAATAGCTCCTTTTAAAAAATTTGATTTTTTTTTTTTAAAAAGCGTTTCTGAAGGGCCAGGCATGGTGGCTTGCACGTGTAATCCCAGCACTTTGGGAGGCCTAGGTGGATGGATCACGAGGTTAGGAGTTTGAGACCAGCCTGACCAACATGGTGAAACCCTGTCTCTATTAAAAATAAAAAAAAATTAGCCAGGTGTGGTGGCATGCGCCTGTAATCTCAGCTACTCAGGAGGCTGGGACAGGAGAATTGCTTGAACCTGGGAGACGGAGGTTGCAGTGAGCTGAGATCACGCCATTGCACTTCAGCCTGGGTGACAGAGCAAGACTCCTTCTCAAAAAGAAAAAAAAAAGTGCTTCTGAGGTCCAGTGAAGGTATGAAGGAAAACTTGTGAAAGCACTTTTGTTTGTCCAGTCCTTGGTGAGATTAGGGGTGAGACCAAGGGTAAGGAGATCAGCACATGGGGCTGGGAAGGGCAGGTTCCTCCATTAACCTCTACCAGCCTGCTCTGCTCCTTTTTACACATTTGCGGTATTTGGTGTGTAGAATTTGCACAGTGGGTTATAAACAGTCTGATTATCTCAAATGATATCCATGCTTGATCTCTCTTGTTGGTAAAAATGGGGAACAATATTCTTGAGGTATTTGCTGAGAGCTCTAATTATCAGTACTTTAGCAGATTCCCATGACACCAGGAAATCTAGATATTTTCACATGCTTGAGAAAACATTCATGCTTTATTAAGCTACAAGCTGTACAGCAACATCTGGAAAGTCACTCAGATGGAATAAAACCAGGTTTTGGTTGAAACATCAGTTAATATTATGAAAGAATTATAAACATGATGTTCATGCCATAAACTTATCCGGTTCTTGCAGCAGCAGCTCTCTTCAGCTAATGAAATTTTCACAGAACTGATGATATCACTGAAAACTGCAAGGTGGTGACTGCTTTTGTGAGTGTGACCTCCCCTCTTAGCGTCTCCCACTGTCTTTGGGAGTGAGCACTGGGGAAGGAGGCTATTTTTGTGAACACTATCTGCTGCTTTCCATTCAGTCGTGGAGAAGTCAATTCAACTGTAAGCTTAAGTTCAGCATGGCATAATTATTATCTAAGCAATATTTCATCAAGGTGCATTTCTATTTAAGTGGGCTGAGGGCCACTTGGTTGTGTTTTCCACATATTTTATTTATGTTTGAGTCAGAGTCTCACTCTGTCACCAAGGCTGGTGTGCAGTGGCACGATCTCAGCTCACTGCTACCTCTGCCTCCCCGGTTCAAGCGATTCTTGAGCTTCAGCCTCCTGGGTAGCTCGTATTACAGGCATGTGCCACCATGCTTAGCTAATTTTTTTGTATTTTTAGTAGAGATAGGGTTTCACTCTGTTGACCAGGCTGGTCTTGAACTCCTGGCCTCGGCCTCCCAAAGTGCTGATTACAGGCGTGAGCCACCATGCCCGGCCCACATGTTTTAAATGACATATTTTAAATGACATTCCTAACTAATGCAATATTCTGATTTAGAAACTGAAGACACTTTGGCCACCTGGCCAAATCTCACATTTTAGATAGTTTTCAGGTAAATGGAGACTAACTGGCCTGCCCAGTGCACACAGCTAGGTGGTATCAGAACTCTGACCTTTTGTATTTTCACTTCCTATTTGGGTCTTTACCAAATAAGCAAAGCTTCATCTGTAAAACAGATGGAAGTCATTAAAAATCAGAGCATTCCTGTTGGTCCAGGGAGACAGGATGCAGATGATGTGTGGGAGTCTCATCAGCTCCCCAAGGCAGGGATTTATGAGGGCTCACATCGGAACCTTTCCTATTAGCAATTAAGAAGGTGTGTTCGTAATGAACAGAAAGGTGTGTTGGTGTGTGGATTTTTTTTTTTTTTTTTTTTTTTTTAAATCCTAGTCTCTTAGCTCAGGCTGCCATAACAAAATACCACAGACTGGGTGGCTCCAACAACAGACATTTAGTTCTCACAGTTCTGGAGGCTGGGAAGTCCAAGATCAAGGTGCTGGTATATTCGGTATCTGGTGAGGGCCCACTTCCTGACTTGCACGCCACCTTCTTGCTGTGTCCTCACTTGGGACACGGGAAGAGAGAAAGAGAAAACACATGCTTGAGTCTCCTTCTCTTACAATAATTCCATAAGGTGGGCTTCACCTTTGTGACCTCATCTAAACTTAATCAACTCCCAGAGGTGCCACCTCACATGGGGGTTAGTGTTTCAACATATGAATTTTGGGGGAAACGCAAACATTCAGTTCGTAACACCTAGTAATACCTTTAAAAAATGGGCTGTCTGGCAGAAAGTATGTTCTCAATTGTTGAGAAGATCCAGTGTATCAGTAATTATTATTCATACTCTCAAATATTCTAAGATGTAACAAAACATTTGAAAATATTCAGAGGTGACTAGATTAATAATTCGACTTTTTTCTACCTGCTTGTCCAGTTCATTAAGCAAATATTTACTTGAGCACCTCTTATGAGTCAGGCCCTGTGCTAGATTCTGTGCCAAAGGGATAATAAAAACCTGAGCTAGAGTAGCCCACATTTGGTGGCCAATGTTAAAGTTATATGCTGTTATTTTCTAACTATCATATTCAAATAAGTTTTATCAAGTTTCCTTCTGGTCGTGTCTTTCCTTTTGGATGAAATATTGTAAACATAGTACATAGAGAATACTATACTGAATACTTCAGTACTTGCATTTGGCCTTATCAGATTTTAATATTTGAAGGAAACAAGTCAAAATATTTTTTAATATAAGTAAATCTCTGTGAGAGTTGAAGGCTCCTGTGACCCCTCCTCATCCTGTGTCCTTACCATTCTATAAGTAACCACTATTGTGGATTTGGGATGTTTCATTGCCACATATGTTTTTATATGTGTACATATTATACATATTATATATGTATGAGTTTATGAGTAATGTAAGGTATATTGTTTTGAAACTTTATGAAAATAACAGCAAACTGTACATATTCTTTACTTTTTTTTTTTTTTTTTGAGACAGAGTCTCTCTTTGTCACCAAGGCTGGAGTGCAGTGGTGCGATCTCAGCTCACTGCAGCCTCTGTGTCCCAGGTTCAAGTGATTCTCCTGCCTCGGCCTCCTGAGTAGCTGGGATTACAAGCGCCTGCCACCATGTCTGGCTAATTTTTGTATTTTTAGCAGAGACAGGGTTTTGCTATGTTGGCCAGGCTGGTCTCAAACTCCTAGCCTCAGGTGATCTGCCTGCCTCAGCCTCCCGAAGTGCTGAGATTACAGGCATGAGCCACTGCGCCCGGCCTCTTCTGTACTTTAGGAGGAAAAAAAGCCACATTATTTTTTCCTTTTTGCTACATTCTGTAGTTCTTTTTTAAAAACCTAACATATAGCATTCCATTGAATGGTTATTCCGTGTGTGTGTGTGCGCGCGCGTGCGTGCGCGCGTGTATATATATATATTTTGTTTGTTTGTTTGTTTGTTTTTTGTTTTTCCTCCCTGCGGGGCATGGAGTTGCCCAGGCTGGAGTACAGTGGTGCAATCTCAGCTCCCTGTAACTTCCGCCTCCTGGGTTCCAGCGATTCTCCAGCCTCAGCCTCCCGAGTAGCTGAGATTATAGGCACCCGCCACCATGTCCAGCTAGTTTTTGTATTTTTAGTAGAGATGGGGTTTCACTGTGTTGGCCAGGCTCGTCTCGAACTCCTGACCTCAGGTGATCCACCTGCCTTGGCCTCTCAAAGTGCTGGGATTACAGGCATGAGCCATCGTGCCCAGCCTGTCCTACAGTGTCTTAGTCTGTTCTGTTGTCAGATATTTTTGGAGTGTTTCCAAATTTTCATTAATGTAAATAGCACTGCTGGTGAACATTCTTATACATGTCTCCTGACGCGTGTATGATGTGTATGTGCGTTTCTCTGGGGACATCACGTGAGAGTAGAATTGCTGTGTGGTAGCACGTGAGCGTCTTTCACTCCAGGGTTGTCTTCACCTTTACTCGATAGTACACATTGCTTTACACAGTAGTCAGATTACATTCCCTCTGCATTGTACTGGTGATTTTGTTGAGCTGCATCTTTTCCAGTATTTTGTATTGTGAAACTTTTGAGTTTTTGCTCATCTGTTGATGTAAAAGTGATACCTTATTGTTTCTAACTTGAATGCTGCATTTTCCTGATTGGAGTGAGGTTGAATATCTTTTCACGTATTTATTGGCCTTTCAGGCTTTTTCTTTTTGAGCTGCCTATTTATAACATGTCCTCTTCCTTCCCTCCTTCTTTATTGGTGACAGGGACTCAGGTTCAGAGAAGTAGATTAATCATAATCCTTGATTCACAACCCATTATTATCATTTGTGTTTGCATGGCCCTTTTATTTGCTTTATTTATAATATAATGAACACCTACGAGCTCATCAGGTTCTGAGACATTACCAACAACTTCCTGTGCTTCTCCTCACTCCGTCTCTCGGCCTCTTCCCTCTTTATATATGCTACCTGAGCTTTATTATTCCTTATCTAGTTCTCTTTGTGGTCCTCTGGGGCCTTGCTTTTCTTATTCTCCATTATTATGATTTATCCAAGTTGTTGTGTTGGCTTTGGTCTCATTCCTGTTCTTTTGTAGTGTCTGCTCTGTTTTGCTTATGGGGGATTTTTTTCTTTTGTGTTTTTAGTTTCACTCTGTGAACTCCTTTTCAGCTGAGCTTTCTCTGTAGGAGTCCTGGGGAATGTGGGTTGAAGGTGTATTAAAAATACAAGGTAGTTGGCCAGGCGAGGTGGCTCACTCCTGTAATCCCAGCACTTTGGGAGGCCGAGGCAGGCGGATCACTTGATGTCACCAGCCTGGCTAACATGGTGAAACCCGTCTCCACTAAAAATACAAAAATTAGCTGGGTGTGGTGATGCATGCCTGTAGTCCCAGCTACTCTGGAGGCTGAGGCAGGAGAATCACTTGAACCTGGGAGGTGGAGGTTGCAGTGAGCCAAGAGATTGCACCACTGCACTCCAGCCTGGGCGACAGAGTGAGACTCTCTGGAAAAAAAGAAAATGTGTGTGTATGTATGTGTGTGTGTGTGTGCATATATGTGTGTGTGTGTGTATATGTGTGTATATATGTATATATGTGTGTGTGTATATATATGTATGGTAGGTGTTTCAGTTCACAAAATACTTAGCAATATTGGGGTAAAATATAACACACACATATATATATATATATTTTTTTTTTTTTACAAATGTACAGTTGTGATTATAAATTCTGGAAAGAATACCCAGGATGTGCCAGTGAAGAAAGAACAGAATTTCAGAGCAATATCTTAGGAGTTGAACTTGCATCAGAGTGAGAAACAAAATGCCTGGAGCCTTAACAGTTATATCTAGAAAAAGAATGGGGCCTTGAAAGGAGGAGTTGGACCTGGGATCTCCCCGCATAGCTATTTAGCCAAAAATACAAAGAAGTTTGTCCATCTCAGCCTGGACTCAGAGTAGGGAATAAAAGTACTCAGATCCCCTCCTAAAATGAGAAAGTATCAGCCTGCCCTCACTTCTGAGGCTTCATGTGTATACTGCTCAACTGTCCAGGAATCACCAAGTCAGGGAGTTAACATAATGCGGAGCCATGGATCCTCCTCTGCTGAGGCGCCTTGCAGAAACAAATCATCCGTGCCTGTGTACGTGCCTTCCCCCTTAACAGTAAGCTTCTTGACCTTTGTACATTGATACGTATTTGTGGAATGAAGAAGTGAACAAGTAGAAACACATAGGCATTCTTAACAGAATCTAAAGTTCCACCTGCAAAGTAGGTTCAGCACCTTAAAAAATAAAGTGTAGAAGGGACATTATTTTGCCCAGTAAAATGTTTAATTTTCAAACAGTTCTACTATTCTTAAAATGTTCTGCAGATCACAGACTGCAGTGATTGAGTAGCCTGCTGTTGTGTGTGTTGTGAAGGATACAAAGACTGCCAAGTGTTTTACCCTTCGGGAGCTGTAAGTGTAGGGGAGGGACAGGCTCGAACACAAATAATTATGGTGGAAAGTGCAAAGTAAGTGCCACAGGAAATTTACAGAGCGGTTATGGTTTTGCAGAGGTTGTGAGTGATTCATTTCACTTCAGAAATTTGTTCATTGAGAGAACACTTAGTAGAGCTTCTTGTGTTGTCAGCATTAGGAGGATTATAAGAATACCTAATATTTATTGTGCACTCACTCATGATTAGGCAGGCAACATTTTATGTCAATCTTTGCAACATAATGTTAATTCTCACAACATTCCTATGAAGAGGATCCTATAATTATCTCCATGAAATTTTTTTTATTGAAATGTACCACATATATATGTGCACTTTTATGAGTATACAACTGGTTAGGTTTTCATGAGTCACATTCACCAGTGTAAGTAGCATCCAGAGCAAAACAGAACATATACACACTCGACAAGTGTCAGGGCTTCAAAGCCCCCAAGAACCATAATCTTGACTTCTAGTAGCAGATTTTTTGGGATTGGTTTTTGTGTTTTCTGGAAATTGAGTTATATGGTACATATTTTGTTATGTTTCATGCTATTGCATGTAGTTTGGGATTGTTCATTCCCATTGCCATTGAGTATTCCATTATCTCCATTTTACAGATGAGGAATGTTGAGACTGAGATGTTAAAGTAGCCCAGGATCATGCAGTAACAAACATGTTACAGTACCATTTAGTGTTTTTTGAAACATGATTTTAATGTTCTTGTGGTGTTCTATCATGTAAGTATAGGACAGTGTAACCAGTTCCCCTTCTGATAGACATCTAGGTGGTTTCCAACATGTTATCACTCATACTTTACCATAAAAATTCAATATTTAAAGTACGTTTTGAGGTTTCCAGCTGCTTTTGCAGTTGACTATAGTCAGTTCCATATAGTGTGGCAGCTAGTGAAATATTAATTTCCTTTGTGGCTTTCTTTGTAAGGTAGCAGCTGCCGGTCAAGGGTGGCCTTTGTAGTTTTTTTCCTTAGAGACAGGGTCTCACTGTGTCACCTACGCTGGAGTGTAGTTACACCATCATAGCTCACTGCAGCCTTGAACTCCTGGCCTTAAGTAATCCTCTTGCTTTGGCCTCCTGCAGCGCTGGGATTACAGGTGTGAGCCACCATGCTATGCCCATTTGAGTTTTGATATGTAATCTACTTGCCTTTTGAAAGTGCCTTGTAAGAGTACTACTAGTGTGTTTACTTTTTTACCTTTTATCCTACGTTTGTCTTTTTATACCTCCTCTCCCTTTTTCCTACAAAACTTCCTGTAAGGAGATCTTGGTTCTGCTGCAGTCAAAAATTATATTTTTTCCTTGAGGGTTAGCTCTGCTCTTTGGCCTGCTAATGAGTCTTACAGGGTCTCTGTGGGTCCTTCAGAGGAGATATATTTTTACGAAACATTCTCCGGTGCAGCAGTTTACAAACGCAACTTCTGGAGTGTGAGCTCTTTGAAGGTAGGAGCTGTGTAGTATTCACGTGGTGCTTGGTACGTAGTAGGTGCTCAGTAAATGTGAGGTGACTGGATGAGGAGCTGCTGGAGCCTCAGATTTTTATTTATTTTTTATTTTTTTAATTTAATTTAATTTTTTTTTTTTTGGAGACAGTCTCACTCTGTTGCCCAGGCTGGAGTGCTGTGGCGTGATCTTGGCTCACTGTAACTTCTGCCTCCCAGATTCAAGCTATTCTCCTGCCTCAGCCTCCCGAATAGCTGGGATTATAAGTGTGTACCACCACCTCCAGCTAATTTTTGTATTTTTAGTAAAGATGGGGTTTCACCATATTGGACAAGCTGGTCTCAAACTCCTGACCTCGTGATCCGCCCACCTCGGCCTCTCAAAGTGCTGGGATTACAGACATGAGCCATCATGCCCAGCTTCCTTTTGATTGACCTTTACAATATTATGTTTTTTTGCTTTTGGGAACATGATTAATTTTTAGACTTCTCAAACAGAAATAGAAGACCTAGAGCTATTTGTTTATAATTTCCCCCCCTTCTTGTAGTAGAGGAGGAATTATTTAGTAATGTGATAGAAAATAAGTTTATAATAGTTTTGTAAAAATATTAAGTTTCTTCTATTTTCTCCATTCATTGAACATTTGTTGAAACCTTGCTGGGTCCCATGCAATAGGGATAGAAAGATGAATATAATTAATCCTTGCCCTTGGGGAATATATAATCTAGTGGGAGAGACAAACACACGTGTACTTACCCATTGTGGTAAAATATATTTATATATCTGTGAGCATTTTTTTTAAAAGCGTAGTGGAAGGAGACACCTGGGAGGTTGGGAGGAGGGCCCTCCTGGAAGAGACAACAACGGAGCTTCCTCTTAGAGGAGGTACATAATTCCTCCTCAGTCTGGTACCCAAATACTGGTTCATCTCTTTTTTTCCTTATTTCTTTTTTTTTATTTTTCTTTTCTTGAGAAGGAGTCTCACTCTGTCGCCCATGGCTGGAATGCAGTGGTGTCATCTCGGCTTAACTGCAAGCTCCGCCTCCCAGGTTCAAGCGATTCTCCTGCCTCAGCCTCCCGAGTAGCTGGGATCACAGGCGCCTGCCACCATGCCCGGCTAATTTTTTGTATTTTTAGTAGAGACGGGGTTTCACCGTGTTAACCAGGATGGTCTCAATCTCCTGACCTTGTGATCCACCCGCCTTGGCCTCTTAAAGTGCTGGGATTACAGGCGTGAGCCACTGCGCCCGGCCTGTTCCTTATTTCTGGAATGCTAGTACTGGCCATAGTTATAACATTCTATGATTTCTAATGTAAAAACCTCGTTCTTGTCTTTTCCCTCATGCCATAGAGCCCTTCCACGGAGGCTTGTTGATTTTAGCTCTGAAATGATTGTAGGATGTAGTTTTCCTCTTTCTCTTCCCTTCTCTCTGCTTACATTGCTGTCTCCTTGGTTTGGAAGGACAGTGATGGAAATAATCTTTGTGTTTGAAGCATCCGGCCTGGAGCATGGCATATCATGGGGTTCAAAGTTGTTAAATCAAAAGGAACTGAATAGCCTGTAACTGGTTTTCTCTCCTCTAGTGGCCTTTTCCTTTCATTTAATTCTATTCAATGTCCTCAAAGTTATTCAATTTTTTTTTTCTTTTGGTATCACTTCTGTGTTTAAAATTCTTCCATGACTCCTTATTACCCTCCAGATGAAGATCCAACCTCTTAGCCAGGTCTTTACACTGACCCCAGCATGCCTTCTATGTTCCTCACCCTTCCACTGCCACCATTTTACTGTGTGCATGTCTGGAGTTGTTTGTTTTTCTCATGGTCCAACGTACCCTCCCCACTTTGTTTTGTTTTGTTTTGTTTTTGTTTTTTTGGAGATGAAGTAGGCTGGAGTGCAGTGGCACTATTTCTGCTCACTGCAGCCTCCGCCTCCCAGGTTCAAGTGATTCTCCTGCCTCAGCCTCTGGAGTAGCTGGGACTACAGGTGCGCACCACCACACCCAGCTAAATTTTGTATTTTTAGTAGAGACGGGGTTTCACCATGTTGGCCAGGATGATCTCGATCTCTTGACCTCGTGATCTGCCCGCCTCAGCCTCCCAGAGTGCTGGGATTACAAGCATGAGCCGTTGCGCCTGGCCAGCCAACACGCCCGGCCCCCTCCCCATTTTTTATTTGTCACTTCGGTCTGATGTTTTGAGATCCAGTCTTAACCCTGCGAAACCTTCTCTGCCTTTCCCAGAAAGAGTTAATTGTGCCCTCTGCTATGTTCCCTGAGGGTCTGTACAGTCAATCTTTTTTAGTGGCATCCCATCTCATCTAGCTCATCCCACCCCAACCCATCCCATGCCATCTCATCCCATCCCTCTCCTCTTTGTCCTGTTTCCCCATTTCATCTGTCTCTTACATTTTCCTCTGCATTTCTGATTAGATCGAGGACCAAGAATTGTGACTGATGCTTCTTTGTCCCCTGTTCAGGTGTTTCTTAAGTGGCAGATGAATAGTTCCTCCCTGTACTCTCCTGTAAACATACTTTTTGCTTTTACATCTCTTCAGTTTTGCTTTTACTTTTTTTTTTTTCGTAAGGGATACATTCTTTCAGTAGCTTTATTTAAATGTAGTGTGTGGACCGTTTGTTGTGACCTTCTTTGAAATTTTCTCTGATCATGGCAGCCCAAAATATCGGTACCTGCCTCTGAACCATCTTCGTTGTCTCTGGCTGTGTTACTTATACAACACCTGCTATTATTATTTGTATTTTTGTTTTATATGTTTCATCCCTCCTTAGATTATAAACTCTGAAGTTAGAGGTCATCTTATAGACAATTTTGAATCTTCTGTGTTAAAAAATATAATTTTGGCCAGGTGTGGTGGCTCATGCCTATAATCCCTGCACTTTGGGCAGCCTAGGTGGGTGGATCACTTGAGTCCAGGAGTTTGTGACCAGCCTGGCCAACATGATGACTTTGGGCAGCCTAGGTGGGTGGATCACTTGAGTCCAGGAGTTTGTGACCAGCCTGGCCAACATGATGAAACCCCGTCTCTACTAAAAATACAAAAGATTAGCCTTGGCTGGGTGCAGTGGCTCACGCCTGTAATCCCAGCACTTTGGGAGGCCAAGGTGGTGCATTACGTGAGGTCAGGAGTTTGAGACACTCTCTCTCTCTCTCTCTCTCTCTCTCTCTCTCTCTCTCTCTCTCTCTCTCTCTCTCTATATATATATATATATATATATATATATATATATAGACTTTTTACCCCCCCACGCTTGAAAAATGTGCTACTTCCTTTAGTCTCCATGGTTTCAGATGGGAAATCCATTGTTCGAATTGGTGTTCCTTACAGATCATGTATCATTTCTCACAGCCTGCTTTCAAGCAGATTTTTTTCTTTGTCTTTAGTTTTCAGAAGACTAGTTATTGATGTTTACCATTGATCCTAGCCTTGGCCTGAATTTCTTTTTGTCCTTTTTTTTTTCTCTTCGAGATGGAGTCTCACTCTGTCACCCAGGCTGGAATGCATTGGTGTGATGTCGGCTCACTGCAACCTCTGCCTCCCGGGTTCAAGCGATTCTCCTGCCTCAGTCTCCTGAGTAGCTGGGACTACAGGCATGCATCAGTATGCCTGGCTAATTTTTGTATTTTTAGTAGAGACGGGATGGGGTTTTGCCATGTTTGCCAGGCTGGTCACAAACTCCTGACCTCAAGTGATCTGCCTGCTTTGGCCTTCCTAATGCTGGGATGGCCTCTCTTTGTTTATTCTGATCATAAATTTGCTCAGCTTCTTAAATCTGTTTATGTCTTTTACCAAATTTGGAATGTTTTCAGCCATTATTTCTTTGAATATTCTTTTAGCCCTATTCTCTTTTTCCTCTTGGGGCTCAATGATACAAGGCTGGATGTTTTGCTGTTCCACAGGTCTCTGAGGCTCTGCTTATTTTCACAGCCTGTTTTCTATTGTTCTGATAGAGTGAATTCTGTTGTCTTTCCTCAAGTTCAGTGATTTTTTTTATCCTGTCATTTTCATCCTACTATTGAGCATATCAAGTGAGTTTTTGTTACTGTACTTTTCAGTTGTATAATTTATATTTGGTTTTTAAAATAATTTCACTTCTGAGATTTTCTAGTTTCTCATTTGTTTCAACAGAATTTATAATTGATTATTGAAGCACTTGTAAGAGGGTTGCTTTAAAATCCTCATCAGATAATTTCAACATCTGATTTATCTCAGGGTTAGGGTCAGTTTTTTGGCTAAAATGGGAATTTGACTTGGGATTTTCCTGGTTCTTGGTATGGTGGGTGATTTTTGACTGTATTCTGGACATTTTGCCTATCTTTTTTTTGGGGGGGTGCGGGCAGTGGGAATGTTCTGAATCCCATTTAAATCTTTTGTTTTAGCAGGCAGCCACCCAGTTAGTCTTAGCACACAGGTCCTGCCCTACATTTGTGGGCTGTGGTTCCAATGACAGTTTAACTTTCAGAGCCTTTGTGGTGTTTGTCTGCTTGGTGGTTAGATGCCGCTAGGGCTGCCGTCTCATTTCCCCCTGCTGTTATTGCTGGCTGTGGAGGCAGAAGGGATTTCCCTAGGCTGGGCTACTAGGTGTCTCCCAGTGGGGGAAACGTAGTCTCAGGACCCTGGAGACTGAGGGACTTTCCTGACTGTGGCATAGTCCCCCTTCCTGTGGGGGACAGAGAGCTCTTGAGCCAGACACTTGTTGAGATGGAATCTCTCTACCTGTGCCCCACGGTTTTCCTCATGTCTGTGTGCAATGGAAGGGCGTCTTAGGCCCATGTGACCAGAGAGGCTTCCTGGGCCAGGTCACTTGTGGCTGGGGAGTCTTGTGTCTGCCCTATTGCATATGTCGAGGCTCCCCTAGTTATTGTTGGTGGGGCTTTAGGTTGGTCCTTCTTTTGGATGGTGTAGGACTTATCTGATGTGAGGGGGACTCGTGTTTGATCTGGGTCATAGGAATGAGCCTACCTGAGCTGCCTTTTGTTCTCATGTCATGGGTTGGGAAATGGTGGGTCTGGGTGACCACTTTGCATAGGGGGATGCAAGATACTGTTTCACTGAGCTGTTCTTCCATTTTTGGGGTCACAAACTGGTTTGTTTTCTTCTTACCATCTTTCAGAGTTCTCCTTTGGTTATCTCCTCTGCTATTTCCAGGGTTTATAGCGCTTAGTAGGGAGGAGCAGAGAGACATAGTTTTCTATGCTGTCTTGTGCCTTGTCATTCATTATTTTTTTCCTTTTTCTTTTTTGACACAGCGTCTTACTCTGTCACCCAGGCTGGAGTGCAGTGGCACAATCTTGTCTCACTGCAACCCACGCCTCGTGGGATTAAGTGATTCTTGTGCCTCCCAAGTAGCTGGGACTACAGGTGCCTGACACCATGCCTGGCTAATTTTTGTATATTTAGTAGAGACAGCGTTTCGCCATGTTGGCCAGGCTGGTCTTGAACTCCTGGCCTCAAGTGATCTGCCCACCTCTGCATTTGAAAGTGCTGAGATAACAGGCGTGAGCCACCGTGCCCAGCCTTATTCATTCTTAGATGTTGGAATTTTAAAAAGCAATGAAAAATGTCAGCAAAATTTAGCATTTATTTTTCTACGTTCAGTAAAACATATCTCTCAGGGGTCTTATGGAGGTAAGGAAACATGAGAACCAGTTAGGTTAAATGACTGGTCCTGGGGCTCTATTGGTCGTTAATTACAGAACACAGACTAGAGTTAGACTCCTCTTAATGAATCCACTATTTGTTTCTTTGTAGCAAACTAAGTTGAAGACTTCTCTATAAGAAAAGAGAAGAGAACCATTGCTGTGCTGTAATGCTCTGGGCTTTATAATGTTAACACACAAAATAATTTATATATCAAGTGGAAAACCTCTCAGAATACAGGAAAAGAATCCAGTGTTCAATTATATTAAGAGTGAATAACATGCTGTGTTTGTTCCAATTTTAGTATTCATCATTTTTTGTAAAGTGTAAAATAACATACCGTCTGTTTTTTACTATAAAACATTTGAATGGCCTTATAAAATGTTTCTTGCAAAAGAAAGTTCTCTCACTGGTTATCATCACCATTTGTATTATACTTCAAAGAGAGTAAAGAATATAATGAAGGTTGGTGGCACCACCCAAGCGAATTAATCTCATAGCTTAGCATTATGTGGGACTTTTCATCAGGTCATCGCTGTTTACTCCACAGACATCAGATACCTCTCAAAATAGTTCTCCATGAAGCTTTTTTTCCTCTGCTGCAGAGATGGAGAAATGGAGAAACCCAGAAGTTAACTGTTAAGTTGTTTGTAATGTTTTTTGAAGTCCCCAGGGATTTTACAGAAAATGGAGCCGGAGTTGAACTCATCCCAAAACTCTTTGGATGTCTGGGATGGGAGGCATTGATTTCTCTCCCTGAGGCACAGCAAGAACTAGGCAGAGTAAATAGGACTAAACACTGGCCCTGTTTAATGTCGCTTGAGTAATGATGCTTGAGTAATGATGACTGACAGGTCGGAGGAGTGGGGCGTATGAGGATGGACTGACTCTGTTTTTCTTCTTTCCATATGGACTTATTCCTTTTGCTTCTACTTTTGTTTTTCCTTCCTGTTCCCTACTTAATAGTCTTGCTGAAAAATATATCTGACCTGTATTGAAGAATGGAATTAAACATACTGGGTTTTGGAGAACTTTTCCCATCACTCATAGTAAAACTCCAACATAGGTGATCCATAGGCTAAAATGAGATGTTCAGAAGTTAGGGTGAAGCTTCTTAAAAAAGTGATAGTGTGATGATGGTTGATTTTGCAAACTTGTTTTCTCTAAAGCATAATATAGCTGAGCTATGATCCTAAAGGTAAGGTGGTAGGTAGTATTAATGCCAGCAATGTACTGACTGTTTACTGGCTCAGACTCAAAGACTGTTAGCATTGGGCAGGGCCCCCTTTGGACCATGTTTGTAGCCTCTCTGTCCTCAGCAGAGTGTCTCTACAATATAAATAGTGGTATTTGTGTCTCGTAGTTACTTGTAATGAAGCAGCCTGTTGTATTGCAGGTGGCCAGCTCTGCTTCGCAGGAAACCAGCTCTGCCTCCCTGTAACTTCTACTTACACTGGTTTTTTGTTGGGTCTCTAGGACCATGCAGGGTGAATCTAATAATTGTTCTTGTTAATATCTGTCAAAATTCAGAACAGATGTTGTGACTTTACCTTCTCAAAGTTGTTTCTCATCAATCTTGAAGACTCCTTATCCTGCTGTTTTCTGCATGTTCTGTTTTGCCGGTATCCCTTCAAAATGTGGTCCTCCAAATGAAACATGGTGCCCCCAAAGTTTTGGAGAACTCCTTTGCTGTGTGGAAGTGCGGACTGTGACATGTAAGGGTTTGGGGTCTGTAAATTCTATTTATCAACCTCTCTCCACTTTTTTTCCCTTAGTTTTGTTTATTGCTTTTTTTTTTTGAGATGGAGCCTTGCTCTGTTGCCCAGGCTGGAGGGCAGTGGTGTGATCTTGGTACACTGCAACCTCTGCCTCCTGGGTTCAAGCGATGCTCATGCCTCAGCCTCTCAAGTAACTGGGATTACAGGTGTGCACCACAATGCCAAGCTGATTTTTGTAATTTTAGTAGAGATGGGGTTTCACCGTGTTGGCCAGGCTGGTCTCGAACTCCTGGCCTCAAGTGATTCACCCGCCTTGGCCTCCCAAAGTGCTGGGATTACAGGCATGAGCCACTGCATCCAGCCTATTTATTTTTCTTTTTTTATTGATACATAACTGTACATGTTTATGGGATACATGTGATATTTTGATACATGCATACAATGTGTAATGATCAAATCAGGGTAATTGGGATATCTATTGCCTCAAACATTTATCATGTGCTTTGGGAACATTTCATATCTTTTCTTGTTATTTTGAAATATTTTTAATTATAGTCAGCCTTCTGTACTGTCAAACACTAGAAGTTATTCCTTCTGTCTAACTCTGTTTGTACCCATTAGCCAACCTCTTTATTGCCCCTCTCCCATGCTTCCCTACCTCTGGTAACCACCATTCTTCTCTCTACCTCCATGAGGTCAACTTTATTGGCCCACACATTTGAGTGAGAACATGTGATACTTGTCTTTCTGTGTGTGGCTTGTTTTACTTAATATAATGACCTCCAGTTCCATCCATGTTGCTGTAAATTACAGCATTTTATTCTTTTCTGTGGCTGAATAGTATTCCATTATATCTATCTATAGACCATGTTTTCTTTATCCATTCATCCATTGATGGACACTTAAGTTAATTCTATGTTTTGGCTGTTGTGACTACTGCTGTAGTAAACATGAGGTGTGCAGGTTTCCCTTTGATATGCTGATTTTCTTTGCCTTGGATAAATATTCGATAGTGGGAATGCTGGATCATATGGTAGTTGTATTTTTAGTTTTTTTTTTTTTTTTCTTTCAGGTTCAGGGGTACATGTGCAGGTTTGTTATATAGGTAAACTGTGTGTCACGGGGGTTTGGTGTACAGATTATTTTGTCATCCAGGTAATAAGCATGGTACCCAATAGGTAGTTTGTTTTTGATCCTCACCCTCCTCCTACCCTCCACCCTCAAGTAGCCCCCCAGGTCTGTTGTTCCCTTCTTTGTGTCCATGTGTAGTCAGTGTTTAGCTTCCACATATAACTGAGAGCATGCTATATTTGGTTTTATGTTCCTGCATTTGCTTAGGATAATGGCCTGCAGCTCCATCCATGTTGCTGCAAAGGACATGATGGTGTTCTTTTTTTTATGGCCATATATTATTCCATGGTGTATATGTACCACATTTTCTTTATCCAGTCTACTGTTGGTGGACATCTAGGTTGATTCCCTATCTTTGCTATTGTGAATAGTGCTGCGATGAACATAAATGTATGTGTGTCTTTATGGTAGAATGATTTCTATTCCTCTCTGGGTATATACCCAATAATGGGATTGCTGGGTCAAATGGTAGTTCTGTTTTAAGTTGAGAAATCTCCAGACTGGTTGAACTAGTTTATATTTCCATTAGCAGTGTATAAGTGTTCCCTTTTCTCCACAGCCTTGCCAGCATTTGTTATTTTTTGACTTTTTGGTAGCCATTGTGACTGATGTGAGATGGTATCTCATTGTAGTTTTGATTTGCATTTTTCTAATTATGAGTGGTGCTGAGCTTTTTTTTATATGATTGTTGGCCACATGTATGTCGTCTTTTGAAAAGTTCTTGTCCTTTGCCCACTTTTTAATGAGGTTGTTTTTTGCTTGTTAATTTAAGCTCCTTATAGGTTCTGGATATTAGACCTTTGTCAGATGCATAGTTTGGAAATATTTTCTCCTATTCTGTGGGTTGTCTGTTTACTCTGTTGATAGTTTCTTTTTGCTGTGCAGAGGCTCTTTTGTTTAATTAGGTCCCATTTGTCAATTTTTGTTTCTGTTGCAGTTGCTTTTGGCATCTTCATCATGAAATCTTGGCTAGGTCCTCTATCCAGAATGGTATTTCCTAGGTTTTCTTCAAGAGTTTTTACAGTGTCAGGTTTTACATTGAAGTCTTTAATTCATCTTGAGTTAATTTTTGTATATGGAGTTAGGAAGGGGGTCTAGTTTCAGTCTTCTGCCTATGGCTAGCCAGTTGTTCCAGCACTGTTTACTGAATAGGGAGTCCTTTCCCCATTGTTTGTTTTTGTTGACTTTGCCAGAGATCAGATGGTTGTAGGTGTGAGGCTTTATTTCTGGGCTCTCTATTCTGTTCCATTTGTCTGTGTGTCTTTGTACCAGTACCATGCTGTTTCGGTTACTGTAGCCATGTTGTACAATTTGAAGTCAGGAAATGTGATACCTCCAGCTTTATTCCTTTTGCTTAGAATTGCTTTGGCTATTCAGGCTCTTTTTTGGTTCCATGTGGATTTTAGAATAGTTTTTCTAATTCTATGAAGAATGTCAATGGTAGTTTGATAGGAAGAACATTGAATCTGTAAATTGCTTTGGGCAATATGGCCATTTTAACAATATTGATTCGTCATATCCCTTCTCTTCATTTTTTAAAAAACTAGTTCTTAGAAAACCAAAGCAAAATAATAATTTATAATTTAAATTAGGCCAGGCATAGTGGCTCACACCTATAATTCCAGCACTTTGGGAGGCTGAGGTAGGAGGATCACTTGAGATCAGAGTTTACGGCAACAGTGAGCTATGATCACACCACTGCATCGTGGGCAACAGAGCAAGACCCTGTCTCTTTAAAAAGATATAAAAAAGGTAAATTAACTATCTTACTCATGTAATATTGCATACAGTGTGGATAACACGCCTATGAAACTTTATGCTAACACAAAGGGCTAATAATCCCAAACTGTCTCAAATTTAAGATTATTTACTCTCCAACCCTGAAGGCTAAAAAGAAGCCCATGTTTGTACTTATACAATATTTTCCACCCAATGAGCCCTTTATTATAATAAAATTTTTATTTATAAAATCCATACTTTAAGCCTTTTGTTTATATTTATTTAACTCACAAGAACTACCATGCACACATACTGACGGAGCTGAGTGACTGAATCCAGGCAGGGCAGATTTGCAATGCTGAGAGCTCTCCCCACCCATCTTACCACCTCAGTGTCCAGAGTCCAGGCGGCTTTCCAGGTCGGATCAAATTTACTCTAAATTTGTCTAAATCGGCTCTCCAGACATTATAGTTACATATATCTATTATCTCACTTTTCATAATGTTAGTCTCATTTAGACTTTTGTGTTAGTTTGTCCAAAAGTGTTTCAATACCAGATTATAGTAATGCCAGATTATAGTAATCAGATAACATATATTATTATATATGAATATTGTATAATATATAATTCATTATTAATATAATCTGGCATTATATAGTACCAGATTAAGTAATCAGGGGCTTTTTTTCTGTTTTTGGGGGGGCGGGGGATGGAGTTGCTGCTTATAGATCAATGCCTGTCTGAAGACTGTTGCTTATGATAAGGAGTTTGCTGCTTTCATCAAGAAAGTATTGCTGTGGGAAAATGTTAGTTAAACTAAACAAAGGTGCTTAGTGACTTGGTTAATTTACATTCTATACAGATTCCTTGTCTGGCAGGTACCCTGTGACAAACCCTTCAGGCGCCAGCATATTATCTTTTTTGAGACAAGATGTCATTCTGTTGCCCAGGCTGGAGTGTGGGGATGCCATCATAGCTCACTACAACCTTGAATTCTTGGCCTTAAGTGATCCTCCTGCCTCAGCCTCCTGAGTAGCTGGGACCACAAGTGTATGCCATCCTGCCCAGCTAAAGGGGCCAACATTTTGAATAGCATTGCCTGTAGGTGCCACGAAACTGCCCCTGCCACCCAGTTCTAAGAAGTAGATCCATTGGTTTTCCAAGTCTCTAGTAAGCGTGAAACCCGGTGAAAGGATGCTACGCCTAATTCATATGTCAAATTAAACCTAACAGCCCAGTGCCATTTAGTGTGGGGGCAGGTAATTCTGCTGAACAGTTTGAGAATGAAACTTTGAAAATGGCAAGGTCATGAGTTAGGAATTGGAGAGACCTGGCTTTGATTCTGGTTTTACTGTGTGACATATTTTGCTTCCCTTGAGGTCTGTTCCCACCCCCCAATTCATGAAATGGAGACATAAGATCTACCTTGTAGGATTTCTAAGGATTAGGAATGATTTTTATATGAAATATCCTGCATAACAGTAGATGCTTACTATTGTTAAGAATTTTGAAATGATAATTAAAGCTCTAAAAAAGAAAAAATATAGGTGATTGTATTAGGTAATAAAAAGTATGACATGAAACTATTGTTCAAAAGGTGATACAAGAAGAAAAAGGAACAGAAGAACTTATATTCCAGAATTATTTTTTTTTTAAATGTAGGAAAATTAGAAAATTAAAGAGAATTTTTCTGAAATGGTCAGGAACGTAAAGAGGTCGGTGTATTTTAAGTGTGTAAGTGACAGAAGGAATTGCCTTCTTCAAAATAATGGAAAAACATTTGACTACCTAAAAATAGAGAGTTCAAAAGCATAATCCAAAAAAAGGCCATAAAGAGGAAAATATTTGAAACCAAATTATTATATATCAAACTTGTAATAGAGCAAATAAAGACTGTATATCAATGGCATTTTATACCAGAGACATAATTGTAATCAAATAAGAAAAAAGCACACAAAATCAATTTTGAAAAAAGTTGAACAAATAGAGTAATGAACCCCATATCACTTGGTGACTAGAGGATGCTAGCAGTCTCCTGCCTAGTGTCCTTTGAACTGGAGCCTGAATTGTATTAATGGTCCAGAAAAAGTTCATGAAGGTCCTCGTCCTCCTTTGGTTGTATGGGTGTATAGGGGAAGAGAGAATCAATGATGAAGTTAAATCCAGAGTATCAGTAATAAAAAGGTAACGGGAAAATGTGCTTTATAGGCATGTGGATCTTTGTTCAATGAATAATTATTTCTTACATGTCTTTTTGTGGTCTTTTCAGTAATCTACCGATTTAGAATCAAAGCTAGTTGAAGTTAGAAAGTATGGATCACACATCCTGCCACTGTGTGCATCTACTTTATATACAACTAACAACTGTGGGACCCCAGTTACAAAGGCTGTCGGAGGTGAGCCCACTGAGAGCTGGCAGGGGGTTTCTTATGCAGGTTGTATGTGGGTTTTGGAGAAGGTGAGAGAAGTGCATTCTAGGAGGAAGGCAGAGCATGTACAAAGACTGCAAGGAAGGAAAAAACTTTGGCATTTTTTTTTTTTTCCAGGAACAGAAGGGAGGCTGTTGAAGCTGGAGTTAGGTTAGCTTAGGGGTTGATGAGGCTGCAGAGTGAGCAGAGGTCAGATCATGCAGGGTCTTTCAGGCTCTAGGAAGGAATTGGATTTTATCCTGAATACAACAGAATGATACTGAAGGTTTTAAGCAGGGGAGTAAGGAGATCCAATTCATATTTTAAGTTAAGTTTTGCTGCTGTGTGGGAGTTGGGTTGGAGGAAAGAGTGGGAGCAGAGTAATGTGTTCACAGTGGAGATAGAGAAGTGAGCAGATCCGTGGGATGTTTGCATGTAGAGTGAATGTGTAGGGGGTTAAGGGAAAGGCAGGAATCAAGCATGATTTGTCATAGAATGATTTCTTGCCAAAAATGACAACCTAAAAACATTTGGCATTTTGGAGCATTCTCAACTCTGGGCCCCCTCTGGTTCTGCACTCTTCTAGGACCTCATTTTAGCTGCCTTTTCTCCCTCTGCCCCCTCCCTTCTGTTCTGCTCTCCATTTGTGTCTCCTTCTTAGTTTAATTCTCTATTTTCAACTCTAGATTTCCTCTACTTTTTCCTTTTAAAAACTATTCTTGCCAGCTGCCCTGGTGGCACCTGTTGTCCCAGCTTCCCAGGAGGCCAAGGCAGGAGGATCTCTTGAGCCCAGGAGTTCCTGGCTGTAGTGTAGTGTGCGATGTTAATCAGGTGTCTGCACTAAGTTTGGCATCAGTATGGTGACCTCTTGGGAGCCTGAGGAGGAGCCAACTGGCCCAGGTCAGAAATGGAGCAGGTCAAAACTCCTGTGCTGATCAGTATAGCATCATGCCTGTGAATAGCCACAGCACTCCAGCCTGGGCAACATAGCAAGACCTCGTCTCTATAAAAAACAAAACACCATTCCTTATTTAATTTTAATCACCTTTCTTCAAATAATCGACAGTCAAAATTTCTGGCCCTGACCTCTATCTGCAGCCGTTTGTGGAATTTGTGTAGTTAATCTGCTGCATTCTGAAATAGCTAACATGCATTTTTTTTCTTGATCTTAAATTAGCTTCCTCTCTTGACTTCCCTTTTTCTTTTTAATGGTTCCACCAATCTTTGTCATCCAGACAGGATAACTTAGTAATATTTGATTCATTATTTTCCTTCACTGCAATTCAACATGTAAACTCCAATATTGGTTCTAGGTTGTTGATGAAGAAACTAAAGCTCAGAAGCATTGTCACCTGCCCAGAGTCACACAGCTGGTCACTGGTGACACGGGTTTGTGAGCCCCACTCTGACTTCAGACCCACATTCTCAATCATTGCACTATACTGTACACCAGCGGTCCCCAACCTTTTCGGCACCAGGGACTGGTTCCATGGAAGACAGTTTTTCCATGGATTGGGTTGGGGGATGGTTTTGGGATGACTCAAGTGCATGACATTTATCATTAGATTCTCATAAGGAGTGTGCAACGTAGATCCCTCACGTATGCATAGTTCACAATAGGGTCACGCTCCTCTGAGAATCTAATGCCCCTGCTGATCTGGGACCCAGGGCTTGGGGACCCCTGCTATACGCCAAGGAGATTTAGGATAACGCTTTTCCAAAAGATACCTAACTTTACTTTGTTTTTAATATATGCTAAATTTTAAGGTTGAGACTACTGCTATTAACAACTGTCATTCTATTATTTAGTATTTTCTCTATAAGTATGTCACATATAGTATCTCTTTATAGAGATTTTCAATTTCTTATAGCAGCTTATTTACATTCACCCTTTTTGAGCGGGAAGAAGAAAGGAGTGATATTGAGTGGTGGGCACAAGATTCTCCCTTTTTTCTTCCCTACCATTACAGGCGAGAGATCATTTACCCTTGCTCCTGCAAATACTGTTTCATTGTTCGAAACATAGTTGGCCATCTGGCAAAAACTGTTATTTAAAACTTGCATTCTTTTATTACTAGTGAAGTTGGAAACATTTTTTGGTGTTTACTAGTGATTTCTATTTATTTTGTGAATTGCATTCATTGTTCACAGTTAACATTATCCCCATTATTATCATTGGCCCTTAGCTCTGAAACTTGGTAGAGATGAATTAAAAGGTGCAACCAGTCTTCTAACTTCTGCATCAGAAATTGGGTTGAAGATGTCTTACATGAACCTGTGGCTTCTGAGTATTTAACAAACTTTTATATTAACCATCTGAACGTTTACATCTCATCTTTAATACAAATTCTGGAAGTGGTGGTGCAGAGTTGCCAGTCTGAGAGATTCAGGCTCAGCTGGAGAATGTGTTGGGCCTGAAGTAACACAACTGTAAACCTATTTGTGGAGAACCTAAATGCACATACAGTGATTTGCCTCCACATCAAAGACCTCTCTGTAGTGCCTTAGGGTATGGTGAGGGCAGTAGTCCAGATAGAGGGCCCTCAGTGACTGTCCCATCTTTTAGAACAGAGCCCACAGGGTTGGGTTCTTGCAAGATCTATCTGGGGAATCTTCCTAAAGCCATCATGACAGGGTCTGTCACTTCATTAACTCAACAAATACTAATTGAGCATCTACTCTGTGCCTCATTTTGTTCTAGATCCTGTGGTTATGGCAGTGAACAAAATGAATAGAAATATCCCTGACCTCAGAGTTTCCCTTCGGGGACAAGTTTAGCTCCCCTGGAGGCTCTCCATACTTGACTTTCTCAAGTCTAACTCTTTCTTTGCTTCCTAGCTCCTCGCCTTAATCCTCTTTTTCCTGTGGCCCTTAGATCAAGCCTGGCTTCCTCTTCATTTTCAGTGTTCTGCTACTAAGTTCAACAGCTTCTGTTAATAAGGGACTTCTTTTATTCCTGGCTTCACCATGTCCTAGCTGCAACCCTCAGTCCCACCCAAGTCAGACTGGTAAGTGCGGGCCCCAGGCCCCCAGTGTCCTCTTGTGAGAATTCTCTTTGTCTTCTAGTAGCTCCTCGTTGGAATACTGGCCATTCTTTTAACACATTGGCTTCTGAAATAAGTGTAGAACATGTGTGAACCCACTGTGTATATTGGGGTTCACTGCTCCCTAGGGAGTTTGGTCTACCTGAGGCATGTGATTTGTGTAGATCCTCAAGTAACAGCCCAGGGATGACAATCTTGACTTGTAAGCATGGCCACATTATCCTGCAGCCCTGACTGTCCTGATAATTGGGTACCATCCATTCTTTTTGTTTTACTTAAAAGCAGTTTATGCTCAGTGAAGAATATTTGAAAAATACTGACAAATATGCAATGGCTTTTTTTAAAAAAAAAAAACAAAAAACAAAACACTGGTTAAGGTTTTCTTTTGAGGGGGGAGCTTACCTTCTAAACAGCTGTTTTATGTGCAACTGCATACTTTTCTCCTGCTTTCATTGATGTTTTACAAGTTGACATTTGTGTCTTATCTGTAACCTGCTTGCAGATTGGTCGCTAGCCACTTGCAGAGTGCAATTAACAAGAGTGAGCTCCGATATAAAGATGGTGATTTATTTCCAAAGCTAGCTTAGAGGAAGAAGCACAGGTGTCCCACCTCCAAATGTACCCCTTAGCTTTTGGAGCAGAAAGTGGGCACTTTTAAAAGTCAAGGGAGGGTGTAAGCAAGGTGGGGGATACCTGTGTTAGCTTGGTGCCTTATCAACGAGGCGGCTGAGCTGGTGACTGCTGGGGTCTTCATGGGTGTGACTAGGCCCTAAACCCCTCAGGTGGGAGAGAGTAGTGGGAATGTTTTTCGACTGTTCTCTCGAGGCAACCTCCTGATGGGTGAGAGTTGCATAGCAGGCATGCCTTGGTCTGTAAATTGACTAACTCTCGAGGACTTGGATGAACTTAGTAGGGAATGGCTGGTGAAGGAGGGAGTAAAAAGCTATTTTTTAGCATTTCTAAAAGGCTGCGTAGGAAGTGGGGAATGAAAAAAAGAAAACATCTCTTTGAAAAATGGGGTACTTGGTTACATATTTATGTAACACCTTCTCCCTCTTTGAACACAGCTAGTTTTCAGGAGGTCCAGGCCCGTGTCAGTATGCTCTAGGGTGCTGTGGATGATGTTGATTCTGGGGTCTAGCTTGACCTTGCTTGTGAGGAATACTTCACAGACCTCACTACCCAGCCAGCACATTCATTTTCTAACAGCCACATTTCCAGATTTCCTTTCCTTCCTTCTTTCCTCCTGTTGGCTTTGTGTTCCTCAGTGTAGCTCTCCGTTTCCTTCCAGTCTTCCTGGGAACTGTTCCTTCCCCAGGAGCTGCCCATAAAGCCTTTTCCCCACCTCTGCTTCTTTCTTCTCTTCTAATATTTCAACATAGTCAAGATATTTTGATTATTCACATACATTTTACAAGGACATTGTAAAGAAAGGGCTTTGTGGCCCAACTGTGGTCTGAGCAGTGTTTGTTCCCCACACCGAGGCAGCATATTTTGATGGTTTAGACTGAGAACTGAACCCAGGACCCAAAGCCTGGCTTTACCATTTAATGTGATCTGACTTCTGTGCCCCTTCTTATGCTTGTCTCTAAAATACAGTGTGAAAATGTCCATGTAATTTGTTATAGTGAGCATTAAATGCACTAGTACATGCAGAGTACTCACTTGGAGCAGCGACTGGCACAAAGGGAGTGTTAAATAAATATTAGATGGTTATTGCACATACTTAACCTGCTTGGAAGCACTGGTGTGAAACAATTTTCCAGTTAATAATGAGTGTTCAAATTTCTTTATGTTGAACACAGTTCCTTATGTTTCAGTGGCCCATCTCATGGACTCAGGTACTGCCTGTTGCAATTTTTTACATGGATTGGTTTCTGCCTTTAGGAGCCTTTTTTTTTTTTAAATAAAAGAATTGTATGTGTTAATGTAGTAAAGTCTTCAAACATAATTTTGGCCTTTAAGGGATGTTTTTATACTCACTGGCCTATACCCGAGTTGTCACTCATGGCCTCTGCTAGCTACTTCACAGCTCCTGTGAAGGACACTGCTCTGCCCACAGCCCCTGCTGGGGAGAAAGCTCTCTGAGGACTGTGTCCTCCCTCTTCTCCTTTTCCTGGGGTGGCTGATTTGATTGGGATGGGACACCAGATAGCTACCTCTGTCATGGCCTTCCGTGGGAAAAACATGAGCCAAGCCAATTTGATTCTCTTGAGAATTTTAATTTAGGAAATCAGAAGGAAAAAGCCGTGGGAGCCGAAATTGAAAGAATGCCATGAACTAATGGCATGAGGACAGGCCTGCCAGGCAGTGACATGGCAGCAAACCCAGAGTCTGACAGCAAGAATTAATAGAAGTAGAAGAGAAGATGTGACAATTGCACGCGACAGAGAAAACTAAACACACAGAGAGAAGCCAAGTTAGGTTAATGGCAGAGGCCCAGGGAGAAGATCTCAGACATAGCTGTACTGTGAGTTTTTTCTCAAAGCAAGTTGCTCACATGTTTTCCTGGTCTCTTCGTAATTGTATTCTCATTATTTAAGGCTTTGCATTCAAAAGGTCCTAACTTAACAGCAGCTATATAGCATATGTAGTCCTTTCCTTTCCCATCGAAAGGATTACTCTCATTTTGTTCTTATTGCCTTAATACCTCTTCTGCAATTTAAAGTGATATAAATTTAACTCACTTTTTAGTACTATCTTCAAGTCTCCATATTCCATGCTGTGTTTTCCTGATAGCAGTAATTTATTTTCTTCTTTTTTTTGGAATATGTCTTCTATTGCACTCCTGTGAAATTTGCAAATCTGGACCCCTCCGTTCCTATGCAACACGGGCTGGTGATTTCTCTCAGATCTAGGGCATGGACTCCTTAGGGCAGCAGCCTCACCCTCTTTGTATTCGTACAGCACCATGGGCTGTGCTGAGCAAGTGATAGATGCCCAACAAGTCGTTGGTCGTTTCTTGTGGTTCATTTAGTTCTTATCATCGTGGCTTGTCTTGGATCACAAAAGAGGATGTTTTAGCCCTTTGCTAGGATGCATCTTTTTTTTTTTTTCCAAGCTTTAAATTTATTTGAAGGAAAATAAATATTAAAGAATTTGAGAGAAATGAGGGAGTTATACAGTAACTGTTGGCTTTGATTGGGAACTAAGTTTCTCATTTGTGCCGTGAATGTTGTTACTCCAATGGCAGAGGAGTGAACAAACTCATTTGTTAAGCGAGATGAACACCTGACAGCTAAATCCCTACTAATATTTGCTTTGGGCCCTAAGTGTATTCTGTGGTTAACAAGGTAACTTGTCTTGACATTACTCCCACATGTGGGAGTGTTTTTCTTTTGGTATTCCCTTTCTTAGCATATTTGGGAAACCACTTTATTTGCCAAGTTACTATATTTGCTACCAAAATGTTTGAATAATGCTGTGTTTTGTCATTGAGCGTAACTTCCATGATCTTTAAAAACAATGCTTTGAAATAGTGTTCTCATCTGTATATTGTTTCTCTTGTGTCCTAATTTCTTCTTTTTATAAGAACACAAGTCATATTGGAGCAGGGCCCATTCTTAATGACCTCATTTTAACTGATTACTTCTGTAAAGACCCTAGTTCCAAATAAGGACACATTCTCAGGTTCTGGGGGTTTGGATTTCAGTATATAAATTTGGGGAGAACACAGTTCAACCCATAATACAGAGGAACCACCACCCTACTAATTACCATAGCACCCATTAAACCAGGCTTTCTTGGCGTCGAAGCCAAGAAGCTTAAAAGATTTGTTTGCCCCTAGAGTCCACAGTCATTAGGTTGAGACTTCTGAGTCTCACTAGGTGTTGGCATAGTTACCAGAAAATCCTTAAAGGACCCTCCTCATCTCTCACCTGGATCAGGACAGGAGCCTCCTAACTTGTCACCCTGCTGCCGCCCTTGTCCACCTTCAGTCTGCTCTCAACACATCTCTGGGTTCCACTACTTCCTGGTTGTATGACCTTGGGCAAGTTGGGTAACCTGTGTCTGTGTCCTCTTCTGTTGTAGTGATAGTTAACCGAATCTACAAACGTAAAGTGATTAGTAGAGTACCTGATGTTATAAGGTGTGGTAGCCAGAATGGTGGCCCTCCAGTGATGTCCTGTCCTAATCATCCCTGGAACCTGTGAATATGTTATTTTACATGGCAAAAGGGACTTTCAGATGTGATTAAAGACCCTGAGATTATTGGCCGGAGGCGGGGGGCGGGGGGAGGAGGTTATCTTGGATTATCGTAGGGCCCATTGTAATCACAGTGGTCCTTAAAAGAGAGAAGAGATGTGATGACAGAAACAAAGGTCAGGCTGGGCACTGTGTCTCACACCTGTAATCCCAGCACTTTGGAGGGCCAAGGCAGGGGGATCACTTGACCCTAGGAGTTCAATACCAGCCTGGGCAATGTAGTGAGACCCCATCTCTACAAAAAATAAAAAAATAGGCGATAGGCGTGGTGGTGGTGGTTTCATGCCTGTAGTCCCAGCTACTCAAGAGGTTGAGGTGGGAGTTTCTCATGAGCCCAGGAGTTCAAGGCTGCAGGGAGCTATGATAGTGCCACTGCACGCTAGTCTAGGTGACAGAGTGAGACAGTCCTGCTGACACCTTGATTTTAGCCCCATGAGACTTCCCCCATTTTAGACTTCTGACCTCCAAAAACTGTTAGATAATAAGTTAGCGTTGTTGTAAGCCACTGCATTTGTGGCAATTTGTTACTACAGCAATAAGAAATGAATACGTAAGTGTCAGCTGTTTTATCTGGTTTTCCTGTTCCTACTGTAAATGAGATTTTCTTTAAACAGAGGAATCTGTGGCCAAAGACAGTTGGAAAATGAGTGGGCTAGGTGGTCGCCAGCATTCTCGTCCTATCTCCCATCCTGATGTGGCAGGTACTCTCTCCAGACAGTGCCTAGCCCCAGTAGTTTCTCAGCATTTGTGGAATGTTTAGGGAAGGCTGGATGGTGGTCTCCAGTGTGGAGCTGCCTGTGGGATTCTCTCCAGTCCCCACATCACTCCTGAAGGATTCTTCATAATTATTTGGCTATTTTGGTGTTTGGTTGTCTGTCATGTGCAATATTGGCCTTGAGCTCTGTGCTCCAGGTTTATGGGTTTCTTTTGGGGCCTATGCACCTTTGTGGGCTCTCCTTGTTTTCCTTTTACTCCATAAATTTGTCACTTCAAGTCATTCAAGTGACTTCAGATGTGTATTCTGTGATAAGAATTCATTACACAGACACCCCAGGCAAGCTGGACTCAGAGTTAGGGCCAGGAATGCTTTACCAGAATAGAGCCAGAGACAATGTTGGCCCATGAGCTGCTTCTGGAACAGCCTGTGATTTGGCCTTTAGGCCTAACCTAGCCCTGTGATGCATTCTGGGCTTATGAGTTGTTTGCAGCATTTTTTAAATCTAAAAAATGAGTTAGTTATTTGCTTTATTTTTTAACCTGTACAGAGAAGCCATAATGCCATTTTTGCATATAGTACCACTGCTGGTTTTGTAAAACAGGAAAACGTGAAGGAAAATATGAAGCTAGTCTACAATCCTAGAGGAATTTCATTTCACTTCCAAGTTACTTGGATTAATGTCAACATTATTTCACTGGCATGAAGGGTACTAAATTCTTAGAGTCTGTACCCTGTTCCTCTTTAGATAAAACATGAAAGAATTTTGGTGCGTGTTTTGATGTGCAGAGTCAGGGGCAGCTCCCTCAGCAGACCTTTGCGTAGTTGATAATCTAATTATGTGGCTCTCTACATAAAGAATATGAGCTTCCAGGTGCAATTTGTCTATTTTAAAAAGGGCTATGGAATCTATTATGATTTATAAAGAATCTTGTATTCAGATTTAATGAGTGACAAGAGTATATTTATTAACCATACCCTTTTTCTTTTCAAGCCCAGGATTATAGAACATGCTGCATTTCTAAAAGCATCCCCATTAGTGCTTTCGTTGCTGGGGTGGGAAGTTGTAGGAGTTAATAGTGACAACTTCATGACGAGGGCTCAGGCTTGTAACTTAAGGGGTTATCCTGCACTGACAGTGCTGCCTAGATGGGCAGTCAAGGTAGGGTGACCCAAACAGAGATGCTCCCCATCCCCCCAGCAGAGTGTCTGTTTGTCTAATATCTCATGGTCTTAACTAAAAATTGTTGATAAATAGGTGGCTCTGCTATAAGAAATAATTTTCTCAGTTGTAGAATCAAGGACAAGCAGTGGCAGTTCAGGCCAGAATCTGGAGGCTGTCCACACCTGAATTCAAAACGAGGTTGGCTCTCTCCATGTGGTATCCTACCTCTCAAACTCAGCACATCTCAAATATAACCCCTCATCTCTCAAACTGCTCCTAACCCTGGGAAGAATTAGATCACCTACATTGTCTCTCCTATTTGCCTGTGGATCAAGACACAAAAATTCAAGTCTGGAAGACTCTGAAGTGGCAAGTTCATTTGAAGGGTGCAGGTCACATTCATTCTTTTATGTTAGCTGTGCTTTTTGTGCACAGTCAGACTTGGCATTATCCACCAATATATAACAGCCTTGAGGGTATCTCAAGAGCAGTATTAATTCACAATACTCAGGAATTAGCAGGCAGAAGAGAATAGGGGGCATGGAGTTACAAATAAATGATTTTTCCATTTAATTGCAATTCTGCACTAGAGTCATTTAGAGAGCCTGATGGTTTCACACCAGTTGAGATCTGGGCAAAAGGACCTGGGAATAACGTGAAATCTCTTGAAAGATTGAATGGTGTAATGGAAAGGACATTGGTGGGAGTCTGAGAAACCAGGGAGTTGATCCTTTGCCTCCAGGACTTATTACCAGCAGTGTAAAGAGGTCTGTGACTTGACTGAGTCACTAAACTATCTCTGAACCTATTTTTTTTTCTTCTTCTTTTTCTTTTTTTTTTTTTTAAAGGTAACAGCAACACCTACCCTGCTGGTGTATTAAGAATAATTGAAATAATATTTGTAAGTCAATTAGCGTAGAGCAGGCGCTCAATAAAGGTTAGTTGGTTAGGCTGGGCGCGGTGGCTCACGCTTGTAATCCCATCACTTTGGGAGGCCGAGGCAGGTGGATCACCTGAGGTCGGGAGTTCAAGAGCAGCCTGACCAACATGGAGAAACCCCATCTCTACTAAAAATAAAAAAATTAGCTGGGGGTGATGGCATATGCCTGTAATTCCAGCCACTTGGGAGGCTGAGGCAGGAGAATTGCTTGAATCCGGGAGGCGGAGTTTGCGGTGAGCTGAGATCTTGCCATTGCATTCCAGCCTGGGTGACAAGAGTGAAACTGTCACCAAAAAAAAAAAAAAAAAAAAGTTAGTTTGTTAGTTTCCTCTATTCTCCCTGCCCTGCATCTAACCCAGGCAGAGATGTTGCTGGTCTTTGTAACTAACTTAGTCAGAAACTGCTTGAGTTTTATGTGCAATGATATTGGAAAGAAAATACATTTAATGGACTGCATTAAGTTTAGCAAACTGCCTTATGCTTTTGTTTTGAAAAGAAGAAGACATCTATAAAATATGAACTGCATGGGAAAATAAATTTAAAATGTATAAAGTAATGGAAAGGAAATTACATTTATAATTATTAAAAGAAATAGAATATGGTGTGGTCAGATTTTTAACAGTGGAAATTTTGCATAATGAACTCTGGTAAAACCCTAAGAGGAGATCACCAGAAAGGGGAAAATGAGTGATAGAAATGCTTATATTTTAAAATGAAGAAATGATATAACTATAATTCTTAGCACAGGTACAAAGCATGCTCTTTACATAGGGAGAAATACATCAGATTAGTTATGCAAATGAGCCCCAATTTAATCTGTTACAAACATTTTCAACTAATGAAATTAGGCATGAAATGCTGAAAAATTGGTGCATTTCAGTTTTAACTTTCCAGAGAACCTACTATTCTGACCATATGAAACACCATCTTTAAAATAACCTGCAGCCTTTGATCTAGTGATTTTGGATAAAATAATGAAACAGCTCCAATGGAAGACTATATAGCTTATGCCAGTCTATTCATAGCAATATATAAAAAATACATAGGTAAGTAAATATAAACAAACATGTTCGTATATATTATGTGTAAATGTGCACATATAAACAAGATCCTGTTGCGATCTGGCAAAGCAAACAGCAAAATAGAATAATGTGTATGTGACTACTAAAAATTATAAGCCCACAAACTATCAGTATTTGGAAATAGGTACATGAAATAAAATCATCCTATTATATCTTTTTTTATTTTTATTTTTATTTTATTATTTATTTATTTTATTTTATTTTTTCTTGAGATGGAGTCTCGCTCTGTCACCCAGGCTGGAGTTCAGTGGCGCTGTCTCAGCTCACTGCATGCTTCGCCTCCCGGGTTCCTCCCGGGTTCACACCATTCTCCTGCCTCAGCCTCCTGAGTAGCTGGGACTACAGGTGCCTGCCACCACGCCTGGCTACTTTTTGTATTTCTAGTAGAGATGGGGTTTCACCGTGTTGGCCAGGTTGGTCTTGAACTCCTGACCTTAGGTGATCCGCCCGTCTCGGCCTCCCAGAGTGCTGGGATTATAGGCCTGAGCCACCGTGCACAGCCTATTGTATCTTATTTACAGGTTTGGCTGCTGTTTCAGGGATGTAGAGAAGCATAAGACTGACAGCCGTCGCTTCAGGGAAATGAGGTTCCGGAGTGGGAAGATAGGTGACAATGCGCAAATATTGACTAAATAAGTTTGGGTGAATGAGTAAGTGCTATGAAGGAAATAAGACGGCAGTAGAATGGAGAGGGCCACGGTGCCTAGGACTAGCCCTATCCTAGGAAGGCTGAGGTGGGGAGGATTCCTGAGCTGAGCCATGGTGTTGGAGGAGTGGGCTAGTAAAGATGTAGCCTCAGGGAATAGCAAGTAAAGGGTTTTCAAACTGGAGTGAGTTTGGCATGTGTGAACCAAGAGCAACCAGTGTGTCTAGATCTTAGAGAACAATTGCATGTTTGCCTGGTTTACATTAGGAACTAAGTTATTTTATTTATTTACTTTATTATTTTGAGACAGTCTCATTCTCTAACCCAGGCTGGAGTGCAGTGGTGTGATCCTGGCTCACTGCAACCTTCGCCTCCTGAGTTCAAGCGATTCTCCTGCCTCAGCCTCCCAAGTAGCTGGGACTACAGGCAACCGCCACCACGCCCGGCTAATTTTTGTGTTTTTAGTAGAGATGGGTTTTCACTATGTTGGCCAGTCTGGTCTCCACCTCCTGACCTCAGGTGATCCACCTGCCTTGGCCTCCCAGAGTGCTGTTACAGGCGTGGGCTACCTCGGCCAGTTTTTTTTTTTTTTTTTTTTTTTTTTTTTTGAGACAGGGTCTCCCTATTGCCTAGGCTGGAGTTCAGTGGCATGATCTTGGCTCACTGCAACTTTCTCCTCCTGGGTTCAAGTGATTCTCGTGCCTCAGCCTCCCAAGTAGCTGGTATTAAAGGCATGCACCACCATGTCCAGCTAATTTTTGTAATTTTAGTAGAGATAGGGTTTCACCATGTTGGCTGGGCTAGTCTCAAACTCCTGGTCTCAAGTGATCTGCCCACCTTGGCCTTCCAAAGTGCTGGGATGACAGGCGTGAACCACCACACTGGCCATATTTTACATTTTAACACAACCAAATTTTATTAATTTTTCTTTATCAGTTATCTTTTCAATTACCCTCAAACCTAATGGCTAAAATAGCAGCCATTTATTCCATTGTGCGCTTTACTCACTGGGCAGTTACATGTCCCTCCAAACAGCCTCATGCATGTACAGGGCTGGCTGGCTGGCTGGCTGGTGGGCTGCTGCTGCGGCAACTATACGGGGCCACTGAGCCAGGAGTCATTCATCAGTGAGCCGGCGAGCCTGGGCTTGTTCTCGTGAAGGACTGAGGGTTCCATGAGAGTGGAGCAGAGGTGTGTAACATTCCTTGAGGTGGAGGCTCTGAATTGGCACAGTGTCACTTTCTCTGTATTCTATTGGCTACAAGACTAGCCCAGGTTCAAGGGGTGGGAAATAGATGAGTTTCCATGGGAGGAGCTGCAATGTCAGTGCACTGAGATGTGCCTGCAAGGAGGGCTGGAGGATTGGTCCATGCTTGCAATCCATCCCATTTCACCTTATGCTTGGTGCTTTTCTTCTATACTTTAGGTGTAAGAAATTAAAATCCTGTATGATCCAAAAGTTTTACAGTTTTGCCTTTTCATATTTAGGTCTTTCAGTGTTCACATATTATTTTTAAAAATTGCAAACAGCACGATAAACATGAATTAGAGGAAAAATGAAGTTTCAGAAACTTACAGTGGGGAATGTTGAACAAAAGGTTAGAGGCTGTGCACGTGGTGGAGCAGGGGCTATATGGGGAGCCTTTGTATCTTCAGCTCAGTTTTACTGTGAACCTAAAACTGCTCTAAAAATAGTCTATTAAACAATTTTATTACCATAATATGACTCAGTCTTCATTATGACAGTAATGTGTGAAGGAGACACACAGGAAGACAGCAGCTGTGTGAAGTGCAGAAGTCAGTCAACACCTTCTTAGAAAGTGCTTTAAACCAGAGGCAGGATTGTATACTGCTCAGGCCATGGCCTTTGGACCAGTGGTTCTGAAGAAGAAGCAAGCCTTCGCTGCTATTGTTTGTAGCTGTGCCAACCTTATGCAAATTACTCAACATCTTTGAGGTTTGGCTTCTTTGTTTGTAAAATGGTATAATAATCTTTATATATCTCTTGAGAATTTTTGAATGAAATGAAATGTGTATCACCTAGCACGGTGCAAGGCCTGTAAAATAAATGTTAGCCTATTTTAGAAGTAGAGTTTTCCACTATTAATCTCCAATTAAGATGAGGACCTCTGTAGGTCTTTTGCAGAATTAATTCTTCCTACCATTTCTTCTTGGCCTTCAGTTACTTCTCTGATGCTGTTTTCTATGAACATTCTTTTTGAATCTTCTGGGTTTCTCTGGCTGGAGTGGTTATTTGGCAATTGGTTAAGAGCAGCTGGTTGGCTGACCTTGGGCTTTTGAGTTCCTTATGTCTGAAACCATGGCAGGCAGCCAGATTGCATCAAGCCACTATCAGGTGTGTGTGTTCCTAATCACAGCCTGAACTTCAGAATTGGGCAAGTCCTGACTGGAGTGAGCAGAGAAAGGGAGAATACTTTAGGGAACAATGTGAAATAATCAGATCTGAGGAAGAAGGAGGTAGGGGAGGGAATAAACATTTTTTCAGCATCTGTTCTGTGGCAGGGTATGAACTAGAAGTCAGAGGCTACCCAGAGCGTGCCAGGTTGAAGATGGCGGGCCATTTGGCAAGGGAGTTGGGTCATGCCTTCTCATAGATTGAGCGGAGGAGAGCTCTACAGCTTTACCAATTTTAGGAAGAATAAATTTCTTTTATGCTTTGACATAAAACAAGAACCCAAGTCATCATTATACTTTTCTTTCTAGGTCTGTCAGTGGCCCAGCGGAAGTTTGCTCATTCACTCAGAGACTTTAAGTTTGAGTTTATCGGTGATGCTGTGACAGATGATGAACGATGCATAGGTAATTAAACATGATATTTTGGTTTGTTTTCCTTTGCCATGGCCACCAAATAATCACTCCTTTCTTCTTACAGATGCTTCCTTACGTGAATTTTCAAATTTTTTGAAGAATCTGGAGGAACAGAGAGAAATTATGGTGAGTTGAGAGGGGTGTAAATTAATAAGTCAGCTTTCAAGGGGGAAAAAAATCTGGATTTGGAAGCTTGTTCTGGTAGAAGTTGTGAAGCATTTATCCCTGGGTACAGTAGTGCATTGTAATGGAAAGATGAGGTTTCCGGAGCCCTGATTTCTAGTTCCTTGAGGGTGCTGACCACGGTCAGAACTTGGAGAAGCTGCTGGGCCTCTCGACCAAGGCCTTACTTCTTCATCTGTAAAGTGGACAGTAGGACTACATCACTGCTTTCTAGCTTTTTGTTGCAGCAGAGCACTTTAATTTATGTAGGCTCTCATGCAGAAGCTTAATATATCAGCGGGATAAAAGCAGAAAAGCTTATGTAGAAACAGAGGACAGCTGGGCAATGTTAGTGCCTGACTCATACTCCTGTAGATTTCTAGGCTGTGTGGAAAGGGAGAGAACTTGGGCCTTGGAGGTCTTTGAGATCCCACTTTGCATCAAGATTCATGATCATAACAAGAATAAGAAGAACTACCCTTGGCCAGGCATGGTGGGTCATGCCTGAAATTCTAGCCCTTTAGGAGGCTAAGCTGGGTGGATTGCACAAGCTCAGGAGTTCGAGACCAGCCTGGCCCACATGGTGAAACCGCATCTCTACAAAAATACAAAAACTAGCCAGGCATGGTGGCATGTGCCCATGGTCCCAGCTACTCAGGAGGCTGAGGTGGAAGGATCACTTGTGCCCAGGAGGCTGAGGTTGCAGTGAGCCGAGATTGTGCCACTGCCCTCCAGCCTGGGTGACAGAGCAAGACCCTGTCTCAAAAAAAAAGAAAAAACAAAACAAAAAACAAAAAACAGCTGTCCCCCATGGGGTGCTCTTCATATGCAGTGCTGTGCTGAGTGCCTTGAGTGTATGATCTCATTTGCACTCAACTGTAAATTTTGGGGTTATTGAATATTGTCTGCTTTTCTTAAAAGCTTACATTACCTTCCTAATGATATTCTTTAATTAAACCAGATTTACAGCAGAATTGCTACCAGGTTGTGACACACCATCTATTCTCACCATTTATTTCAGGCTTAAAAAAAAACACAGATTCAGGCTGGGCGAGGTGGCTCATGCCTGTAATCCCAGCACTTTGGGAGGCTGAGGCAGGCGAGTCACCTGAGGTCAGGAGTTCGAGACCAGCCTGGCCAACTTGGTGAAACCCCATCTCTACTAAAAATACAAAAAAATTAGCTGGGTGTGGTGGCATGCACCTGTAATCCCAGCTACTCGGGAGGCTGAGGCAAGAGAATTGCTTGAATCTGGGAGATGGAGGTTGCAGTAAGCTGAGAGTGAACCACTGCACTCCAAACTTGGCAACAGAGTGGGACTCTGTCTCAAAAAAAAAAAAATACGGATTCTTTTTTCTATATTCTTGAAAATGAGTACTATCTAGAATTACGTTATAGTGTAAGTGTATGAGTGGGTCTAGATGTGGTAGAAATAATACTGGACATATTAGCTAAGTTGGTTTACCTTGACTGTGTGCCAGTGCATTAGTCCGTTCTTACAGTGCTATGAAGAAATACCTGAGACTGGGTAATTTATAAAGGAAAGAGGTTTAATTGACTCACAGTTCCGCATTGCTGGGGAGGCCTCGGGAAACTTACAGTCATGGTGGTGGAAGGCAAAGGAGAAGCTGGCACCTTCTTCACAAGGTGGCAGGATGGAGTTGAGTGCAGGCAGGGGAAATGCCAGATGCTTATAGAACCTTCAGATCTCACAGGAACTCACTGTCATGAGAACAGCATGGGGGAAGCCACCCCCATGATCCAATTACCTCCACCTGGTCCTGCCCTTGACATGTGGGGATTATGGAGTTTACGCTTTCGTGTAAGATTTGGGTGGGGACACAGAGCCAAACCATATCAGCCAGGAGCTGTTCTAAGCTGTTTACCTAATGCTAAGTCACTGAATTCTCACATCAACCCTATGAGATAGATTCTGCTGTTGTTCCCCATTTAAAGGATGAGGAAACTGAGGCACATTACCTTGCCCTAGATCACATGGCATCTAGGAGGTAGAGCTGGTATGTGTTAAGAAGCAGGCACTCTGAACTGCCCTCCCTGTCACTGCAGCTGGCTTCGTAGGTGTCACTCTAATTTCCTGGGTGGTGGCTGGTGGGGGTTTATGTTGGCTAGGGCTGCGGGAGGACACTGATTTGGATTTAAAAAGTGACAGAGGGCTGGGCGCAGTGGCTGATGCCTCTGTAATCCCAGCACTTTGGAAGGCTGAGGTGGGTGGATCACCTGAGGTCAGAAGTTTGAGACCAGCCAGGCCAACCTGGTGAAACCCCGTCTCTACTAAAAATACAAAAATTAGCTGGGTGTTGTGGGCACCTGTAGTCCCAGCTACTTGGGAGGCTGAGGCAGGAGAATCAGTTGAGCCCGGGAGGCGGAGGTTGCAGTGAGCTGAGATGGCGCCATTGCACTCCAGCCTGGGCGACAGAGCGAGACTCCATCTCAAAAAAAAAAAAGTGACAGAGACATATGTCCTCAAAAGCCCTAATATAATTTGCACTCATTCCTAAATTTTGAGGTAATTTGTGTGTATATATTGTAGATACTGTAGAGGGTGTGTGAAGACAGTGTGGTCCCATGAGGTTTTTCTGGCACACACTGACAGATACAGTCATTATTCATGTGATCCTGTAGTCATCAATTTTTCAGCTATTTAGGAAAGACTAAATAAGATGGTGAATAAAAATAGTGCCATGACATCACCTTTCTAGTACATGGAGCCGATGTGTGGGCTGGTGAGGTACGTGTTCTTAGTTTATGTTAATAGTGTCAATTTTTTTTCTTAACCCTCTTTGATAGTTGTACTTCCCTGGCATCCTGAACATTGAGCGCATACCTATTGATCTCTTTTTATGTTCCAGTTGCTGTTGAGAATCTCAGGACAAAGGTAAAGGCAAAGAAAGCAAAAGTCTCTGCCTTCATGGAGGTTAGATTCTAGGCGGGGGTAGTGAAGTAGAAATAAACCTGTAATCCATTGGCAGGCAGTGAAAAATGCTACAAAACAATACAGGGCAAGGAGCCAGGTGGGGCGGGGCTACAGCATATCTGGAGTGGTGAGGTGCGGACTGCCTTTTCAGTAGGATACTGCACAAAGGGCATCATCCTGGTGTCTGGAGGAAAAGTTCTGAGCAGAGTGGTGCTGGATTTTAGCTCTACAGAAATAGCGTGTGACCATTGTTAGGCTCAGTATTCTGTTTCTGTTTTAGGTTCCTAGAAATAGAGCGATGAGGTCCAAAAACAGGAACATGGTATTGGCTCCAGGCTGTGTGGAGTAGACAGCATGGTTTGCAGAGCTGTTGTTAGCCAACTGGCTGGTTTAAGCTCCAGCTGTGATGGAGGTTGATAGGGTCTCTGTGTTAGACAAGGTTGGGTTCCCATGCAGGGTAGGAACGAGAATAGGGTGGTGTCTGTATAAGGCCATGAACCTTAGGAGTGGTGTGGTGTGTCATACACAACTCATTGTGGGAACAGAAACACCTGCTGGAAAGCAGGACGCTGTCCAAAGCTGGGGTGGGTGGCAGCCACAGCCAACCACGGAATTAACAGGACACCTCCTAATGCTTTCTTCCTTTTTAGCTTGGAAAATTTCAAACATGTACCAAAGTCGAGAGAAATATACAATGAAACTACATGGACTCGACATCCAGCCTCAGACCAGTCTCGTTTCTCCTGTGATCCCTACTCCCCTTGACCCCCTGCTCTCCTCATTATTTTGACAGAAAGCCCAGTTTCATTCACAAATACTTCAGTATATATCTCAAAAAGCAGACACTTAAAAAAACACAGTATCCTTATCACAATCAGTAATTTCTTAATTTTGTGAAAAGTTAGGTCATATTCAAGTTTTCCTGATACTCATTCCAATTCTGCCTCTTTCCCTCCCCAAGCCCCGCCCTCAATAACAGTTGGTCTGTTTGAATCTGAGTCCAAACATATTACATTTGACTGATACATTTCCAAGTCACTTTCAATCTATAGGTTCTTCTCCCCATCCGCTTTTTTTCTCCTTTACAAGAATTCCTGATCCTTTTATATTTGCCTCGGAAACCTTTAAAATAGTACTTTCCTAAGTTATCAGTGAGTTGCAATAATGAAATTAGTAAAAGTTGAAAAGTTGGATTCTTAACCCATATTGACATTGTTTGGGTACTTCTCATCTTGATAGTCACTGATCACTTTTTTTTTTTTTTAAAGTGGAATCACTGTGGCTACCTTTGTTTCTTTAAATACCTTTGAATGCTTACTAAAACATAACTGATGCATTGCAGAACACTCGCCTGAAACTTTTGAGGAAGAATAGATACTTGCCTCAAGAAATTTCCAGTGTGATACTGGAGAGTAAGTGGTAAAGAGCTAATTAAATAGCCTATACTAAGTGCTTCAGACAAGGAATGGGAAAAGAAAACAATATACAAAGTGCGCCAGCAAAGATAATGTGGCTCACATGGAGTGGGCAGCCCCTAAGCTTGTGGCTGTTAGGAAAGGGTTTATGGAAGAAGTATTGGAGCTAGAGTTTGTGGGGTGGAGACACAGCAGAGGGCCTTTGTATAGTTTAGTAAGCCCATACCCCCGACACCGGGACAAGGAGAAAAGGAATGTCTTTAAGCAGCTAAAATGGTTGCCAGTACATTCTGAGAACTTTGAAAGACTCTTGTTTTACTTAAATTTTTTTTAACTTAAAAGTTTTAGAAACCATCAGCATGTTAAAAGCCACAGATTAAGAAAGGAATGCAAAATGACTGTAAAATGGAGGTAGAAATAGTCTAAAATTGGTTCCAAGGATTTCATAGTGGTCACTTAATCTTTTTTTTTGTTTGTTTTTGAGATGGGGTCTCGCTCTGTCACCAGGCCTGAGTGCAGTGGTGCAATCTCAGCTCACTGCAGCCTCCGCCTCCCAGGTTCAAGCGATTTTCCTGCCTCAGCCTCCTGAGTAGCGGGGACTACAGGTGTGCGCCACCACGCCCAGCTCATTTTTGTATTTTTAGTAGAGATGGGGTTTCACCATGTTGGCCAGATGATCTCAATTTCTTGACCTTGTGATCTGCCCGCCTCATTCACCCAAAGTGCTGGGATTACAGGCATAAACCACTGTGCCCATTCCACTTTATCTTTAAAAGCAATTAGTTTAGTATTTTCTGAAATCCTAAATTGAATAATGGTGCAGCATAATATTAATAATTGGATATTCATAATTAAGACTGAGTCATTAAAATGTTAAAACTACATATGTCTATTTTAGAAGGCAAACAGTAATGTCAACTATTTTAAAATGTTTTCTGAATCTTAAGGGTAAGATGAGACTTTAGGTTTTAAGGGATAAAGTCATCTGTGTGTATGCTCAGCAATCCCTGTTGGTTTTGAGCCACCAGTTATATAAGTTCATACGCCTCATCTCTATGCTTAAATAGGCTGTATTAAGTATACAGTTCAACAAATAGTGTGTGCCTGCCACATGCCAAGCACTGTGCCACATGCTATAAAGATAAAGACATAAGTAGTGATTCATCCATTGGAGGAGATGGCTGAAAGAAGGCATGTAATTTCCAACATGCTTCGTGGTAATCAAGTGATTGAGAAATTCAGGGAAGGCATCTTGGAGAGGTGATATCTGGGCTGAGTTGAAGGATGAGCCTTAGCTATGTCTGGTTTCCTCCTTGAGGGGAAACTGTTGAAATTTCGAAAAGAGGGAAGGATATGTTTGCATAGCCCCTTCCTTTCCCCCCTACAATGTCCAGCTTTGTTCCTACTAAAGTGAATTGTTGGAGAGAGAAGTAGAGCAATTGCCAGTCTAAGAAAAAAAGTCAGTGTTTCCCTCCACACTCAAAGAAGTGTAATTTCTATGAATACACATGCCTCACCCTTTAAAAAGTCAAGATAGTTTTTTTTTTTTTTGAGATGGAGTTTCGTTCTTGTTGCCCAGGCTGGAGTACAGTGGCATGATCTCAGCTCAGCTGCAACTTCTGGCTCCCAGGTTCAAGCGATTTTCCTGCCTCAGCCTCCCCAGTAGCTGGGATTACAGGCACCTGCCACCATGCCTGGCTAATTTTTTTGTATTTTTTTTTTTTTTGAGATGGAGTCTTGCTCTGTTGCCCAGGCTGGAGTGCAGTGGTGTGATCTCAGCTCACTGCACCCCTGCCTCCTGGGTTCAAGCGATTCTCCTGCCTCAGCCTCCCGAGTAGCTGGAACTACACGCGGGTGCCACTATGTCCGGCTAATTTTTTTTGTATTTTTAGTAGAGACAGGGTTTCACCGTGGTAGCCAGGTTGGTCTCGATCTCCTGACCTTGTGATCTTCCTGCCTCGACCCCCCCATCGTGCTGGGATTACAGGTGTGAGCCACCGCGCCCAGCCAATTTGTTGTATTTTTAGTAGACATGAGGTTTCACCATGTTGGGCAGGCTGGTCTCAAACTCCTGACCTCGGGTGATCCACCCGCCTCGATCTCTGAAAGTGCTGGGATTACAGATGTGAGCCACCGCGCCCGGCCAGGACAGTGTTTTTGAGTGAGTAGTTTTTGCTGATCATGTTGCCACCCTTGACTCTGGAGGTGAAGAACTCAACCTGGGGAGTCAGATCTGATACAGTTAGTGGCTGCAACTGCTCTACTCACTTCTGCGCGTGTTCTCAGAGGAAAGGGCTGTGTGGTGTGTTGCTGCCAGAATTCCAGAGATGTTCTCTCTGGCATGGCAGGACATGTTGTACTTATCTGAGGTGGGCAGCTGTCCAGGAATCTAAGGACTTTTAAAATAGTGCTGTAGTGTTTATGTTGTTCTTTTAAAAGCCCTTCATATTGCGTTTACTTCTCTACATGTATTCTTTTATCAGATCATTGAGTTTCATCCCTAGCCTAAAATGGTTGCCCAGTTTCTCAGGATTCTGGCAAATAAGGGCAATTGGTTGAGACCCAGAGGTTCAGGAAAACTGCGGGGAAGCGGGAGTGCCAGGAGAGAGAAGGTGGAGCTTGCCTGATGGTGCACAAAAGGTGCCTGAGATGGAGCTGTTCCGCCTCCCTCTCATCCTGGGGGTGCTGGGGGCAGACTGGGCTGCTAAGGAGATGTGAGGAAGTGTCTTGTCCACGGCTGCACCCCTTTCCCCATTTGGGCAGGAAAGCCCTTTGCCTATGCAGACTCTTCAGGCTTTTGAGACCCTTTTCTTTTTCTGTTGTTTTTCTCTACCACAGACTTTACCCTTGTGAAAATACCAGGCCAGGGATCACTTCCTGGGTGACCTGCCCTGACCTTTTGCCCCTATAGGGAAGGTACTAAGCTGCTGCATACCAAAGGCTTTTGTTAGCATTTAGATGGTCGGTCACAGGCAAGACGTGATGCCTGCTCTCTCAGCCCTGGCCTGTGCTTTACTGCACCCCCTTCTCATCATCCTTTCATGCTCTCAAATCTCCTCCATAAGTTTTTGGACTTTTGACACGGATTTTTGTTCCAAACTATTAGGTTGGTACAAAAGTAATTGCGGTTTTTGCCACTTTTTTTTTAAATGGTCAAAACCACAATTCCTTTTTTTTTTTTTTTTTTTTTTTGATGGGGGGAGCCTTGCTTTGTCTCCCAGGCTGAAGTGCAGTGGTGGGATCTTGGCTCACTGCAACCTCTGCCTCTCATGTTCAAGTGATTATCCTGCTTCAGCCTCTTGAGCAGCTGGGACTATAGGCACTTGCTACCACACCCAGCTAATTTTTGTATTTTTAGTAGAGACGGGGTTTCACCTTGTTGGCCAGGCTGGGCTCGAACTCGTGATCTCACGTGATCTGTGCGAATTGGTCTGCCAAAGTGTTGGGATTACAGATGTGAGCCACCGCACCCAGTTGAAACCACAGTTAACTTTTGCACTTACCTAAATATTTTTTAAAAAGTGTTTCAGAGTATTACTAAAAGAATGTATGATGGTTAAAATGAGTTAAATGCATTCCACCTTTTAGGAGCAAATATGCTATTCTTTCTTTAGTATGCCCTAGGGCACTTGTCATCAAAGTATGGTCCCTGGTCCAGCATCACTTTAGGAACGTGCAAGAAATGCACATTCTCAGGCCCACCCCAGAACTCTACTGAGTCAGAAACTCTGTCAGCTGGTCTTTCATGAAACTCTCCAGGTGATTCTGAAGCAGGCTGAAATCAGAGCTACTGGCTTAGGGTGCTAGTGAAATCTTGGCTGGCAATCCTTTCCTTAGGGTTAGATCTGTCTGGACGTTGGATACACTCTAAATTGTTTCGTGATGACTGTGTCCCTGTCAGGAGGTTAAAATAGTGATGGAAAGCCTAAGCTTTGACTTCTCATTTCCAAAGGATTTGAGACTATAGCTGGTTTGTGTTAATGGAATAGGTTTAGTAGGATTTTTAGTGTTACTTACTTTGTATTTAATATTGCTTGTGAGTTCTTATAGGATAAGTACCTAAGGCATTAGATGCCATTAAAAAGATTATGCCTTTAGTTTCATCTTATTATATTTACAGTATTTTATATGGCATGTGAAGCTTGTTTTAATCAGTTCTTTTACAGTTTATGTGGATTTCTGTTGGCAGGCACATTCAGAATGGAGGAAATTCATCTTGAACTTATTTGTGAGAACATTTCTCAGTTTGGTTTAAAAGTTGTCAGTGACCTAATTTTATGAAGACTTTTTCCTCCTTGGAACTGACCTTTACAATTGGACAGCATTGCTTTTTCTTACAATTCTCTTTTTCCCGTAAGCCTGTTATTCAGTCAGATAGGGATGTCTTTGTAAAACCTGTTTTTCAGGAATGTACCGTTTGAGAGTTTAATTTACTGACTCAGAATCCTATAGAGATCACAGTCAGGAATAACTCAAATCAAAATTCTAAAATGAGTGAAGATTATCTTAGGCAGGAGGCCTGTCTCCTTCTTGGACCCCTTTCCCTGCAAGGCCTTGCCCCATGACTCAGTGTCCTCTCTGTTGGTGACTCATTATCATCTGTGGCCTTCCAGCCTTGTCATCATCAGATTCTACTTCCCTGTTGAAACTTACATTTCCTGAATTTCATATCCTTAGGGTGTATTCTCTGCTTCTGAGGAATCGGCCAACTCTGCTCTCTTCTTCCCCCTGACTGCCCCGCCCGACATACACACACCCACCCACACACACACAAGGGACCCTAGAATGTAACCAGCCCATTTAATTGTCTAATCCAGAGGAGTGATTCGATTATTGGGAATGTGTGCAGCTGAGTCTGCTGTTTCACTAGGGAAATATTTCGGGATGAGCCAAGGTACCTAGGATCAGCCTTTAGACCATGTCATGAAAATATTAGATGGTATAGCCTTGAAAACAAAGAACTGAAGAGAACTTAGGGAGACATATTTGACCACTTAATTTTTTTTTTTTTTTAAAAAGAGGAGTCCAGGCACGGTAGCTCACGCCTGTAATCCCAGCACTTTGGGAGGCCGAGGTGGGTGGATCTTGAGGTCAGGAGTTCAAGACCATCCTGACCAATGTGGTGAAACCCTGTCTCTGCTAAAATTACAAAAATTAGCCAGTCGTGGTGGCGGGCACCTGTAATCCTAGCTACTTAGGAGGCTGAGGCAGGAGAATCGCTTGAACCTGGAAGGCGGAGGTTACAATGAGCTGAAATCGTGCCACTGCACTCCAGCCTGGGTAACAGAGCAAGACTCTGTCTCAAAAAAAAAAAAAAAAAAGGAAATTGGAGCTCATTGAGGGTGGAGTTTCTACATCACTAAATAAGGTTGTGACAGAGATGAAAATAGAATCTTTCACATCTTCTAGTATCCTAACGACATTATGCCTTACCTTTTTCTCTTTGTAAGACATAATATTTTTCCTTCCACCTTTGAACATTAGTGAAATGGATATGTATCTTATAGTTGCTATCCACCAGGCAGCAGTCATGAAACGGACATGAGGTTACTTCTCTTTTACTCTTTGGACAACTGTAGCTCCTCAGTATTTCAGTCCACAGACCACTTAAGGAAGAAATATGAATGCTGGTGGTGGTTTGAAAACCTTCCGTTGAGACCTGGTTAGGTCAAGGAAGTGCTGGTATCAGTATCCAAAGAGTGGGTGCCTGCCATCATCTTGGAAGAAAATCCTGGATACAAGAATGGAGCTCCTTAAGAGCACCCTTTGAAGAAATGATGCATCTCCAGTATTTTCAGTGGCACAGAGGAAAAATATGTGTGGTGATACGGTTTGGCTCTGTGTCCCCACCCAAATCTCACCTTGAATTGTAATCCCTATGTGTTGAGGGAGGGACCTGGTGGGAGGTGATTGGGTCATAGGGCCAGTTTTCCCCATGCTGTTCTTGTTATAGTGAGGGAGTTCTCACGAGAGCTGATGGTTTAAAAGTGGCAGTTTACCCTGAACTTGGTTTCTCTCCTGCCACCATGTAAGACGTGCCCTTCTTTCCCTTCCCTTGTGCCAAGATTGTAAGTTTCCTGAGACCTCTGCAGCCATGTGGAACTGTGAGTCAGTCAAACATCTTTTGTTTATAAATTACCCAGTCTCAAGCAGTAACTTCATAGCAGTGTGAAAACAGACTAATTCATGTGGGAAAAACCAGATTTTGATGACTGAGATGAAAAGTGATTCAGAGGAGTTGGACTTTGAAGAAGTTTTAGAAATATCTTAACAAAAGTAGTTTGCTTACTTCTTTATGCACAAGAGGGATACATGATGAAAACATACCTTTCAAAGAGCTTTTTCAATGTATATAAAAGTGCTAAGTGTTAAGCTATTATTTCAAGATTAGCAGGATTTTTTTGTGGTAGGATATAAAATAATGGAGTGTTTTACAGTTGGTGGTGATTAGATTCAATGATATATATATTAAGTTGGTGGTAGAGATTGTGTTAGATATTCAAGAAAATGCCAATGTAGTGGGAAAATATGGTTTCGAAGCTGTGGCAGCCATGGGCACCTCTCAGATAGAGGAAGGAGGAGTGACATTGACTATCAGGCCCAGCTGCTCTGTGGTACAGTTGTGTTAGTGTGAAAGCCATGCCTCCCACGTTCTGCCTATCTTTGTCTGTTTTCTGTTGCTTATAACAGAATACCTGCAACTAGGTAAATAAAAGGAATTTGTTTCTTACAGTTATGGAGGCTGAGAAGTCCAAGAGTGGGGGACCCAGGTCTCTCTTCCTTTTTCTTTCTATAAAGTCACCAGTCTACTCCTGTGATAACCCATTAATCCATTAACTCATTAGGCTGGGAATGGTGGCTTACACCTGTAGTCCCAGCACTTTGGGAGGTGAGGCACGAGGATTGCTTGAGCCCAGGAGTTCAAAACCAGTCTGGGCAACATAATGAGACCCCATTTCTGCAGGGGCAGGGGGAAGCCAGGTGTGGTGGTGGCACGCATCTGTAGGCCCAGCTACTTGGGAGGCTGAGGTGCGAGGATTGCTTGAGCCTGGGAGGTTGAGGCTGCAGAGAGCTATTATTGTGCCACTGCACTCTAGAGTCTGGGTGATAGAGTGAGACCCCATCTCAAAAAAATTAATAAAATTCATTAACCCATTAATTCATCAGTGGATGAATCCATTCATCTTTTAAGGCCCCACCTCTCAATAATGCCAGACTGGGGATTAAGTTTCAACTTGTTTGAATGTCCCAAGCCTTCTAACGGCAGCCTTGTTAGACTTACCCCAGAATGGCACTGCAGCCTCACCCACACACACAAACACACAGACACATCCACCCACCCACACTCACACCCACACCCATACACATACCCACCCACTTCCACCCGCACACCCACCCACCTGCCCCCACCCTCACACCCATACACACCCACCCATCCGGCTTGCTTTCCTTCCCTGTCTCCTTCCCCTGGGTCAGACCTGCATCACTGTCTGATGGCCCCTCCAGTCTTCCCTGGCTCCCTCCCCATTTTCTCTCACAGATGTTTCCCCTAATAAATTTCTTGTGTGTCTCATCCTGTCTTGGTGTCTGCTTCTTAGAGGACCTGGACTAACAAAAATGAACCATTTGGAGTAAAAGATTCAGGGTACTTAGCATTGTCATTCATCGGTTGCTATTATCACTATAAGCAGAAAATGTTGCTTTTATGTAGAAATGCTGTTCTTTAAATTATCTAAATTTATAGGAGAATCCCACTTCATTTATAAATATTTTGAGTGCCTACTATGAGCCACCGTGTTCTCACACCTGAGGATACAATGAGGAAACCCTTGTCCAGAGTGCTCAGCTAGTGGCCGCCTGGTAGAGAATGAGTTCCCAAGAGTTTTTCAACCCTGCAGCCCTTGTTTTTTACTGTTGACTGCCACTTTTTTCTCTTAACCCGTGCATCACAGATGGGCTGGAAAGAAAAGCTTTTGTCATTGATTAAAGCCATTCTTTTCTGAATGTTTCTTTTCTTCTCTCACATTTTTTCTTTTTCTTTTCCTTTTCCCTTAAGTCTTGCTCTGTCGCCCAGGCTGGAGTGCAGTGGCAGGATCTTGGCTCACTGCAGCCTCTGCCTCCCAGGTTCCAGAGATTTTCCTGCCTCAGTCTCCCTGAGTAGCTGGGGTTACAGGCATGTGCCACCATGCCTGGCTAAATTTTGTATTTTTAGTAGAGACAGGGTTTCACCATGTTGGCCAGGCTGGTCTCAAACTCCTGACCTCAGGTGATCTGCCCGCCTTGGCCTCCCAAAGTGCTGGGATTACAGGCATGAGCCACTGCGCCTGGCCTATTTTATTTTCTTGATTTAACAGTTTATTGCCTTAGTATGCACGAGGTTCCATTTCTAGCTGTGCCACTGAGTCATACCATTCACTTCAGAAACTAAAATTTTCTCTTATGTAAAACAAAAAAAAAATTCAAAATTGCCTCATGAAACTTTAATTTCTATGGGGTTTTTATTTCCTCTCATAATAATATTCTTCCCAAGTATTTATTTTGTTTAAAATATCGAAGCGAGGTTCTTACTGTCCCTTATGCACAGAGGGAAGGAAGATCAAGTTTCAGCATCTGCTGCATATCCTTATTAGGCAGACTCATTCCTTAAATACTCAGTAGCTTTTGTTTTATGATTCTCATTTTTTCCTAAGTGTACTTAAAAACAAATCTTTACAGGTAGATTGTGTTTGATTTAAATAATCTGAATAAAATTTCTGCTATCTTTTTTCAGTTAATGTCCTTCAGAATGGATGCTAGCTTTTCTTTTGTGGGAGGCAAACACACCCTAACATACTTGTTCGTAGAAGATAGATACTAAGAGAATCGTAGACTTTGGTGATACATTGACCTTTTTTTTTATTTTTATTTTTTGAGAGAGCCAGGTCATAGGCAGATATTCAGGGAATTAAATCAGAGACCAGAAGTTGTCAGAATTTCAGCCTTAATCCTCTTTAATAGGACTAGGTTTCAAGTTTTTCACAGTTCAGGATTGAAAGTTGATAAAATTCTTACTGGGGACATTTTATTCTTGGATTATCTGTATGAAAGCAGAAGTGTGATAATTGAACTAGTCGATTTGGGATATATACTTTAAAATCATAGTTTCTAGCTTATTATGTGAGTCGTCTTTGGTCTGAAAGAATGAGGCATTATTCAACAGCCATTTCCTATTAATCGGCTCCTGATTTTCAAGTTTGAACCCTGTGGAATTAATTTATAGCACCTGAGCACCTGTGTCCCAGTTAGAGCTTTGTGCGTGGGTTCCTTAAATCTAAGTACCAAGTAAGCTAGTACTTAGCTAATGAGTGTGAGCTATTGCCATCATAAAATTGAATTTCGTTTTTACATTAGTTTCTCTACTGGGAAAATTAGATTAGCTTGAGCTGTGCTTGAAAATAAAATACCATACTGGGATTTGTTGGGAAGTTACAATTGCTTCAAGTATGATGTGCCTTTTTTTTTTTAAATTGTTTTAGGTAGGGAGAAAGTATTATTCCTGGCTTTATAGTTGAGAATATTCAGGTAACAAAAGGAAATTGTTATTTTCTGTCATCTAAAAATAGAACTAGTTAGGGCAGAGCCAAAATGAAAACACGTTGGCCTCCTATTTTTCCGTGCTGGAGGGCCCTCGTAGCGAAATCGATTGTGAAACTTTTTCACTTTTTGTCAACATTAGTCTTTTGACTCTTGTTCTTTCTCTTATGTCAGGTATTAAAGTGGGGGAACTTTATTGGCCATCTTAATCTTTCTATTTAAACTTGAGCCTAGAATGATGGGGAAGGTATAGGCCGGGGGAGGCTGGATAGATGGAGAAAGAGGTACCAAAGGGTGAGTGTGGAGGGAGAGTGATGTAATTAATTGATAATGAATTGGTTTAATTAGGGGAACTCTTGTGTTAGGAGTATAGAGAAAAGAATACGAAAGCATTTTGTCAAGATTGTTTATACGGTTCTGAAATTCTAAAAAATACTAATCCTTTATTAGTCTGGATTCTCAATTGCAAGCACTAGCTAGTTTGAACATAAAGGAAATTCATTAAAGGGTATTGGGTTTCTTGTAGTATCTTTAAGAGATGTGGGGAACCAGGAATGATGCCCAGGTTGTACCACAGAGCTGGGCTTAGAGCAGATGCCACTATTGCTACTGGATGTGGACACTACAGTTTGCACCAAGAGCCTCACTGCCCTGTGGCTGTTGGAAGAACTGCTGCCTCTGGAAATTAGACTAGTTGCTGCCACCTCGCTAGAATCTCTGGTCACTGTTTTTTTTTTTTTTTTTTTAAAGCAGTAGCTTTTGAATCCAAGTCTTGGATGGGACCATCTCATTAGTGGAACCCTAGCTAGGTGTCATTACCTTACTGCAAGCCAGTGTCTGTCATTTTTGGCTTTTATGGTGGGAGGTGGACTTTGTTTCAGTGGGAAGGAGAATTCCTCAAACATAGGAAGGGGTTTCAAGTGCTGGGCAGCCCAAAAGGACTGATGTTCCTGTATGTGCCTGATTGTAAGACAACATTATTTTCCCAGAAGATTAAACATAATAAAATTGTTTCAGACAACTTGAACACGTATACTTTTAGGTATGCATATGTACATCTGCTAGATAATCAGATGTCTCCCTTCATCATTTACTTGATTAAATATGTGTCCATATTTAAAATCAAATAATAGGCAAAGTCAGCATATATTTTAGAAACATTTTCTGCACTTATTTAATAAAAAATTTGTCCCAGCTCTTGGCACCTTTGAGATTAGTATATTCATCATGGATACATTCTGAATTTTTCAGTACAGCTTTCCAGAGCATTGATGGCCACATCTGCCTGAGTTCTTTGAGCTATAGCACCTAAAATCTTTCTGATGCTTTCACTGGAAATTTTATCTCAAGCCAAAAGTATATGTTAGCAGCCCATTTGGACAGTCTCTTTAAAAAACTTATTCCTGAACCTGGCACAGTGGCTTGAATCCATAATTCCAGCTACTTAGGAGGCTGAGGCAGGAGGATTGTTTCAGCCCATGATTTCGAGGCTGTAGTGATCTGTTATCACACCATTGCACTCCAAGCCTGGGTGACAGAGTGAGACCCTTGTCTCTTAAAAAAAAAACACACACACACACACACCAAAGACTTAACTCTGGGATATGTTTCCATGATTTCTCTTCCTCCTCTTCTTCTTCACAGGGTCTAACTGTTGCTTGGGCTGGAGTGCAGTGGTGTAGTCACTGCTCCCTGCAGCCTCAACCTCTCGGCCTCAACTAGCCTCCCACCTCAGCCTCCTGGGTAGCTGAGACTACAGATGCATGCCACCCCACCTAGTTAATTTTCTGTATTCTTTATAGAGATGGGGTTTATGCCTTGTTGCCCAGGCTATGATTTGTTTAATGTAACCACTGATCTTATTCCTTTTAAAGTGAGCTTTATAAAATTACTGAATACAAAATTTTGAAGTCATCTCTGGAATTGTAACTAAATATCTTAAATTTCTTAGTGTCCCTTTGTTTTTGTAACTTAGTCCTGTTTGTAATCTCTAAGTATCTGAAACTAAATGTGATTAGGGCTATTTTAGGCTAAGATTCCTCAAACAGTTGTTGATCAAAATAATGGGAAAGTCCACTCCTTTAGAAGACTCTTAAGAACTCTTACACGAGGCAAGTTCTTTTTTTTCCTAACAGATCATTTTGGGAAAAAGATTCCTTTATGTTTAGATCTATCGTATCTATCTATCTATCTATCTATCTATCTATCTATCTATCTATCTATCTATCTGTCTGTCTGTCTATGTATATATAAAGTTTCTAGGCACCATTTAAGATTCCGTTTCAAGGAAAAACAAGAGCTGTGTTTTTGCTGAATGGTTTCTTTGCTGCTATTCTTGACATTAGAATTGGAAAACAGAATTTTCCCTTTAGTTTAATGAAATGGGAAGTATCTGGAAGGTCATGGGAGAAAATAGGGGAGATATTCCTTTGTTCTCAGATTATGCATTCCTCTGGGGTCAAAAACACGTGGAATCCAGGCTTAAAATAATGAGTGTTCTGGGGAACGGATGTAAAATTCCTTCTGTTTCACTATACTCAGCCTATCCTTGTTAGTACTGAGTGATTAGAAAGGCATGATTTAGTAGTTATACTGACTTACTCAGTTTTACCTAGACTGAGACTTTAGAAAATTGTTACTAAAGATACTATAGGATGTAGGTATGCCTTTGTTGTGTTTTTACTGGGTATGGGGTTATAGCCCTAAGTCCTATTGTCTTTAGAATTTATGACATCAGAACTTAGACTTTGATTTCCAGTGTGGGGGAATGTAAAGTTGTTGGAGTGGTTCCTCCCCACAGTGGAGTCTGATTCTCTGCAGGTTGGTTGTTATTCTCAACAGATTTTTTAGCTCTAGCGTGGACTGTGGAGGATAGATTAAGATAACATAACTTTCCTTTCCTTTTTAGACATTTAAGATCCTTACATCCGAATGTCTGACGAAAAAGGATTTCAGACTTGAGTAATTGTGGGAAACATTTTAATCCTCCACACTGTTACATAATACTCTTTTTACTTTGAATTGTGAAGTTCTAATGGATTCTCTAGTTTGCTGTTGTAGCATGATTCTCAAAACTACAGCATGGAAATGTACTTTGTACTTCTGTGTCTCCCAGCTCATTTAGAATCCCAGATTGATAGAGATGGATGAGGACCTCCGCTGTCCTCTTGGCCAGCTTTCTCCCAGTGCAGGCATGTGTGAGAGGGTATTCCTGGTCATGGGTCATCTAGTCTCTGCTTGGTTATGTGGAGGGAGCTGGAGGTCACCACCTTGCCAGGCAGCCTGTTTCATTATAGTTCTCTTGAGTCCCTATGATAGGAAACCCAAATCTGCTACTCTGCAGCTTCTACCCATCAAACCTGGCTTTGCTCCCTTTAAGCAAATCAGAATGATTTTTTTTCTTCTCTCATGCAGTACCCATTTAAATATTTAAAGACAGCTTTCATGTTTCCACTAAATGTTCTCTTCCTCCCCACTCACATGAAACATCTAGTTTTTTTTATTTCTTCCTCCTAAACCTTTTTAGCATTCTGGTTACATTCCTGCTTTACCCCAGTTGGAAATGGCTGTTTTAAAATGTGGTAACCATGCTATTGAGGTAAGCTCTAATCTAACGGGGGATGCAGTCGAGTGCTTACCTTGTTTGGATTCAGGCGGTATGTGTCATCAGTGTATGTTACAGGGTCAATTTGTGGCTCCATTGGCTTATGTTAAACTTTCAGTTAAGAGAACATTTTAGGAGATTTGAGCCCAGTATGAAATTCATGTGACCTGTTCTCGAGACATCTTGCACACCTGAGCAGTTGCCTTTCAGCATCCTGTAGATTGCTTATCCCAGGCAAATCCTAACGGCGCTACTTTTGAGTCCCTCTCTTTAGCTCGAGAGCTCCTTGAACTGTGATTCTTTTATCCAGCATTCCTTCTTCCTTCCCAACTTCTGATTGGCTGCAAATATTGTAAATGTATATTTTTTAAAAATACAAGATAAGCGTAAGAGCATTGTTTTGCCATGATACTCAAGATGATCCTTTCAGGCAGGGTTTGGCAAACAGTGACCCATGGGCCTGACCTACCTTGCTTCCTCTTTTTGTAAGTCAAGTTTCGTTGGAACACACTTGGACCCATCATTCATATGCTGTTTGTGGCTGCTTTTGTGCTACCACAGCAGAGATGAGTAGTTGGAACTGCAGCTGCATGGCTGCAAAGCCTAAATTATTTACTACCTGGTCTTTTATGGAAAAAGTTGGCTGACTTCTGCTGTGAGGAGAGAGCATCTGATTATTTCATGTTCAAGAAGCTTCCTTTTGTTTCCAAGCAGAGCTATCCAAAACCCTTTCCAAGGCTCACTAGCCAAGGCATTTTGCGACTTCTTTTCTTGGCTGGTTCAAGTATTTTATAGGAATATGATTATGTAATCTGTATGTGTGGTTATAAAATCACATTCTGTACTTGTTCTCTTATCTAATTTCTAATATGTTAGTATTTGAAAACTTCTCAATATTATTACTTCATCCATCTCCTTGACATTGGGAAACTGTCATCACTGTAAATTGCCTTTTAAGTTTTAGGGACAGTCCTAGATTTGGTATTCATTTGTTGCTGGGGAAGAAGGATCATGTTTCACCATTAGGAAACATCAGTAACACTTACTACTAACAAATATTATATAATATTTCTGTGAAATTATAGCAGGAAGTGAGAGATTCCGTGGAGCTTCCAGTCTATTTTGAGAAAAGGAAATTCTTGTTGCTCAGTTGACATTGCCTTATTGAAACATTTATTGGCTTCTTTATTATTTTGTTCTTAAATATAATTTTTAGGTTCAGTTTAGAAGTTATAAAATCAGGCTTTGCTAAAGAAGGAAAATCATAATTTTAAGCTCTTCAAAGTATTTTTAATAAAAAAGTTTTTTATAAATGAGTTGGATATAGTGTTATTTGCCACAACTACTACTATCCTTGTTTTGGAAATTTGCTTACCGATCTGAAGATAGTAAGGCAGAAACCCTTATATTCTTCCTCCCACGTCACCCCCAAGATGGAGTCTTGCTCTGTCACCCATGCTAGAGTGCAGTGGTGCAATCTTGGCTCACTGCAACCACTGCCTTCTGGGTTTGAGCGATTCTTCCTGCCTCAGCCTTATGAGTAGCTGGGATTACAGGTGCCTGCCACCATGCCCGGCTAATTTTGTTGTATTTTTAGTAGAGATGGAATTTCACCATATTGACCAGCTGGTCTCAAACTCCTGACCTCAAGTGATCCACCCGCCTCGGCCTCCAAAAGCGCTAGGGTTATGGGGTGTGAGCCACCATGCCTGGCCGTGAAACCCTTATATTCTTTTTCTACTCTAGTGTTAGCCTTTGGGGCTCAGACGGATATTGCATTGAATTCTCCAAATGAAGGAAAAATATAATGACCTAAGATTGCTCTTGTGTAATCTTTGTAGCCTGGTTCTTTTGGTGGAAGACAGTGTTTACTCCAGAGTATGGAGTTTTGGGGTTCTTATTTTAAAATGCCTTCATGTGTCTATATTATTTATAACCTACCTCTACTTTCTGAGCATTTCCTGGGTCCCATTCTGATGGCTAATGGAGACCATCCGATATCTCTAGCCTTGTCTCGTGATCCTCTCTGATTTCCTCATCTGCTTTAGTGACACCGAGCTGCTTAGGTTCCATGCCCTGAAATTGCTGTTTTCCCCTCTCCACATGGAAGGCCTTTGCCTGGAGAACACCGTCCCTCTGTTTCAGGCTGAGCTGTGCATAATCTCCTTCAGGAAGTCTTCTCTTACCCAGGGGGCCTTCCTCCTCTGCTCCCCAGAAGCTCTGCGCAGCTTGCCAGCACTTTGTCTGCCACGTCATACTGTGCTGACGTGTTCACATCTCTTAGAAACACTCGCCTGGGATGAACTCAGCCACCCACCTTTTCCCTTCCTTGCTGGAGAAAATCCCACAATAAGGCAGATGATAACTTCATAAACTCCTCCTCACCTATCTCAAAAGGACTTCTTGTTTCTCTAAGAAGTGTTGTCTCATTTGTAATGATTCTTTCATTCATTCTTCAGTTAGTTGGGCGTGAAACTTCTCATGTCCAAACTCTCTGCAAGTGACCTTGTTTTGTACTTTATGGAAAAAATAGCCATTTGGTAGCAACTCTCAGCTTTTTGTCATGAAGCCCACAAACCCGTTTGTACTGGGCACCCCTTTTCTCCTTCTATCACAGGGAAGGAAGGATTTTGACTCGTATGACAGGCCAACCCTCCATGCATGCTCAGCATCCCATCTCCTCCCGTGTCAGAGATTTTGAACCATTCTTTCTGGATTCTTCACATGGGCATTTAGACATGCTCTCATCTCTTAAATACCAGCTGTCTTAAAAGAATACATGCCTTTACTTTATGGCATGTTCTCTTTCAGCAGTCATCCTCTCTCTCTACTGCCCCACCTGGTCATTCTTTGAGGAAGGGTTGTTCCCCACGTGGTCTCACCTGTCAGTCATAAATCAACTCCAGCCCAGCCCTTTCTGCCACCTTGCCATGGATATTGCTGAGCTCTCATTCTTTCTTTAAAACGTCTCTGCAGCCCACACAGCTGAACTCCTTTTTTTTCTTTTTCTTTTTCTTTTTCTTTGAGACGGAGTTTCGCTGTGTTGCCCAGGCTGGAGTGCAGTGGCACGATCTCAGCTCACCGCAACCTCTGCCTCCTGGGTTCAAGCGATTCTCCTACCTCAGCCTCCCGAGTAGCTGGGATTACAGGCACTGCCCGGCTAATTTTGTACTTTTAGTAGAGACAAGGTTTCTCCATGTTGGTCAGGCTGGTCTCAAACTCCTGACCTCAGGTGATCCACCTGCCTCGGCCTCCCAAAGTGGGATTACAGGCGTGAGCCACTGCACCCGGCCTGAACCCCTTTCTTCTTTTATCCAACACCTTGGTAGCTTTCTCCAGTTTCATTGCCATCGTTTACCTCTGTTCTTTCATTTCCTGATCTGAGTACTTGGTCTGAGACATTTCCATTTTTCTACCGTCCTACCTCTCTACTTGCATGACTTCAAATGCCATCTACTTGCTGATGAGGACAAAATTGGTATCTCTGACCTAGGTGTCTCTTCTAGGCTGTGGACCTGTGTCTCTGACAGCTGGTTTTACTAAGATCTTGGGCGTTTCTCAGCATCTGGGATTTAACATGAGCCCTTAGTGTGTGCTCCCAGCTGCTTTCCCTCAAGATTTTCCCTGTTGCAGTAAATAGTGTCCTTTATTTTTTATTTTTAAATTTATTTTTATTTTTAGGATTTGTGAGTACATAATAGGTATATATATTTATGGGGTTATATTAGATATTTTGATAGAGGCGTGCAATGTATAATAGTCACATCATGGAAAATAGGGTATCCATCCGTTCAAGCATTTATCCTTTGTGTTACAATCTAACTATACTCTTTTAGTTATTTTAAGATGTACAATTAAATTATTTTGAGTATGGTCACTCTGTTGTGTTATCAAATACTAGGTATCATTCATTCTTTCAAACTATTTTTTTGTACCCATTAACCATCCCTACCTCCCCCCTACTATACTTCCCAGCTTCTGGTAACAACCCTTCTACTCTCTATCTCCATGAGTTCAATTGTTTTGATTTTTGCATCCCACAAATAAGTGAGAACATGTGATGCTTGTCTGTCTGTGCCTGGCAATAAGTAGAATTGTTATCTCTTCATTTGTTCATGCCAGAAATCTGGGAGGGATCCTGGAAATCTTCACCTTTTCCATTCGGTCAATCTCTCATTACTTTGACACCACCTGCAAATATCTCTCAAATCTGTCTACTTGTCTTTACTTCTGTTGTTGGTTGCCTTCATTTGAACCACCGCCATCTCTTCGTGTACCACTCTAGAAGCCTCCTAACGAGTCTGTCTTCCGGTTTTCTGTACCTTTCATCTCTCCCTCAGCAGCCAGAGTAATCTTGAAAAGCTCTAATTATCATTCTGTCAATTCACTGCTTGAAAACCCTCCTGTGGCTTTCCACTGTACCCCCAATAAAATGCTAACCTTTCCCAGAGCCCACAAGGCCCGGCACGCTCTGATCCCCTGCCATCACTCAGCATTACAGGCTCACTTCATTGCTCCTTACGCTTCAGCCATTCTGGCCTTTTGACATTCCCTGTAATGCTCAAACTCCTCACCTTCATCCTTTGCCTCTGCTGATCTCAGCAGGAAACAATTTCCCTTGCCCTTTGCACCACGGATTCCTTCTCACCTTTTAGGTTTTAGCTTAAATGTCACTACTTTGAAGAAGCTCTCTTTGCACACATTTCTCCTTAGACCTCCTCTAATGCATTCCTCACTGTACTCCTACTTTTCTTCATTGGAAGGAATTACTAGAATGTGCGCTTATATATCTCCTTAGGTGTTCATGTATCTGGCTTACATCTTCTCTACTGAACAGTAATTTCCACGAAGGCAGGGGGCTGTGCTTGTTTTGTTCATAGCTGTATCCCCATCACCTGGCATTGCATGCTTAACAGCTGTTTATCTCGTAAAATAGATAAATATTTAAAGTTTATTAAGATGGCAACTTTGGAGAAGCACCTCTTTGGTACTTTTATTGCCATGTTGCATGGTGGTTATGCTTGGTGGGCCCAGACCTACATGACTTGGAATCCCTATTCCTATCTTCTGTGAACTTGAGCAGTTGTTAGCTTCTGTGATCCCTGCAGTTCATTCTGGGCCGACTTCTTTCTTGAGTGTACCAGTTTCACAGAAGACATATTATATGGAGGTTTATTTGGGATCACTAGTTGGGTAGATCCAGATGTGGGAGCTTAAAAAATGACACAGGTGCTCATGTAAGTGTGCCTTAAGTTATCTATGAGACACTGTGTGTAAATTCATGCACTGTGAAAACGTATGCTAGCACTTCTTGTATCTGTACTCTCAAATGGAATGTGGGACATTCCATATTATTTGGGGAGTCAGGATTCCTGGCTGGTGGTGCTTTGTAGGACTCTTTGGTTTGCCATTGCTGTAGGTCACATGGTCTAAAATGTAGAGAGGATAAAATGATATTTTGAAAGATGATCCCTTTTCCCTGACTAGTTGTTGCTCTTAATTCTTTCTTTTAGAGCTTTGTTGCCCCAGCTATTTTACACCCAAGCAGCAAATTATCCAGGTGGGAGTGAGGGGAATCCAGGGGTCAGCCTGGGGTAGAAAGTTGAAACTGAGCATCCTGAATGTGGGCATAGTCGCTTATTTTGAGTGTTCCCTACGTTAGAGTATGAAGGTCTCTTTGGGAGAAACCCTCACATAATGAAACACTGCTGAGGAGCCTTTGGTTACATTAAGAATCTTTTCCTATTCCAAATCACTTATTTTTTCTGTAATGTTAAGCTTGGATTTTTGATCACCTTTCTAAAAAGAGGGATGGCACATTCTTAAATAGTGTTTCGAGATTTTCTTTTCTATTTTGGATATTTCTGGTCTCCTGGAAGCAGAGGGTGAGAAGCCACTACTCTCACCACTATATTGTTACTAAGTATGTTTTCTTTTGATGAATATTTTCTTTTATTTGCATTTTCAGCATTTTGTGGCTTAACATGAAAATCCCCAAACCAGCCAACATAAAAAGAAAATGTGGTTGTGGCTGGAGTTTGTGTGTGTGGCTTCTCTCATGTGAGCTTCCCTGATGTCATGTTTGCTAGCACGCCCAAGCATTTGACTTTTTCGTGAGCCTCCAGTGACTCTACTTTGCTAATATACCTTAAATCCTTAGGAGGTTTCTGTAATGAAGGGCAGACTGGTTGTATTTGAACAAGTAGCTACAGTCCTAGTTCTTTACATAATGTAGTCTGATTATCAATAAAGGAATGTAATTGAATTTTAAATTTCTAAGGAGGGGGAAGGAAAAAAACAATCTCAAACAGAAGTGTTCTGTTAATGAATGTGATAGACCCCTTTGTTGTTTACAGACAGCCGTCTTGCTGTTTTGTGGAAGAGAGTTGGGGCTGTGTTGTACATTTCACTGGCAATCTGCCCACCTCCTCTTCCCTGAAAATATTTATGGAGTTCTAGTGCTTTAATAAGTTGAGAAGTGATTTAATTGTTGCATTGGCAGAGTGAGATAAAGCCGTTAAATACGTTCATTTTCTTTCTGGGTGGGATGGAAGAGGGAAATGAAATACTAATTTTTTCCTTTTTGGAAACCTAATGCTGTGCTCTTTTGTTATCACTCTTGTTCTCTAGGCATTAAGTGTAACTGAAACCCTGATTAAACCCTTGGAAAAATTCAGAAAAGAGCAACTTGGAGCTGTAAAGGTTTGTGTCTAATTTGAATACACTCAGAAAACATAGATGCCTCTGCTGCTTCATGGTACACTTTATTCACATTTGGCAGCTTTGAAGGAGATGCCGGAGCAAACCATCTGTTGTTTTGTTTGAAATGTGCTTTTCCCCCTTTGGGGGATATGGAATTGGAAACAAAACAAAAACACCTGGACAAGATGGTAAAACCTCTAGTAATCTTCTTGGGCTACACCTTTCCATATAGAGTTTTAAAAATACCTGTAACCAAACAACACATTTGCTCTGAATAGAAGGAGCTTATTACTGGGGGGAGTGTAGTTATTTCTGTGCGCACCTCAGTTTTATGGAGGAGTGTAGCATTACAGTAGGGTTTAAGATTATAGACGCTGCCACACTGTGATGCCGTTGAAACTAGGAAGAGACTATTAAGTTACTGGGATGTAATTTCCTTCAATTTAACAAAAATTTATTGAGCCTCTATTATGTGCAAGTATTGTTATGGTATTGTGCATTATATTGTGTGTTGTATAGTACTGTGCTGGGGATTCAAAGGTGAGTGAACCACAGACTTTGTACTTAAGTATCTGGGATTTAACCGTGATTTCCAGGAATAATGCAGTGGTTTTGCCACAAGGAGCCTGAGATATATTTAGCAACTTATTTAAAATGTGCAATCTGAGCTTTGAAATTACCCCAGAGAAATAATTTCCACCGGTCTTTCCTGAATTTTGTGTATGTACTTGAGAAAGAAAAAGTAACATTTGCATGCTGTTGACCATTTTTGGCTTGGCCCAAGGAGAGGGGAATTAACATCAATTTTAGGTAGGGAAGGGAGTTTTTATATTTGTATTTTTTTCCCCCCACGTGGCTGGGGATGTGAGTTTTTTTTTTTTTCTCTTCCTAAAAGAAATGACTAAAATCCCTTGGTGGAAATAAACACTGTGGCCTCAGTAGCTTAACCACACAGATGAACCCAAGGAGTTCCAGCTCTGTAATTGCTGTTTATGGAATGAATTCTCATTTAAGTGACTTGTGAAAATATTAGACATTTCTTTTTGGCATACCGTATTACAGTTTTTAATGAAGGGCTACGAATTGAGGCTCAGACCCTGTGAACAGTGGGAGATCATTGGGGGCACCACCCCAGGCTCCTTCCTTGGATAGTTTGCCGTGCTGCAGGCAGCTGGGTTGTCCCCTCTGGCTTTGCAGCAGGAGATCGGAGGTCAGCTTTCACTTCTGCGACCTTGACTAAGTAATTGGCTTTAGTTTCTTATATGTAAAATGAAGGACTTGGGGGATCTGACTACTGTTTTATAGTTTTATGATTTTGTTTTGATTGTGTCTCTTTAAGCTCTTTAAAGCTTGTTGCATTTTGGTTCATTCTCTTTTAACATTTCATTGGCAGGTATTCCGTGTAAACAACATCCATTTCTTATTTTTCTCATTTGAATTGGATGGTGCTATATGTGTGACGGTTATATTATGGAAATGAAAATTGAGTGCGAGTGAATATATTTACTTTTACTTGCCATCTATTCTACTGGAATTTAGAAATGTCTGACCTTGAATCTTCTATTGACTCATTTTCCCCCCTAAACTTTCCAGCTTCTGATGTTAACATTTGTTCAGAGTATATCCTGCAAAGCAACTTGCACAATAAGTAATCCTTTTAAAAGGAGAAATGGTTACAATAGTTTATTCTGTGCTTTGAGCTGTTTAATGACCAAATTCTTTCCTGAAGTCCTATTTCTGTATCCCTCCCTGTTCTTCTGGCTTCAAGTTTATAAAGAGTTTATGTTATGTGCAGTCTTGCTCAGTACAGTATGTGTGTTGACTGTTGTACCTATGGATGTCACCTGTGAAGAGCCCGTCATTGTAGGTCATAGGGAGAAGCCCTTTTTCCTGGTAGTTTTGTGTACCATAATAAACAGTAGAGAAAGGTGGTTGTCTGTGTTCTGTAATGATATGTAAACTATGTAAACATCTGTCCTTTTCATTAGGTTGTTAAATCTTTAAAAGACTCTGCTTTTTTTTTTTTTTTTAAATTCTCTACCAGCCCCTACCCTGCCTTAATACATAAAGTATCTAATAAATAGCCTATCCAACTGATAATTCTAGAAGAAACAGGAAAGGGCTTAAGTTTGGGTATTTGAATTACTTTCCACATCTGTGCTGCCTAAACATTCAGTCATATTTTGTCAAGCACACAGTCTTGTTCCTCTGATTAAATCTGCTTACATGGGATACTTCAAAAAGACTTTACTCTCTTAGGTTAAAGAGCTTTTTGTAAACAGCATAAAACAGTTTTCACGTGGGGATTTAAGAAAAAGGTCTCTAAAAGTTGACCACATCAGAATTTTTAGATATGGGGGTCAACATTTTGATCTTTCCCCGTCTCCTGTTTCCCATCTGATAATGTTGTAGCCCTTGCCTGAAGCTCTTTCAGTTCCCTGTGCTTTTACCTTCTCCGGTTTCCAGAAGCCCAGTTCCATGTTTAACTGTGGTTTAAATCTATTCTAAGTGGCTAGGTGGTTTTTGTAAATTGGATTTTGAAAAGCCCCCAGGTATTGTCTACTGTTTTGCTTATATTTGGATATGCTCTCCTTGAGCCCTATCTGTTTGGTTTGGACGTATCCCTCCATTTTATGGGTTCTGCTGCATTTTCTTATGTGCTTGCTAGGTTCTAGCTTTTGTTCAAAAAGCCCTTTTGCTATCACAGTGAGAGGTGAAGCCAGCTGGGCTTCTGGGTCGGGTGGGGACTTGGAGAACTTTTCTGTCTAGCTAAAGGATTGTAAACGCACCAATCAGCGCTCTGTATCTAGCCAAAGGTTTGTAAATGCACCAATCAGCACTCTGTAAAAACACACCAACCAGCACTCTGTGTCTAGCCAAAGGTTTGTAAATGCACCAATCAGCACTCTGTAAAAATGCACCAATCAGTGCTCTTTGTCTAGCTAATGGTTTGTAAATGCACCAATCAGCACTCTGTAAAAATGGACCAATCAGCACTCTGTAAAATGGATTAATCAGCGCTCTGTAAAATGAACCAATCAGCAGGCCGTGGACGGGGCCAAGTAAGGGAATAAAAGCTGGCCATCCAAGCCAGCAGGGGCAATGCTTGGGTCCCTTCCCATGCTGTGGAAGCTTTGTTCTTTCACTGTTTGCAATAAATCTGGCTGCTGCTCACTCTTTGGGTCCACACTACCTTTATGAGCTGTAACACTCACCACGAAGGTCTGCAGCTTCACTCCTGAAGCCAGGAGACCATGAACCCAGCGGGAGGAACAGACAACTCTCTATGCGCCACCTTTAAGAGCTGTAACAGTCACTGCAAAGGTCTGCGGCTTCACTCCTAAGTCAGCAAGACCACGAACCCACCAGAAGGAAGAAACTCCGGACACATCTGAACATCTGAAGGGACAAACTCCGGACACACCATCTTTAAGAACTGTAACACTCACTGCGAGGGTCCGCGGCTTCGTTCTTGAATTCAGTGAGACCAAGAACCCACCAGAAGGAACCAATTCTGGACACAACAGGACACAGGTTGTTGCCTGATGCATCACGTCAAGAGTTTCTCTAAGGCCTAGCTGAGTTCTTATTTTCTTTTGAAGCTCCTTCACCCTTTTTGAGCTTGGCACTTATTGCCAAATGTCCCACAGGACTTTGTGGGTAGCTACAGGAACCAGTACAGATCCTGAACAACTTAGGGGCCAAGTATGTTGAACAAAAACTCTGAGAAATACCAGAACGTGATAAGAGTTAACATGGGATAAATTGCTTTTTTGGACATTTGACCAAGTAATGAAAATATGGGTTTGGGCAAGCAGCAGCACACAGATGACAGGTGGATGCAACTAACTGGATTGAGAATGGAATCTATTCAGATGCTATCTTGGAAAGAGCCAATTATAATTTTATCCAAATAGAAGAAGAATTTTAGGCAGAAAACTTAATAGATGTTCATTTCACAAATTATGACTTATCACCTAAGCTCATTACCAGACCTCTACTCCAAATTTCTTTCCAAGACTATGACTAATAATTTTTTTTTTTTTTTAAAATACAGGATTTCATTCTGTTGTCCAGGCTGGGCAGCAGCCTTGAACTCCTGGGTCAGATGATCTGAGCAGCCAGGACTACAGATGCCTGCCACCATGCATGGCTAATTTTAAAATTATTTTTGTAGAGACGGTCTCTCTGTGTTGCCCAGGCTGGTCTTGAACTCCTGGGCTCAATTGATCCTCCTGCCTCGGCCTTCCAAAGTTCTGGGATTACAGGCTTGAGCCACTGTGCCCAGCCTAATGAATACATTTTAAATACAGACTTCCAAAGATTCTATAAATTACTACAAAACATGAGTAAAACTTAAACCTGTCTGGATAATTTCTCATATTACATTGTATTTAATAGAGCAGAAACAATATTGATTTAGTTTAATTACATTTCTTTCATTCAGTAATAAAACACACTAGTGCCTATCATACAGCATAGTATTAGAGGCCCTGAGATACAACTAGGAATTACAACACTGGCCAGCCTTCAGGAAGTTAGCAACTTTTTGTGAGACTGTCAAAAAAGCAATAAAAATATATTGTGGAAAGTGCTGTAATAGCGGTAAGCATAGGTGTCCTGGGATGTACTCTACCATCTCATCTTTGGAGCACCAGAAAGTCTTTCAGGAAGAGTTAATTCTTCCTGGTTTGAATCCTCTTTCGGTGCCTTAATTAGCCATGTGATTTGGGACAAGTGACTTAAGGCCTCTAAGTCTCAGTTTCCTGGTCTGTAAAATGAGACTTACGACACTTGTCTCAGGAGGTTATTGTGAGAGTTGAGTGAATTTGATAATGTACCTGAAGTGTCTAGTTTGGGACCTGGTATCCATAGAGTAATTTTATTATCCCATTCATGACTTGCTCCCCATCACCTTGCCAAACAGGAGTTGCTCAGCTTTTTGTCCATTCTCTGCATTCTGGGTTTAGGGGTGACAAGCCATAGCATGTGGCTTATGACCTTTATGGACAAATAGTGCTAAGGCACTGGATTAGTGACTCTGGAGCCACCACTGAGGAACCGAGGTGGCACTTTGCCAGCGTTGGTGCTGCTGCAGTCCTGTGCTGGCCGTTCACTTGTGCTCTGACAGGTGTCTGCCAGGCACCCTTCTGGGTCTGGATTCAAGTGCTCCATTCTGTGAGGATGAAGTTGAATTCTCATCTCTTTAGAGAGGCTAGAGGAGCTTAAAGGAAAGGGGTGGGTTGGGGTAGGATAGGGCAAATGAAGTGTCAAGTAGGAACGAGTGACACTTGCCTTGGGAGTTAAGGGAGGGTGTGCCTTCTCCCTGCTGGAGTGGGGAGTCCTCACTTAACATTATCAGTAGGTTCTTGGAAACTGAATTGAAGCAAAGCAACACATAAGGAAGCCAGTTTTACCATGGGCCGATTGACGTAAACAAAAGTTTTTATGTCATATTTCTGGTCTCAGAACATCACCAAACTTTTTTTTTTTTTTTTTTTTTTTTTTAAAATGGAGCGGAGTTTCGCCCTTGTCACCCAGGCTGGAGTAGAATGGCATGATCTTGGCTCACTACAATCTCCGCCACCCAAGTTCAAGTGATTCTCGTGCCTCAGCCTCCCAAGTAGCTGGGATTACAGACATGCGCCAGCACGCCAGGCTAATTTTGTATTTTTAGTAGAGATGGGGGGTTTCACCATGTTGGTCAGGCTGATTTCAAACTCCTGACCTCAACATCACCAAACTTCTCAATACCACAACACTTTTAATATTAAATATTGAAATAAATGTGAGCTATACATACATTTAAGAAAGATTAATGAAAACAAGATAATCATTTACTCACTCCTGTTCAGGGTCGCAGGTGGCTAGAGCCCATTTCAGCAGCTCAGAGTGCAAGGTGGACACCAGCCTTGGACAGGGCATGATCCCACACTCGCTCACACAGTACTATTTAGACATGCTGGTGAACTGACCTAAGAGATGTGGGAGGAAATAGTAGATACCCAGAAGGAATCCACACAGGCACGGGAGAACCTGCAGACTCCACACGGACAGTGGCCCTGGCCACGAATCGGTTTTTATTTTTCCCTTATTAATGTTATAATGAAATGATGCTATTCAAGGACCTGCCATATTTAAGTTCTTCTCTAGACGAGTCCAACAGTAAACATTATTTAATTTTGTAGTTTGAAAATAAGCCTTTTCCATCTCCTCATCCTAAACAATTGGAAAATAAAGAAAATTCAAAAAAAGTCATCTAGTAACAAATTCTTTCCTCTTCTAAAGCAAAATAATCTGGTACCCTATAGAAAAATGGGCAATTCACAATTATGTTTAAACTTTTATGAATTCTTTGTGTTCTTTATCCATTTTTCAGTGGAAGCATTATTGTGTGTTTTTTGCAAAAAACTGCTTAATGAAGAATATATTTTGTGTTACAAATGTTTCCCTACGTTCTTACATATTGGTTGTAATCCTCCCCCCTTTGCTGTGTGCCCTTTGCTTGATTATTATGATTTTTTTTTTATATTGGCAAGTTCTTATGGCTTCTTTCTTTCCTTTTTTGCTTAGAAGATCCTTCTCTATTCTGAGATTTGTTGAAAATACTCTCTATGGCTTCATTGTTTACTTGTGACTCTTTCAATCCATCTGGAATTAATTTTGATATGAGATGAGGTTCTCTTTCTGCTTCCCAGTAAACAGTCATGCCAGCACCAATGGTTGAATCGTCTCTTCCTTTTTTTAAACCCAGTGATGTGTAATGACAAATTTATATAGTTTTTGACCTCTAATGGTATTCAGAAGATCTGGTTATTTGAATTGGGGTTCTTAGGTTCTTCTCTTCTACCATTTATATAACGTATGTCTTTTTTTTGACCCAAAATGCTGTTCTAAGTAGTAGCTCTACTTTTAAAAAAGGTTTTGCATGTGCAATTTTATAACAGATTAGAAAGCTGACTTCTACCATATTCAACTTATAAATTTTGTTTGGCTTCCTCGTGTTGTTACAATTAAGAAAAAATGTGTTGCCACCATAAAAATCATTGGATTTTTCAGCAGTTCCAGAGAAATCAGAAGACATGGCCAACATACTGGGCTTGTGTTCTCAAGAGGCAAAAATGTTCTGGCGCTGAGTAATGGCTGCCTTCTTCTCTGGAGTAGACGAGGACTATCTGGTTTTCATTGCCTACCACTCCTGATTGCATTTCTCTCCCAGCCTGTTTCACTCATTAGATTACTGCCTGGCCCAGACTCATTTCAGTTTTTGTAATGTCTGATTTATAAGAAAAGTTTTCATATTGTATTTAACTTGATCCTTGTTGGAACTTTTTGGATTACGCTGTTACATTTATATATTTTTTTCTGTAATGCAGTATTGGGGGAAAAAAAAAGCTCCATTCTTTATTGAATGCTACTTGAATAGTTTCCTTTGAAATTTGTATCATTTCAGCACAAGAAATCATATGAGCACAAAGAAACAATAATACTCTATAATGACATTAAGAACAAATGCAGGAAGAAATAATTACCTGCGTTTTAAGATTCAGAAACAAAACACAGCAGCATTTGTATAATACCATACCATATATGGACGAAGATATTTCTATTCTAAGCTTGGTGGGTGTGATGTTGTTATTGTTGTTTCTTGGCTAAATTCTTTCTTCATAAAGGCTTGATGTCTCCTTTTTCTTTCATTCCCAACTTTACCCACATGTTGATTTTCATAGCCTTCTATTGCTGAGTGTGCTGGGTGTTTTGACCGCTGATTAAAGCGTCACCCCTTCCTCGGCCCCTTTCTGTGATTCAGATTAAATCAAATAAGGTGGTAAAAATGTTTTCCATGTTCCTGGTAAGTACTAGTCTGCAGTGATAGTGCTTCTTACTATGTGACCTTGCTTTGCAGCAGTCTTGTGGGCAAATGCAGGGGCCTGACTTCCATTTGTCTTTTGTTTAAGTCTGAGAAACAGATGCTCAGAGAATGTTTGTGACCTTGCTACAGAGTCACAGAGTAATGAGTGGCTAGGACTGCAGCTTGGGTCTTCTGACACCTAATTCAGTGTGTACTTCACAGCATCAACTTTTTAAAATAGTGGACATTTTTAGGTAATGGGCATCTGTTTGTTTCAGTTTATTTTCTGTTAGTTGTTAAAATAGTGGAAGAGCATAATGAAAAGCAGAAAAGAGAGTAACTATGTAATATCAATACATTGGACTTAGTTGTAAATTAAAAAAACCTAGAGCGTAAAGAAAAATAAAGTCTTCTGATCCTCTGTATCAACAAAAGAGTGACTATTAAGTAAAAGAGGTTAAAATACAACTTCTGCTTTTTTTTGGTTCCATTTCTACACATGGGTGAACCATAGGATCACAGAATTTTAGGTCTGGATCTATGAGGCAGTTAAAGAAAAGTCCCTGATCTTTTTGGTAAGAAAACTTAGGTTCTATATTGTCAGATGGTTTTTTTTTTTTTTTTTTTTTTAAGTTGTGCAGCTAGTTGGTAATTAACCTTGGAGTAGAAAAGGGAAGAAACCTCAGTTCCTGAGTCTCTCCTCCTCCATCAGTGTGGGGGAGTTAATTGAGGGCTTTTAGATGACCTGACAGGGGACATACTGTCCTGGGTTTCCAGAAGAACAGCGTGTGGTCCCATGTGGTGAAAAAAGATAAATAAAAGAAGTAGAGAATTAACATGCTTTGTTTAATCTCTTTGCCTAACAGGAAGGAAATCATACCAGAAAAGGCTGGAATAGTTCATTATTTTTGCTTTGGAAAATACAAGTTGGAAAATTAGGGAAGAGAATGTTCCTTTTTTAGGAGGTGTGGAGAGTTAGGGAGAATTTGAAATTAATGGAAACATTTTGACAGCATGAGGACATGGTGTGCTCTCATTGATACTCAAGAATGTTTATTAAAAATCTGTCAAGTTGGCTGACAGCTTTAGGGGAGACACCCATCTTCTCTGCATTTATAAATGTGTATACTTATTTTCTCAAAAAGCTTCTATAGCAAAAGGAATGCAAGTATGTCCTAATTCTAGACAGTACCTAAGAAATGTTTGTGATGTTAACCAAAGGGTGAGTACTGGTATATCAATATTATTTTAGGCCCTGTTGACCTATTGATACGTATTTTAAATAGCGTTACAGAAATCACTGGAAAGGTTTGGGAAAGTAGATGACATTTCTGGTAGACAATCTTATTGCTATACAGGTCGATCATCCTGAATCTGAAATCCGATATGCTCCAAAATTTGAAATGACACTACAAGTGGAAAATTCCACACCTGGCCTCTTGCTCTCTGATGGTTCAGTGTACATAAGCTTTATTTCATGTACAAAATTATTAAAAATATTGTATAAAATTACCTTTAGGCTATGTGTGATAGGTGTATACAAAACAGAAATGAATTTCACGTTTAGACTTAGGCCCCATACCCAAGATACCTCTCTTTGTATACACAGATATTCCAAAATTCAAAAATATCCAAAAATCTCTACCACTTCTGGTTCTAAGCATTTCAGAGAAGGGATACTTAACCTGTATTCATACTGGACCATTAGGGAAGATCTTTCCCAAGATGTTTTTTTTCCAACACTGATTATGTATTATGATTTTTTGAAAATCTAGAGTAAAACATACTGATTGATTGAGACAGAGTCTCACCCTGTTGCCCAGGCTGGAGTGCAGTGGTGTGATCTCGATTCACTGCAACCTCCGCCTCTGGGGTTCAAGTGATTCTCACGCCTCAGCCTCCTGAGTAGCTGGGATTACAGGTGTGTGCCACCACACCCTGCTAACTTTTGTATTTTTAGTAGGGACGGGATTTCACCACGATAGCTGGCTGGTCTCGAACTCCTGACCTCAGGTGATCCGCCCGTCTTGGCCTCCCAAAGTGCTGAGATTACAGGTGTGAGCCACTGGCCTATTATTCCATTTTAAACGAATTCCACGTCTGTGCCAAAATCTGGAGCAAGTTTGCTTTTTTAAGCTTTATGTTATTTTTCTTACGTATTTTGTTTCATTCGGTTGGTGAGGGGTGAGTGACGTGGAATTAATTTTTAACATTGCTAAGTCTGAAGAACTGAAAAATAACATAGGCTTGGAAAAAAGTCCATTAAAGGAAGAAATAAAAGTGTCTCTTCTATCCTAATGCTGTCTTGATGATTAAGCAGTAGGCTTGGTACAGATATGTTTTTTTAGATAGCTTTATCACATTCAGAGTGGTGCTTTGTTTTATTTTCAGATATTTTTCATAATTTGAGCTTCCCAGTGGATTAACCATGTGTATCCTTTTGTTTCTGTTTAATCATAGTTTTTTTTTTATTTGTAGGAAGAAAAAAAGAAGTTTGACAAAGAGACAGAAAAGAATTATAGTCTAATTGATAAACATTTGAATTTATCAGCAAAAAAGAAAGACTCACATTTACAAGAGGTATAATTTTTTATTTTTCTGTTACGTTTTCAAAATTTGATAAGCAATACATGTCTTTTAAAAATGTGCTTTAATTTGGATAACTTTTCATCTGGCATTATATAGAGATAACAAAAAGTGAACAGGTATTGTCATAAATTAAGAAAAAAGTCCTTGTGAAACAAGAAAAAATAATGAATACATCTTATAGTGATTAATGAGCTATGGATTCATAGTAGTAAAATTTTTGTTTCTGAGCATTATTTTATAGGAACATAACTTTAAACCAGCATTAGTGAAGAACAGATATATTATTTGCAGGAATAGATCAATTAATTGGCTTTTGGGAGTTCTTGAAGAAATGAATTGAATTTAATAAGCTCATATACCATTATGCGTTTATGTGAAGGCAGCATTAATCTTATTTAATGCTGAGGATTCAGGAGGTTCAACTTTGTTGGAAAGAGAGCATCTGTTTTACTTGTATTAATAGACTCATTTATTTTGGAGGCAGCCATATGTAAGCAGGAAGGAATTTATATTTTATTTTTCATTTTCTCTTTGTTTACTTCTAAATCCCCTGCCATTTGTTTCTCTCACTCACACACTTGGATGGAAACTCAGTTGTTTACAATTCAAAACAAAATGCTTTTATTAAAAATAATGCTGTTTGCCATTGTTAGGATTTAGTCTCATCCCACAAAATTGTATTTTTTTTTCTTGTTTTTTTAACACATAAGGAATCTGGACATTATGTACTACTGTCATAAACACTTATTGAAGTATTATCAAAATGACACAGTATTAAGTCTTGTGTAAACCTGGATTATATTTAAATGTTAGCTATTTAGTTACATACTCTGTGTGTGTATGGTTTGTTTGACATTATCCACATGTGACTTTTTCTTTTGTGTCTCTAATACCTTTGACTGACATTTGGATGGCACTTGACAGTTCATAAAAGAGAAAAGAGCTTTTACACCTCTTCGTCCTTACTGCAGTACTTTGGGTAGGGCTCTGTTCTCTCCTTGTTGCATATTATTGTGTGCTCCCTCATCTCCTGCCCTCTGTCAATTTTGAGATGACAGCTGCAGCTTTTACAGGCCCCCTTTATGCTAGCAGTTCTCTACCTGTGTTTGCTCTCACCTCCATTTTCAGGTATCCAAAAAAAGATCTTCATTCCCCAAGTGAATTTCCAAATCCACTTCACTTTCTCATTAGGTATTTCATTTTAAACTTTGCTTAGGCAACATCTTTGGAGTCACCTTGGCCCTTTCTCTTACACTCCCCATCTAGTCCATCAGTATGTCATCTTTAGTTCCAGAATATAATCAGAGTGTGTCCACTTCTCATGACTCGCTCTTCTCCAAACCCTCCTAATGGCTTCTCCAGAGGCCCCAGGGCCACAAGATCCTATATGTTCTGCACCCAACCCAGCTGGGGTCAGCATAGCATATACTCAGGGCCGTTGTATTTGTTTTCCTTCTGCCTGGTATGTTTTCAACAGGGATCCATGTGTCTCAAACCTTCAATTACTCTTCCAAATACTCTCCACTCAGAGGTCAGTTTATTAAAAGTTTTTCCTGACCTTCTTATTTAGAATGTCCCCTTTACTCTGCTTTATATTTTTTTCATATTCCTTTTTTTTTTTTTTTTGAGATGGAGTTTTGCTCTTGTTGTCCAGGCTGGAGTGCAATGGTTAGATCTTGGCTCACTGCAACCTCCACCTGCCGGATTCAAGCGATTTTCCTGCCTCTGTCTCCTGTGTAGCTGGGATTACAGGCGCCCACTACCACGCCCAGCTAATTTTTTGTATTTTTAGTAGAGACAAGGTTTCATGATGTTGGCCAGGCTGTTCTTGAACTCCTGACCTCAGGCGATCCACCCACCTTGGCCTCCCAAAGTGCTGGGATTACAGGCACGAGCCACAGGGCCCAGCCTATTTTTTTTCATAGTCTTAAAACTGTTTGACAAACTGTGCATTTGTTACGTGGCTTCTTCCACTAGAATGTAAGCTTCTTGAAGGCAACAACATTGTCTTATTCAGTGTTCTATCTTCAGTTCCTAGAACAGTACCTGTTAAGGAGTAGGTACTTAATGTATATTTATTGAATGAACTAGTGTGGAGATGCTTGTACAGTGAGCTGGGGCTCCAGCAATTTATCAGTCCCAAGGATAATTAACCTCTAGAAACATGAAGAGATCCTAACGATGAATAATTTGTTTCATTTAAATTACATACACTTTTTAATCTTGCTCTGTTTGCTTTTTACAAACTTACATGCTCTCACTGAAGCAGCCTTCTATTTTAAGTGTGAAGCCCTTAATAGGGGGGATGCTTTTTAAAGGGGAAAATGTTAGGTTTGGATATTCATTACTTTTGGCAGTGGTTAATGTAATGCTAATTTTCAGTGAATTGAGATGCTCAAGAGATTCATAAGAGTTGCAGAGAATGATACTGAACAAAGGCTTAGAAACGTACATAATTCATTCTCTCCTCTTGCTTCAATTGAAAATAACAGGAGAAGGCCGGGCGTGGTGGCTCACGCCTGTAATCCCAGCACTGTGGGAGGCCGAGGCGGGTGGATCACGAGATCAGGAGATCCAGACCATCCTGGCTAACACGGTGAAACCCCGTCTCTACTAAAAATACAAAAAATTAGCTGGGTGTGGTGGCAGGTGCCTGCAGTCCCAGCTACTCAGGAGGCTGAGGCAGGAGAATGGCGTGAACCCAGGAGGTGGAGCTTGCAGTGAGCCGAGATGGGGCCACTGCACTCCAGCCTGGGCGACAGCTCCGTCTCAAAAACAAAACAAAACAAAACAAAACAAAACAAAAAAAACCAGGAGAAAATTGTGGCATATACCATGCTGGCTATTTTGGCAGTTCTCTGAGGCCTTGCTGCTATACCTCTATGTTTATTGGGCATAATAGCTTCTACCTCCATCCACACCCCTACATTCTACTTAATAGTTGTACTGTAACAAGTATTGGATATTTGAGAAAATTCCATTTCTGTTTATTTTTGAAGTCTATTTTTTCTTCCCAAGTAGCCAAATGATATTTCAGTATAATAATAATCTACTTGAGAAGCAGATTTCCTAAATAACTTTATGTGAGACTTGTCTACTTTCTTACATATATTTACAGCAGGAATGGCTAGAAATTAGTTGATAATCAAATTGAAATTGTGTATTTGTTAAAAACTAGTGATTTGCTTGGAGTAGTAAAACGTATAGTGATTGCCTTTTAGATTTGGTCAGGCTGAAGGAAATCATTTTGTGACCCTAGTTACAACTTGGACGTCCATGGCATTCTTGTAAGTGAGGGCTGTTGTCACGGAATTTTTAGGATGTCTCTTTTCCAGCCAGAAATCTCTGTGTCTGGTGATGCCTTTGCCCAAGTTTTGCTCTGGCCCGCTGGGCTTGTTCTGCCTGCTCTTCCTGGCAGGCTGCACTCGGCTTGTGCTACTGGCCTGGATCTCATGCCTGCCAAGGGCGAGCCAGGCACGGAGTGGCGAGGAGTTCGTGAGTGAGTTCAGGGTCATCCGGCCACTGTGCACAGCCGGGCATGCCGACTGTGGTGGGGCAGGCAGCTCCAGGCACAGGCACTGGCTCCGTGCAAGGCTGTGGCTGGACCAGGCATACTGCAGGTCGCTTCCATTGTGGGCACTGGGAACACGGTGGCACCCGGAAACTTGGAGACACCAGGAACCGCAGAGCCCCAAAGAGGATGTCACAGCCCTGGCTTAGGGAGCCCCTAGGTCTGGGCTCCCCGAAGGGCCGCAGCTCTTCTCTCCTTCTCGTCGCCCACAATGTAGTGAGCAGGGGAGGGGGAGGATCACCCCTGTTTGTGTTACAGCTCTTTCAGTCTGGCCATTCCTTGGGTCCCAAGTTCTTGTCCCACATCCAAGAGGAATGAGGTATGGAGACAACTGGAGGGTGAGCAAGGTACAGGGGAACTTCATTGAGCAACAGAACAGTTCTCAGGAGACCTGAAGTGAGTAGCCTTTTTCTGCAGGCAGGTCGACGTAATGAGTGTCCAGCTCTCACTGGAGAGGAGACCTGTAGTGCATAGCTCCTTTCCACAGGCAGGTCATCCTGACTAGTGGAGGAGACCCCCAGAGGGTTGCTCCTTCCAACAGCTGGTAGTCCCCATGTCTTTCTGAGTCTGGCTGAGTCCAGAGTTTTTCTGGGCTCAGAAGGGAGGAAGTGTGCTGATTGGCCCATGCGCAGCCATGAGTGGGCCTGGAAAAAGCACCGTAAGTTTTCATCCCAGGCTGCAGACTCCACCTAGAACTGGCAGCCCAGCGGCTCCCAGGCTTCAGGCCATCCCTGGCTTGAAGCTGGGGTTTCACCAGGGACCTGTCTGTCCCTTCCCACCTAGGAACCTGTCTCCCGCAGCTGTCAACATGTCATCCATGGCGCCCAAGGTATTTGTGCCAAGAGGTGCCTGCAGGCCCCTGTTAAGCTGCTCTCAGCCCCCTGGCCTCCCTCCTGTGCTTGTTGGCATCCAAAGTCCAGAGGGGGCCGAGCTGGAGGTTGGGGTTACCAGGGGCGCTGGCATGTCAGAACCACCCTGTGTGCATGCATACCCGGCTGGGTGGCAACAGTACCTGGGCTTGGCTACAACTTTGCTCCACACTGCATCAGGCGCCGGGAGCCGGGAGAGGCCAGGGAGCAGGAGCAGGCACTTCTTGAGCCTGCTGGTGGGGCAGTGGGCCTTCGCCGGCCCCCAAGAGCACAGGGATGCCCTGGTCCAGAGCTGTGGCTGCACGGCTGCAGCTGTGTCTGGGAGCATGGGGCTCCTGCCCTGATAACTCTGTAGAAGTTGGGGCTCCTGCCTGTTTCTGGCCCCCGCGGGCACCATGGAGTGCGCAGCCCTGGCTGCACTTTGCCCTCTGCAGCTGGTGTCCTCACAGCGGCTGCTCCAGACTGGCCGCTGCTGCCATCATTGCCAGTAATCCCAGGGATTCTGGTGATTTAATCACAGAGCATGTGGCACAACAGTTCTGGATTTTCAGAACATTAAGGGGGTGGTGATAGAGGTTGACTGGTAATGCAAGGGTAATTACAGTAGCAAGAACAACCAGGAGAGAGAATTTACTAAAAGATAAAATCAAATTGATAAATCTGATGCTGGTATAAATTTCTTCAAGAGCCTTTGCAGTAATAACAAATGAGGAAATCACCCTTCTTATGTCTTTATTAAATAGTCAACAAAATTACAGTGTTTTTGCTGGGAGATGTGCCAACTAACTGCTGATGGCTGAACTATCAAACTCTGGTTATTGGAGGCACAAAAATATGATTCAGATGAGTGTTAGGTAGAAATTCTCATTTTAGCTTAGTAATATATATTAAAGTATTTGCTGAAATGGTTTTTATTACATTTTGAAATGTGTTTCAAATGTGTTAAATGCTTTTCAAAAACAACACATTTTTGGTTATAAAACGTGAATAAAATTTCAATAAAATGTATGATTTTATTTTAAAGTCTATGGCCCAGTGGTATTAAGTACATTCACATTGTTTTGCAACTGTCACCACCATGCATCTCCAGGGCTTTTTAAAAAATCTTCCCAGACTGCAGCTCTGTACCTATTAACAATAACTCTCCATTCTCCCCTGCTCCAGCTCCTGGCAGCCGTCGTTCTGCTTTCAGTTTCTATGAATTTAACTACTCTAGGTGTCTCATGTGAGTGGGATCATATAGTATCTGTCCCTTTGTGACTAGTTTATTTCACTTAGCCTGATGTCCTCAAGGTTTATCCATGTTGTAGTATGTATCAGAATTTCCTTCCTGTCTAAGGCTGAATAATATTCTGTTATACATATGGATTGGCTACATTTTATTTACTCATCCATCCATCCATGGGCATTGGGGTCACTTTGCCCCCTGCTGCTATGAACAGGGGTGTACACATATCTGTTCGAGTCTCTGCTTTCAGTTCTTTTGGGTATATGCCCAGCTGTAGAATTGCTGGGTCATGTGGTAATACTATTTTTCATTTGAGGGAAAAATTTATTTTAATTTTTTGCTGGGAGTTGTGCCTGTTAACTGCTGGTGGCTGAACTATTGAATTCTGGTTAATGAAGCCACAAAAATATGATTTTGAGGAGTGTTAGGTAGAAATGTTCATGTTAGCTTAGTAACACGTTATGTTTCAATATTATTTTACTTAAAGCACTATTTTTCACAGTGCTTGTACCATCTTGCATTCCCACTAATGATGCACAAGGGTTTCAGTTTCTTGACATCCTCACCAACACCACTACTTTTCTTTTTTGTACAGTAGCCACCCTAGTGAGTGTGAGGTGGCATCTCCTTGTGAGTTTGATTTGCATCCTAATGATGAGCGATGTTGAGTGTCTTTTCACATGCTTATTGGCCTTTTGTATATCCTCTCTGGAGAAATGCCCAGATAAATATTTTTAAGAGTAAAATTAGCTAAGTTAGGAAAAATATCACATGATACCTAGTAAGAATGGTTTCTTGGACATGAGTTCTCTCTCCACTATTCTCTGTGGAGTCCTGCTCTTCTCCCAGTTCCTTTCTAGTTAGGCAAGCTAAGCTGGAAGCTTTTTTTGGAATAGCGTCCTGACCAGCTGGTGCCCCCTTCTCTCCCAGGGGATCAGACGTTCTGAGGGCCGCAGATGGGCGTCCAGCCCTGGCCCGCCTTTGAGAGCCGGGTTCTTGAGATGCTGCCATGGCTGGCTCCTTCTCACTTGCCGCCATCACTCCCTGAGCGCTGAGGTGCTGGGCCCTTTCTCAGGCAGACTTTATTCCTAGAGGATTTGTTCATCGAAATGTTTGTTGATTGTGATTGCATGTGGTTCAGCCTTGGGGCATCAGTTGTGGTTGGGGTGAGTTTTTCAAGAAGAGAAGTCCCTTTGATCTTCAGTTCTTGGGGGTCAACTTCAACAAACAGAGTAGGAGTCACAAGCTTTTTCTGCAAAGAAACTGATAGTAAATATTTTAGACTTCTGTGGACCATAAAGTTCCTGTTGCACCTGCTCAATTCTGCTGTTGCAGCAGGAAAGTAGCTGCAGACAATACATAAATGAATTGTCGTACCTGTGTTGCAATACTTTATTTACAAAATCAGGCAGCACACCGTATTTTGGCCCATGGACCACAGTGTGATGACCTCTGATGTAGCGTTTCACTTTTCACCATCTCCAGTTTGACTAACCTCTGTGATTTTAACATAGGCAGATATCCAAGTAGAGCAGAACCGGCAACACTTCTATGAACTGTCTCTCGAGTATGTGTGTAAGCTGCAGGAAATCCAAGAAAGAAAGAAGTTTGAGTTTGTGGAACCTGTGAGTATTGCCAAGTTGTTTGCTGGTGGATTTTTGCAATGTAAGATAAGTATTTATTTTCCTAGATCTGATTTATGGTTTATAGTTACTAGAGGCCATAGTGCATAAACATGAAAGAGACATATTAAAAAGGGCAGACACAGATAGCCATGAAGTCAAGGAATTGCCTCTAAATCAGTGGTTCTCAGCTGTATTTGCACTGATAATACACGTAATATTCCCATTGCTACATGATCTCAAGGAAGGCAACCATGTGCAATTTCTGCCACCTTAGCCTATAGCTCTATCTTTTAAAAATTTCTCTGAAATAATTTATACTAGAATGAGTGAACATGGGTTGTTTATACCGGTTCAAACTTTGGTACTTTAAACAATCGTTTGTAACATGACTTCAAACACAATTCACAATGCTTATGGCAATCTAAGTTTAGAAGCAGGATATGGAACATTTGAGACAATTTTGTGAGTTACTCTAACATTTCTTTTTACTTATATTAGAAACACATGATTTTTGTTTGTGATTATATAGATGTTTTCTAGTAGCTTCAGTTGTTTATATATGAAGATGTATGCACATGAATGTATATATCATAATGTAAAGGATATTTCATGTGGATTTCAGCAAAAAAACACTGGATCTCATTCTCAGGATTCATTTTAATTTTAATATCGACTTATTGAATGGTTTCTTTTTCTTAAACAGCTTTATTAAGATAATATTCACACAGTATACAATTTACTCATTGTGAGTATGGTTTATAGAAACAAGAATAACCAAGTAATGATTAAAAATGAGCATTTGTGGAGCTATGGTTTAGTTGGAGCGATAGTCATTAACCTAAACCATTAGAGAAAAACTCAACCTCCTCAAAGCTTTCTTTTTAATGTGAAATAATAATAATGGCCTGCTTTTATTGGGCATTTATAATGCTCAGTCTCTGTTCAAGCCATTGTTCTAAGTGTTGTACCGAACTCATTATTCCACACTATAACTCAATGAGGAGATAAGGAAATAGAAGTAGAGAAAGGCTGAGTAATTTGCCTAAGGTCCCATAACAGGTCATGGCTGACGTTGGGAATGGAGCCTGCTGGGTGTCAGAGCCCCAGATTCCTAACCACCCACGGTGTGGCATTTGGAAGAAAATGAATCTCAAGATTTCCTTAACTGTCTCCCCAGATCACTTCTTTTTACTTCTAGATTTATTGACTTACATGTGGAGCAGAGGCAACAGCCCTCTAATTCAGAGACAGGTTGGGAGTTGGTAGGAAAGTAAAGGTTTAATTACGGGTTTGAGGCTGCCCCTGGCAAGTCATGGAATATCTTTGTCAACAAAACACAGGGGTTGCAGTCTGCTGGATGTGGCTGGGGAGAGCCTGGAGCTCTTTGATTCTGTGATTTTACTTTCTTAAAGATTGTGTCAACCTATAGTGATAAGATTTCAATTACAAATATTGGGATTCTCCTGACTAAAGAGGACAAATGGATGACTTAATAATTCAATTTTTCCTGCAGAACATGCCATATAAGCTGTCTAATGGCTGTGATATTTAAGGGAAAAAAGCATCATTTTCTATAAAGACCAATTAATAGATAATATGTACTTGTGTTTACTTGAATATTAGTGACTTCCCTTTAATCAGTTTATTTCAGTGGAATAACAGTGAGATGGCGGGGGGAACACTTGGTTGTTTATATGATTCTTTTTTTCTCCTGAGTTTTTTTGTGCTAATATCTCTTTTCTTCCTGTGTCTTAGATGCTGTCATTTTTTCAGGGGATGTTTACCTTCTATCATCAGGGCCATGAACTTGCCAAAGACTTCAATCACTACAAAATGGAACTACAGATCAACATTCAGAATGTAAGGAAGTGAAAGCTTTCTTTATAAAAAGATGTTTGAAAAGTATTTTTCATTTGTGTGTTGTATGAAAAGCCTTAATTAAATGAAGACAATGCTGATCTGTTTGTACTGAGAAACTGAGGGTATGCTGCCACCTGCTGGTCAACTCTTGGTGTGACCAACTGCTCTACAGTTGGTTGAGGCTTGGGAAATTCTGCCACCTGGCGGCTTTTCCTGCAGTTTCTGGGTCAATTCTAAGGATAAGCTTTGTTATGTTAACTCTAAATCAGCTATGTCTGCTACAGACAAAAGAGCACTCCACTTTAAGGCATTGAATTTATAATGCACTACTTAACTGGGCATCTTGATTTTTGTTCCCAGATAGGCTTATCATTTGAGTAGAATTTCTTCCCTACATTTTATGCATATTTACTAATGCATTGGTGTTTACAGTTGCTATTGGTCTTGAATATTTTCCTTTGGAAAATGTGTGCTTTCTGCCAGGTCTCGGATAAAGAGATTTAGGAGAATGTTATTAAGCAGTACACTATATGTCATTTTGATCAGGTGGTATATGTTTTTCCTCTCAGTGCTAGTTGATCCTGGAAGCGTCCTCACTGACAAGCTGGTCAGGGTATGTTGAGTGTAATTTGAGGTCTCATTAGGAATGTAGTGAGATAGCTTTGTGACAGACTCACAGCACATAGTGAAAGACACACAGGTAGATGGATGGGAAGCTGTGGTTGTTGCCTGCTCTTCATTTCTTTCACAATTAGAAGTTGAGAGTGGGCCGGGCACAGTGGTTCATGCCTGTAATCCCAGCACTTTGGGAGGCCTAGGCGGGCAGATCGCGAGGTCAAGAGATTGAGACCATGCTGGCCAACATGGTGAAACCCTGTCTCCACTAAAAATACAAACATTAGCTGGGTGTGGTGGAGTGCGCCTGTAATCCCAGTTACTCGGGAGGCTGAGGCAGGAGAATTGCTTGAATCCGGGAGGTGGAGGTTGCAGTGATCCGAGACCGTGCCACTGCACTCCAGCCTGGGCGACAGAGTGAGACTCTGTCTCAAAAAAAAAAAAAAAAAAAAAAAGTTGAGAGTGAATACCTTTTGTGTAGATTTTGTTTCTAACTTTTTTTTTTTTTTATGTACAGTTCCTTATACTAAGGAGTGTAGCTGATAAAACCTTATTTTTATAATTTATGTGTCAACTTGTATTTGAGGATTGTTTGGACATTCAGCTGGGCTAATGATAGAGTTCTGGAGTAGATTCTTTTTCTGCTGCTGTGGTCTCACAATTTGTGAAAACAGTTATAAAATATGTGGTATGACTATAATGTGACAAAACTTAAAAATCCAAAATGGGTATGTGTGGATTCATTCTAGTCACCCCAAAATTGTCCCTGCAGGTAGTAGAATATTGAGTCTAATGTTGTTGAGTTTTTTTTGTTTTTTTTTTTGAGACAGGGTGTCACTCTGTCGCTGAGGCTGAAGTGCAGTGGCACAACCACTGCTCACTGCAGCCTCAACCTCCTAGGCTCAAGTACTCCTCCTGCCTCAGCCTCCTGAGTAGCTGGGACTGCAGGTGCATGCCAGCACACCCAGCTAATTTTTTTTCTTTTTGGTAGAGATGGCATCTCATTGTGTTGCCCAGGCTGCTCAAACTTCAGGGTTCAAGTGATCCTCCTTCCTCAGCCTCCCAAGATCCTGGCATTACGGGGGTGAGCCACCATGCCTGGCTGATGTTGAGATTATTCAGAATATTTTTGCAGGCAGCAGAAAACAGTTATGTAAAAAGAACAGTAGATAGTTCACGTAAGTGGTCCCCAACCTTTTTGGCACCGGGGACTGGTTTTAAGGAAGACAATTCTATAGATGCAGTGGGGGTGGGAGAAGGTAGGGGATGGTTTCGTGATGAAACTTTTCCACCTCAGGTCATCAGGCATTAGATTCTCATAAGGACTGCACAATCTAGATCCACGTGCGCAGTTCACAATACGGTTCATGCTCCTATGAGAATCTGATGCCACCGCGGATCTGACAGAAGGTGGACTCAGGCTCACCTGCCGCTCACCTCCTGCCATGTGACCCGGTTCCTAACAGGCCATGGACCGGTACCTGTCGGCAGCCTGGGGGTTGGGGACCCCTGCTTGAGATTATAACTTATGTTTTCCCCTCTGCTTACTGGCTATATAATCTGTGGAAATTCACCTTGTCTGTCTGGACCTCATCTGTTAAGTGCAGGGCTGGCCAGAATGAGAACCTTCAGGCAGGACTGTATATACAACTTCTAGAATCAAGGTAAAATGAAGAAGATAGTGCCCCTTATTTAGAGATAATTAAGAGTTTCAGATCAGAGGCATTTGATCATTAAAGCAAGCAGAAGCTCTTCTGAGCGCAGGGCCCTGTGGACTGCATAGGTGAATGCCCTGAAGCCAGCTCTCTGCCTCAGACTCTGGGGTGAGCTGTGGGGAAACATCAGTCTCTTGGGATGTTGAGTGAAACTCCTTGCACGGCTCGTTTATTTGTGGAAGTGTGTTTATAACACACCTGTTGGGGGGGCGTCTGTTTACCTTATATAAACCAAAAAACTTTCAGAGGCATTAAATATTTAGATGGGAATGAGCAATATTCTGTCTGGAAATCTTATGAGCAAACCTTGAAGCTAAGCTATCATTTGAAATGTTTCACAAAATGACCTGATTGGAATCCTTAATATATTGAGAACTTACACAATTGACAACAGTGATCATTTTCTGTAGAGAAATGGGGAAATGACAGTTTATTGAAAAAAAAAAAGCCTTTTTTGTATTCTCTGTCACTTAAGGATGTGGTCATCAGTAAATCTCCCTACATTCTCAACTTTTTCTCTAAATATTCCTCTCTTGATTTTATTTGGCTGTTTCTTAATAAACACTCTTACAACTCAGAGTTTCTCTCTGCGTCACCTTCAGTATTGAGAACACCTGATCTAGGTGGCGTCTTTGTTCTTCAAAATTTTAGCTTTTAGCTAATTTTTTATCAGAAACACAAGCACTTATGAAAAGCAGGTCACTCATTCTGTATCATCTGCTATACCTCAGTGATGTTGTAATTTGCTCATTTCTTGGCCATTCATCTCATTCCTTGATGTCAGTTTTTTATTATAATAAAGAGAAAATGCTGGGTATATAAAACAACATATTGTTGAAAAAAGTCCCAGTTTGTGTGTGTGTGTGTGTGTGTGTGTGTGTGTGTGTGTGTGTGTGTGTTTCATTTATTTGTTTGTTTGAGAGGGAGTCTCGCCCTGTCACCCAGGCTGGAGTGCAGCGGCCCAATCAATCTCGGCTCACTGCAAGCTCCGCCTCCCGGGTTCATGCCATCCTCCTGCCTGTAGTCCTAGTTCATGCCATCCTTCTGCCTGTAGTCCCACCTGCCACCATGCCCGGCTAATTTTTTTGTATTTTTTGATAGAGACGGCGATTCACCGTGTTAGTCAGGATGGTCTTGATCTCCTGACCTCGTGATCTGCCTGCCTTGGCCTCCCAAAGTGTTGGGATTACAGGCGTGAGCCACCGCGCCCGGCCGCATATATGTATTTTAGGAAACATAATCAAATGTTAACTGCCTCTGCATTATAACATCATAAATATTTTGGTCATCTTTTAAGTATTTAATTTTAGTAAAAAAGCAAAACTTTATAATCAGAAAAAGGTAAAAGGTATTTAAAAGCGAAAACCTATTTTTCCCCATCTGATAATACCTATTGTATTGTAAAAGTGGCTAGACTTTTTTTTTTTTTTTGAGAAATTGAGTCTTCATTTTCTATAATCTAGAGTAATAAATGGAAATCAAGAAAGCAGCAAGATGGCTTTTAGGAAATGGGTTTTCCAGAAGAAATTTGGAAATTGCCTCAAATTTAAAGAATATTTTAAGAAACTAATTTTGCACTTTTGTGATTTCTGTCTCCCGAAGAATGTGGGGAAGAAGAGACTAGAATAGAATTCTTCCTGGAAGGAAATACAGTGTGCAAAATTTTAGGATTTGTAAAGAGTCCCTAGAAGATAACAAGAATGGGTAGGAAGTATTTAAGAATATGGGCAAAATATTTTTGTCGCAATGTTCTAAGGAAAGTAGAATACCAAAACTACAGACTGTGTGTGTGTGTGTGTGTGTGTGTGTGTGTGTGTGTGTGTGTGTGTTTGAGATGGAGTCTTGCTCTGTTGCCCAGGCTGGAGTGCTGTGGCCCAGTCTCGGCTCACTGTAAGCTCCGCCTCCTGGGTTCACGCCATTCTCCTGCCTCAGCCTCCCGAGTAGCTGGGACTACAGGTGCCCGCCACCGTGCCCGGCTAATTTTTGTATTTTTAGTAGAGACGGGGTTTCACCGTGTTAGCCAGGATGGTCTCGATCTCCTGATCTCGTGATCCGCCCACCTCGGCCTCCCAAAGTGCTGGGATTATAGGTGTGAGCCACCACGTCCGGCCGTGTGTGTGTTTTTAAAAGAGATTAGAAATGGCCACATCAAAATATAACAGCAGTTACTTGAGGGGTGGGCTTGTGGTTAGCTTTAGTCTTACTTATCCCTTTTGTTTTTGCCCCCCAAGTAGGACTATTCGTGTCCGTCTCTCTATTTTACAATGATATGGTTTAGTTTCTATAATCAGAAAAAAGTTTTTTAAAGATGTTTTCTCTTTCAATCAGATTTAAAATACTAAAATAATAAGGCTTAATTTAAAGCTAGTTTATTTGGAAATGTTTAATTACTAAAGGATGTAAAGAAAACAAGGCAGCAGTGATCTTTTATTGGAAAGATAGCATTAGACAGTGTCCTACCGTATAGATTATTGTGAGGATTAAAGAACCATGTAAATGCTCAAATGTTACCTATTGTAACGTTTGGGGTCTAACATTATTGTAATTAGAAGATGCCTTCATATGTACTTGGAACTTATAATTGGAAATTGCAAGGTTTTAGCCATTCTATTGATTTTATGCAAAGTTTTCAATTCATAATTTACCTAAAAATGGTACATTTAAAAAATAGTGGCTGGGGATGGTGGCTCACGCCTATAATCCCAGCACTTTGGGACATTGAGGCGGGAGGATCACTTGAGCCCCAGAGTTCAGGACCAGCCTGGGCAATGTAGTGAGACCCTGTCTCCACAAAAAATAGAGAAAAATTAGCTGGAGGTGGTGGCACATGTGAGTAGTCCCTGTACTCGGGAGGCTGAGGTGGGAGGATCATTTGAGCCTGGGAGGTCGAGGCTGCAGTGAACTGGGATTGTGTCACTTTACTCCAGCCTGACCAACAGAGTGAGACTCGGTCAAAAAAAAAAAAAAAAAAAAAGCCTTCCATTCCCAGTGCAGAAAATAAACCTCTGAGGAAGTTGGGTGGTGAGGGAGAGGGGGACCTCATGGAGGCGTCTGCGGCAGGGATGGTGGAGTGGTGATGAGACAGAGGTGGCTGCTGGGGCATTTGGGAGATTGCTTATGCTGAGCAGAGATGTTAAGTGAGCACGTAAGCAGACATGTTGAGAATGAGAACCAGGCTTCTTACTGTCTGGGAAAAAATTCACAAATTTGGAAGGAGAGAGGCTGGAAAGAAACCTGAAGAACTGGAGTAGAATTAGATTTCTTGGTAGGAAGTCATGGGTTTTCAAATATATAGGTAGATAAAGAAGTAGTGATTGTGTGTTTATATAAACACGTGTGCTCTGTGTATACAGTTGACCCTTGAACTATGTTGGGGTTAGCACCCCTGCGCTATTGGATGTCTGCGTGTAACTTTTGACTTCCCCCAAATTTGACTACTAATCGCCTACTGTTGATCAGAAGCCTCACCCATAACAGAAATAGCTGATTACCACACATTTTGTGTGTTCTATGTATGATATACTGTGTTCTTACAATGAAGTAAGCTAGAGAAAAGAAAATGTTATTACAAAAATCATCAGGAAGAGAAAATATACTTTAAGTGGAAGTGGATCATCATAAAGGCCTTCATGTGTGTCTTCATAATGAGTAGGCTGAGGAGGAAGAGTTGCTGTCACAGGAGTTGTAGATGGGGAGGAAAATCCATGTATAAGTAGATCCACAAAGTTCAAGCCTGTGTTAAGGCTCAGCTGTATGTACATCTGCTTCCTAAGGCTGTCTGCTGAGAAGACTTAGAAGTGAGCACACTGTGCCCAGATCTTGTCGCAGGAGTTGTAGATGGGGAGGAAAATCCATGTGTAAGTAGATCCACAAAGTTCAAGCCTGTGTTAAGGCTGAACTGTATGTACATCTATTTCCTAAGGCTGTCTGCTGAGAAGTCCTTAGCTGTGAGCACACTGTGCCCAGATCTTGGTTTCCAAATATTAAATACCCTCCACTAAAAAGAACAAGAGCTCCTTTCCAGGACTGGCGCAGGGAAAGTATAAGATGAGCCTAGGGTACCTTATTGGACCAGAAGGTAAGGAACTGGTTGAAGAATCAAGGGGACCAGTCAAAAGACAGAAGCCAGTTCGAAGGGACCTCCTGCTGCTCAAATCTAGGGCAATTTGAGCATGAACATAAATAATAGCATTATTGGCTTAAATAGAAGTGTGTGTACATGTTCACACCTGTGATAGCATCCATACATGTATGGCATGCACATATATGCATATGTGTATATATATTATACACACATGGGGGGAAATGAGGGTTGATGAGGGTTGGAAGGAATCTCAGCAAAATGACCAAGGAGGGGAATAAAGTCAGGGTGAAATTATTACAAAGATGGGGATAAGGGTGGGGGATGGTGGCTCATGCTTATAATCCCAACAGTGTGGGAGGCTGAAGCGGGTAGATTGCTTGAGCCCAGGAGTTCGAGACCAGCCTGGGCCCCATAATGAGACCCCTGTCTCTACAAAAAAACAAAAAACAAAACACACACACACACACACACACACACACACACACACACACACTCTTGGCCTGGTGTAGTGGTGTGCGCCTGTAGTCCCAGTTCCTCTGGAGGCTGAGGTGAGAGGATGACTTGAGTTCAGGAGGTTGAGGCTGTGATGAGGTATTATCATGCCACTGTACTCCAGCCTGGGAGACAGAGTGAGACCCTGTCTTTAAAAAAAAAAAAAAGGGGGGATAAGAAAACCTGGAGAAATGGAAGGCGAGAGGGAACCTAGCCGTCAACAACTGAGTTCTACTTTCTTTGCGGGCTTACACTTTCTTACAGGACATAAGCTGATATTTCTCGCAGCTCTTAGTTTGTGTTTAAAAAAAAACAACAAACCTCTGCAGACAGGTTTTCCCTTTTACAATCTACATTTATCAGACTCTCCATCCCTTTACAAAAAAGATGTGCCATTCTAACATTTTGCCACGCTTAGGACCCTTGGCAGCCCCTTTTATTGTAGGGAGGAAAGAGGAGAAATTTCAATAATAATTTTCTGTCTCAGTTCCTCCACAGTTTCACATCAGCAGTTTTTTGGTATTAATACAATTATTTTTGAGCCTGGATGAAAGAAGTGTCCAGGAACACGGTGGTGCTGACTCGTCACAATTGCCTTGCTAATTCTGTCACTTCACCTTGTATATATGTTTTCGGTGTAGCCGTTTGACAGATATTGGCACACCAAGTGTCCTGGGTTTCAGAAATGTGATTTGTCTCTTCAGATATCAAAGACATTATTTGTGTAGGTGAGATTTTTTTTCCCCCTTCTGTCTTCAGGGAAGAAATGTCATTTTCAAGTGCAATTGCCATGACCTGGAAAAACTGACACTTGTATTTATTAGTTTGCAAAGAAGAATTAAACTTTTTCAGATTCTGAGTATTTACAGACTGCTAATGTAACAGTAACAAAACAGATTGATTGAGTCAGATTGGTTGTTGCAAAGGAAATTCTTCTCAGGTAGCTATATTAAAACCTAACTTATGTTTTAAACCTAAAATTTAGTAATAGTGTGAGACCTGAAGGCAGGAATTTTTATGTTGAATAGTAAAATTATTAATGGTGTTAGAAAGCCTCCAAAGTAACCTGTAGTAACCTTGGCTTATACTCCTCTGGTAGCTATTTTACTGCTATTTTTTTTTCTTTGCACATGAATCTCAGGAGGCACACTGGAAAGAATGGGGGTATTTTGAGAAATTTATAAAAAAGTTATTTAGAGTTAAAAAATGTAATTACATTTATGCAGAGACTTTAAAATGTTCATGAGAAAACTCATATGAGAACTTAACATTTATGTGTGTTTTTTAATCCATTTCAGACACGGAATCGATTTGAAGGAACAAGGTCAGAAGTGGAAGAGCTCATGAACAAAATCAGACAGAATCCCAAGGACCACAAACGAGCAAGTCAGTTTACAGCCGAAGGCTACCTGTATGTCCAGGAAAAAAGTAAGAGGCCCTCCAGCAGTGGCTGCGTGGCTGCTTAAAAATGCAAATTATTGAAAACTCTGCTATTCTTGCCATTACTGTGACATTTTGGGCAATTATTCCTACCTCTTTCTCTCCCTGCTCCTATCACCTAATGGGTGTATATTTCATGTTTAGGAGAAACACATTCCAGCCCTGGAGAGAGGGGGTACTGTGAGGTTAGGAGTGGCTGTGAGCACCCTGTTCTTCAGACACCCCACTAGCTTCTGTTTTACACTGTGTGCACCCCAGGAACATGCTTGTAAGAGAGTCAGAATTTGGTGTAAGGCTGAAAATGAGCCAGAGTTACGAGGGTATGATGTTTTTTCTCCTTCCCCCTCACCTCTACCCTCATCACCAATGCACACAGGCACACACATTCATTCATACACACGTATACGTCCTCTCCCTCCCATAACCCTGCCTCTCTGTCATCTTAAGGTCAAGAGGGACATATTAGTATTTTTCTTCTTCCTTCATACCATTTTTGTTCCCACCAGTCTGAGATAGCTGGTTCTTACTAAAATCATCAGGAAGATTGCAGATGGTGATAAAAGATATTCCTACGTGGCATCCTAACTTGTAGGCTTTTTAGTCTTTGTTGCTGTCTTAGCAAATATGCAGTGCATAGATTGTTCTCATTTTGAAAATTAAAAGACCTGTATTTCTTTCAGACTTTGAACATTTGGTCTTATTTTAACAGCTAAGTTCTTAACGTTTACTACGTCAACTGTACAACCCAATTGCTAGTTAGCAGAAGGGATGAGAATGTGAAATGGGTCTCTTTACTATTTCCCTCCCTCTCCACCCTTAACTGTGATTAGGGTGTTTTACAGTTTTCACTTCATTTAAGTGTGGCTGATTTACAGGACTTTCAATCCGACCTAAAAATTTAGTGGTAGACATGACTCAGGGAACGGTTACAGGGTATCTGTGCTTTGAATAGAAGTTAATGTTCTATGCAGGCAGCAGGATGGTTGTGCCTTTTCCATTTGCCCTTATTTAATCTGGAATCTCGCAGCCTTCACCTTTTGTGAGCAGTTGTATGATATGGCAGAAGTCTCCATTTTTCTCATACATTATCTTCTTAATCTCAGTTTTTAAAATTGAATTTGAAAGAAATAAATTAAAACTCAAGATAGGGCTGGGCGCGGTGGCTCACACTTGTAATCCCAGCACTCTGGGAGGCCGAGGTGGGCAGATCACGAGGTCAGGAGATCGAGACCATCCTGGCTAATACAGTGAAACCCTGTCTCTACTAAAAAATACAAAAAATCAGCAGGGCGTAGTGGCGGGCACCTGTAGTCCCAGCTACTCGGGAGGCTGAGGCAGGAGAATGGCGTGAACCTGGGAGGCGGAGCTTGCAGTGAGCCAAGATCGCGCCACTGCACTCCAGCCTGGGTGACAAAGCAAGACTCTGTCTCAAAAAAAGGAAAAAAACAAAACAAAACAAAAAACCACCTCGATAGTCTTGAGAATGTTAGAATTATTTGTATTATATGCCCAAGTGAAAATCACAGGAAACTTTAATTTTTAGATTCATCACTGTTGCCTTTGAGAGAAATTGGACTGAAACAACATAACAGTAGTGGTAAAATTCTTTCCTCATTTACTGTATACCCAGCACTGTGCTAAATTCGTATACAACTTGTCTCATTTATCCATAAAACAGCCCTATGAAGTATAAGGTACTATTACTGTTGCCCATTTATAAATGAAAATGGAGGCACTGAGAGGTAAATAATGTTCCCTAGGTCATACAACTACTAAATGCTGGAGTTGTCATTCTGAACCTGGAGTCTGTGTTGGTAATGTCTCCCGTAAATTGCTTGGCGCTTGAACAGGCGTGAAAGAGCATCATTAGTGTGTATGCCCAGAGCTGGTTGAATAGGCCCTGTTGGTTGTCAGAAGGGAATGGTGGCTTAAGTAGTGGAAAGACCTTGATATTTGGGGCCAGAGATTCTGATTTAAGGTTTGGCTTTGTCATTTTCCAGGCATTTGGGCTAAGCTTAAATTTTTTTTGGATTAAATAGACAGTATCATCCTCTCTGGGCAGTTTTTTTTTTCTTAGAGTTAAATAAAATATCTGTGCAATATTTTTTTTGTCAACCATAGAACACAGTACAAATGCTGGTTCTTTAAAACACAAAGCAATGTTTCCCAAATTCAGGTCTTTGGACTGATGATGGTCTGAGATAAAATTGATAGTGGTCTGGTAACCCTTTTCATCTATTACCCCTGTCCCAAATAATGTAATTAGCTTTTCCTAAAGCTAGCTAAAAGCATTCCTTTTACATGAGTTATTTTTCCCCTCCTGGGCTTTTTTGATTTTTAGGTGTAGAAACTTTGTTTGTTTGTACATGAAATTACTGTGATAACAGATGTTAATTGCTTTTTTAAAAGTGTCTTGACTCAGTAAAGTAAGAAATTGTCAACTTCTGCTGGGCCTAACCTTTAATTTGTTATGGTTGGACTTTTATTGGCATGTGAAGTTCCAGATGCTAGAGGTCCCTCTGACATACAGCATTGTCCTGTGAGCCCTGATGGTGGTACTGCTGACTTAGTAAGAGTGGAAAAGGGGTTCAGAGAGTGTTCTGGGGCATACTTGGACAGTCACTCCTATTGAGTCTTAGATTTCTTATTCTTCATACTTTTTTTTTTTTTTTGCTGAGATTACAGGCATGAGCCACGAGGCCCAGCCATTCTCTTGGTTCTTAAGATTTTTTTAGACCTTACTGATTACAGTAATGTTAAGCCAGACAATACCAATGTTATTTTATTTTATTTTTTGACAGTGTTGCTCTGTCACCCAGGCTGGAGGGCAGTGGCACGATCTCATCTCACTGCAACTTCCGCCTCCTGGGTTCAAGCCATTCTTCTGCCGCACCCTCCCCAGTAGCTGGGATTACAGGCACGCACCACCACGCCCAGCTAATTTTTTTTTTTTTGGAGACAGAGCCTCTGTCACCCAGGCTGGAGTGCAGTGGCGCGATCTCAGCTCACTGCAACCTCTGCCTCCTGGGTTCAGCCTATTCACCTGCCTCAGCCTCCCGAGTAGCTGGGACTACAGGCGCGTGCCACCACGCCTGGCTAAATTTTTTGTATTTTAGTAGAGACAGGGTTTCACAACGTTGGCCAGGATGGTCTCCATCTCCTGACTTCGTGATCCACCCGCCTTGGCCTCCCAAAGTGCTAGGATTACAGGCGTGAGCCACTGCGCCTGGCCCATACTTCATTTTTAAAGGCTAGCTTTCAATCATCAGTAAGAGCAGCTGCTTACTAGGATGCTGTTCATGGACTTAAAGCACTAGGTGGATTTTTAGACTAGATGCTTCTTAGCACTATGATTCTATAATTCTATCATTTTGAGAGGCCAGAATTAAATCCCAAACCATCTCATATATGGGATGGAACTTTTGAAACCCTTGTGAGCTCTTAATACCTAGAAACAAACAAAAAATAGAGCTTACAATTAAGAGATTTTCAGATAGGACATAACTGTTGATTTTTCTAGCAAACTATTTAAACAGTATGTCTTTAAATCACTTCTGTCTTGCTAAATCTTAGAGGTTTGTTTCAAAGTATCTCTTATTTTCCTTCTTCCTCTTTTTTTTTTTTTTTTTTTTGAGTCGGAGTCTCGCTCTGTTGCCCAGGCTGGAGCGCAGTGGCGCGATCTCGGCTCACTGCAAGCTCTGCCTCTTGGGTTCACACCATTCTCCTGCCTCAGCCTCCCGAGTAGCTAAGACTATAGGCGCCTGCCACTATGCCTGGCTAATTTTTTTTAGTAGAGATGGAGTTTCACCGTGTTAGCCAGGATGGTCTCGATTTCCTGACCTTGTGATCCACCCGCCTCGACCTCCCAAAGTGCTGGGATTACAGGCGTGAGCCACCGTGCCCGGCCTCCCCTCTTCTTCTTAGAACTAGCAGTATTGCTGATTTGTTTCATTGATTCAGCTGTATTCGTTGCTGCGTTTTAGACATTTCCTCTTTAGTAATGTGTTTATAGCTCTGCAAATCTGCTTATTTATGAGGGAAAATATAAAGGGCTGTTTTTTTGTTGAAGGGCCTGCTCCGTTTGGTTCCAGTTGGGTCAAACACTATTGCATGTATCGAAAAGCAGCAAAGAAGTTCAACATGATCCCATTTGAGCACAGATCTGGAGGGAAACTTGTAAGTATTTGATTCAACATAGAATAGATTATAATCTGTCAGAGGTAGTGTTTGAGGGTGTCATTTTAATGGTTTATATTTTAATGGTTTATATTCATGGATGGTAAATAAATTGTTAGTATTAAAATCTTTGTTTTGTTTTTGAGTGAAATGGGCCAGAAGACAGAACAATATATATGTTTTCTGAATTACATGCATGGGTTTTAAACCACTAGATTTTTTTTTTTTTAAGTTCTGGGATACATGTGCACAACGTGCAGGTTTGTTACATAGGTATGCATGTGTCATGGTGATTTGCTGCACCCATCAACCCATCATCTACATTAGATATTTCTCCTAATGCTATCCCTCCCCTAGCCCCCAGCCCCCTCACAGACCCCAGTGTGTGATGTTCCCCTCCCTGTGTCCATGTGTTCTCATTGTCAGCTCCCACTTAAGAGTGAGAATATGTGGTTTTAACCACTAGATATTTTTTAGGTGAACAATAGAATCCTTTTTATGCCACTGTTTGGAAGATAAAGGTAACACTGACAGCAAGCTTTCATGACTCAGTGGTTCCTCAGCATTTATACAATGGAACTGACTTGCTGTTCATAGCCTGAAAACAAAGAAGAGTGATCTACGATAAATTTTACTGTTGTTCTGTTCATCTTACAAAGTTCTCACATAGGTATTCACCATTTAGTTAACTGTTCCCCCTGAAACTAAAACAGCAAAGCATGATAGTAAGAAAAGAGCAAGAAGACCTCACAGAGTTGGCTGTGTAGGAAAGGTGATCTTTATATGTATTTTAAATGGAATCTGCAGCTTATTACAATAATTAATGGCCTAGAGACAAAGCTTCCCACCAATGTTGAACATAATTGATAACACATTTTAAGAAAGCAGCTTAATTCATTGCTTACTGGGTGAATGGGTATGGTTTTGCTTAGGTGAATAAAAAAAGAAAAACCTATGTTCACTTCTATTTACTTGTACTATGCCTTTCCCTGAAAAATATTTAAAGCAGCTTTTAATAAAAACACATTTATATAATAATGAAACAGACATGGAAAATTAGTCATGGTGAGGAGAAGGAAGTGAGGAGATGGCTCTTGAAGCATCAGGTTTGAGACTGAGTTTCCTGTCAGAGCCAGTTCAAGTCCTAAGATATTTCTGCTTAGTGATATCTTTCTGTTTTAGCCTCCAAATAATAATGATAAATATGTTATGGAATATAACTGTGAGATTTTGAATATTTGTGTATCTTAATGTTTGTTACTTAGAGATCTTCACGTTCTGGAAAATGTTAAAATGTTCAATAAGTGTGTACTCACACTTTATATAGTTGTTCTTTTACTGAGCACTTGTATTTCTGCATTGCAAATTAAGTAAAGATAAATTCAGGGTGATTCACATAGGGAAGAGAGAAATTGCATAGATTAAATGGTTCTAGCTTTAGATTATGAAAATATTTAATCTAGGGTTATCGGTGTACTTTTAGGCTGACGTGTATGGAATTGCAATTTTTATAGGCCAAAAATAGTCACATATTTTTTGTGACATGTGGTAAGAAATAAATTTTTACACTAAAAAAAAGAGTACAATAAGAGACTAACAGTATTCCAGTATCTTAAAACTGTACTGTTAATCTACCTTTGAAAATTAACATTTGGCCAGGGACACTGGCTCACGCCTGTAATCCCAGCACTTTGGGAGGCCGAGGTGGGCAGATCACTTGAGGTCAGGAGTTTGAGACTGGCCTGGCCAACATGGTGAAATCCTGTCTCTACTAAAAATACAAAAATTAGCCAGTCATGGTGATGCACACCTGTAATCCCAGCTATTTGGGTGGCTGAGTCACAGAGTTGCTTGAACCCAGGATTCGGAGTTTGCAGTGAGCTGAGATTGCACCACTGCACTCCAGCCTGGGCAACAGAGCAAGACTGTCAAAAAAAAAAAAAAGTAACATTGGTATTGTCTGGCATAACATTACCATCATCAGTAAGGTCTAGAAAATCTTAAGAATCAAGAGAATGGCTGGGCGCGGTGGCTCACGCCTGTAATCCCAGCACTTTGGGAGGCTGAGGCGGGTGGATCATCTGAGGTCAGGAGATTGACACCAGCCTGGCCAACATGGTGAAACCCTGTTTCTACTGAAAATACAAAAATCATCCAGGTGTGGTGGTGCATGCCTGTAATCCCAGCTACTCTGGAGGCTGAGGCAGGAGAATCACTTGAACCTGGGAGATGGAGGTTGCAGTGAGCCAAGATCCTGCCACTGCACTCCAGCCTGGGTGAAAGAGCGAGGCTCCCTTCTCAAAAGAATCAGGAGAATGACAAAAATATTAATATTTTAGATTCTAAATAGCATTTAAATAAGCCAGTTTGAAAGAGGATAGGGTAAAGAGAAGGACTTAAGATCTTGAACCTTGCTCCCCTGCTCTCCAGTATAGAATGGCTGAGTGTGTATATACTTATCCTGTAGGTTTTGAGAATGTTCAAAATGATTATTTGCAGGGGGACGGAGAGGTGTTCTTTTTGAAAGAATGTACCAAGAGGCATACTGACTCCATTGACAGAAGGTTTTGTTTTGACATAGAAGCTGCTGATCGGTAAGTTATTGGAATTATTGGACATGGTGAAAGAGTCGTTTTAAAAAAATGATTTAAAAAAATAGAGGTTAGTTGCAACTGTGATTTCTGTGGCCTGGGAGAATGTTATCTTGCTATATTTCCAGGCTGTGTGTTCATTATAAGCTGTTTAGTCTTGATCACCGGGTTTAGCTATGGGGTGATAGTTTCATCTTGATTTAGTTAGGAGTCATTCTAACCAGGGTTGTCACTTAAAAAATAACCTTGGAGGCCAGGTGCAGTGGCTCACACCTGTAATCCCAGCACTTTGGGAGGCCGAGGTGGGCAGATTATGAGGTCAGGAGTTCAAGACCATCCAGGCCAAAATGGTGAAACTCTGTCTCTACTAAAAAGACAAAAAAATTAGCCAGGCGTGGTGGCATACACCTGTAGTCCCAGCTACATGGGAGGCTGAGGCAGGAGAACCATTTGAACCCAGGAGGCGGAGGCTGCAGTGAGCCAAGATGGTGCCACTGCACTCCAGCCTGGGCGACAGAGTGAGACTCCGTTTCAAAAAAAAAAAAAATTGCCTTGGAGCTTTTCATTGTTGATCCAAGCCTAATTTGTAGCATGAAGAGAACAATGGCGAGAGGAACTGGGTGACAAAGCTAAAAAGGGGTGATAGGTAGCTAGCTACTAATACAGAACAACATTCATTTGTGTGTGGGGGGGTTTTCAGTGTCTACATCCTGTACGTGATGGAGGGTCTTAGGCAAACTCCTTCTGTTTATTCAAAGGTGAATTCTTTTTTTTCCTTATTGCATGACTTCCAGTTATTTAGTTGTAAAAGAATCTTTGCCAGAGAGGAAGAAGTAGAAGAGAAAATTTTGTTCATCAGTATTACTACTTGTCTGGCATTAATTTCTATGTCCTCCAGTAGCATTAAGGAAAATCCTAGTGTTCATAGAATATTTGCTTTTTAATGGCTGACAGTACAGTGATTCCTTGCCAGCCCTGGTTTTGGCAGTGATAGTTTTTAGGTAAGGCTGTTCTATGTTTGTATAATAAAAGCTTATGAGATTTGTTAAAGCAAAAGTTCAGGTCAGAACCCAGGAATACAAAAGTAATTAATGCTGCTTCCTCTCTTAGATGATATAGTTGAGTCTCTGGGAGTAGTGCAGAGAGGAAGGATTAGTGGTTCACTTTGTAATAAATGAATTGAAGACCATTTATTGTACATAAAAACAGGCCCTTAAGCACCATGATAAGTTTGGCACTACTGTGAAAAGGACAAGTGGTTAAATAAGCGTTTTGCCAAGATAGGAAAAATATGAAAGAGAATGTCAGTGAAAAAGAGGTTGGGTCTTGCTATGTTGCCCAAGCTGGTCTCAAAACTCCTGGACTCAAGCAATCCTCCCACCTTGGCCTCCCAAAGTCATAGGACTACAGGTGTGAGCCACCATGCCTGGCCTAAATTTCAAGCCAGTAAGAACTCTTCCAAACTTTAAGAAGGGAATTAGTCAGTGTAACACAAGTCGAGCATACATCTGTGCGCACACACCCATGGGTGGCATTGGATTCCTTTCTGAGTGCCACTGTTCTAAATGCTTCTGTGTTTTATCTCAGCTAATTCCTTGCCATAGCTCTCTCAGGTAGTTGTTACTGTTTCCATTTTATGATGAGAAACTGAGGCACAGAGCATTTGAGCAATTTCCCCAAGGTCACGTAGCTAGTGGGTAGTTGAAGAGCTGAGATTTGAGCCCCTGCATTCTCCTCCTAGAGCCCCACATCTTACCTTTTTCTTTTTTCTTTCTTTTTTTTTGAGACGAGTCTCACTTTTTTTGCCCAGGCTGGAGTGCAGTGGTGTAATCTCGGCTCACTGCAACCTCTGCCTCCCGGGCTCAAGTGATTCTTCTGCCTCAGCCTCCTGAGTAGCTGGGATTATGGGGGCACACTACCAGACCCGGCTAATTTTTGTATTTTCAGTACAGACAGGGTTTTGCTATGTTGGCCAGGCTGGTCTTGAACTCCTGACCTCAAGGGATCCACCTGCCTTGGCCTCCCAAAGTGCTGGGATTACAGGCAAGAGCCACTGTGCCTAGCTTGAGCCCTACCTCTTAACCACTGTGCCATAAGTCTCTGCAGATTACCATATAATCAGAATGTTTTCTAAATAATTGACAAAGATGAGCTAGCAGTCTACTAGAGAATATGTTAAGTGAGGTGAATCTGATTAGTTGTGAAAGCAGGGTACTTCTATAATGCAATTTAATCATTTTAATCATCCAGAGTCTCTGGTTTTCTCTGAGACCTTGATCATGCCCAATTTTCTTTTCTTTTTTTGTCAGCCATGATCCTAGCTATGATTGGAACCACTCTCCACCCCTCAAAGACATTGATGAGGGATTCCTATGGAGGTGCTTACACATACGAAGGATAATACCTGTAGGGAGACTCTTGGAACAGGGGAGGACTTTAGGTCAGGGATCTATTCTAGTGGTTTTCAAGTACTTTATAGGGAGACTCTCTTTTCAAATAAAATTTCATGTTAATGTGTATATAAAGCAAAAAAAGTGGGTTCCCTTATTAAAGAGGCATAGGGGCCTGGATTCCTCCCCACCTTTTAGCTTCCGTCTTTTTTCTTGCAAAAGTCTCTAATTTACTTCCATTGAGGCTCACAGCTCCTTTCTGGGAACTCCTGGCAGGGGGACCTAATCTAGTTTAGGTGGCTAAATAAAGGCACACAGAGGATCTGACATCTAAATTCATAAACTAAAGGGTTATCTGGAGTCAGCTGGGATTGAGAGTCATGTGCCAGGTAGAGTGAGTGTCACATGTGGAGGCCTGGAGACAGGAGAGAGCATGATGTATTTGAGACACCTAGCGTCACTAGTGCAAGAGCCAGAGAGAGTGGGAGAAGAGGCTTGAGATGGGGCAACGGCCTGAACTTGAAGTTTTTGAACTTAATCCATTAAATAGTTTTAAGCAGGGCAGTGAGTGACAATTATATTTGTATTTCTCAAAGCTCATTCTGGCAGAGTAAGAAAGATTTGGAGGTAGCAAGAGGGGACAAGAGGAAGTAGTTTAAGGACAGGGTGAGAGGGCCAGGATTGGTGTGGTGGCAGTGGGGGTGGAGCCAAGTGGGGTAGATTTCTGGGGATAAACTGGATGTTGCAGTAGAGGGTGAAGGAGTGGGGAAGGTTTCTGGCTTGAGTAGCTAGATGGTACCATTCACTAAGGTGGGAAACAAAGTGGGGGCATAAGGATGGGGGAAGACAGTAAAATTAGTTTGGGTCATTGTATTAGTTCATTTTCATACTGCTATGAAGAAATACCCAAGACTGGGTAATTTATAAAGAAAAAGAGGTTTAATGGACTCACAGTTCCATATGGTTGGGGAGGCCTCATAATCATGGCAGAAGGTGAAAGAGGAGCAAAGGCACATCTTACATGGCAGCAGGCAAGAGAACGTGTGCAGGGAACTGCCCTTTATAAAAACTATCAGATCTTGTGAGACTTATTCACTGTCATGAGAATAGCATGGGAAAAACCCATTCCCATGATTCAGTTACCTCCCACCAGGTCCCTCCCACAACATATGGGGATTATGGGAGCTACAATTCAAGTTGAGACTTGGGTGGGGACACAGCCAAACCATATCAGTCATGTTGAGTTAGATTGCTGTGGGTCATTATGAAGAGAAACCTGGGAAGAAATTGGGTACAGAGCTTGGCGGCTATGGCAGCATTTGATTTGTTATTCACGTTTGACCTCCTGAAACTCTCTATCCTTTTACTTCCATGACAGTTAACCATTCTGGTTCTCCCTCAGATCTCTTGGTCCTCTCCAGTTCAGCTGTTGCTCCTTTAAATGTTGCCATTTCCTATAGTTGTTTTTCTGTATCCATCCATTCTCATGGTTTCACACTTGAAAGTATATCTCTTGTAATATGTAGTTTCCTTACCCTTTTCTGTGTTTTGAACTGCTTCTAGAATGTTTAGCTCCCTAATCCTAAAATCCGAGATCTATAATGCTTCCAAATGCAAAAATTTTTTAGCACTGGCATAATGCCACAAGTGGAGAATTCCATACCTGACCTCATGTGATGGGTTGTAGTCAGAACTTCATTTCATGCACAAAATTATTAAAAATGTACAAAGTTACCTACAGGCTACAGGTATAAGGGGTATATGAAACGTACATGAATTTCTTGTTGAGATTTGGTTTCCATTCCCAAGATACCTCATTTCGTATGTGCAAATATTCTAAAATCCAAAAAAAATTGAAATCCAGAACCCTTCTCATTGCAAGCATTTTGGATAAAGGATACTCAACCGGTGCATTGCCAATTCTGCTCTTTTTACAAGTCTTGGTAATTTCAGTATGGCTTCAGATGATGCTTTCAGCACTTGGCTTCTTGACTTGTTAAGTTCCTCTCCTTCAGTGACCTTGTTCTTTACCGTACCTCAGCCATTCTCTCCGGTGTTCATTCCTTAGACTTTGTCATTGCAAGGAACTGCAGTCCTCCGCAATCCTGATTGCAAGACTTTCTCTTTCTACCACCTTCTTTCCTAATAAGTACCCTTAGATTCCCCAGTTAAGCCCTACAGTCTGTTGTTCGTCGTGCACTCACTTTCTTCCTTAACTAGTTGAAATTTCATAGTCACTCATCACAGTCCCTTTTTAATACCCTTCACTCCACTGCTTCTTTCCTTCTTTATTTTGCTTGTTTGCACAATCCCAACTTAAGATTCAGTTCTGCCTTCTCTCTTTCTAGAGAAGCAATTTCTACTGTATTCATGGGATCACTTCAAATACATGACCACTGTCCAACAATAGGCGGCCATTCATGGTAGCCACTGATCATACTGTGTTTTCTTTTTCTTTTTCTTTTCTTTGAGATAGAGTCTCGCTCTGTCACCCAGGCTGGAGGGCAGTGGCACCATCTCTGCTCACCGCAACCTCCGCCTCCTGGGTTCAAGCAATTCTTATGCCTTAGCCTCCTGAGTAGCTGGGACTACAAGTGTGTGCCACTATACCTGACTAATTTTTGTATTTTTAGTAGACGGAGTTTCAGTTTCACCTTGAACTCCTGAACTCAAGAGATCCACCTGCCTCGGCCTCCCAAAGTGCTGGGATTACAGGCGCGAGTCACCCTGCCCGGCCCATGCTATGTTTCCTTAGTTGCTGTATACTCCCAGTTGAATATTTTATATTTTCCTCTCTCTCTTAAGCTCTGACACTGCCTTCCTTTCCTGATGACTTTGTGTCCTATTTTGTTGTGAAAATAGAAGCTGTAACAAGAGCTGTTTCCCGCTCTAGACACCCACCTCCACCCTCAGTGCCCAGACACCCTGCCTTTCCTCCCTGCCTGTGGGAGCTGCCTGTGTTCCTGATGGAGGCCAACTCCTCTGTTCAGGTGTTTCCATTTCCTCTTCCCATCTTCTCTCCACTGCTCCAGGATATTACTCAAGCAACTCTACTTTTTCTTTCTTGTTAACATTAGTTTTGGCTCCCGGCAGCAAGTGAAATGCTCTTATTTCATTCATCTTAAAAAAACAAAAGCCACTACAGCCACCATCACCAATGAAACCACCCTTCCCTTTCATTTACTGCCCATTTTTTAACTCCTATAAACATAACAATTCTTCAAAAAGCTATCATATTTATGGTCTCACATTTCTTTCCTGGCCAGGTGCGGTGGCTCATGCCTGTAATCCCAGCACTTTGGGAAGCCGAGGTGGGTGGATCACCTGAGGTCAGGAGTGCAAGAGCAGCCTGACCGATATGGTTAAACCCCATCTCTACTAAAAATACAAAAATTAGCCGGGTGTGGTGGCGGGCGCTTGTAGTCCCAGCTACTCAGGAGGCTGAGACAGGAGAATTTTTTGAACCTGGGAGGCGGAGGTTGCAGTGAGCTGAGATGGCACCACCGCACTCCAGCCTGGGCGACAGAGCGAGACTCCATCTCAAAAAAAAAAAAAATTTTTTTTTTCCTATTTCTTCCCTCTTCTCTTTTGAGCTGTCTACTGAGGCCTTTGCCCTTTCTCTCCACTGCAGTTTTTGTTGAAGCCATCAGTGGTCTCCCTGTTGCTGTGCCTGGTGGTCGATTCCCAGTGCTCATGGTCTTTCCCTCGCAGCATCCCTGACATTGCCCATCACTCTCTCCTCCATCATACACTTGCTTCAAGGACATCACACTCCCTCTCGCATCACTGGCTTCTTCACTTTTTGTACTTCTTTGCCAGTTCTTCATTTCCCAGACCCCTGGATGTTGGAGTTCAGCCCTTAGATGTTTTCGCTCTTCACTCACACTTTTTTATGACCTTGTCCAGTCTTACGACTTTATGTGCCATCCGTATGTTGATAACTTGCAAATTTATTATCTCTACCTGGATCTTGTCCCTGACCTCCAGCTTCTTATATCCAGCTGCCTACTCAGTATTGCTTCTGGGGTGTCTAAAAGGCATTTCAAACAGTGTCGATGTGGTGAATGGTGATTGTTTTTTGAAAGTTTTCCAATAAGTCTTGGGAGTGGGAGTGGGGGTAGTTACATTCCTCTAACATGTTATATAGGTAAATGAATTCATTCCTACCATATAAATACTAATATGTAAATCTTTATTTTTTCTTAAAAGTCATACATGCTTATTTTAAGTCCAAAATTTTCTAAAGCTCCTTGGTTAACTTGGAAAATAATTTTTTTGTTGTGTTCATATCCTTTAGTCTAAAAGATGAAGCTGCTTTTTAAAAACAATTACAGACCCCCCGCCCTTTAATGGTTTATTTCCTCATTTCTAAACAGAGAAACATCTATTCTGGTTTGCTGTTACCAGTAGATACTGTTTGGGGTTCCTTAATTTCCTGCCATTTTCCACCGTCTGTGTCTTACAGTTAGTCTCATGTGGAGCAAAATCTGCTGGCAGAAGGTGAATGTACTTTGAGATCTGTGATTTTGGGGCTTCGAAAGCATTATTTAGTGAAAAGTGTGAATGAGATAGGCTCTTCTCTTGTCTACTCTCCTGATTCCTAGGTAGAATCAGGAATCAGGGAATTATAAGAAATTTGTTCCTTGTCTATTAGATTATGAATTCCATGAGGGTAGGAACACTGTCTTACTTAGTGTTACTTGGTATCACAATACCACATGTAATGCTTTATACATGGTGGACATTTAACAGATTTGTACTGGATTAAACGAAATTGAATTGTTGCTCAAAAGTGACTGAACTGTGATTAGATTCAATCAAGCAACTGTCAGTCAACTATCCTTTTCTTCTGCACCACACCGCTATACTGTGAGCTCTAGTGTCTTCATTCTGCTTCAAGAAAAATAAACCTAACTTGTTGTGGAGTTTGTGGGTATTATAAATGGATTTCTGATGCAGTTTGTACAAGGTTCGTATTGGGTACCTTCTTTTTTTTTGAGATGGAGTTTTGCTCCTGTCACCCAGTGTGCAGTGCAATGGCACGATCTCGGTTCACTGCAACCTCTGCCTCCCAGGTTTGAGTGATTCTTCTGCCTCAGCCTCCCAGGTAGCTGGGATTACAGGCATACACCGCCACGCCCGGCTAATTTTTGTATTTTTGTTAGAGATGGGGTTTCACCATATTGGCCAGGCTGGTCTTGAACTCCTGACCTCAGGTGATCTGCCTGCCTCTGCCTCCCAAAGTGCTGGGATTACAGGCATGAACCACCACACCTGGCCCTCATATTGGATACCTTCTTATAGCAATTTCTCAGTTGATTGTATATGTCTAATGTAAACATACTTTGTCTTCTTTACAAGTATCTGTTTTTGCTATTTTTTTTTTATTTCCTGTGTTGGGAGGGCAGCTGGGTAGCATTTTGAAGTAGATGATATTTAATAAACTGCACAGTGGAGGCTGGGCTTGCATTTGATCTGTGTAGATATAAATCAAGAGCTTTTACTTATTTGTGGCGTTATTTTAGATCAGATTTGGTTGCATGTAACAGAAAAAGTCAAAACAAAATGGCTTAAACGGGGTTAAAGTTTATTTTTTTCTCTTGTTTGGGAAGCCCAGAGGTTGCCAGATCACAGCTGATATAATCCTGCTCTCTCGAGCATAGTTTACTTTTATCAGTCACCTGAGGCACGAGACAGCATATAGCACTGTTCCATTTATCACATAGCACTGTCTGTGGTTGTAGGGACATTTTCCAGTGGTTGCATAGACTACTTTTGCTCACAGACCATTGGCTGGAATGGAGTTATGTGGTTATACCTAGTTGCAAGGGAGGCTTCTAAATCCTAAGGTTGGGAAATTGCTGTCTTTTGTTTTCAGAGGTCCATGAGTTGTTTTAGTACTTTACTATTACTGAGAACCAATGGGAGAATGGCTAATGGAGGGTGGGGCGGAGCTCAGCTAGCCATTACTACTTTGATTATCAATGGTTAGATGGATGTGTGCTTCATTTTTTTCTCCCTCAATTTACCAAAGGGTTACTTTGAATTTTTCTTAGCTAAGAGACACCATTTAAGACCACAGATTTGAAAATAATGTCTGATAAGGGACTTGTTTCTAGAATATATAAAGAACCATTGTAACTCAATAATATATAGACAAATAACAATGAAATGGTCAAAAGACCTGAATTTAGACATTTCTCCAAAGAAAATATGCAAGTGGTTGGCTGGGTGCAGTGGCCCATGCCTATAATCCCAGCACTTTGGGAGGCCGAGGTGGGCGGATCACCTGAGGTCAGGAGTTCGAAACTAGCCTGGCCAACCTGGTGAAACCCCATCTCTACTAAAAATGCAAAAATTAACTGGGTGTGGTGGTGGGTGCCTATAATCCCAGCTACTCGGGAGGCTGAGGCAGGAGAATCACTTGAACCCGGGAGACGGAGGTTGCAGTGAGCTGAGATCACGCCATTGGACTCCAGCCTGAGCAACAGAGCGAGACTCCATCACAAAAAAAACAACAAAAAAAACCACAAGTGGCCAATAAACACATGAAAAAATGCTTAATATTGTTAGCTGTTAGGGAAATGCAGATCAAAACCACAATGAGATACCACTTTATATCTACTAGGATGGCTATAAATAAAAAGTCAGATAATAACAAGTACTGGCAAGAATGTAGAGAAATTGAAAATCCTCATACACTGAGAGTGAGAATTTAAATGGAATGCTGCTTTGGAAAACAGTTTGTCAGTTCTTCAGAAAACGAAACATAACATTGCCCTCTGACCCAGAAATTCTGCTCCTAGCTATACATTCAAGAGAAATGAAAGCATATGTTTACACAGAAACTTGTGAATGAGTGTTCATAGAAGCATTATTTATAATAGCCAAAAAATAGAAACAACCTAAATGTCTGTTAAGAGATGAATGGATAAATAAAAGGTGGTATAGCCATATGATGAAAAATGAATACATGCTACTGTATGAATGACACTTGAGAACATAATGCTAAGTGAAAGAAGCCAGTCATAAAAGGCCATGTATATATGATTCCATTTATATGAAATGTGCAGGACAGACACATCTATATAGATAGAGAGTAAATGAATGATTTTCTAGGTCTAGAGGTTTGGAAAGAAATGGGGAGTGATGGCTAATGGGTACAGGTTTTCTTTTTACTCCCTAGGGTGATAAAAATGTTCTAAAATTGATTTTGGTGATGGTTATGCAATTCTGTGGATATGTTACAAGCTGTTGAACTGTACATTGTCAGTGGGTAAGTTTTATGGTGTGACTTACATCTCAATAGAGCTATTTTAAACAATGGAACACAGCTGCAAATGAATACCTACCATAGCTAAAAGAAGGGTCTTAAATCACTATAAACTATCACTACATGACGTCAGCCACATTTCAGAGACCATGGGCTATGAAATGATTAGGTCTCTCATTTTTTTAGGTTGGAGACATTGTATTTTGTATGGATGTTTTCTCCATGGCAAGTTGTAGTCTGTCAGGAGGTGTAGCTTTCTTCCCTGAAGGGTGGAATATCACCCTTCCCCCGCCCCAACAATTGTGTTATATAACATGCTGTTAGCTTCGCTGGCATGCTTGCCACATGCCACTTTGTGCTGTGACCCCCCCACACATTTGCTTGATAAATAATTACCCGTTCTGTGAAAGTTCTCCCACACATCACATTCAGGCACTGCTTAAAGAAAATGCTTCCCGTTTTGCTCTCATTAATCTGACATTTCGAATATTATATTTGGTTTCATTTTGCCTGGTTCCCATATCACTCTTGAAAGGATGGCAAGATGCTTCTGACTTGTAGAATTCACTTATTTATATTTTTATGTTGAGGAAGAGAGGAGGAAATCACCTATGTATCTGAAGCACTGGCGTTTTACAGTGATTTTATACCAGCAACTTTATTTAGTATCTGTTTGCATGATGCTGTACCGTTTCTCAATTTAAAAGAGTGAGTTAAGAGCATGTTGCCTTCAGAAGCCCATGCAATTTGACTGAATATGAGAATGTTTGTATAACACATTAACTGTACTAATATTTGTAAGCATTTTATAGAGCCTCACATCCAGGCACCTAGACAATTGTTGACTGTTTTTGGCACTGAGGATACAGCAATAAACTAGAAATTAAAAGACTTGAAATTGAGGGAACTCACAGACCAGGAGGATTTAGAAGCAAGTAACAGTTCAGAGGTCTAAGGTGCTGTGGGAGTTGAGCAGCATGGGGGAGTGTGGGGTTGGCTGGGAGTGTGGGGTTGGCTGGAAGAGCTTACTAAAGAAAGTGATTTTTAAAATTGACTCTTGAAGATGAGGTAACCAGTTTGGAGACTCAGAGGAAGGGGGGCCCAAGGCAAAAAGGAATCACAGGAAGTATGGAGAACACATGTTGAGATAATCCTTTAAATCAGAGGTTCTCAACTGTGGGCGATGTTGCTCCTAGGGGACACTGGGCAATATCTGGAGACACTGATATAATGTATTTTAACTGTGTGTTTGGGGGCTGGGGGTTAGAAGAGGGCAGGGAGTTGCTACAGACATCTAGAGGGTAGAGGGCAGCTGTGCTGCTGAACACCCTCCAGGGCACAGGGCAGGCTTCTGCAACAAAACATCATCTGCTCCAAAATGTCAGGAGTGCCACTGTTGAGAAGTCCTGATTTAATGCATGTGATAAGATAGAGACCCCTACAAATACTTGTGGAATTGAATGGAAGTAAATTTTTTTTTTTTTGAGACGGAGTCTTGCCCTGTCCCCCAGGCTGGAGCGCAGTGGCGTGATCTTGGCTCACTGCAACCTCTGCCTCCTGGGTTCTAGCGATTCTCCTGCCTCAGCCTCCTGAGTAGCTGGGATTACAGGTGTGAGCCACCATGCCCAGCTAATTTTTGTATTTTTAGTAGAGACGGGTTTCACCTTGTTGGTCAGGCTGGTCTTAAACTCCTGACCTCAGGTGATCCACCTGCCTCAGCCTCCCAAAGTGCTGGGATTACAGACGTGAGCCACTGCTCCCGGCAGGAAGTAAACTTTTTAAATGTAAATTTTTTTTTATGTAAGTGGAATTATACCTTTTTATTGAAATATATATATTTCAATATATATATTATTATTCTCTCTATATATAATACTATTCTATATATATAGAAATACATATTTCAATAAAAAGGTATAATAAGAATATATATATTTCAGTAAATATATATCACATGTATTTCACATATTTCATATGTATTTCATATATATTTATATATTTATATAATCTATATATAGAACTATATATATATATTTCAATAAAAAGTAACCATAGTTTAATTTGGTTATAGTATAAGCAATGAAGTAAAGCCAGATGGAAAGGGCTTTGTGTCTTGACTCTTCCATGTGATTTGTTCAATGATGATCAGTTACTCGGGAACTACCAAGATACCAGTGTAGAAAGAAGAGCAAAGTAAGTTATTTTAACAGAATTTTAGTGGAACTGATAGAACATGGAGTGGGTAGAATTAGAAACAGCATTTCTAGTATATAGGTCTCTGTGTTTTTCATAGAATGTAAGAATTTTCCCTAAAGATGATACTGTTGATGGTGATGTATTGAAAGACACATTTTATATGGGCTGTGATATTTAAATGGAAATCTGAATTGACATTAATATGGATTTATTTTTAAATTGTATGCTGAAGGATACTGGAGCATGGGCCATAGAAAAATTTTTAGCTTTTCTGAAAATAAAGCCAGAATAAAAAGTTTTCTACAAGAGTTTTTGTGGAGATATGTTTTTATTAATCTTGCATAAATACTTTGGGTGTGGGAATTGCTGGGGTATGGTATATGTATGTTTGACTTCTCAGGCAATTAAGGTTACAAAGTAATTTTACCCTCCCATCAGCAGTGTATGAGAGTTCTATTTGCTCCACTTCCTTACTAACCTTTGGTTATGTTACTCTTTTTCATTTTAGCCAATTTTGACTAGAGATGTTGAGCACTTCTTCCTGTGCTTATTGGCCATTTATGTTTCTTCTGTCATGAAGTGTCTATTAAAATCTCCTGCCCATTTAAAAATTGTGTTGTTGATCTTTTTGTTACTCAATTGTAGGAATTATTTAGAAACAAATCATTTACCGGATATAATAATAGTGAATATTTTCTCTGATCTGTGGCTTGCCTATCTTTTTCTTCAGTGTCTTTTGATGAGAAGAACATTTTAACTTGAGGTTGAATTTATCAGTTTAAAAACATTTTATTAAGGGCTTCTTGCACCAAGAAATATTTTTTTTACTCTATGGTTTTGAAGAAATTTTCTGATGTTTTCTTTTAAAGCTTTATAATTAGTCCATGACTCATGAAGATTTTTGGGGTATATATGGTGTGAGACATGAGGGTTGAGGTTTGTTTATTTTTTCCCCAGGTGAATAGCCAGTATTTCCATCACCATTTATTGATAGACTTGCCTCTCATTTAATTGTTTTGGCACCTTCTAAAAAATCACTTGACTGTGCATCTGTAGGTCTATTTCTAGATTCTCTACTCTGTTGCATCTCTTTGTCTGTTCTTTTGCCAGTAACACACTTACCTTGATTACTGTGTCATTAGTCAGGTGGTACAAGTCCTCTGTTCTTTTTAAAACAATTTTGGCTATTGTAGGTCCTTGGTGTTTCCATATAAATTTTAGAATTAATTTATTTTTATAAGAAAACCCCCAAAACCCATAGGTCAATATTGTGAATATAGAACCTTACAGTTCATGAACTTGATTTTCCATTTATTTAGACTTTCCATTTATCCCAGTAATGTTTTACAGTTTTCAGCATAGAAGTCATGGGCATTTTTTTTTTGGTGTTAAATTTTCCTAAATATTTTATGTTTCTGCATGATAATTTAAAATATTTGTTTTACCTTTAATTTCCAACTGGTCACTATTAGCATGTAGAAACATACTTGGTTTTTGTATCTTACAATATTGCTAAGTGCACTTATTCTGTTAGTTCTGGCAGTTTCTTTAGGATTTTTAAATGTACACAGTGATTTTATATGTGACAAAAACAGCCTTAGGGCCAGGCATGGTGGTTGACACCTGTAATCCCAGCACTTTAGAAAGCTGAGGCAGGAAGATCACTTGAGCTCAGGGTTAGAGACCAGCCTAGGCAATGTAATGAGATAATGAGACCCTGTCTCAAAAAAAAAAAAAAAAAAAAAAATTAGCCAGGTATGGTGGTATGTGCCTGTAGTCCCAGCTACTCAGGAGGCTGAGGTGGGAAGACAGTTTGAGCCCAGGAGGTTCAAAGCTGCAGTGAGCCATAATCGTGTCACTGTACTACAGCCTGGGCAACAGAGAGAGACCCTGTCTCAAAAAAAAAAAAAAGACAGCTTTATTTCTTCCTTTCCAATCTGTATGCTTTTTATTTCTTTTACTTGCCTGCCTACACTGCCTGAGATTGCCTGTAAAACGTTTGGCAGAAGTGGTGTTATTGGCCATCTTGCCTTGTTCCTGATCTTAGTAGGAAAAGTGTTCATTATTTAAAGTGTAATATTAGCTGAAAATTGCTTGTAGATGCCCTTTTCATTTTGAGGAAGTTTTTATTCCCAGTTTTAAGCATGAATTGGTTGGAATTTTGACAAAATGTTTCTCAGTGTCTCTTGAAATGATCATTAAATATGTTTCTTTAATCTTTGGATGTGAATTACACTGAATTTTGTAAGTTAACCTCACATTTCTGAGATTAAACTCTACTTGGTCATGATGTACTAGCTTTTTGTACCTGCTTCATCCATTTTGCTAGTATTCGGTTAAGGATTTTTAAATTTATGTTCATGAGAGATGTGTGCGTTATGATCTTCATTTTTTATGTCCTTCTCTGGTTTTGGTACCAAGGTTAAGATGGCTACAGAAGAATTGGGAAGTTTTCCCTTCTTCACTGTTTTTTCATAAATGTGTGTGTCATATTGGTATTAAGTGTTTGAGGTAATTCACCTATGAAGTCATCTTTGCCTAGAGTTTTCTTGGTGAGAAGTTTAAAAATTTTAAATTCATTTTATTTAGAGGATATAATGATATTCAGATTTTCTATTTTTCTTGGGTTTTGATAAATTGTGGTTTTCAAGGAATTTATTTTCTCTAAATTGTTGACTTTATTGGCATAAATGTCATATCTACTTGTTCCTTTCATATCTATAGGATTTATAATGGTAACTTATGCTTGGTAGGGATTTTTGTTTCATATTTTCTTGATAAGTCTTGCCTAGAGGTTTATCAATTTTGTTAATATTTTCAGAGAATCCATATTAACCACTTTTTATTTCATTTGTTTCTGAATTTATTTTTTTTCAACTTTGGATTTAATTTTTCTTTTCATTCCCTAAGTTAGAAGCACAGATCATTAATTTTACACCTTGTTTTTGAGATGGGCATTTGAATCTATAAGTTTTCTCCTAAGGACTGTTTCAGCTGTTTTTATTATAATTCAGTTAAAAATTATTTATTTCCTTATGTGATTAGGCTATAGATCGAAAACGTGATATTTAGAAGTATTTTTTAAAAATTCCAAATGGCTGGAGATATTCCACATGTAATATTATTGCTTTTTTTCTACTTAAGTATTCTTTTGGTCAGAGAAAACAGTTTATAGTCTATCAATATGTATTGAATATCGAAAGGATTTTTTTGCATATGTGCATAATGACCCTTTTATGAAATATCTCTGTGCTAATAATTATCTTAAACTCTACCTCTAACAGTAATATAGCTACACTTGCTTTCTTATACTGTTCGTACAGCATGTCTTTTTTCACCCTTTTCCTTTTATCTGATTCTTTATGTTTAAACTTTTTTTTATAAACAGCATATACTTGAGTTCTGTTTTTAAAAAAATATGCTAGCCATTGCTTTTTAAGCAGAGTTTTAGTTTATATATAATAATTATTATTTTATTATTATTACTATTTTTTTGTAGAGATGGGGTTTTGCTATGTTGCCCAGGCTGGTCTTGAACTCCTGACTTCAAGCCATCTTCCTTCCTTGGCTTCCTAAAGTGCTGTGATTACAGGCATGAGCCACTATGCCCAGCTGATCCATATATAATGTTTGATACGTATGGGCTTAAATCTGCCATCTTGATTTTGATTTCTAGTTTCCATGTTTGCTTTTCTTAGTTTTTTTTGCTGTTGCCTTTTCTAATGATTTTTAGTTATGCCTTTTAATGTATTTTTTAGATAGTGTCTCAGAGTATAACATGCATTTTAAAATAATCATAATATCTGCCTTCTCAAAAATAAAGACCCTTAGAACAGTGGATGACTTCCAATCATCCTTTCGCTCTCTGTGCTCTTGTTACTATATATTCTAATTCTACATACACTATGAATGTGGGAATTACATAGCATTTGAACTACATATGTTATGAAGTAATTATACATGACTACTTTTATTTTATGAAATCAGTAATCAGTGGTCTTTTAAAGAAATTTACTGTTTATTTACATACAGGTATATGCATACATGTGGGTGTAACTTTTTTTGGCTATATGTGTATATTTATTTATTTTTTTGAGACAGAGTCTCGCTCTGTTGCCCAGGCAGCGTGTTCTCAGCTCACTGCTAGCTCTGCCTCCTGGGTTCACGCCATTCTCCTGCCTCAGCCTCCCGAGAAGCTGGGACTACAGGCGCCTGCCACCACGCCTGGCTAATTTTTTGTATTTTTAGTAGAGATGGGGTTTCACCATGTTATCTAGAATGGGCCATATTTTTTTTAACACTAACGTATTTGTCCTTTATGGTTTTCTTTATTCTTTTCTGCAAAACTGGGTTTTTATCTTGTTCCATTTCTTTTAAGTTCCTTAGGCTGCCTTAGGCTGCATTTCTTGTAATGCAGGTCTGCTAGAGAAGATTTCTTTCCTATTTTGTCTGTCTGAAAATGTCTTTTATATTGCCTTCATTTTTGATGGATATAGAATTGTTTTCATAGATTTCCCCTTATACATCTTAAAGAAGTCATTTCATTGTCTTCAGGCTTCCGTTTATTTTCTGATGATAAGTCATCCATTTTTCTTATCAGTCTCTCCTCTCTCCTCTGTTGTCTTTCTCTCTTGCTGCTTTCCTTATTTCTTTTTAAATAATTTTTATGATTTTTTTTTTTGCCTTGCCCAGGGTTCCATTGAGGTTCTTGGATGTGTAGGTTTGATATTTCTTACTGCCCGGTTTAGAAAATCTTAGTCATTATCTCTTCAAATGTGTCTTCTACTCCATTTTCTGTTTATTTTTTGGGATTCGAATTACCTTATGTCAGAGCATTTGATACTGCCCCTGGAGATTTCAGATTCTCTGTTTCACTTTTCCCACCTGATTTCCATTTGTGTGTGTTTGGATCATTTCTGTCCATCTTCAAAACCATTCAGTAGGAAGTTTCAAACCTTCCCACATCTTCCTGTCTTCTTCTGACCCCTCCAAACTGTTTCAGCCTCTGCCTAGGTTATCTTTAGAGAGAAAGAGAGATGGGGTGGGGTGGGATGGGTTGAGGAACTGCCAAACACTTTTAAACCACCAGATCTTGTGAGAACTCAATCACTATCAGGAGAGCAGCACGGGGGAACCACTCCTGTGATCCATCACCTTATACCTTACACCAGATCCCTTTCTCGACATGTGGGGATTACAATTCGAGAAACCCTCCAGGCAGGCCATGCCATCTCTGAGTAGGACACAGAGTAGGTGGATTAGGACACAGAGTAGCCCATTGGATCCACCTCAGGGTGGTCTCTCAGTCCTGCTCTCAGACTTCCTCATGAGCGCTTGAGGTCCCACGGACAAGAGTTGGAGGGCGGGTTCAGACTCTCTGTGTCTAGGTCTCCTAGGAATTCTAAACATCACACCAGCCTGTGTTCTACCTTTAAAATTTTGTTAAAATTCCACTGTTTTCTTTGTCTGTGATGGTTTCCTCTTTGTCTTGCTGCTCCACCATGGATGAAAGCAGCTGGGGTGTGTGTGTGTGTGCATGCGTGTGTGTGTGTGTGTCTGTGTCTGTGTCTGTGTGTCTTTGTCTTCTGTCCAGGGAGTGGCTTGTCACTCTTTGGATTTTCATTCATTAGGTCTTTTTTACATCTTTGCTCTTAAATGAGTTTTTGAAAAACAATGGTTTCATAGGTTCTCCGTCTTGTTCTTATTGGTAGAGTGGGAATGATGTTCTCTGATAATTTTTTACATTCCAGGTGGAAGCAACAGTTCTCTAATGATTAATTGCTTGAATTCACTTTCATTGGAACATACAATCTTCTGACTGTCATTGCTCGTGTGCTCTATTAGAAACTTTTTTTTTTGGTGAACAGAAGAAAGAAGTTACTATAAAGACTTGACCTTGAGTAAAATTAGGCAACATGCTTTTATCATCTCTGGAAAAAATGCATGATTCATAGATTTATACTTTGTTTTTTTCCCAGAAACTCTATGAGAAACTGATTACATTTCTATAACTTTAAAAACTTTTTTTGGCTTCAGCAGTTTCCCCTTCTCATAATAAAATGTAGGGCAGAACTTGTTACGTGCTGGGTTTTTTTTTTTTTTTCCTTTTCAACATTCCTCTTAGAAAAGCAATAGAATATTCCTGATTGTTACCATTATAAGTTTTGATATCTGCTTCTTTGTTTATTCACTTAAGAGCTACTCTGTTTACAATAATGTCTCCTTAGACTTGTGAATGTTTCTCTCTGCTTTTTTCGTTGTGTATTTTCTGAATTTATAAGCTCAGTAATCTGTCACTTAAAACACAAGGGTAAAGCCTGTCTTCTACATGGTTTGATAGAGCTATAGAACATGCAGTTGAAAGAGACTTAATAGATACAGAGTGAAATGTAGAATACAGATAATAGGCAGTTTCTTATGCTTGGGCTGAGGGTGGTGCCTGATTGGTGATACCATGTATTTGTATTTGTATTTTTTTTCTGAATGAATGAATGAAAGAGGTTGAGATGCTGATTTATGAATTTAAGAATTCTTTTAAAAAGAATTTATGAATTTAAGAACTTGTTTAATATTGTTTCTTCAGATTCCAATTCCCAAACTTAGGTACTACAGATAATAATTAGGGTTTTAGATAAAGATTATCCTGGCAGCTTGCCCTTTTTCACTTGGTTTATTTTTTTCGTTCATGAAATTTATACTTTTGCCTGTGTATTCACCAGGAATCAGTTCTGACTTGCTGTATGTGATGAGTTATCCAGAGCTTAAAATGGTATCTGGAACTTAGTAGGTACTCAGATTGTAGTGTGGTTTAAGTGAATTATTAGGTGAGTGAGAAAATGGCAGTGTTCTCAGCTGAACCAGTAGAATGCATTGCAGCAATATGGCTCCAAGAACCCCCAGTCGGAACTTTCTCAGTTCTAATTCTTGCTCTAATGGAGTCACTAGTGTTAGCTTCTCCATGAAACAAAGATGTGATTGCTATTTTTTCCCTCCTTCCTCCCTTTCCACCCTTCTCTGTCTATAAATAAATTCAACAACAACAACAACAACAACAACACGCCTTGAGACAGGTTCTTGTTATTTTGCCCAGGCTGGTCTCAAACTCCTGGGTTCAAGCAATCCTCCTGCCTCAGCTTCCCAAAGTTTATTTTTTATTTAAATGCGAATAATCCAATATACTTTGCAAAGTTTTCTGTTCTTTACTATTCTGAGATTCACCATATTTCCTTTACATCCATTAAATTTTATTAATAAAATATGTCCTTTGTTTCAAAAACTACAGAATTTTTATATTTTGGTTTAACAGTGTGTTGCTATTGATTTTGGCAGTTTGAAATGTGTCCAATGTTTCTCAAAGTCTCATTCTTTCTTAGTGATGTCCTAAGCAATTGATTATTAGAAAAGAAAAACTTGAGAAATTTGAAATGGTTGAAACATGTTCTAGCAAACGTTTTATTTTTCCTACACTAATACTTTAGAGGCAGGGAATCAGTAAATAGAAAATGAATATGAGCAGTCTTTGTGAGAGGGTGGGAACCCAGCCTTATTTAATACTAGTGGCTGATCCCTTTAATGTTAAAGTAATGCGTTGCAAGTGTGAAGTGTTCTGAAGAATGTAGACTGTGATGAGTTAATTCTCAATAGTGGAACTGTTTTGAGTTATCATTACATTATTTGCCAAAATATAAACAAATGGAATTCTTTCCTTGTGAATGATCCATTTCTACTTAATCTCTCATCTTTCAACAAATTTGTTCTCTGCTGGCTTCCACAAAGGGCTGTGTGGCTCAAGTTTGAGTCGTTGTGCTTGGAGGCAAGACATATAATACTACTTTACTTTTTACGCTTCTTTGGATTTTTATCCAGAAATAATATGGCTGTTTAATCTGAAGCCTGATAATTGCTTTTTCCCTTACTTCAGTATTTGTACTTCTAGTCATAACTCTTTAAGCCCTTCATCATTCAACAGTTATTTCTGTGTTTTAGGTTACTAGAATCAGTCATTCTTCCTGTCCAGCATCTGTATTTGCTGCTCTATGTGTAACTGGTGAAGAATATACAACCATCTATCTTGAGTTAATATTATTTTTCCTCCACATATGAGCATCAGTGGAAAACTTTAGGGGAAAACAAAAAGGAACTAGAGAGGACAAGGAATTTCCTTAGGCTCATGGCCGACTTTGAGAGTGTAAGTATATGTAAGTATATTAGGTCCTTACTTGCTGCAGTGGTTCGTGATTGTCACTGAATTCCTTTACTAGTTACTGATGGTATATTGTAGTTGATCTGTCTTCTATTTGTTATTCTTGGAGCAACAGCTTTCATACTCATCATTTTGTTGCCCATGACATGTAGAAGCACTTCTGGAATATTTCCCAAGCCCATTCATTGTTTCTTTTTTCATTTTTGCCATTTTGTATCATCCTTTTAGTCTTCTAATATGTTTTTGCATTCAACTCTTGCCTATCTTCAGTCCATTCTCCACCCAGCAACCAGACTGTTCATGTGCAATTTTAACCTGATCTGGCTGTTCCCCTACTAAAAACCTTTAGTGGCACTTAGGATAAATTAAATCCTTAGCATGGTGTATTAATTCATTCTCACACTGCTGCAAAGAACTGCCTGAGATTGGATAATTTATAAAGAAAAGAGGTTGAGGCCGGGCGCAGTGGCTCATGCCTGTAATCCCAGCACTTTAGGAGGCCGAGGTGGGCCGATCACCTTGTCAGGAGTGACCTGGTCAGGAGTTTGAGACCAGCCTGGCCAACATGGAGAAGCCCTGTCTCTACTAAAAATAGAAAAATTAGCTGGGTGTAGTGGCTGTGCACCTGTAGTCCCAGTTACCCAGAGGCTGAGGTAGGAGAATTGCTTGAACCTGGGAGGTGGAGGTTGCAGTAAGCCGAGACTGCACCACTGCACTCCAGTCTGGGAGACAGAGCGAAACTCCATCTCAAAAATAAAGAAGGGGAGGGGAAGGGAGGTTTAATTGACTTAGTTTTGTAGGCTGTACAGGAACAGGAGGCATGGGTGGGGAGGCCTCAGGAAACTTATAATCATGGCAGAAGGCAAAGGGGAAGCCAGTATGTCTTACATGGCCAGATCAGGGGGAAGAGAGAGAGAAGTGGGAGGGGAGGGCGGGGGTGTGTGGGGCAGGCTATATACTTTCCAAAAACCAGATCCTGTGAGAACTCTCATGGAAGCAAAAGCAAGAAGGGGGAAGTCTACCCCTATGATCAAGTCACCTCCCACCAGGCCCCTTCTCCAACTTTGGGAATTGTAAATGCTACATGAGATTTGGGTGGGGACCCAGAGCCAAACCATCCCACATGGCCAGGGAGGCCCTGTGTGGCTGGACCCCAGTCTGCCTCCACAGCTTTCTGTTGTGCCACTCTCCAGCAGGCTCATGGCGCCAGTGAGGAGGCTGATCTTAGCTCCTCCAGAGTGTGCTTTTGGTCTTCTATGCACCTTCTCAGCTTAGGGGACAACTCTGCATTCAAAAAAAACTTTTCTGAGAGACTACTTTTTAAAGAATAGTTTTCAGTTCACAGTCAGAAGAGGAAGATAGAGATTTTCCTGATTCCCCCCAACTCCCACACATGCATAGCATTCCCCATTATCAACACCCCCACCAGAATGCTGCATTTGTTAGAACTGTGGAACCTACCTTGACATATCATAATCACCCAAAATTCATAGTTTACATTAGGGCTCACTCTTGGATTGTACATTTTATGGGTTTGCCCAAATGTGTACTGAATGTATCCATCATTCTAGTATCATACAGAAGATTTCACTGCCCTAAAAATCTTGTGCTCCACCTGTTCATCCCTTTCCCTCCAGTCCCTGGCAACCAGTGATCTTTTTACTGTCTCTGTAGTTTGACCTTTTCCAGAGTGTCATCTACTTGAATCACACAGTGTGTAGACTTTTCAGATAGGCTTCTTTCACTGAGTAGCATACATTTAAGCTCCCTCCATGTCTTCTCATGGCTCAGTAGCTCATTTCTTTTTAGCACCGAATAATACTCCATTGTCAGGATGTACTACAGTTTATTCATTCACCTTCTGAGGACATCTTGGCTGCTTCAAAGTTTTGGTGGTTGTGAGTCAAACATAATTTGGTAGTTGTGAATAAACATCCATGTGCAGGTTCTTGTGTAGACATAGTTTTCAGTTCCTTTAGGTAACTGCCAAGGAATGTGATTGCTGTGTCCTACAGTAAAAATGTTTTTACTTTTGTAAGAAACAACCAGACTTTGAAAGTGTACCATTTTGCATTGCCACCAGCAATGAATAAGAGTTCCTGTTGCTCCACATCCTCTTCAACATTTGGTGTTGTCAGTGTTTTGGGTTTTGGCTGTTCTAGTGAGTGTGTTGTATTTCATTTTAATTTGCATTGCCTTGATGACATCTGATAGGGTGCATCTTTTCTTTCTTTCTTTCTTTATTTTATTATTATTATACTTTAAGTTTTAGGGTACATGTGCACAATGTGCAGGTTAGTTACATATGTATACACGTGCCATGCTGGTGTGCTGCATCCATTAACTCGTCATTTAGCATTAGGTATATCTCCTAATGCTATCCCTCCCCCGTCCCCCCACCCCACAACAATCCCCAGAGTATGATGTTCCCCTTCCTGTGTCCATGTGTTCTCATTGTTCAGTTCCCACCTATGAGTGAGAACATGCAGTGTTTGGTTTTTTGTCCTTGTGATAGTTTACTGATAATGATGATTTCCAATTTCATCCATGTCCCTACAAGGACATGAGCTCATCATTTTTTATGGCTGCATAGTATTCCATGATGTATATGTGCCACCTTTTCTTAATCCAGTCTATCGTTGTTGGACATTTGGGTTGGTTCCAAGTCTTTGCTATTGTGAATAGTGCCACAATAAACATACGTGTGCATGTGTCTTTATAGCAACATGATTTATAGTCCTTTGGGTATATACCCAGTAATGGGATTGCTGGGTCAAATAGTATTTCTAGTTCTAGATCCCTGAGGAATCGCCACACTGACTTCCACAATGGTTGAACTAGTTTACAGTCCCACCAACAGTGTAAAAGTGTTCCTATTTCTCCACATCCTCTCCAGCATCTGTTGTTTCCTGACTTTTTAATGATCGCCATTCTAACTGGTGTGAGATGGTATCTCATTGTGGATTTGATTTGCATTTCTCTGATGGCCAGTGATGGTGAGCATTTTTTCATGTGTTTTTTGGCTGCATAAATGTCTTCTTTTGAGAAGTGTCTGTTCATATCCTTTGCCCACTTTTTGATGGGGTTGTTTGTTTTTTTCTTGTAAATTTATTTGAGTTCATTGTAGATTCTGGATATTAGCTCTTTGTCAGATGAGTAGGTTGCGAAAATTTTCTCCCATTTTGTAGGTTGCCTGATCACTCTGATGGTAGTTTCTTTTGCTGTGCAGAAGCTCTTCAGTTTAATTAGATCCCATTTGTCAATTTTGGCTTTTGTTGCCATTGCTTTTGGTGTTTTAGACATGAAGTCCTTGCCCATGCCTATGTCCTGAATGGTAATGCCTAGGTTTTCTTCTAGGGTTTTTATGGTTTTAGGTCTAACATTTAAGTCTTTAATCCATCTTGAATTAATTTTTGTATAAGGTGTAAGGAAGGGATCCAGTTTCAGCTTTCTACATATGGCCAGCCAGTTTTCACAGCACCATTTATTAAATAGGGAATCCTTTCCCCATTGCTTGTTTTTCTCAGGTTTGTCAAAGATCAGATAGTTGTAGATATGCGGCGTTATTTCTGAGGGCTCTGTTCTGTTCCATTGATCTATATCTCTGTTTTGGTACCAGTACCATGCTGTTTTGGTTACTGTAGCCTTGTAGTATAGTTTGAAGTCAGGTAGCGTGATGCCTCCAGCTTTGTTCTTTTGGCTTAGGATTGACTTGGCGATGTGGGCTCTTTTTTGGTTCCATATGAGCTTTAAAGTAGTTTTTTCCAGTTCTGTGAAGAAAGTCATTGGTAGCTTGATGGGGATGGCATTGAATCTATAAATTACCTTGGGCAGTATGGCCATTTTCACGATATTGATTCTTCCTATCCATGAGCATGGAATGTTCTTCCATTTGTTTGTATTCTCTTTTCTTTCATTGAGCAGTGGTTTGTAGTTCTCCTTGAAGAGGTCCTTCACGTTCCTTGTAAGTTGGATTTCTAGGTATTTTATTCTCTTTGAAGCAATTGTGAATGGGAATTCACTCATGATTTGGCTCTCTTTGTCTATTATTTGTGTATAAGAATGCTTGTGATTTTTGTACATTGATTTTGTATCCTGAGACTTTGCTGAAGGTGCATCTTTTCTTAACGCTCCTCTGCCATTTGTATATTCATATGTATATTCCATATGAACCATTAATTCCATTTCTTGATATATACCTGAAAGAATTGAAAGCAGGGGCCTAAACAGGTATTTGTACATCCATGTTCATAGCAGCACTGTTCACAACAGGCAAAAAGGTGGAAGCAACCCAAGTGTCTGCGGATATTGTGAATGGATAAGAAAAATGTGGTATATACACACACAATGGAATATTAGGCTTTTATGTAGCAATTGAAAGTTATTGTTCAACAGGTACAGAGTTTCAGTTTTGCAAGATGAAAAAAGTTCTGTTAATGGATGGTGGTGATGGTTATGTAACATTGTGAACATATTTAATGCCATTGAACTCTACACTTAAAAATCGTTAAGATGATAAATTTTAGGTTACATGTATTTTACCACAGATAAAAGTAAAAAAAAAATGGTTACAACAGTTAAATCTTAGGAAAAACTTGCCTTTTAGTGGCCAAGGGGTAACCTGATATGTTACTGGTGTCTTTCAGGCCTGGCGTTTCCTTGACCATGCAGGCATTTTCCGAAGAGGAAAGGAAGCAGTGGTTGGAAGCTCTGGGTGGAAAGGAAGCTGTAAGAATAATCAATGGTTGAGTTTTATTTCAAAGCCTTTAGAGTTGACTTGCATTCATTTTTATGTTATTTTTGTGTAGTATTTGAGAAAAGTTCCCTTCTATAACAGGTATTCCAAAAATCATCGTGGAAGCATTCAACATTCTAGTAATTTGGGTTGGGCAAGCAGCAGTACATATAAGACTAGTGTATCATTAGTTTTTATTTCTGTATTTTCTTGACTTGCCACTCTGATTTGCTTTGCTTGAGGAGGTCATCTAAATTCTCAATTTCATCTTTCCTACTTGACAGTACTTTGGATGATGAACACAATAAATGCCTGCAATGCATTTTGATCTCAGTGGAGATGGAACAGGAAATGTGAGATAGTGCAGGCAATATTATAGGTGACTGCTGTAATTGTTTTGCTTGATGTAACAATTTAAAGTTTCATCTAGTAGTTTACAGTATGCAGTATTATGTAGCCTTAGTGGATGGGCCTCGGTATTCAGAGTGCTTTGAGGAATAAATTGAAGGTAGTGGTATAGATCCAGAGGCACCAAGATTCAGTCTGTTGGCCACTATTGAAACACTACTTTCATTTTGATGGACTAGTGGCTTTTGAGAGTTGAGAATGTGGCAGATCATGTATTGGGGATTTAGTGAGGATAATTGTAGAAAACGCCACAGAACCAATTTAAATAAACTCTACTTAAAGTATTATGTATGACTCTAAATAAACTGCCATTGCAGGTGCCAGGCAGGCTTATCTGGAAAGCATTTGCCAGTTCAGCATTGTTGAGGGAAAAAAAAAGAGAATGGTTTGAAAGTAGAGGAGGGATCATGTAGAGCAGAAACAGGTTTCAGAATAGAGCTTATGAAATGGGCAAAAGCTAATGTTATCTTGTGGTAACAGAGAGCGCATTGGTGAGTGTATAGGAAAAGAGAGCAAGGAGGCTGATCAGTAGCGCATGTGGCAATCTTGAAGTACTTGGAAAATGAAAACCTAAATTAACATAGTATAAAAATTGATGCTATATTGGGGAATGTATCACTCTTACACCACCCCCGCCAAAAACAAAGCATCCTTGGTCAGATTTGGGTGTCGTCTTACCATATTTGGGATGCATTTAGCCTCTGTAGTTTTACTTCTATTGATTGATCGATGGAATCTCACTCTGTTGCCCAGTCTGCAGTGCAGTGGCGTGACCTTGGCTCACTGCAACCTCTGCCTCCTGGGTTTAAGTGATTCTCCTGCTTCAGCCTCCCAAGTAGCTGGGATTACAGGTGTGTGTCACCATGCCCAGCTAATTTTTGTAATTTTTAGTAGAGACAGGGTTTCACCATGTTGGCCAGGTTGTTCTTGAACTCCTGACCTCAAACGATCCACCCACCTTGGCCTCCCAAAGTGCTGGGATTACAGGCATGAGCCACCACACCCAGCCTTATTTCTATTTATTCTTAATTTGTTGTTGAAATTTTTAGCTGTGAATCAAGAGTATTTACAGTGTTTATGGTTACTGAGACTCCAAAACAGGTTATACTAGTCTTCTTTAGTAAAGACAGCACACTCACTGGAATGTATCGCCCCAGAGATGCAGGAAGTATATTGGATTTGCATCCATTAAAATACAGAAAAAAAATAATGGTACTTTGGAAAGTCAGTTTGCGTAGCGAAAAGACTAAGTCATTGAAAAATGAGTCTGTTGGCAATGTCAGTGTAACCTTCAAGACGTATATAACCTCTCTTTTAGAGTCAGGAGCCAAGTGATTAGTTCAGAGATACACAGACAAAGGCAAGTCTGCAGAAAAACAATATTCAGCTATGTATTTATATGGGGACACTGAAGGGACTGCATATTTTTGGTGGGTGTTGTAAGCCTTGCAAATAATTTGCCAGCCTTACAGTTCTTAAAGGTTGCCTAGAATTATCACCGTGCTATTTCTGCTGTACTTACTTAAATTATGGGCAGGAGTTATCTCTTTAGGTAAATACTGATTTTTTGAAATATTGGTGAAAACATGAGCTCCATCTTAATGGTTAGAATACAGCAGTTTCCTTATCACTCCATAGCTGTACGGCTGAGTATTTCAAGTATACACAAATTTTCAATAAGTCCCTTTTAAGGACCCTGCCCCCTTTATCTTATTTTTGCTCATTTGGTATACCTCAGGGAGAGAAAAAGTAGTCTCAGAGATGTTCCTTTTTGTTATTTATCTTTGCATCTGAGCATATGATAGTGTGTTATTAACTGAGAAAACACAGCGCACTATCTGCCTGAAGTTAGTGTTGGATCCCACATGTTTAGAGCTCACTCCCACAAGACTGCCTGAGTTCAGGTGCCCATCACAAGTCTGGACCCTCCCATACTTCTGGCTAACTGGCTATAAATTGGGGGTTCCTGTGAACCCCTCATCAGTTTAATAATTTGCCAGATTAGCTCACAGAACTGAGAGAAATACTTATATTTAGTAGTACATTATAAAAGTTACAACTCTGCAAGGGCCCAGTGGAAGAGATGCATAGGATAAAGTCTGAAGTGAGGTTGAGGTGGGTGCACGGAGCCCCCATGCCCTCAGTGGGTACACCAGCCTCCCAGCACTTCCTCATGTTCACCAACACGGAAGCTTATCAGAGCTTGTTGTTTCAGAACTCAATTGCCAGCTCACTGCTGAAGAGATTGGTGGGTAGGGCTGAAAGAAATATCAGTGGGTCTTTGTGGTATTCAGCCCCATCCTGAGATGGCCTATCCAGGGGCTCTATAAGAAGTCACCTCATTAGCATAAACTCACATGTGACCAAAAGGATCTTGTTATGAATAACAAAAGATGTTCTTATTACTCAGGAAATCCCAAGAGTTTAGATGCTCTGTGTCAGGAAGTGGGGATGCAGACCAATTTCTTATTCTATCACATTAACCAGAATCAAGCTTATAAAAATGTATTTTTTTTTGTATGGTCCTCAGTGTGCCTACTTGAATAATTTTTGCTGATTTGATTAAAAAATTCTGTTTTTCCATTCTCTTTTATTAGCTGTCCCATAGTTTTAATACAGCCATCATCCCAAGACCAGAAGGAAGTAAGTGCTCATTTATAAAAATGATTGTATCCTCCTTTTCCATCTATTACTTTGTGTACATTATGCATGTCAAGCTGTTGCTGGGAGCTTACTCTCTGCACCCTCTATTAGACAGAGGGGTATTACACGTAATAATCCTCTATTGCATGTGTTCTGTTTTACTCAACGGGGACCTCCTCAACATTTCTTGGACTACTGTAGCCCTTGTTGATCTTTCCCATCTGTGGGCTTTTCTTTTCTTTTTTTTTGATACAAAGTCTTGCTCTGTTGCCCAGGCTGCAGTGCAGTGGCATGGTCTTGGATCCCTGCAGCTTCAACCTCCTGGGCTCAAGTGATCCTCCCACTTCAGTCTCCTGAGTAGCTGGGACTACAGGCATGTACCACCATACCTGGCCAATTGTTTTTATTTTTAATTTTTTTGTTGTTGTTGAGATGGGATCTTGCTATGTTGTCCAGGCTGGTCTCAAACTCCTGGGGTCAAGTGATCCTCCTACCTCTGCCTTCCAAAGTGCTGAGATTACAGGCGTGAGTCACCTTGCCTGGCCTATGGGCTTTTTTGTGAGTCTTTCTCAAAAAAAAAAAAATTGTACAAAATACTTTCTCTACATTTACTTTAATGTTTATTAACAATCACATAAGAGTTTCAAGTATGCAACCTTCAACTTCTTGTCTGAGTTAACTCCTGTGGGTAAGAGCTGTTTATATCGAGGCCCTGTTTCCTAGCCTTGATATGCTTTATCTTTGTAGTGTTTGACTACAGGCTATACAGATAGTTTATCAGTGCACCTTGGACAATAGCAACAACAATTAAATTTATTCAAATATTCAAGGACAACGATCTTCACATGCCACTGCTGTACTTGAAGAAAATGAAACATGCCCAGCTCTGTACCCTTGATTTTTTTTTTTAACTTACATAAAAACGTGATCAGATCTGCTGGGTTCCTGATGAATTTACTTTTGACATATTTGGAAAAATTAAGCTACATTTATCAAATGTCCACAGTTTGTAAACACTGTGGTTATGTAACATAGGATTCCAATATAATTGTGATCACTTGAGCCAGTGTTTGAATAAAACACAACTCTTGTAGCCTGGCACTGGTGATGGACAGGATGCCACAAGCAGCACATCCCCTGAGGCACCTTCTTACCCCTCTTCCTTCTTCCCTTCTCCCTCTCTCCTTTGTTCTTTTCTTCTTCTGACACCTTTTCTTCCTTCCTCCCTCCTCCTCTTCCTCCCTTTTCTTTCCCTTTCCTCATTCCCTCCTCTCCCCTTTCTCTTTCCTTCTTTTCTCTTTTTCCCTTCTTATTGCAGAGACGTTAAAACATGTCTTTTTTAGAAAACACGGTTTTGCTAAGCAGAAATAAATACTTCCATTTTATAAAGCTTTGTGAATAGTGAATTCTTGAGCAGAAAACCACTGCCCAATTCATTAAAATTCTCTTCAAGCTTAGCACTATGGGTTATGTATGAAGTTTATATTCATGGATTGTTCTTGTAACCCTTCTGAGAGCCAAGGATTAGTGTTACTGTTCCCTAGGTTCTAAATGCAGTGGCTAAGGGTACTTAACTTAATTTTTGTTGTTGTCGTTGTTGTTGGAGACAGAGTCTTGCTCTGTCGCCCAGGCTGCAGTGCAGGGGCGCAATTTCAGCTCCCTGCAAGCTCCGCCTCCCGGGTTCACTCCGTTTTCCTGTCTCAACCTCCCGAGTAACTGGGACTACAGGTGCCCACCATCACGCCCGGCTAATTTATTGTATTTTTAGTAGAGACGGGGTTTCACCGTGTTAGCCAGGATGGTCTTGATCTCCTGACTTCGTGATCCGCCCACCTTGGCCTCCCAAAGTGCTGGGATTACAGGCGTGAGCCACCGCGCCTGGCCTCTTAACTTAATTTTTGAAACAAGAATTGTCATTCATTAAGGATATACAGATATGCCAGCCTAATCATAGATAAGCATCTATATTAGAAAAAGTATAAAAATTATATTTCCAAAATAGTTTGCTCTGCCATATGAATCATCTGTTTTAAATTTATTATGAAAATAATAAAATATTATTTTAAAAGCTTGGAGCATGGTGTAAAATATCAAAATTTTAATTCAAGCTTATTGCCCAAATATTTTTAAAAAGCTTTTCTTAAAATTTTTCCTCCTAGGTTTTTTTTTTTTAAAGGATTGTGTTCTTAGATTCTCAAGTAATTTAAGAACATTCACGTGTGTGTGTGTGTGTGTGTGTGTGTGTGTGTGTGTGTGTGTGTGTATAGTTTTCTTTAACTGAGCTGCTGTTGGAATTTTTGGCAAAATATATCTTAACTGTGTCTAGATAGCTTCCCTTAGAGATTTGTATCACTTTCTTTTTGACTTTTAAAATGAATTGTAGTTATTAATTTTAAAATTATTTTACATTACAAATATGTATACTATTGGTAAATAGAGATTCTGATATTCCAGCAAGTGCTCTAAATATATGAAATTCCTTCCAGGCACAGTGGCTCACACCTGTAATCCCAGCACTTTGGGATGCCAAAGTGGTCAGATCACCTGAGGTCAGGAATTCAAGACCAGCCTGGCCAACATGGTGAAACCCCATCTCTACTAAAAATAGAAAAAATTAGCTGGGCTTGGTGGCGGGCACCTGTAATGGCAGCTACCTGGGAGGCTGAGGTGGAAGAATCGCTTGAACCCAGGAGGTAGAGGTTGCACTCTAGCTTGGGTGACAGAGTAAGACTCCCTCTCAAAACAAAAACAAAAAACAAACAAACAAACAAATATATATATATATATATATATATATATATATATATATATATATATATATAAAATTCCTGTGTATATTATTTAAATAGGAAATACATAGCCTTAAGCTTTTTTTTTTTTTTTTTTTTTTTTTGGGGAGACAGGGTATTGCTCTGTCACCCAGTGCAGTGGTATGATCATAACTCACTGCAGCCTCTACCTGCTGGGCTCAAGCTATCCTTCTTCAGCCTCCTGAGCAGCTGGGACTACAGGCACCCATCATTAAACCTGGCTAATTTAAAAACATCTTCAGTAGAGGTGGGGCCTCACCATGTTCCCCAGGCAAGTCAGGAACTCCCAGACTCAAGTGATCATTCTCCCTGGGCCTCCCAAAGTGGTGGGATTACAGGTGTGAGCCAATGTGCCTATCTGCCTTTAGCTTTTTAATAGTAATCTAAAAATTAGTTTGGATTTAAATAATTTTTCCTATTTTTAAAAGGAAGAGAAATGTGATAAATAATAATTGTACACTTAATGTTTTAAACTGTTTCTTGTAGATGCACAGTTGGATAAGATGGGGTTCACAATTATCAGAAAATGCATCAGTGCCGTTGAAACACGAGGTAATATGATTGAATCATTTCATTCATGAGAGGCTATAGGTATGTAAAATCTAAAAGTCATTAAAAATACTTCTTGCTTTTAAGTGTTACAGAATGAAACGTGTTAACACAAATGCTCATTCTGAGTATCAGAAGGATCAGTTATTCATTTACTATGACAATGAGGGATTTTCCTTTTTATTTACATATTTCTTTCCTATATGAAAACATGAGGTCAGTGTTGAAATGAGAATTGTCTTAGTCTGTTAGATCTGCCATAGCAAGATACCACAGATTGGGTGGCTTAAAGAATAGAAATTTATTTTCTCGTGGTTCTGGAGGCTGGAAGTTCAAAATCAAGGTGTCAAATTCAAGGTTTCTTCTGAGGCCTCCCCACTTGGCTTGCAGGTGGCCCCCTTCCCGCTTTGTCCTTAGAATGCCTTTTTTCCTTTGCACCCATGTCCCTGGTGTCTCTTTTACATGTCGAAGTTTCTTCTTATAAGGGCCTATTAGATTAGGGCCCACCCTAAAGGCCTCTTTAAAGCTCCCATCTCTAAATACAGTCACATTCTGAGAAACTGGTGTTTAGGGCTTCTACATAAGAATTTTAGGGGGATACAGTTCAGCCCATAAGAATCCTTAGAAGAATCAGCAGTGATGTACAACTCATCGTAATCACTTTTGGTTGAAGCACTCTGAAGATACTCTCCACCCTCCATTGTTGTGTGGGTCCCTGTTTAAAAAAATCAGCTTGCCAGACGTGGTGGCTCACGCTGGTAATCCCAGCACTTTGGGAGGCTGCGGTGGGCAGATCACCTGAGGCTGGGAGTTCGAGACCATCCTGGCGAACATGGTGAAACCCCATCTCTACTAAAAATACAAAAATTAGCTGGGTGTGGTGCATGCATCTATAATCGCGGCTACTCGGGAGGCTGAGGCAGGAGAATCAGTTGAACCTGGGAGGCAGAGGTTGCAGTGAGCCGAGATCGTGTCACTGCACTCCAGCCTGGGTGATAGAGCGAGATTGCATCTCAAAAAAAGAAATCCGCTTTATTGAGGTATAATTTGCAGTCAGTACAATTCACTGATTTCAGCTGTACAAATGGAAGAGTTTTGAATTGAAAACATACACAATTGTGATACTTTATTACATACACAGAAAATTTCTGTTTCCCTCACTGAGTTCTTTTCTGGCACCTACCTTCCTCCTTTCCTGTATTTGCTGCGTTGCATTTTTATTTTTATTTTTATTTTTTTAAGATAGGGCCTCACTCTGTCACCCAGGCTGGAGTGTGGTGGTGGAGCCATAGCTCACTGCAGCCTCAAATTCCTGGGCTCAAGTGATCCTCCTGCCTGGGCCTCCCAAAATACTGGAATTATAGACATGAGCCACCATGCTTGTCCCTGAGCTATTTTTTAATTACGCATGTTCTGCGCTCCCCCCCCCCCCTTTTTTTTTTTAACATCTTCAGCATTTTTGTACAAATGGAATCATGCAGTTCATAGTCTTTTGACTCTGGCTTTGTCTGTGTAATGCTTTTGAGATTCATCGGTTGGGTGGATACTTAGCTCTGTAAATTTCTGTTTATTGCCTGGTAGTATTCCATTATATGGATATAGACCACAATTTGTTTATCCATTCACCTATTGATAAATATTTGGGTTGTTTGTGTTTCTGTTTTAAATTTAGGGAAAACTAATTCCTCCGCTGACCAATAACCCAAAACATTTTTTTTTAAGTCTCTAAGCAAAAATTGGGCCCTTTTGCTATGCAGCCATTCCAGCAGACTTTGGAGATACTAAATATTAAACATTGCAAAACAGGCTATTTCTGGAGGTTGACATTCTCTTTGTTTAGCGATCTAGTGAAGTATGTATAAATGGAATATTTAATTCACTCTCATATATTCTGTATTCCAGTCCGACTTTGGATGCCTTAGTGGGGTGAAGTACTGCCTTCACATTCTCTCTCCAAACAAGGTCTTTGTTATAAAGACAGGACTGCCACCTATGAAACTAGTGTGTAGGATATCGGCGGAGTAGGAGCTGTTGTATGATTTGGGGATTTGCCCATCAATAACAACAACGTATGCCACAGAAAGCCATTCTTCCCACATTCTCTTACAGTGGCAATTCACACTGGCAGGTTTTCATTCATTTCAATCTGCACTGAAGCTGAGCTGGCAATTTGTTTCTTATCCTGGTACCTCGAAAGAATTTCAGAAAAAATCCCTGCAATTTTAGTATCTTTCACTTGACACTCATGTTTCTTTTTTTCTGAGTTTCTTAAGTAGAACTTTGTGTCATTTGCATGCTTATTAATTTGGATAAATTCTTTCCCAAAAGGGCATGTTTTATACATACTTATTTCTGCCTGAATAGATGCAGATCTATCTAGAAGGCTTTCTGATTGGTATGTGTAGTTTTATGGAGTGTTACATACATTGAATGGCATAAATATATATTGGAATCTGGAGGCATTGAATATGTTTTTATAAGTATATAGATGTTGAATAGGTCTACACATTTTATGTTAGCTTTTCTCATTTAAAAATAAGAGACAAAAAGCATATATTTTTCTTTTTGAATATTTTTCCCCCCAAAGGTCTTCCATTACTGAAACTTTTGCTTTCAGTGGAGTAATAGACTAAAAATAAGAGTTTAAAAGAATCAACAGAACTTATTATTGAAAATGATGAGGACAGCTGGGGGCACTGGCTCACACCTATAATCCCAGCACTTTGGGAGGTTGAGGTGGGAGGATTGCTTGAGCCCAAGAGTTCAAGACCAGTCTGGGCAACATAGCATGACCCTGTCTGTATAAAAATTTTTTTAAAAAAATTAGCTGAGTGTTATAGTGTTTGCTTGTAGTGACAGCTACTCAGGAGGCTGAGGCGGGAGGATCACTGGATCCCAGGGGTCGAGGCTACAGTGAGCTTGGAAAACAGGTAAAGAGATGGAAATAGTTGGTAAATAGCATTAATAACTATTGTACACTTCTTGAGTCTATGTGACTGATGACCAGAAGCATTTAATGAGATCTAATTGAAGAATTACTTCTAATCACCGTTTCCATGTTCTAAATATGATTATCTAAAAACTAGTATTTCATATGGTTCGGTTAAAGCCATTAGCCTTTTTCTTACCTTTTCATTTCATGTCTTTCTGTTTTTGATCTGACTGCTTAGAACATATTTATTGGAACATAAACATAAACTCAAAAGACTACTGTGACAATACTTACTATTTTATGGCATTTTTCTTAAGCTATCTATTCAGTATGTGTATGACTTATGAAATGTTCCATATTTTCCTCTTGTAACTTTGTCCCATGGGTTGCACCAACCGGAAAAAGTTTTTAGCTTTGAGCACGAAGTAATTTTTCTCTAATTGTTTTTGTGGCCAAAAGTTTATTTGCCTTGGCTCAGAATAAACTGGAGAACTGGCAGTGCCCAGATTATTCACAGGACAAATACTCAGGAAGCCTGAACATCATTAATTGCATTCACAGGAGCAATTTCTGTGGCTCTGTAGCAGAAACTTCAGTGAATGGTAAAGATACGGGGTCCATCGCTGATGTTATAAAAGGAAGTGATTCCAAAAGTCCACATCCAGGAAAATTTCTACATGGTATAGCTGCGGGGGCATATCTAGAGGGTAAAGGCACAGTGTACTGCCTGAGAGGAGCTCTTTTCGCAAACCTAGAGCCTGGAAGCCAAGTTCTGAAGACAGTGGAATTGCCCCTTGTTAGTATAATTAACAGATTGTTAGCAAACTCCCAGATCCCATTCTTTGCTTGCCCCTACATCTGCCTCCCAGTAATGGTGGCCAGAGGTGAACTGAGGGGAGCCAGGATACAGATTATGTGTTTGAATCTCTCAGCGTATTCTCTGTGATTCTTTTAGAAATGTCTCCAACAAACATAACTCTGGTCATCAAAAATTAGAAATTGATTGTTCCTGTGTCACCATCAAAGATCGCATGCACTTGGAACATCAGCATCCTTTGATTCAGGAGTAGGATAGCTCTCAGCTGGGGCTCTACTTCCTTTATTTGGAAACTGTCTTCCCCAGCTGGTAATTGGGCCTGATGGCATTCTTCAGAGTGACCACAGAGCAGAAGAGCCACAATGAACCTCCCCCATCAGGTTCCTTGAAAATTGAGCTAATGTATTGAAGGCAGCAGACAGAGCCACAATTTAGGGACATGGGTTTTTCAAGATACGATAAACAGACAACACATGTACATCTCTAAATTGTTCTGTCATAGCCACTTGTCTCCTCCACTAGGGTCGCCTGTGTCCTCCAGCTGCTTCCACTGACAGCTCGATTGTGAAGTGAGCTCCACTTACAAGAGGCTTGTATATAGAGGGTCCCTTCCCACTGTGTTCACATTCTACTAATCCTCCTTAATTCAATCAGATTTTGATTTAATTCTGCCATAAGTTAGTTTTTTTCTGAAGCCATAGACAGATTAGCATAAACAAAGGAGATCATTTTAACTTAAGAGTTTCAGAAAGTAGTATGGACAAAATATTATCTTATTCTAGATTAGGTTGTATATTTTATAGATGTTGATAGAAGAATAGGATTATGACTAAAACTTTTGAAATGAAATATTTGACTTTGAAATTAATTTTTATGAATGGAGCTAATTTCATGTAGTTTTTGATCATGAAAATAAAATCTCATTTTGATTAATTTATCACATTTACTCAGAGGTCTTAAAGTCGCATTTATTAAACCAGTCCTTTATTCAAAATGATGAATAAGATGATGAAGATACCCACTTAGAAGTTTATTGTAAAAAAATCATAAAACTGTTCACCTGCAATCAGGCAGCCTTAGGAGAGCCTGTATTTTGTTTGGTTTTGTTTGGTTACGGTATCAAAACCAAGATATTTTTATAATCTTACTGCTTCTACAACATATGTATATATAAAATGAGATACATTTATTTAAATACACTGGATTTTGGAGGCTGAATAAGAAAAATAATTTAAACTCTCATTAAGATTTTTTTTTTTTTTTTTTTTGAGACAGAGTCTTGCTCTGTGGCCTAGGCTGGAGTGCAGTGGCTTGATCTCGGCTCACTGCAAGCTCTGTCTCCTGGGTTCACACCATTCTCCTGCCTCAGCCTCCTGAGTAGCTGGGACTACAGGTGCCCGCCACGAAGCCTGGCTAATTTTTTGTATTTTTAGTAGAGACAGGGTTTCACCGTGTTAGCCAGGATGGTCTTGATCTCCTGACCTCGTGATCCACCTGCCTCGGCCTCCCAAAGTGCTGTGATTACAGGTGTGAGCCACTGCACCCAGCCCTCATTAAGATCTTTGAATAATGTTTTTATGATCAGTGTAAACCCATATCGAAAAATGATAACACATTTTGCCAATTGAAATCATTTTGACTTGGTTCCTTTTACTTTATTTAGTATGACTACTGGAAAATGTATAATTGCATAGGTGGGTCACATTGTCTTTCTGTTGGCCATCCCTGGTCTGGACTTAGGGGCCCTTCATCTCCCTAGCTGTCCAGCCTACCTGGGGCACAGACCTATCACGGCAGCTGTGAGGTTGAGTAAGCCAGTTGGGGAAATTTAATTCACTATCACTGGGAGTAGCCCAAGCTATGATTGAGTGAGAAAAGAAAGAATATGTCATGTCTCTCACATGGGTACTGAGAATCTAGTTCTGTCTGTAGCTCCTAGAGCAGAGGACCAAGCATCTCTGAGGACACACGTTGTGCCTGGCATTGAGCTGGCCTCACACAACACTTGCTCTATTAACTATTCAATTATTGGGACCTTACTCTCTCATACTTACCTTTTGTAGAAAACTAAGAATTAGAAATTACATAAGATTGGACTCATTTTTCCTCTTCTACTAAATTCTCTTCTGGCCTCCAATTGCTTCCGAAGGTGGCTCAGTTCTCCTTACCTCTTTCTTAACATGTTCTTTTGAAAATGACATTTGACGTTTTTATTAAAAACTTTATTTGTGATATTATTGCAGTATTTGCAAGGCTTCAGACAAATGTCTAAACTGTACTATCGTTCTCAGTACTCTTAAGATGACATTTTTAGTGTATAACATATCTTAAATAACAAATAATAAATATATGACCTATGGATATTAATATATTTTGGTAGGACTGGCAGTTACTTATAAATTATTCTAGTTTTGAGATAAGAAAAAACTCCATTTTGCTACAGTATCAGCATAAATTAACAAACCATACTTTTCCATAGAGTAGTTTGCTCATGATGTTTTGGCATGTGTGGGAGTCACATCAACTCGTCTTTCATCCGTTTACCAAATATTTGCTAATAATACATACCGGCTCTACCACTAGGAAGTGACTGCTTTTTTACACTGAGCTAAAAGACTTCCTAAAGCAGTTGTTCCCAAACTTTGCTGCACATTGAAATTACCTGGGATCTTTTAAAAACAATTTTTTTTTCTTTTTTTTTTGTGGAGATGCAGTCCCTCTCTGTTGCCCAGACTAGAGTGCAGTGGCATGATCTTGGCTCAGTGCAGCCTCCGTCTCCGCCTCCCGGGTTCAAGTGATTCTTCTACCTCAGCCTCCTGAGTAGCTGGGATTACAGGCGTGTGCCACAATACCCAGCTAATTTTTTTGTATTTTTAGTAGAGGTGGTGTTTCACCATGTTGGCGAGGCTGGTCTTGAACTCCTGACCTTAAGTATCTACCCTCCTCTGCCTCTCAAAGTGCTGGGATTACAGGCATGAGCCACTGTACCTGGCCTTAAAAATGTTGATGCCAGGCTCTCATACCCTGTCAGCCTGACTTAATTGCTATTGGATGTGGACTGGGAAGTAGGATTCTTTAAATTTCCGCAGATGATTCTAATATGTAGCAAAGTTTGGGAGACCACTGTCCTAATGGGAGAGTTGCTTGTGTGCTGGAGAAGTGGGATACACCATTGTTATCTTCATGTTGATAGTGTCCTGCTTCATGGGGAGCTTTTCTCTGAACGTCTTTTAAAAAACAACATAACCTCGCTGGGCACAGTGGCTCATGCCTGTAATCCCAGCACTTTGGGAGGTCGAGGTGGGTGGATCACCTGAGGTCAGGAGTTTGAGACCAGCCTGGCCAAGATAGTGAAACCCTGGCTCTACCAAAAATACAAAAATTAGCTGGGCATGGTGGCGGGTGCCTGTAATCCCAGCTGCTTGGGAGGCTGAGGCAGGAGAATGGTGTGAACCCGGGAGGTGGAGCTTGCAATGAGCGGATTGCGCCACTGCACTCCAGCCTGGGGACAAGAGTGAGACTCTGGAAACAAAAACAAAAAACCCAAAATCCCTGCAACCTAAATCCAAACAAATCATCAAAGTCCCAAAGAAAATAGCAGAACGTTCTTTTTGTTCCCTCAATAGCAGAAGACTTATCGTAGCTAAACCCTAGTTCTAATCAGAAGCCAGTCAGTTAACCAGTATTTATTAGCATCACAGGACATGCATAGTCATGCTCTAGGCCTCTGGGATACGTGTTCAACGTTGGTTACATACAATCCTTGATTTATTAGTGGCTGACAAAACAAAAGATTTGTAAGTAATTGAAGTGTACCAGATGATCAAAATGTTGCAAATTTGCACCGATTAAGAGAATATGAGTGCATGTTGAAGGATTGGGAAGCATGTGATGTTAATTGAGGACTGTCTTTAGGAGTAGGCTTCCTCAGATTTAAAGGATGGGAAAGTATATTTTGGCGTTTAGAGGAAACTCAGCAAAGATACAGAGAAAGGGTGACTGAGAAAAGACAAACTTGGTTGTGAAGGAAACATGGAGAAACAGTAAAAGCAGGCAATCAGGCTTATGCATTTGATTGTAAAGGAACTGGGTGAATACTAGAAGGTGATACGTAGCAAAGAAACAGGCATTCAAAAAGTAAATATGAAAACTAATATTGGTAGTCATGCATGGGATGCCCCAGGGTTCTGCTTAGGATGCAGTATTTATAAGCGAGGTAACTGATTCTGGATAATAGGTTTGGCAGTGGGGTAGATAGTGCAGATACAGCCGAATGATTTTGCTGAAGTTGTACCAGTCACATTTAGCAGTTGGTTGTATATAGAGGATAGGAATTCTGCAAGGAATTTTACCTTGAAGTGTTAGTTTGGGTAATGAAGGATGTCAAGGAAATTGAGAGGTCCATGATCTCATAACGTATATCAGGAGCACTAGGGGTGCTTCTTGGAAATTCAGATAACTGGTCTCAGTCTACATCTGTTGAATCAGAATTGTTGACGATTGGGTCTCTCTGCTTTAGACGATGAGAGATCCAATAGGAATAGTCAGGTGGAGAGAAGAATTTTCTGATCTTCTGCCTTTCGGGGACAGAAGATGCCCCAGGGGCTTTCCTGAGAGAGTAGGGTTTATGAAGGCTCTGGGTCATGGTGCCATATAGCATTTGGGATAATGACAGAGAGCATGTGGATGTAAGGCAGAACTTCTATCCTAAAATGTGAGGTTGAGGGAAGAAATAACAAAATGGCTAAATGTAGTCATGTTTCATTGTGTCAGAAGCCAAAAGCAGTTACAATTTCAAATGTGTTTTAGGTGAATCCCAGACAGACTCAGAAGTGTTCATGGCAGCTCCTGTTCACTCATCCCACCGTTTTACCTCCAGTCCCTCCCACCTGCCGTCTCTGTGTGACATCTGGCTTCTGGTGCCCCTGTAGTCGTTTATTCCTATGTGGGAAAACATTCCCCTTATTCTCAAGTAGCTTTACACCACCTTTCCTCCACTGTCTTGGTCTTGCTGAAAACCAACATTACTAACATTACTGTGCAGCCACCATGATTTGTAGCTCTCTCATGATGGAGTCATCTGCTCTGCCCACATCTCTGGAAAAAGATAATGGGCTTGGCCTTCTCCCCTGCCCCTCCTGCACCTCCTGCACCTCCGACATCTCTCACTCTTGAGCTGAGTTCTGCAGGGCAAGAGGAATTGTCCAGGTTTGCAAGGATGTGGGGTGTCAGAAGGAAGGAATTTTGGCAGAGGGGTGAACGAGGGTCAAAGGGTAGATGATGGAAACAGTGTGATACATTTGGGACCCGAGGGCCATCAGGCAAGTTAGGAGGAGTGGTAGGAATGGAGAGTGAAGGGAGGGAGGGAGGCAGGCACTCAGATTACTCTGCTGAAGGGTTGCCTTGCCTTTGAGTGATAAGGACCTATCAGGGTTAAGTTCCAAAGTGGTGCAATAAGATAAGCATTTGGAAGGATTCTTAACCTCTCAGACCCTTAGTTCCTTTAAAAAAAAAAAAAAGTTGGCCGGGCGCGGTGGCTCACGCCTGTAATCCCAGCACTTTGGGAGGCCGAGGCGGGCGGATCACGAGGTCAGGAGATCGAGACCATCCCGGCTAAAACGGTGAAACCCCGTCTCTACTAAAACTACAAAAAATAGCCGGGCGTAGTGGCGGGCGCCTGTAGTCCTAGCTACTTGGGAGGCTGAGGCAGGAGAATGGCGTGAACCCGGGAGGCGGAGCTTGCAGTGAGCCGAGATCCCGCCACTGCACTCCAGCCTGGGCGACAGAGCGAGACTCCGTCTCAAAAAAAAAAAAAAAAAAAAATTTTATTCATACTACCTCCCACCCAGCTTTGTGAGGATTAAAGAGTGAGTCTTTGCACATAGTAGATATTCATTAAATGCCTATCTTCATTTCCTTCTTCATCCTTCTCCTGATTTGTTTTAATCTTGAAATGTGCATGTGCCTCATTTGGCAGTTATATTGCCTGGTATTTTAAGTTATATTTCCTATGTTTACTTTGTTTCTGGAACTTTACTGTTTACTCAGAGAAAATGTCTTATTTATCCTTTGCTTGCCTCTTCTCATTTCTAAATACAGGCATGCCTTGCACACATAGTAAGCACTCAGTAAGCATTTGCTTTTTGCTTCAGTATTCAGATTTGACTAAAATTCCATATTGGTAATATTGTGTGTCTCAACAATTTCTAAAGTTATTGGAAGAATTTATATGTGGTTGGAATTGGTACTTTCACATAACATGTAGGATTGTTTTTCATTCCTTTATGAATTTATGTCAGCATCTTTCTGAACTGTGGGTAATATATTAGACGTAGAAAAGTACATCATGTTATGTGTGAAAGAGTCTTATAGTTTCAGAGATTGGAGTGTAATTACATCATTTCTTTGAGTAAGTACAAATGAGCCGCCCCCCATGAGCAGTGCATTGTCTCTTTCTGGGCCTGCATGACACCTAGGTGCATGTACTGTATGATATGCAAAAACAAAGTAACACTCTTTTGCTTAAAAACATCTTTTAGTTGCTATTTTTAAAATAGTCATTACCATTTAAAACTAAATTTGGATGCCACTTTTGTTTATGAAGTTTCTCTTAAAAAATCTTCCATATGTGGATAATTTGAATATTCACTTTAATTTTCTAGAGTATGGCATTAAAATGTCGATCTAGGCAAGCTGTCAGTTATCAAATTCAGCATTGTAACAAGCTGTGAATTCATGGGATAGAAGTAGGAAGCCACATACAAGATTTGACAATCTTTCATTTGTTGCATGTAAAAGCAAATTTATCTTCCTTTGCAAAGCAAAGTTTTAGATTTTTGGAAAACCTTACCGCTTGAAGATTGCTTTGCCTCCAGAGCACTTTAGAATTGTATGGGGTTCTCAAGATGGGCTCTGGTAGAAGATTACAATGTATAATTTCAGTATTAATCTTCAGGGGTATGGAAAGGAAGATGTCCAGAGTGAACCTGAAACATATTTTACCAATTGCGCATTAATTTTAAATTGCCAAGGGCAATGAAGAAAATAAAGAACAGCTGTCCTCAGAAAATTTACAGCAAGTAAACTAGAGTTTCTCTCTGTCTCTGTTTTAATCAAAATGGGTGTGAGGTGAGCGTGGGTGGAAATAGAGGACAGTCTTCTGTGGGAGGGAGTTGAAGAGTCTTGTGGTGTCTGCAGAAATGCAAATGCAAAATTGAAATAATAAATCCAGGCACATCAGGACTGAATATTCATTTTCACAATTAGTAATCTTATTTGTTTTAAGGAAACTCTGAGAAACTATTTGTTTCCAAATGAATGGTCACATTAAATTAATAGGGGCACATCCTTCCTCTGAGACGGCGAACCCCGAGTCCTTGCCTTTACCCCTCGTCCATGTGGTTTAGGGTTTGGTTTAGGACTGTTACTACTTTCCTGTTGTCCAGTGACTGTTTTTTTTCAGCCCATGAATTAAACCTTCTTTTCTCTTTGTTACCTATGGTTTTATACGTTTTCCTCCTCTTTAACGCATCCACAGAATAGAAATGAAGAAAATTAATAGGACTTTATTCTATCCTTACAATAAATCATCTTGCTTCTGGGTGTATTTGGGGTTGGAGGTTGGGTAGTTGTCAGAAAATGACAATGGTATATTTTCAAGTAGTGCTGAAGGTGTTTTTAGAACAGAAGAAACTTGGTGGAACTGTCTTGCTACAGAGTAGGCATGCTAGGCTTTGTTTTTGCATTACATTCTGATGAGGTCTGTGACATTTTATGGTACACTGTTAGCATAGTGGTGAAGAACATTAGCCCAAAAGACTATCTTGATTGTAATCTCAGTTTTACTCCTTATTAACTCTGCCTGTAACCTCTCTGTGTCTTTATCATCTGTGAAAAGGGATAAGGATCAGATCTCCTTCATGGGGTTGTTGTGAGAACTAAAAGAGAATGCTTAGGACATTGGCACCTGTTGAATAGCCAGTAAGTGTGAGTTGCTTATTTAGAGATAAATCCAGTCATTGAGGCCAATTATAATTAAGTAGTCTCATTATTGATTTAAGGCTCTAGGAGATTGAAGAACTTTCTATTTTTTTTTTTTTAAAATAGCAATTTACATTGGGAAATAAATCACCCAAATTCACTTTATCTGTTAATTTTATATGGCTCTTAGAACAAACAGCAAAATTAACTGGTTTGGCTTTTAACCTCTTCCTCTTCAGTGATTTGTGGACATTTGAGCATTAAGATATCCTGAGCAGTAAAATAGCCAGAGGCTCAGGAAGAACACCACGGTTTTCAGATTATCTCAAGCTTTTCCTCAGAAGCCAAACAAACACCACAAAACACCCTGAAAACCAAAAGCAGGCATTCTTCCTCCTGGGATTTAGTACCTGCTGCTACAGCTGCTCTGAGGTGGAGAGGCAGAGGGCAGCAGCGAGACACAACATTAGGCCTTTTCTGATGTTTCCCATCTCTGCAGCAGAGGAATGAAAAGGAATCTTGCAAAAAGCAACGGCCCACTTTTGCCTTGAGTTTGAGTCTCTTTTTGATTTATTGTAGTAAAATTTTGCTAGTACTTAAACCTGAGCTACATGAGTGATGAGCTTGAAAATTTATTTAGCTGTCCCATCCTTTCCAGCTTACTTTAATACTTACCTATGCCTGGGCACACACATGTTAGATGGATTTTAGTTGTAATTTTGGGGTATTTCTTACAGGGAAGGTATTAGAGGAAAAAATACTAGAAATATGGTTCCTGTTCTTAAAGATGAGCTTCAATCTAAATTCAAGACAGAGATTTTACTCTACTTTCATGTTAACCAGTTATCCTGCATAGTTCCACGGATACTAGTAGAAGACACAAGACTCCTGGATCTTTGACACAGGACAGTTTATTACTGTCAGTAGCTAGAGCAGTGCATTTTGTGCTCATTCCCTGAGCCCTGATTCCTCAGGGCACTGCAAAGATGGCCAGGTGATACTTATGGATGATACAGTTGGTTGTGTTATAGGAGGAAAAACTCTGAATGCAGAAAACTCAGATCTTTTATAATGGCCAGCAAGGAAGCCTTTTGCTCTAGGAGACACCATCTCTATTTGCTAAGGCTGCAAGCAACCCTGCTCTTTGCTCCAGAGGGTAGATATTGGAACAGAGGGTGCTTCCACCATGCTGGGGTGGTGTTGGTAGTGGTGAGTGGGTGGTATGATGTGGGGAGATGTTTGTGAGCAGTTGTATCCAGAGGGTGGCAGATCCCAGGTGCTGTGCTGCATTGTCTGCCTTAACTCTTTCTGTAGGCTGTGGTGAGCTATTGACAGATTTGGATGGGAGTGTGTCTTGAGATCTTTGACAGAGAATAGAATTGGTGGGAATAGAATGGGGGTAAGATGGAAGGCAGGGCGGTTGCTTGAATTTGGGGAGTAATTCAGATAAGAAATGATGGAGGTTTAAACTAGAATATTTGCAGTGGAAAGAAGGGATGGATAGGAAGAGAGACTTCGCAGACAAACAGAATTTGATGACCTGCTGGATATTGGAAGTCAGGGAGAGAGGAAAGTGAAAACGAACTCTAAGCCTCCCAGACCAGGTGGATGAGACCTTTAGCCAAGGCAGAATGCAAGATGAGCAGTAGGTTTGGGAGGGATAGAGACTGGTTTTAGATATTCTGAATGCAAGTGGCATGTTATAAGAAATAGAATGAAAGCAAGAGGAGAGATGGCAGGAATTATTTTTAAAGAGGTAAGGTTTTGAGTGTCTAAGTCAAGATGATAGTGGAGAAAAGGACAGAATCTTTGTGAATGCTTCTATTTTGATGATGAGAGGAAGAAGAATAATGGAGACATAAGACAGAGGGATAGGAGGCGAAGGAAGAAGGATGGTTGTAAGGGAATCCATAAGAGGGGAGATTCCAAGAAGGAAGAAGTCAGCTGTGCCAAATACTCTAGAAAGGTCAGGTTGGTGGAGGAACAAGAAACAACCATTGGGTTTAGTGGCTGGAAAGTCAAACTAGATAATAGCGAGGTTGTACTTGTTTTTTTCTTAGGTGTTATTTTCTCATAAGAACCATGTGAGACAGGTGGTATTATCCCCATTCGCATGAGCCCCTGAAGTGAAGAAACGTGATTTGATTTGTCTAAGTCTCAGAGGTAGAGAGCAGTATACTACAACTTGCTTCCAAGACTGTGTTTTAAATACCCACGCTCTTAACCACAGTGAGCATGAGGAGATGGAGACACTATAGTCTGACCTTTTTTTGAGGATGTTGGAGAGATGAAGGAAAGAAAAACAGAAGACAAGCTGTTAAATAACAAAGTTTAAAAGTTTGAGAGTACTGTAGGAAAGGGAAGTTGGGAGGGAAGATTTAAGTATCACCCACTGAAAGTGTTCATCTAGATTCAGGATTAAGCCATTCTAAAGTTAGACCTGCCTTTTTTCCATAACAACTGCTTCATGGATTCTGAAGGTGCATCCTTGGCCCAAGAGAGATGCACTGTCTTTGCTGAGGATTGCTGCAACACCTCGTGAGGTCTCTTCATAGCAGGCAAGATGTCAATACAGAATCTGCATATGACAATATATTAAAAATTTTAACGTATTGCATTTTATGTTTTTGGAGTATATCACACTCTCTCACACAGTCTCCATAAAACTCGGTAGCTGAGCAGATATATATTAATAGGCTCAGTTGCACATGTGGTATCAGAGGCCAGAACAAGGTAGGATAAACCTGTCACAGGTCACACAACTAGGCAAAGCTGGGGTTTGGAGCCTAGTCTCCCGACTCTAAGCCAGACTTATCCTATGGCAGCAGAAACAGGGTGAGAGGAAGAGTTGGTGGACAGTGCAACTTATTGGTGATAGGGGAGCTTGATCCTAAGGGAAGGCGCAGAGGCTGTGAGATACTCCTTTTGCCAAGGTTCATGCTGTGAGGAAAAACTGAAGGGCACATTGAGTGAGTCACAGCCAGTGCCTGTATTAGATACTGGGATCGGGAGACCTCTGGGAGAGTGTGGGGCCCCAAAGGTTACTAATGAAATCGGAAACTCCCTGTTACTCCGTCGCTTTCCTCTAGGCCCTGTCTCGGCACTTTGCCAGTAGCTTGGGTAGAAAGAATAGCAACAAGTCTAGGGCATCTGGTCTGAAGCTAAAATGCTTTCTCTTGTGTTGCCTAGAAACTGAAAACGAGGCCAGCCACCTGTAGTATACAGTCCATTTTGACCATAATACAGAGGTTACAGCTAGTAAACTTTCTACCTTTCGTATTTGAGACTTGGATTCGGGAGGATGAGACTTAGCATCAAGTCTTAGGTGTATCTTTAGAAGCCTAAAATTGTCAGTACTTCCAAAAATACGGGTTTAGACCCAGAAGTGAGTATTTGCTTTGCACTTTTTAAAATATTTCTCACTTTTCTCCTGGGATGGGACAGTAGTGAGTGGATGTGACAGACAACCCCAGTGGGCACAGCCACCCTTACGTGCCAAACTGTCTGGTTTCTGTGTTGAGTCTCTGGTTTGTTTGGGAGTGGGAAGACTGTGGGAATGAGATCCTAAGACCTTTCCTGAAAGTGCCTGCTGGTGGGGAGGCTAATCATCACAATACAGAAATGCGTTTACACAAAGAGTAGGAGAAGGCGAACATGCCAGTGAAAGCAAGACTTATATAGGAAAGGGAAAAACAGATTAGTTGGTGGCAAATAATAGCTGTCTGTAATGTTTTTCTATCTGCTGTTCAAATAATTATCATCCGGGGAAGAACTTACAAATGTTATTGGTGAGCAGGAATTGTATATTTTCCATGAGTCATTCTCGTTAAATAAATTTTGACTCTCTTCCCAGCATGTGCTTTATTTTATGAAAATGGGCTTATAGATTAAAGGCCTTGGTTAGGACATTTATATGTATCGTGCCTGGCTATTTTGAAATTAATTTTGAGTTTTATACTACAATTAAAGCTTGTAATGATTGCTTGGTATGTGTGAAGCTCATGCACTTGCTTTGTAAACATTATCTCCTTTAATGTTCACAGCAACCCAGTTCCCATCATTAACCCCATTTTCAGATGAAGAAGCTGAGCACAGAGAGGCTGAATAACTTGCTAGGTCACATAGCTAGAAGGTGGCAGAGTTGGAAGTTTTCAGGATGTCAGTAACCTTAACTTGTAATAATTTATATTTTGTAACCTTAACACATTTGTATTTCCAAGATATGTTTGTTTTTTATTTAAATGGAGGTACCAAGGTCCAGAAAGTTTAAAATGTTATTCAGTATTATGTTGAATCTCATCTTTGTACAGCTCTACTTTATCTGCTGCCTCAATGCTTAGGAATTATCCCTTACCCTGCTGCTTGGCAGTATTTAATGCACTGTAAGTGTTACAAATAATGCATTCTTTTCCCAAAGCTTTAGAATTATGTAAATACCGTATCTTAAATTTATGATGGTGAATATGTCCCTTTGATGGAATAGAGAGAATCATTCTTCTGTCTGCTTATATTTAAAACCATTTTAATATAAATACACATTTTTGACAGAATGTTATAATGTTATGAATTGCTGAGTATCTTGGAAGAGTATCTTTGTGTATGAACCTGTTTATTTTTATGTAACCCAGTGCAGCAGATAGCCTAGAAAGTGCTTACTATACTTAAACAGACATTTAAACATTAGTGCTTACTGAGGACTAGTTATAAATATATGTAAGGAACACATTATCACATTTTTGTAATCCACCTATGATCTGAAACAATATTCATGAGTCTCTTCATTGCTTTTCTTAATATTACCTTCATAATACATCATTCTTAGCCAGATTGCTAGGTATTTCCTCACAAGTTTTTCTAATTATTTCATGAAGAGTGCGTTTTTCCTTCATTTTCAAGAATATTTCAAGATTAGCTAATGTTAGTAATTATATATGAAAATATATACATATAAGGCATCTAAAATAATGATTAATATTTTTATGTGCATAAAAGCATGTTTGTTTGTTGTATAACCCATAGAGAAATCTGTCTTTACAGTGCTAGAGGGATATGCAAACCTATATTTGCATTTGTGCATACACATGTGTGTATATATATGCACATGTGCCTCATTAATGATGAAATGTTAGACTTTTGATGTAAATCCTGTGAATGCCAGTATGAACATTAATGACCTTTTGCCCCTGTTGTCAACACACGTGAGTGCAAATAAATGATTCAGTCCCTCCACAAATATTGATGAAGCATCTCATTCCATGCCAGGCAATCTGCTGGTTACTAGATGAGAGCTGAATGTTAGTTTACAGAACCATGGAATTTGAGAATGTATTTCTGTAGAATCATACGGCTGCAAAATCCTTTTTAATCATTTCATGCCTGTTACCATCAAAGGTGTTTATCTTTCACTTTGAGCCCTTCTCCTTTGTTGTTGTATCTTTTTCTGTCATGTATTTTATTTCCGTATTTCCCTTACTGATTAATCATCAATATATTAATTGTTCATTTATTTTTCAATTCATTTGTTAAATATATACCATAGGCTAAGGACAAGTTGAGGTATTAAGAATATGGAGCTATCGGGTATAAAAACTGCCCCTGAAGCTGAAAAGATAAGAAAGAACTTCTTGGCCTATTTAGTTTCAAGTTACTCTCTTTTAATTTTAATTGTCTGTTTAATTTTACCCTGTGTCTTCACTTGATTCCACCTCACTGCCTAAAATATAAGTACTCAGCAATTCCTGTGAAATTAACAGGAAATTAAATGTTATGTAATTTCTAGCCTATCTTCTCATTTATTTCCAATTTTTCCTCCCTTTTATTTTGTATTCTCCCTGTTTACCATTTCTATTTTTTAAAAATTACCTGTCTTTTCTCTTCTGCTTCCTTTATTCTAATGGTACTTTGTTTTCAAATTCATCACATTTATTTGCCAGCTGTAGCTACTCTAGCCTTTATCTCTACCTCTCTTGTTTACCTGCATTTATCAGCCCTCTTAAGTTTTATTTTTCTTTTGCATCTGATTTTTTAACTATCCCAGAACATCTTATTTTCTGTGTTGCTTCTCCAGCCCACCTACAGGGACAGTGGATGCCTGCTAGTGCTCAGTAGTTCCATGCAGGTGTTTTCTGGAGCTGTGTGGTCTCTGGCTCTGGTAACACCATTTGGGTTTGAGAGGGAAACAGCTGAGCAGAGATGATGATGAAACTTGACTGCTTCCCACTTTTTGACCCTCTCCTCTAGGAAGATGTGGGTGATGTGAGTAGTGCTCTATGACAGTGTTGTGGGAGATTGGAGGAGACAGATGGTAGGAAGTAAGACACATTTGATTTTACCTTATCCATTTTGCCCAGAGACAGCTGTCATCAGCTGCTCATCACTCTAATGGAGATAAGCTTACCTTTTGTTTGCTAACTATCAGAACGAATCTCAATCTAATTTATTAAGAGAGAAAAAAAAAAAAAACTTGGGGCCTGTAAACACATTGACCAGGTTACAAATTTTTGTTAAAAGTTAGACAATATTGATATCAATATCATCACTGAGCATTTATATCTGAAAAATCACAATAATTTGGATATTTTAACTTTAATTTTTCAGTTCTAAATTGTGATGTCCATTTTGGCCCAAGTCTATATCTATAGTTCTATATCAAATTCAAGTCAGATCAACCTAGCTATACCTATTCTGTGCCCACCTATTCTATACAAGGCACCATAAAAGCTATTAAAAGCAAAAACCAAGGTTGACCAAGTATCTTTCCAGGCAATACCTCTGTATTTGGAGAGAAGGTGGAATACAGGTTCACGATTCTTCATCTGAAAATTCCAAGGCTAGGTGTGTTTTGGAATTCAGACCTTTTTAATTAAAAAAGATAATAGATCATTCAGAACATAGGCACAGGCAAAGATTTCATGACGAAGATGCCAAAAGCAATTGCAACAAAAGCAAAAATTGACAAATGGGATCTTATTAAACTAAAGAGCTTCTGCACAGCAAAAGAAACTATCACCAGAGCAAACAGACATCCTACAGAACGGGAGAAAATTTTTGCAATCTATCCATCTGACAAAGGTGTAATATCCAGAATCTATAAGGAACTTTAAATGAGAAAAACAACCTCATTGAAAAGTGGGCAAAGGACATGAACAGACACTTCTCAAGACAAGACATACATGTGACCAACAAACATATGAAAAAAAAGTTCAACATCATTAATCATTAGAGAAATGCAAGTCAAAACCACAATGAGATACCATCTCAAGCCAGTCAGAATGGCTATTATTAAAAAGTCAAAAAACAGATGCTGGTGAGATTGTGGAGAAAAAGGAACACACTATCGGTGGGAGTGTGAATTAGTTCAGCCATTGTGGAAGACAGTGGCGATTCCTTAAAGACCTAGAGGCAGAAATACCATTTGACCCAGCAATTCCATTACTGGGTATATACCCAAAGGAATGTAAATTGTTTTATTATAAAGACGCATGCATATGTTCACTACATTACTTTTCACAATTGCAAAGACATGGAATCAACCCAAATGCCCATCAATGATAGACTGGATAAAGAAAATGCCGTACATGTAATATACCATGGAATACTATGCAGCCATAAAAAGGAATGAGATCATGTTCTTTGCAGGGACATGGATGGAGCTGGAGCCCATTTTTCTTAGCAAAGTAATGCAGAAACAGAAAACCAAATATCTCATGTTTTCACTTACAAGTGGGAGCTAAATAATAACACATGGACACATGGGGGGAACAACACACACTGGGACCTGTCAGAAGGCGGGGGTGGGAGGAGGGAGAGGCTCAGGAAGAATAGCTAATGGATGCTGGGCTTAATACCTGAGTAATGGGATGGTCTGTGCAGCAAACCACTATGGCACACGTTTACTTATGTAACCTGTACATCCTGCACATGTACCTCTGAACTTAAAAGTTGGAGATAAAAAATGGAAAAAACAATAAAAAGGTAATATGGGACATACACTGAATAGAATATTACATCTCCAGGCAGGTTTGGTGTGGAAATTACTTTTAACATGTGAAATATGAACATTCAGTCTGAGTGGAAAAAATACTTAAATAACCTGATTTCAGGTCATGCATTTATACTTTTTCAGCTTCAGGATTTCTTTTTGATTTTTAAAAATTATTTCAATCTCTCTGTTAAATTTCCCCAATAAATTTCTGAATTGATTTTCTGTATTTTCTTGAAGTTTGTTGAGAAGGAAGCTCATCTTCTTTAAATTTCTTTGAGAGATTGCATGTCTTCATCACTTTAGGGTTGGTCTCTGGTGCCTTATATTGCCTGTTAGGTGAGGCCATATTTCCCTGAATGTTCTTTTAAAAATTGTTTATTTTTTTAGGGACAAGGTTTTGCTATGTTGCCCAGGATGGAGCCCAGAGACTATTCACAGGTGCAGTCATAGCACACTATGGCCTTGAACTCCTATACTCAAGCAGTCCTTCTCCCTCAGCCTCCCAAGTAGCTGGGATTACAGGCACTCGCCACTGTGCCAGTCCCTGAATGCTCTCGATGCTTGTGACAGTGTCTGTGCATTGAGGGATTAGCTGTTTATTTTCATCTACCCAGTCTGGCTTTGTGCCTGTTCTTCAGAGGGCCTTCCAGGATTCTAAGATGACTGACTCTTGGGTTTCCTGAGCCTGTGACCACTGTAGCTGTCTCAGCACTAGAGGATGCTCTAAGCCCAGGCTTGCCACGAGTCTCTTCAGGACTCAGAAGTTGACGTGGCTTTCTGCCCCAGATGGACCTGGGGAAGACCCAAAAAAGATACTGGGACTGTGTGGGAATACTGGCCAAGACCTGAGTCCAGAAGACTGTTCTAGTGGCCCAGATGGATGTGTCTCCCAGCAGGTCTCTGCATGGGTGGGATGAATTTCTGACTATAGCAGAATGGGCTGGAGTTGATATGAGGCCCTCTTGGTATCTGCTGTGGGGCAGAGGCTGGAGAGCCAGGCTCTTTGGGTGTATGTCTCATAGTAGGTCTCAACATGAGATTGTTCCCTGATTGCAGTGGGAGGGGCGGGAGCTGAGCCTGGGTCCCCTTAGGATCTGTTGTGGGGCAGAGGTTGGCAAGCCCATCTGGAAGCCTCAGGCTCCCAGGCTGCGAGACATGGGTGAGTTTCCCTCTGGGTCCCTGTGCAAGCAGCTCTGAGTTGGGACCTTGGCTGAGGGGCCCTGGAGCCAAGCCACAGGGCAAGTCTCAGGTTCACTGCTGAGACCACTGTTAGTATGCAGACGAACCTTTCTGCCAAAGCACCAGTGTGCAAGATTCCTTTTGGACCCCTTGGCAGATAGTTTCAACTGCAGGCTCAAGGCCAAAGAGGGCTGTAGCTAAGTCCCTTGGAGGACTGGACCATTGTCAAGCTTGAATCTAGGAGCAAGCTTGTGGCACATCAGCCACCTGGATGTTGGTCTGCACTCTCAAAGTGACCCTCCCAGGTCTTGGGCTCCACCAAGGTTTCACAAACTTTTACCTGAATCCTGAGATTCCCACAGAGAGACTTTGATGGTGGATGGATGCAGAATTCTTACTGTCATATGGGGATATGAGCAGGTTACTTTCTGTGCCACCATCTTGGTGATGCCACTCCTCTATCCGTTAACGCTTTTGATTTTGGGAGTTGTGACTAAGATTGTGGACTTGTTTTAAGATGTACCCTGGTGGGTGCAGTGGCTCTTGCCTGTAATCCCAGCACTTTGGGATGCCCTGAGGCAGTAGGACCACTTGCACCAGGAGTTTGAGACCAGCCCAGGCAACATAGTGAGACCCGCTCTCTACAAAAAATAGATTCAGCCTAGTGTGGTAGCATGTGCTTGTAGTCCCAGCTAGTCGAGGGGCTGACATGGGAGGATGGCTTGATCCAAGGAGGTCAAGGCTGCAGAGAGCTGTTATCACACCACTGCATTCCACCTGGGTGACAGAATGAGACCCTGCCTTAAAAATAAAAAATTTTAAATGTAATCAAGTGTTAAATTAAAAGGAATCAATTATGAGTTATGTTTAGAAGAAGGGAGTATCACTGTGGGCTGGTGTCAAAAAGGGGATTTTTATCCGGTTTTGAAGGTTTAGATGGGAATTTTACTCACTGTCGAATCTTGGGCAACCAGAATAGCACCTGGCACATATCTGATGAATAAATATATGACAGTTGAATAAATCTGTGAAGAGAAGGGGAAGAGCATTCCTGCTGGGGAGACTTCAGCCTGAATGTAGCCGCAGAGGATGCAATGAACTTGGTTATTTGTGGGTGATGGTCGAGCTGTCTGTTGTGATTAAGTTGAATACACTGCAGTCCCTGTAGGAAGATGAGGTGAGGCCCGTCATGGATGTGTGCGTGTGTGTGCCTTACATACTTGTTAAGGCTAGAGGATGTGGGCTGGATCTGAAGGCTGGCTCTTAAATGGGGATCCAGGGGACATTAGATAATAATAGTGGTTTGAAAATAAAAAGATAGAAGACAGTGTTCAGAATGGATTATAGTTGTGTGTTTCTTTTTAGGGATTCCGTAATAAATGTGTGTGCATGAAATTCAGGACTGTGTTGAAGAGGCAGACATTAGTCTGAAGTTTGAAGAAAGAGTGGACATTGACTTGTTGCATTTGGAAAGTGACAGGGAAGAAGTCAAAGATTTCAAATTTCTAATACTTGTTGATCAGAAATAGTGATCCCTTTGGTTGACAGGGAAATTTGGAAAAGAAGCTGGAAAAGGACATGATAAACTCACTAATATGCCTTGGCATATTGGTTGGTTTATATCCTTAAGATGTATTTGATGCCTTTTATATGAACATATATGTGTTCATAGATAAAAAGTATGTTCCAGCTCTCATTTAGTTCAGAGCCTTTGAGAACAGTGTAGCAAGAAATAGAAAATCGAACAAGACTTGAGTGTATGTATTTTACGTGCGATTTCCAAGCTGCTTTTGTGCAAGGTTTATTTAAATTTCATTTAAAAATGTAGAAACTGTGTTGAGTAGCTTTAATTCCCCCTTGCACCTCTCAGTATGCATTAGCAATTACTTCTCTCAGGTTGATGAATTTGAACTTGATCAATTATTTGATAGTAATTACTGGCACAGAGTGATTATTATTGCCGAAGTGACATTCTTATTTCATCTCTCCATATAATTCAGGCCGTTTTCACAGAGGCATGTTTGCTTGAATGCAGAGTATGATTTGCTCTTTTGGCTTCTACCACTGAGGTCAAACTTTTTAAGCTTTCTTAGCTAGAGTAGTACTGAAACCCTCTGGTATTTTAAACTATCTGGATGTGCCCTTCTGGCTTCCAAAAAGAAGGAAGGATTGAGGCTCAATCTTTTTTCCTGTATCGGGCTCAAAAGGTCTCTGATTTTTGTGTTTCTTAGCAACTTTCTTTTCTTTTTTCCAACTCCTGGCAGGGCTGTGCGGCCTCCTTTTCCTCTCTTTTTTTTTTTTTTTTTTTTTTGAGATGGAGTCTTGCTCTGTCGCCCAGGCTGGACTGCGGACTGCAGTGGCGCAATCTCGGCTCACTGCAAGCTCCGCTTCCCGGGTTCACGCCATTCTCCTGCCTCAGCCTCCCGAGTAGCTGGGACTACAGGCGCCCGCCACCGTGCCCGGCTAATTTTTTTGTATTTTTAGTAGAGACGGGGTTTCACCTTGTTAGCCAGGATGGTCTCGATCTCCTGACCTCATGATCCACCCGCCTCGGCCTCCCAAAGTGCTGGGATTACAGGCGTGAGCCACCGCGCCCGGCCCTTTTCCTCTCTTATAGTTGCTGAATGTTCGCCCTCAGGAAGGTGTGTCTCTGATGCTGTGACTCCTTAGTGTTCTGAGTAGACTTAGGTAGACTAAGGGCTAGCCTTTGCTCTTCTGGTTCTTTAAGCTCTAATGAGATGGAGAGTAATTATTAGCTTGCTTGGGCTGCCATAATAAAGTATCACAGGCTGGGTGACTTAAATCAGGGGTCCCCAATCCCCAGACCGTGGCCTATTAGGAACCAGGCCTCACAGCAGGCGGTGAGCAGTGGGCAAGCCTTATGGCCTCAGCTCCGCCTCCTGTCAGATCAGTGGCGACATTAGATTGTTATAGGAGTGCAAACCCTATTGTGAACTGCACATGTGAGTGATCTAGGTTTTGTACTCCTTATGAGAATCTAATAATAAATGTAATGCTCTTGAATCATTCTGAAACCATCCCCCCCACCCCAATCGGTGGAAAAATTGTCTTCCATGAAACCAGCCCCTGGTGCCAAAAAGGTTGGGGATGGGGGCTGCTGAATAAACAATAGAAATCAATTTTCTCACAATTCTGGGGGCTACAAGTCCAATATTAAGCTATCAGCAGGGTTAATTTCTTCTGAGGCCTCTCTCTGGCATGGGGATAGCTGTCTTCTCCCTGTGTCTTCTCATGGTCCCCCTCTGTACATGTCTGTGTCTTCATCTCTTCTTACAAGGCCTCCAGTCATGGTGGATTTGTGCCCACCCTGGTGACCTCATTTTAATTTAATTACTTTTTTTTTCAAGACCTTATTTCTAAATACAGTCACATTTGGAAGTACTGAGGATTAGGACGTCAACAGATGAATTTGTGGGGATACAATTCAGCCTATAACAGAAGGAAAAATAGGACATTTGTAAAACTTAAAAAATAAGGAATAAAAAGCAAAGAGGATTTATATTCCTTTGGGTATATACCCAGTAATATAAATCGTCCTGTTATACACACACATGCACATGTATATTCATTGCAGCCCTACTCACAATAGCAAAGACATGGACTCAGCCTAAATGCCCATCAGTGATAGACTGGATAAAGAAAATGTGGGGTCAGGCGTATTGGCTCATGCCTGTAATCCCAGCACTTTGGGAGGCGGAGGCAGGCGGATCACCTGAGGTCAGAAGTTCAAGATGAGCCTGACCAACATGGTGAAACCCCATCTCTACTAAAAATACAAAATTAGCTGGGTGTGGTGGCATATGCCTGTAATCCCAGCTACTTGGGAGGCTGAGACAGGAGAATCACTTGAACCTGTGAGGTGGAGGTTGCAGTGAGCCGAGATTGCTCCATTGTACTCCAGCCTGGGCAACAAGAGTGAAACTCCATCTCCAAAAGAAACAAAATGTGGTACATAAAGTACCACGGACTACTATGCAGCCCTAAAAAGGAACGAGGATCATGTCCTTTGCTGGGACATGGATGGAAGTGGAGGCCATTATCCTTAGCAAAGTAATGCAGGAATAGAAAACCAAACACTGCATGTTCTCACTTATAAGTGGGAGCTAAATGATGAGAACTCGTGGACACATAGAGGAGAACAACACATACTGAGGCCTATGGGAGGGTGGAGGGTGGGAAAAGGGAGGGGATCAGGAAGAATAATTAATGAGTACTAGGCTTAGTACCTGGGTGATGAAATAGTCTGTACAACAAATGCCATGACACAGGTTTATTATCTATGTAACAAACCTGTACATGTACCCCTGAACTTAAAAGTTAAAAAAAATAGTATATGTAACTATAATTTTTAAAAAAAGCAAAGAGAAAAAGAAGGAACAAAACTTGACAAGGAAGAATGAATGCTTTTGTGTGTGTGCTGTGAGTTACAATCTGTAGGACATGTGTTAGTATCATCTCATTTCCCTCCCAGCATAACATAGGGTATAGGATGCAGTCCTTGATCTCAGATACAGCATAGAGACTCCGAGAGGTTTCCTCTCTTCCTCATGAGTGACTGAACTGACTTGAATCCAATTCTTTAGACTCTGACTAGTATTCTTTTCATCACTCCGAGCAGGGAGGTGAAAAGAAAGTAAACCCTCGTGGTCAAATTCCATGGCCTTTTGTTGTGTTATTCTGTTTTGGAAACTTTGGGGATTAGAGGCATCATCTGCCTGTCAGCCAGTTGTGTTCTTGTTACCTTTAACATTCGTAGCGGAGAAAATAAACACACAGCCAGAAAGCTGCAACTCATTTGAGAAGTAAATATAAGTCACATTTTTTGGAAGTCATTATTATGAAAATTTTCAAGCATAAAAAAGTAGAGAGATTGGTATAATGAATTCCCATATTCTCATCCAGATTCAATAATTATCAAGATTTTGCCACAGTTGTTTCATCTATCCCTTTTTCCCTCTTAAAGCAAATGTAAGGTTACTTTTAACCCTTTCAGGATGCAACTTTAAACAAATGGAGATTTTCTTACCCTTAATGCTACTCAGTTTGCTAATTGCATCAAAAATGTCTTTTCGTCATTGATTTGTTCAGATCAGAATGCAAATGATAAGGATATTTGTTCAGCATACCAAATTAGGTTTGACAATACATTTTCTTTTATATGTCTCTTGTTTTCAGGGACAATTTGTTTTCAGATCTCTGTAGAGAGAGAGGATGCATTGATTTGGTTCATTTTGCAGTATACTTTGTGGTGATATTGATTTGAAGTTTCACAGCTCCTCACTGGACAGGACATGTAACAACTTTAAAAAAAATTACAGTTTTGCTTTAGTTTTGAATGAATTTCTATGGTTTTCAGAAATCATCCAAACAATGATTTCTATGTACTAATCATCACCGTATTTTTAAAAGGCTAAAACTTTTGAAGAAAAATGTAAACAAGTAAATACAGTAAACATAAAAGTTTTAGTGCATCTTTACAAATTGGATTGGTATTCATTTCAATGTATCCATGATACTTAACTAACTTACTAACATTGAGGCATTTCATTTTTGTCCACATGGAACATTGTTTGCTGAGATTATTTTTTTAACCACAACTTACAGATAAAAAGCTAGTAAAACAAGTTGTTAAACACTTGATTTTTTCAAAGGTTATTTTTATAGTTAACAGGAATGCTGCTAATGTTAGTTAGCAAAGATTTTGAATGCAACTGTTTGATGGCTTTTAAAATATGATAGTCTTCTATTTTGCTAATAGTTTGTTTCTTCCCATAGGTATAAATGACCAAGGATTGTACAGAGTTGTGGGGGTGAGTTCAAAGGTCCAGAGACTTCTGAGTATGTTGATGGGTATGCCTCTTTTCTAATCATTTTTCCATGTGTTATTTGTGTATGTTCATTGACTTCACAGCTTAATATTTCATAATAATGTAGAGAATACTTGTCATTCCATTCCTCTACTTTCTACAGGAGTTTTCTGCTGAGCAGAGACAATTGACCCACAGAAGTAGATTAGTATTTGCATCAGCATAGATTGTCTATTACCTCTTATTAAGAAATGAAAAAAGAATGCACCCCCTGGTTGACTATCTTCCTGTGCTTGCTTCTCACAGGGAAGTGGCAGTCAGGCCTCTATGATTTGCGTGGCTTCCAAATAGCCTGTCCAGAATTGTGACAGTACATTTGGTTGGACAAGACCACTGGGACTCGCTCATTTTTATGGAGCTTCCAAAACTGTCATTTGACAGCAAGGGTCTGATTCTCAGGGATTCATTGGTATTCACAGTGGCTTGTTTGTAGTTCACACCAGGCTCTCCTCCAGAACCATGCATGCTCCATCTGTGCTGATAACACAGTGTTCTTTGGCATCGCAGACTAGAGGAAGCCAGAAAGTGAATTCATTTCATTACCCCAGACATTATGTGAATGACAAAGCGCTTTTACATTACACACTGCTGTCAGTTCATTGCCACCTGTAAGACACTCCACTTCTCCCCCACCCCAAAACAGGCTGCCTCTTGAAGAGTGATGATAACTCATCAGGCTAGAGGGCCTGTGTATCAAACCAATCTGTCATTATGATCTTGCTACATATTAATTTATTTGATACCTTACTTTAATTAATCAATATTAACAATGCCCTCAGGTGTGCTGTGAATGCATTCCAACCTGTCTGCATCTTAAAACATTACAGCAAAGAGTCATTTTTAGGAAGCATGAGCCAAGTTGAATAAAATCAACTGCCATGCTACAGATAGGATTGCTTGTTTGCCTATATTTGAATTAAGGATTTAATAAGCAACAATCTTTTATAAGCTATTAACCACAGGAGAAATTGCCCGTCATCAGTTGGAGAGCCTTATTAGAATACATTCACTTCCATAAGCTGTTTTCATTTTCTGCCTCTCTGGTTTAACTTGGGTGTGCAATTTTGGCAGTCAGATTTTCCTTTTTACCAATAGTGGTCTCCAAATTAAATAGACTCAGGTTGCCAGTGGTTCAGTAGCAGCTGGAAGAATTTAATGGGAGTACAGCATCTGCTTTTACTTAATTTTAAAATTGGAATCACTTCTTTCATTTCCAAGATGGTGTTATGATGATTAGAACTGGAAGAGTATATTGATAACAGAATGGGAAATGTGGACTGAAAGGCACATTTTGCTGGTAAATTGGTCCTAAGGACCTGGCATTATTTTTATTATCATCTTGTTCCTGTTCAAGGAAAGTTTGAACAAGGGTTTTTCTGTGGTCACCTTGAAGTGCTAAGCTGTCTCAAAATTTGTTGGTCATCTCATAAAATTCTACGTGTACAGCATTGCTAAACTCAGCGTGGTAGTTTGCTCTGCTCATGGGAAATGTCCCAAGCCAGTCCTTAACTTACAAGGTGTTTTTAAATATCTAAACCCTCAAAAAATTCGTGACCTGGAAAACTGTTTTTACTTTTCATGGGCCTCAGAGTAGAGAAGCCCAGGACATGAGTGTGACACAACCTCACACATATTGCTGGCAAGGGAAATGCTTATGTTTTCAGTAATACCATTCTGCAATCAGAGGAAAGTTAGAGAATTGATGTGAGACAGATACTGACTTGTTACCTCCTCATTAAGCCATTCATTTAAGAGGGTTACACAATATACATTTGTTTTGAGTAATCTATAAATAATTCCTAGTGTGAATTTAAGATTATCAGTCAAAAACTTTGGATTTTCATTAGCATTAATACCATTTTCTTATTACCTTATGCTACCAATACAAACCTTAGCCCTTGACAAAATATATTTATTTGCTATTTCCTAATCACTTAAATGTTTCCTTATTTCTTTCCTTTTATTCTGATGGAGTGGACTTGTCTCTTTTTTCTGGTGTGTTTTTTCCCTTCATATTGAACACTGATTGAGTGTTCAAATGGAAATAATTTAACGCCTCTTCCAAAAAAAGGGTTTTAGAGTTTTGAATAGTCATGTCTACATAATCTTAGGGGCATTTTTTTCTCCAACTTTTCCCATTTTGCTCATTGTTAGAGGGTTACATGTATATCCTGAAGAGGAAAAAATTGTGTGGGTCTGCCAAGTTTTTAACTTTGCTTTTTTAAAGCAATTAGTGTTTATTATTATTCCTGCAGGTAATAGGTTTATTTCAAATTTGAATTTTTTCAAGGAACATTTTGTTTGTAATGCATTGTCTTTGTAGAAATGGGAAATAATTTAATTTTTAAGTATTTGAGAAACAGTCCCAAGCCATGTACTATTTTTTGAGGAGAGCTGCCATTTATCCAATTCTCTGTAGTTCTTGAGAGCTAATTATTTACTTTAGAATTTTTTATTGCCATTTTTACACAAAGTACTTTGTATTGTTTGTTAAAGTGTTTTAAGTCTTATTTAAATACTCATGTAAAAGTTTATAATGATTTCTAAAAGGGTATATGCTTAATCTCTTGCATGTTTTTTCACTTGTCTCTTTTTTCTGGTATGTTTTTTCCCTTCATATTTCATATTAAAATAGCAAAATGTTTCTTTCCACTATCCTTCTCTCCGTCCTCCTTCTCCTGCCCCTTTGTTCCCTCCTTATCCTCTTTATTCTCTCCCCCTTCTTTCCTTCTCCCCTAATTCCCAGCTGGCATGAAATAGCAATGACATTGACCATAGAAAACTGTCTAAATAGAGAGGCAGTTATTCTCCTCGAGGCCAGGTAAAGGAGCAGGCAGCTGCCTTCCTCCATCCGGTGATGAGAGGGTATTCTTAGTTGTCTTCCCCTCTGGGAGCCTAAGGCAGCTATCCGCTGGATTTCCAGCAGCCTCTAAGCCTTTCCCTGGACCAAGCTTCTTAAGCTGCTGAAAGAACATGCCCATATAAGCAGATGCCTGCCTTTTTCTTCCCCTTTGCAGCCTCTAAGACAGGGCGCACAGATTTGGTAGAAGTTGTTATTGTTTTTGTAAAGTAGAAACTTAGCACAGTTTGGAAAGGCAGGGAGAAATATCAGATGAGTTGTCTTTAGGTGAGTCATGGTTTTTTAGTAAATGGAGTGAGAATGTAAAATATCAATTACAATAGTTCATGGTAGATTAGAACTGATACGAGGTAGAATTGTTATACATTCTTCCTTCTTCCCTACTTTAGTTTAAAACATCAGAGTGGAAGAAGAGGAAATTGTGAGAAAATGTGGTAGTAGTTTGTGTGGTCTGGTGAGCTCAGTGGTTAATTCTAAATCTGATTTGCAAGAAGGGCTGGATGACCTTATTTTCACACATAAAACCACAGAAAACAAGAAATGAGAAGAGTTTTACTTGAAAACCATTACCTTGTTTCCTTTGTAGGACAGCTTTGTTGCATAGATTGGGGAAAAAAGTGAACTAACGTAGCTGAAAAGTATAAAACATATTTTCAAAATTCATCCATTCACTGTGCTTTTTCAAGTACTTTAAAATTGGACCTAAGTCAGTGTTGAGTAGGGTGCTAGCAGCTGCATAAAATTGCACTTTGCATTTAGGTTGGACTGCAGATTTTCAGTTTCAAAAAAATGACCAGTGGTTACGTAAGCGTGAAACATTCACCCAAATAAAAAGTCAACTCTTTTTATCTGTGCTTGTTAGTTTAGATTTTTAACAAACCCATAAAGTGTCCTTCCTTGGTCAGAAAGGAAGCAAATTGTTTTTATCTTTCTTATGGTAGAACATGTATTCTGAATGAACCCTCCAAATGTATTTTCACATTTGAATCCCAAATAATTATTAAATTCTGCCTAGTCCCAGTGCATTCACTGATTCTAAAGGACTGCTAGGGATGATTGAGCTATTTGAAAACAGTGAAAATTTAAGAGAGAATTAGTAACATAGACACTGTGTAGTCATTTGCTTCTGATGTGACAGCTGCTTTTTATTCCATGAATTTAGAATGATGGCTTATTTTTCCATAGACAGAATATGATTCTCAAAATACGGAATCATAATTTGGTAGAAAGCTGGAAATAAAAGATTTCCTTTAGAAGCCTCTTGGATTTTAAAAAGGTGGTTTGCTGGTAGCAAGTTGATTGAAAATGTTATCTGACTTGTATGTTAAAACGAGATTTAAATAATTGATTTAATGAGAGAGAGAATATTCAGTTACTGAAGTAATTGGTTGGCAAAGTCTTTAGAACAGAATTATTTAGTCCTAGTTATAAAGGATTGCACCTTTAATCAGGGGGCTTAATTTGATTTCTTGAATGTATCTGTGGCTTGTCTGACAAGCTCAGTAACAAATGAGTTCAGAATTGTAGGAACTGATCAAAATGTAATCAGTGTCAATTGCCATTGTTGTAGTTTATTGCATATTGCTGTCAGTTGCTGTAATCAAGAAATGTTGAAGTGCTTTAAAAGTCTTCAGACCTTTGAGTAATTGACCTCATATGTATGATGCTATGCCTGTGAAATAACCATCACTTCCTGTTTTACTTTATCTTCAGAAAGTTTCAGCCCAACATTGAGTTGTCATCCACCCTTCATCATCCCAAGCCTAAAACTTTTTAAGTAGCATGCACGACTTAATGTGGTGGTACCATTTTGACAGGTTTTTCTTTTTAGTGTTTTTAAAAAGGAAATGCTAACAAGATGTTGCCTTCTCTATGAAGACAAATACAGTATAAGGGAGGGAAAAAACCCTGAAACAACGAGGTTTTTTTTGGTCTTAGTTAAGACATCATCGTGGAGTGAGGGAGAAATAGTCTTTTCCATGAACCTCTTACTTTCTCCTTTGCATAGTAGGTGTGTAGAAAACCAGGCAAATTGATATTGATGGCTCAATATCATTCGTCGTAACCCATTTCCTGCCTCCTCCCTTTGGGTAGGTACCATCACTGCTTGCTTATACTTTTCAGTGACTCAGCAGTGGCAATAACCTGCTACGTTTAATTATTTATGGAAATCTGTATACGTTCTTCATTTGCCTTGATGCTCTCAATCGTTCTGTGAGAGCATTTACATTATCTCCATTGTGCAGATGAAGATCTGAAGTTCAGATAGGTTTGCAACTCGCTTGTGGTGGTATGGCTGGGCCAGGTTGTTAGAAGCGTGTAAGCCCAGCTTTGTGATACCCATGCTGCATTCCTCCCTGCCGCCATGCCACAGCTGAGTGTACCAGCCCAGAGTTCTAAGAGTCAAAGAAGCCATCATACTCCTTAGGGGTTTGCCTTTCCTGCCATCCTTTCATTTTATTTCTACCAGAATTGACACTTTCCATTCCACAATTTACTAACTCTCCCATCTCCTTTTTTTTTTCCTGGTGCCATATACCTTTTCTTTAGAACTTACTAGCCGTTTTGAATTTTCTTCTTTTACTTTATAAAGAAGCAGCCCTATTAACTGACTTACCATTTGAAAGGATGTTTGTAAGAAACACATAATTACACGCTATTTGGATAAAGAAAACTAGTTTAAGTTAGAATGAATGTCTAGAGTGTTGAACAGAGGCTTCCAATAAATATTTCCCGGATGACTATATTATAGTGTTAATGTGAAAGGTTAACTGTAAATGACTTTTTAAGTCTCTGTGTAGTTATTTTCTGTTTTGGTTGATCATATGTTAATTTCAGAAAGATAGTCTAATGAACAGAAATCCTGAAAATCTGAGACCAAGTTTATCATCCTTTCACCAGTTTGTTGCCATTCTGATAGTCATTTGGCCATTCATGGTGCCACCCTCGGTTTTCTGTGTCATGATGATGCAGGATTTTTTTGCTCCTTGGTTCAGCTAAATCCGTGTTTTTGTGTCATCACCAGGAAAAATTAGACATGCGGACACAGTGAAGGGTGAGGAGAGTGGAACTTATTAAGCTTAAGGGGAGTGCTCAGCAAAGAGAGGGGGTCCCACCAGCGGGCTCCCACCTCTCATATTGAACGCAAGGCCACCACACATGAATTGAAGAGGTCTGGCTCCTCCTTTGCATAAGGCGGGAATTCCCAGTAGCTCCACCCTGTTCCCCCAGTGCGCGTGTGGGCCCTTAGTCTAAGCCACTCCACATTGATTTATTTCCCTTTCTAAGCATGTGTTAAAAGACCGAAATTTTTACCGTGGGCATGTATAGGCAAGCCTTATGTGCACAATGACCTGGGTGGATCGGAGGTTCTCTGGGGACTCTACCCTACTTAGTTGGCTGTCTCCTGCCTCTATCAATACACAGTATGAGGGCAACAATGCCACCTAAAACACCTCAAACCATGTGCATACAACTGAAAGTGCCGCTTGCTATAAGCCAAGGCTACTGAGTGATACTGTTAACGATGATGATGATAATAGCTATACATGAATTACATTGTGGATGTTGAAATAATATACTATGTCTAATTCTTCCTTACTCCCAACCCATCTCTTATTTTTTGCTTTGATCTCTACTACAGATTTTACGAAGTGCCAGAAGTGTCTAGTCATAGAACATAGCTTATAGTATTTTAGAGAAATCATATATATAATGTTTTCCTAGGAAACTGCAGGATTGTGGTTTGCCCATTTAAAAATGGAAGCTTTGTGAGCTAGACAAGAGGACCTTTGATGATCAAGGTTTTAATTATTTTTTTCTTGTTTGCTTGCTCACTAGATGTAAAAACATGCAATGAGGTGGACCTGGAGAATTCTGCAGATTGGGAAGTGAAGACAATAACAAGTGCCTTGAAACAGTATTTGAGGTAAGCTCCTCTCAGTAGCAAGAAAGAAGAATGGACTATTTGGATCTGTAACATAAAACAGATGCCAATTGTGTACATAAATATCAATAGTTAAATTAAGCCTTATTTTAAAAAGGGAAAATTTATCAGGTGTCTCAGTGTCCCAGAAAGAAAGGTAACTAGTAGATGCACATCAGTAATTAAGTAAATTGCAACAGAACAGAAATTGACATAGACTTGGGTTTTGAAATAGACATTTTTTGTGGATGTACATTTTAGGAATTAAACACTATGAAACAACTCGTCGAGGCTGATGATTGAATGAAGGCTATTTATTGAATTCATTGTGTCTTTATATTTTATGCTGAAATGATTTTTTAAAGTTTAAATGATTTGAACTTAGGCTTATGACAACATGTCAATGCAAAGCTCTTTGAAAAAGAAGTTTACTTGGTGAGGTTTTAAGATAAAGTTGTTTTCTATTTATAATAGAAAACATTTAGGACTAGAGTTAGAGGGTAGCATTTTTTTATGAGTCACTGTCTTTTTTTTTTTTTTTTTTTTAAAGAAAAGAACTTAATGATAAGCTCAGGGTTAGATGAAGAACAAGTATATAGACAGTTAAAAGAAAATGAAAAAAGATCACAACTGTAGTTTTTTTATATGCTGTGGTTCTGTTGGGAACTTAGATTTTCCATGGCAAACGAATGGCCTAGGACCAGTTCTTTTTTTTTTTAAGATGAAGTCTCGCTCTTTTTGCCCACGCTGGAGTGCAGTGGCACGATCTTGGCTCACTGCAACCTCTGCCTCCCAGGTTCAATCAATTCTCATGTCTCAGCCTCCTGAGTAGCTGGGATTACAGGCTTGCACCACCACGCCTGGCTAAGTTTTGTAATTTTAGTAGAGGTGGGGTTTCGCCATGTTGACCAGGCTGGTCTCAAACTCCTGACCTCAAGTGATCTGCCTCCTTTGGCCTCCCAAAGTCCTGGGATTACAGGTGTGAGCCACCATACCTGGCCTCAGGACCAGTTCTTTTTAACCATACATAGGGTTGTTTTTCAGGTAAAAGTTATTTGGGTTCCAGTGGATACATTCGAATCAACTTATATGACGTATTTTGTATTTTTAAAAAATTATGAAAAATTTCAGATACATAAGATGAGAGTTTAGTGTAATGAACCCTCATGGCTCTATTATCCTGCTTCTTGAGTTATCAACATTCCATCCTTCTTAATTCATTAATCTTCCTACCTGCCACTGTTTTTTTTTTTTTTTTGAGACAGAGTCTTGCTGTTGGCCCGGGCTGGAGTGCGATGGCACAATCTTGGCTCACTGCAACCTCCGCCTCCCGGGTTCCAGCAATTCTCCTGCCTCAGCCTCCTGAGTAGCTGAGATTACAGGCACTCGCCACCATGTCCGGCTAATTTTTTGGTATTTTTAAGTAGAGACAGGGTTTCGCTGTGTTGGCCAGGCTGGTCTCCTGACCTCAGGTGATCTATCCGCCTTAGCCTCCCAAAGTGCTGGGATCTACCTGCCACTTTTTAAAGATAATACTTTAAAGATTTTCTGAAACATCATATTACTGTACCCATAAATACTTCAGTATTTATCTCAAAAAGTCATTTTTAAAAAGTCAGTCAAAATATAATTATTATGCACAACAAAATTAATATCCAGCATTCAGTCCATGTTCAATTTTTACCAACTGTCTTCAAAAAGTCTTTTCATATTTGGTTTAAATCCTGCAGGATTTAAACTGTGCCAACTTTTCACTTGGTTGATAGGTTTTAAGGCTATTTTAATCTCTACATTTCCTCCCTTCCTCCACCACTGGCATTTATTTGTTGATGAACCTGGGTCATTTTTGATTATATCTTCATGATAACATTTAACATGTTTCTTTAGCCATGCTGTGTCCTGTAGATAAAGATTTTTCAAATGGGCTTTGTTAGAGTCAGGTTTTATTTTCTTTATTTCAAGAATGCATTGTAGGCCGGGCGCGGTGGCTCACGCCTGTAATCTCAGCACTTTGGGAGGCCGAGGCAGGCAGATCACAAGATCAGGAGATCAAGACCATCCTTGCTAACACGGTGAAACCCCGTCTCTACTAAAAAATACAAGAAAAAAAAAAAAATTAGCCGGCATGGTGGTGGGCGCCTGTAGTCGCAGCTACTCGGGAGGCTGAGGCAGGAGAAGGGTGGGAACCCAGGAGGCGGAGCTTGCAGTGAGCCAAGATCCAGCCACTGCACTCCAGCCTAGGAGACAGAGCGAGACTCTGTCTCAAAAAAAAAAAAACAAAAAAACCCCCAAAAAACAGAATCCATTGTAGTGGTGGTATATTCTTTCTGTTGTTTCCCATCAGGTAGCCTGGGTTGTCTGGTTGTCCCACTTTTTAATGATATAAAATTTATCCGTGGGTGATAGTTATGTATTACCTATTTTCAAGTGCTTTGTGTAAAGAAGATGTTTTCAGCCACTGTTCTAAATTTTTTCTGAAACTGTTATGTGCACTATTGTTATTCCTGATTGATAAAGGGATGTATACTTATATCAGTATTGCCACTGATAGTGACTAATTGTGGTTTAGATGAGGATTATGGTAAAAATGAATCTTGTTACTCCCAACTCTAGGATAAGAATTTAAGTTCCCTGAAGATAGGCATCTTTTAAGTCTTGTTCACTGCAGTATCCCCAGCAACTTGGAGCTGTGGCTGAGAAATTAGAACAGTGTTTCTCAACTGAGGATGGTTTTGTCCCTCAGTGGGATGTTTGGCCATGTTTGGAGACATTACTGATTTTCACCATTGCTGGTTTGCAGTGCTCCTGGCATCTGGTGGCATCTGACATCCTGCAGTACATAGGACAGCCCACCCTCCCCCCCACAAATAATTATTTGATTCAAAATGTCAATAATTCTGAGATTTAGAAAGCTGTGTTAGACACATGAAGGAAAGAGTAGGTAAGGGATATAAACATATAATGAATTGCACATATTAACTTGACCAAGAGACGTACTGCCACTCTAGGAGATAGCTTTAAATCCATTTTACTGTTTAGTAGACTCATAGCTAGTGCAGGTAAAGGGATTGACTGAGATGACTCAGTTATTGGTGGAAAACTAAGGGTGGAAATCCACCTTTTTGGCAATAAATTGCATTCTTTTTTCCTCCATTCCGTATGGTTCTTTTCTTTTGCTGTGTGGGAGGAATTTGTTTAATAAACTAGAGGCCCTTTTTATTTAGTACATAGGATTTCTTTTTGGATCTTGATATTCTCGGAAGCTGGTTCCTTATTGCCCCTGGTCTTGTGTTGCTTTTTCTGTCTTTTTATTTTATTACCTTGCTTCATCCTATGGAATTTCACTTTTAAACAAACATTGCCTACAGAACGACATTATGAAATGTTATTATTATATAACTTCACTTCTAACAAAATACACATTCTGCCTGAATGTGATAAAGTGAATTATCATAAGATGGCAGATGCCTTGGGAGATTTGAAAGTTGGGTTGCTGTTCTTTTCCCCTATGTTATTTTTAGCGATGGAAAATGCAGTAATTAGGATTTAATTGACCCTTTTTTTTCTCTAAATTTTGGTGATGCATCAAATGGGATAAAACTGGGTTTTTATCTACCTCCATTTTGGCAGCAGGGTTCTGGCCCAAGCAAGTGTATTTCTTTCTGCATGAGAGGTAATACAGTGTGATGGTCAAGAGCAGGAGGTCTGGAGCCAGCCTGCCTGCCAGGGTTGGAGCCCCAGCTCTGTCACTCATGGCACCATGGCGTGAAGCTGAATATAGCTTTTCTCACCCAAAAAAGCTCTTGCCCTTGAATTCTTCTCACTGCAAATAACCCAGCTATCTTATTGGATGGGATGTTGGAGGTGGAGGGAGGAAAACAGCCAAAGCCCCAAAGCACCAAACTAAAACAAGAAGCAGGTCCTCCAGGGTCTTGGAGAAGGAAAAGTATGTGCAGTGGACCGATGTGTGGCATCCCTCTTTTTCTTCTACTGACGAGGCAATTTTTTTTTTTAACTTCTCATGTTTTAGAGAGCTGAATACCAGCCCTCTGAATGATTTCTTATCTATGCAGACCATTATTTCGATTTTCAGAGATGTGTTCATTACAGCAGTTTTCTGTTGTGAGGGGACAAATGAGTGGTTTTGTGATGTTTCTAGTCAAATGATTTTACCTGGAGGAAACTTCTTTTAAGCCTGGAAATTGTAATGGGACTTTTTGGGAGGGAAATGCCAGCTTAGATAAATATTATGATTTATATCCCCCAACAGATCCCAACGAGTGGCAAAGAGAGGTGGCTCAAAAACATGTCGGGTGGGAGGCTGAGAGTTGCAGTGACTCAGCATAATACATTCTGTATGGGGAACTTGTCATTTTTATGGCTGCTTCCCTAATGTTAACAATATTTATTTTTTTATGCTGCATTGCCTAGCTAGACATATGGCAATGATATAAGTAACTTGTAGAAGATATTCAGATACAAATTCATTTTTATTGGAAAAGAAATGTATTTCTAAGGTTTCTCATTCCCCCCCTCCCTCGACCCCACTTTTCTTTTTAGCACCCTTTAACTTTCCTTCTCTGCTAGATAACCATTTTTCTTCTTTGTTACCTCCTGCTTGTCTATATTTTGAAACAAACCCCCTAAAGACTTACTTCTGATTGGCCCTTCTTTCTCCTTATTTAGGCTGTGGTATAGTTGATTTTTTTTTTTTTTTCATTTTCTTTGTGAAATGGGAATGTAGGGGGAAAAGGAGAGGGAGGGGAAATAAGAGCAGGACTTTTTCACTCATGCATTAAATTTTAGTTTATGGTTGTCATTTTGTGTTTGTATGTATATACTATAGCATCGTAAATTGTATGTAAGGAATATATGTACCTTAACATTTTTTTCTTTTATTTTTCAATTTTCTTTTCAAAACATTAAAAAAAAATAGAAACAGGGTCTCACTTTGTTGCCTAGGCTGGTCTTAAACTCGTCGTCTCAAGTGATCCTCCCACCTTGGCCTCCCAAAGCACTGGGGTTACAGGTGTGAGCTACCATGCTTGACCTATTTTTATTTGTTGTTTAAAGACAGCTTTATTGAAACACAGTTGACATACAATAAGCTGCATATATTTATAGTGTAAGTTTCGGTAAGTTTGATATATGTATACCTCTGAAACTATCACCATAATCAAGATAGTGACCCTGTGCATTATTACCCCCCAAAGTTTCCTCCTACCATTTGAAATCTCTCTCACACCCTACGGAAGTAGCCTCATCCACTAAAATGTTACTTTGCAATTCCTGTAATTTTATATAAATAGAATTATATAGTATATACTTGAAGTCTGTATTATTTCACTTAGAATAGATTCTTCTATGTTGTAGCACATACCAACAGTTCATTCCATCTCACTGCTAACTAATGGACCATTTTATAGATACACCAGCATTTTAAAAAATCAGTTCATCTGTTGCAGGATATTTAACTTGCTTGTAACTTTCGGCTGTTGCACATAAAGCTGCTAAAAGCATTTGTATACCTATATTTGAGTGGACGCAGGCTTTCATTTCTCTTGGATAAATCCCAGGAGTGGAATATTTAGATCATGTGGTAATTATGCTTAACTTTTTGGGAAACTGACAAACTTTCTTCCCAAGTTGATGTATTTCTTTACATCCTCACCAACAATATACAAAGGTTCCATTTCCTTTTCATTCTTGCCAACTCTTAAGCTGGTCAATCTTTTTCATTTTAGCCATCGTAATAGGTATTTGGTAGTGTTTCATTGTGCTTTTAGTTTGCACTTCTCTAATGACTAGTAATGTTGAACTTTTTTCCATGTGCTTATTTTCCATTTATATATTTTCTTGGGTGAAGTGTCTGTGCATATCTTTTTCCCAATTTTTTACAACTTAGATTGTCATATTATTATGTTTTAAAAGTTAAAAAATATATTTTGAGTACAAGTCCTTTCTTAGATACCTGCTTTACAAGTATTTTCTTCATTCTGTGACTTGTCTTTTTGTTCTCTCAATAGTGTCTTTCAAAGAGAAGTTTTAATTTTGATGAAGTCTAGTTCATCAGTTTTTCTTTTTATGGACTGTGCTTTTGTGGCTATATTAAGAAACCTTTGCACTTATTCAGGGTCACAAAGGTTTTCTTTTTTTGTTTTCTTCTGTAAGTTTTATAGTTTTAGGTTTTACACTTAGTTCTGTGATCCATTTTGAGTTAATTTTTACATAAGATATGAGGTATGAATTCAAGTTCATTTTTGCATAGGGATCTCCAGTAGTTCTAGTACGATTTGTAGGAGTGGCTATTTCTCCTAAATTGTCTATTGATATGATCATACAGTTTTCTTTTCATTTGGTGAAGTACATTGATTTTTTTTTTAGATATTATGCTAGTATTGTATTCCTGTGATAAACCCAACTTATGATATATTATTTTATTTATCTTGTGGAATTTGATTTAGTAACATTTTATTTAGAATAGTTGCATCTATGTTCATGAGTGATATTGGTCTGTAGTCTTCTCATAATGCCTTTCTCATAATGTCTTTAACTTTGATATTAGGATAAAGCTTACCTCACAGAATGAGTTAGAAATTATTCCCTCTTCTATTTTATGGAAGAATTTGTATAGAATCAGTAGTTTTTCTTTCTTAATTGTTTGGTAGAATTCATTCAGTGACATCATCTGGCCCTAGAGTTTTCTTACTGGCAAGATTTTTAACCACAAATTCAATAGGACTACTCAGGTTATCTGTTTCTTCTTGAGCGAACTTTGGTAGTCTGTGTCTTTTCAGACATTTGTCCATTTCATCTGAGTTGTTGAATTTATGGGCATAAAATTGCTCATAGTATTTCTTTATTTTATTTTTAATATCTTTAGAATCTGCACTGATTCTGCAGTCACCTTTCTCATTCCTGGTGTTGTTTGTTTTCTCTCTTTTATTTCCTAATCATTCTGGCTGGATTGATCAATTTTACTGATTATCTTAAAAGATATGGTTTTGGATTAATTTATTTTCTTTATTTTTCTGTTTTCGATTTAATTGATTTCTGCTTGATTTTTATTATTTCTCTTCTTTTGCTTACTTTGGGCTTAATTTACACTTCTTTTTTTTCCTCATAGCTCATTAAGGTACAAAATGAAGTGCTTGGTTTACCACCCTTCTTCTTTTTTAATATAGGTGTTTAGTAGCATAAAATGTCATCTTAGTACTGCTTTACCAACATCCCTCAAATTCTGATATGTTGTGTTTTTATTTCGTTCTTTTCAGAATACTTTCTAACTTCTCTTTGAGTTTTCCAGATATCTTTCTGTTATTGATTTTTAATTCAGTTTTTGTTGTAATCAAAAAACAAACTCTGTGTGTCTTAAACCCTTTTTATTTTTTGAGATTTGTATCATGGCCCAGAATATGGTTAATCTTGGAAAATAAATGGCCTGTATGCACTGGGAATGTGTGTTCTGCTTTTGAGTGGAGTGTCATTTAGGTGAAGGACATGCCAGTTGGATTAAGTTGGTTGATATTTTTGTTCAAATCTTCTGTATCCTGATTTTTCTACTTGTTCTGTTACTGAAACAGAGAGGTGTTTAACTCTCTGATTATAGTTGTGGATTTGCCCATTTCTCCTTGTAGTTCTGTCAATTTTTGCTTCAAGTGTTTTGGGGCTCTCTTATTAGATCTGTTAACATTTAATATTGTTTTGGCTTCATGATGAGTTGACACTTTTGTCAATATGAAATGACCTTCTTTATCTCTGGCAATATTCTCGGCTTTGCATATGTTAAAAAATTTTGTTTGTGCATCTTTGATTTTTTTTTTAAACATTTGAAGCAGAATTTCTGAGTTACAGGATTGTAACCTTTTAAAAGTTCTTAATATCTTGCGAGATTACCCTCCAGAAAGGCTGTACAGACCGACACTTGTCTAGGTATTCTTTAAGTGTTTATAAAGCTAGTTGCTCTGATCTTTTATAATTTTAAGATATGTAGCAAGGTGGACTGAACTGTAGCATTTCTGTTGATCACAGGATAAAATAAACTACCTTATGTAACTTGTTTTGTAGACTCTGAAAATGCTGTGTATATTTTTAAAGTTGTCATCAATTTTATTTCATCTCTCATCTTATAGGAATAAAGATAAATTCTTATTTTTATAATATATTTAATCAGAGAGGATTTGAGTTTGTTTAATCTTTTCTATGTATTTTGTGTGGAATCTTCAGCTAATATCTTAGAGATGAAGTTTCAAAATTGTTTGCTTACATTTGGTTAGATGGTATGTTTGGCTTTAAATACATTAATGTGTAGAAGGAAGTTTTATATATAAAACCAGATGTTCACAAAGCTACTTTCCGTGATTAGATATGAAATACTGTATGCTTAGGTCTAGTAGGGATTTGTGGCTCCCTAGGCTTTGATAGTGCTTGGTGCCAACAGCAGTTAATAAAGTGATCCGTTTATGTATCTTTTTTGATATGTAAAGGTATTCCCTAGGGAAGTTTTACACATTAATTAAGAAATGCATAACAAATTTAACATCCTTTCATAAAAAAACTCAGAAGTGACTTGTTTGGATTTATTTGATAATTCTGAGCTGTTCTTTTCACACAGGAGTCTTCCAGAGCCTCTCATGACCTATGAGTTACATGGAGATTTCATTGTTCCAGCCAGTAAGTATTATGTAAAGGTATATAGGAACAGTTTTGTAGTTGGTAGTGAGCATAAACGAAAAATTTCCATATGAAAAATTCAACTTGTTATTGCAGTTTGTGTTAAAAATAGAAATCGCTTTAAATGATGTTTGGTGCCTCCCCTCATCCTTGGGAGGTGAATAAAAGGGACAGTATATTCTTTCATTTATTCACATACATTAATTATTTCCTATTATGTTACTGGATATGTAAAGCCAAGACAGGATTCTTGTCCCATGAGACAATTCTATAGCAAGTACTGGGGCATACTTCTCATTATACTACAAAATGTACAATAATGGCATGAGCAAAATGCTGAGGGAACACAGAAGTATTTAATTTGCGAAAGGTTGTGGAGATGAACAGATTTGGAGAGATTAGTAGTTTGGAGGTGGCTTCACATAGACAGATACTCGGATCTAAATTACAGACAGAAGGAATATTATGAGATAATGCCAGAACTCCAAACAGTATTTGATACAGACTGAATAATATACAATCAAATGTTAAATGAAAAAGGCCTATAGTTGGTAGAATTTTGTGATTGAATTTTTTGTGAGTCATACTCATTTGAGGCTTTGTTTTCTGTTATATGGCTCACTTTCTATCTTTGACACGTGTTGTTTAATCATCATAGTCTTCTGAAGTACACTGGTGTTAGGTATTTAATAGTGAAGGAAATGAAGGTTGAGACATGTTAAGTAACTTGCCAGATTATAGGGAGCCTTATTTAAAATTCAGAACCCTAGTTCTACTAGCTAAAACCTGCAGTATTGGTTTTCACAGGTGCACTGACAGTAGCTGTAATTGTATTTTCATTTCCTTTTATTTTCTCCTCTTGGATGTATTCCATAGTTTAATCTGTTGAAAAACTTAGAGCATTCCCTTTGGGACCAATGTTACCGCTGCCTGAACATTGCTTTAAATGTTACCTTCTTGTGAGGTCCTTGCTCCAGCCAGTGTAAAGGTTCCTCCTGTGTTGCAGGAAGGAGGAGTGTGTAGGCCCCATTAGACTCTACATATAAAAGAGGCTTTTGGAAAAGCAAAAACTGGTTCTATTCGTTTTTGTTTTCACATGGGGAGAGGATTTTTTAAAAAAGAGAATTTGTGAGATCAAGGGAGTGGGGGAAAATTTTTTCGGCAAAAACTCAAGTAAATGCTTAGTTGTTTTGATTTCTTCCCTGTGGCATTTTTGGCAAACTGGGGAAAGAGAAATTAAACTTAGTTGGAGGACAATTGTTTCATGTTGTTTGCCTTAGAGACTGGAAAAAGCAGAAGAGTGCCAATTTTAATCTAGAATCCTTTGAGAATTAGAGAAAGATAAAGTGATTATGGAATAAGGTTTTTTTTTTTCCTTTTTTTTTTTCTTTTATTATTATACTTTAAGTTTTAGGGTACATGTGCACATTGTGCAGGTTAGTTACATATGTTTTAAATGACCACAATCATTAGTATTATTACGCCCCATAACTGATGGCAGTGTTTTTGAAATTTGAATATCAGTGTGTTTTACCAAATGAAGAGGTTCCTAAGAGGTAGGAGCTTATATCTTAAGAGGTAATAAAATCTATGGTGGTAGAAAATAAGTTTAAAGAGTTTGTTGAAGGCATCTTTGAGCAGAGTGGTGAAAACGATTGCAGAAACGCAGACAAGATCATCACCTGTTGGACCAGTACCTTGTGTTTTGCTTCCTGACTTTGTGGGAATGCTGTGATAGTCTTCACAGTGATTTGGATGACAGGACCGTCAGAAAGAAATACTGTTTCTACTGTAATCATTGGCATGGATTTGCACCTAAGTGCCGTTGTGGTTGGAATGGGACCTGTAGTAACTTGATTTAATGAGAAAAAGTACATGTACTAAATGGGTGTATTTTAGGGGCCAAGGTTTCCAATGTAGACTTTAAGTTTTTATTTTAATCTCTTGAGTACCCTTCTCTGCACTCATTGCCTCTTTTAGAGAGTGTGGGAACAGATCTCCTAATCTTTTGCATATGGACTTTTAAGGATCGAATAAAATAGTTACAGAAATCAGGTGGCCAAAATTAGTCTCCCCTTTTGAATGCTGTTGGAAAATCGGGATTGTGGTTAAGCTGTCATTTTCCGTGAACAGTGACACAGCTTACCTGGTTTTGCTCAAGTGTCTGTTAGCTGAGCTGACTGCTAAAATTACTAAGCATCAGCAGTCTTTGTTACCACCTCTCACACCAACTTGAAAACTAATTTTTGATTCTTCTCAGTCATGTGCAGTGGTTTCCATCTGTTCTGTGGTGATGAGATAGTTTCTTCTCTTCTACCCTCCCTGCTGAGAGTTCTCAAGGTTTCTCCTGGGTCCCATTGTTTTCTCTCATCAGTTTCTTTCCTGTAGTTTCCTGTTGTGAACCTCCGTGTTAATTTCTAGGGTTCATGATACAAATATAAATTTCATTTCTATTTTGTCACCACAAAAGGCACATTTGTTTTATGTTCCTTGTTCTGAAAAAAAGATCAACTTACTTTTAAAGGTTGACTGCATTGGAAAAGTTAAAACATTTTTTTCTTTGAGAAAATTAAGAGAGTTAATGTAACTTTCTCCGTTAGCTGAATTCCAAACTAAACTTATAAAAGGAACCCAGTAGACGATCCATCTTGGGGGAGACTATAATGGACTTTTGACATGGAAATTTATAAGACGAAAATGTAGTTACCTGGTCTATGGGGAATACAAAAGATTGTGTCCACCACAGGCAGGCATCTAGCTGGATGTCTTACTGCGTGATGTCTGTTACCTTTGAGAAAGTTGTAGGCTATGATCTGTGTGTCAGCCTTTTGGCCTCAAAGTCCTTGCTGTATCATTTTGATAAGAGTGGACTCATGCCTCAGGGTTGGAGTCATGGTGCTTAGTACGAGAATGACAACTAAAGGCTGAATGCCTGTTGTATCAGAAGAAAAATCTCTTCACTGTCAGTTAAACCAAAACACTTGTGTTGCTATGTTCAGTGTATTTCTTCCTGTAGTCAAGTTAGTTGGGAAGCAAAATGATTACCACAAAGGTCTTTGGTTATTTATCATGAGAAACATAACTATAATCGGATCCAAGACATTGGTGTTTACCTAACCAGAATGTTCTATCGTTTTTGATAAACATATCTGGGAAGCAAGACAAAAATCATGTGATTCTTGCTGGGGAAGGGCTTAGGAACCCAGGAATTAAGGGAACTGAATGCTTAGTGGCATGCCTCCCTCTTAGCTTGATGTATTCATTTCACGGTAGATACGAATGCCACAGGAGAAATGCAACACTTGATGTCTGTTGACTGAAGCCCTTTATCCCTTGGGAAGTGCTTGGATGGTTACTGCTAATGCCTTTCTAAAATTACAGTATCATTGACTTTTGACATTTCAATATTGAAATAATTTAGCATTTATCTGCCTCTGTGTCTTCGATAAGCTCCATGATCACATCTTTTTCAGTTTCTGTTAGTTGGCACAGCATCATAAGCAGATGGACATTACAGTGTGGTAGATGCTGATTTGTAGTTACACAATTAAAATGCCTTTTCCACTACAGTAAGCTCCTAATTCCCTGGCATATTTCAAGAATTTGGTATTATGATTAATTTAGTATCCTAGTTTTTTTTTTTAAGGTAGGCTGTTCATTCTTTGTCAATCAGTAGCAATTAAAATAAATTGCATTAGCATAAGCAACTTTAGATGATTTATCTTCAAAAACTTTTTTTGGAGTACCTTAAAGGTATTATGTTGTAGCTACATAGAAATGATTGCGAATAGAAAGCTCTGATGATTAATGTCAAAACAAGATAGAGAAAAAAATGGTTTTATTTAAAAAGCCCAGAGTATTTTTTTTTTTGTTTTTGAAGAAGAGGGAAAAAGACTTGGCAGAAATGGATGTGTGATTTTAAAATAGATTAGGATGGGCTAGCAGGAGAGAGACTGAAGATAGTGAAAGGTTTTGACTCTATTTTTCTTTTTTTAAATTTTTTAAAATTATACTCTAAGTTCTAGAGTACATGTGTACAACGTGCAGATTTGTTACGTATGTATACATGTGCCATGTTGGTGTGCTGCATCCATTAACTCGTCATTTACATTAGGTATATCTCCTAATGCTATCCCTCCCCGCTCCCCCCACCCCACGACAGGCCCAGGTGTGTGATGTTCCCCTTCCTGTGTCCAAGTGTTCTCATTGTTCAATTCCCACCTATGAGTGAGAACATGCGGTGTTTGGTTTTCTGTCCTTGCGATAGGTTGCTGAGAATGATGGTTTCCAGCTTCATCCATGTCCCTACAAAGGACATGAACGCATCCTTTTTAATGGTTGCATAGTATTTCATGGTGTGTATGTGCCACATATTCTTAATCCAGGTTTTGACTCTATTTTTCAAAATCAATTCCACTATTTTAAGAAATGAAGAATGTAATTCATAGAGTGTGGGAAACTGTTTCTCTAGCTTCTGTTTCTAAATAATGAATCCTAAAGTATTTAAACTAGGTTTTCACTGGAAAAAGATGATTATTAATGGCAAGATAGACTCACAAGTTAGTAGGTTTTTAGTGCAAAGTTTTCCAGACTTTTTAATTTTTGCGATATAAAATTCTTATCCTCAGTAGTTGTCCTTTTACTCCTTTGGAATTTCTACTATTTTGCAGAGTCTCTGCTTTAAGTCTATTTTTAAAAATCAAAGCTGTGAATTGAAATTGTTATATTGTTTTTATTTTCTCTAGTGTTGATTAGTATCTTGTTTTTTATACCAGATTAAGAACTGGATTATAATTTATTACCTAACCCTTTAGACAGTTGTGTTTTTGTTTCTGGTGATAAATTTAGTTTGTATCTAGAAGTTTTTTTAATGATATAATATGATTTGGTTGTGTTATTTATGTGCCTTTTAATTTCTTAGCCTTTTTGCATCCTTTCTGTTTAGCAACAGCTGTCTTAGTGTCCTCAGTTGTAAAATATCATTTCTCATTCTCAAATACTATTATTAGGGGTGTAAACTGGAACAAACTTGTCTTTACAAACATTGGAAACAATCTAAGTGTTCATAAAATCGATGGTAAGGTGTTCCATTTAATGACACTGAAAAATATCTGTGATACATTAAATAAAATAGGTTGTTTAGGCATTTCATTACCAAAAAAAGGAAGGAAAACTCTGCAGGATTTATACTTAAAATTTACCAGTTTATTTTAGGATGAGATTTATTATGGGTAGCTTTAAGTGAACTTTTTGTTGAAATATAACATGGGCTCAAATAAGTATACAGCTTAATGAATTTTCACATGTAATCAGCCCCAGATCAAGCAATCAAACATCATCAGAAGCCCTTTCTCTTGCTCATGTGGTCATTATCCACTCCCATGAAGTGTGATCACTCTCCTGACATTGTAGGTTGAGGCTGCAGCATTTGGACTTTATGTAAATGGAATCAGAGTATATTCTTCTGTATCTGGTTTCTTTTGCTCATTTTGTGAGATTCATCTCTGTTGTATGAAACATTCATTCATTTTCATTGCATTCTGTTTGAAGAAGCCACAATAGATTTATCTGTTCTACTGTTAATGGACATTTGGGTTGTTTCCAGTTTTGGGCTAATAGAACGCTGCTGTGAGTATAGGAGTATGTGTCTTTTAATGAGCATTTATGTGCATTTTTCCTGGTTATATACCTACGAGTGGAATTTTTGGGTCGGTCATAGGGTATGTGTTTGTTCAGCTTTAGTAGATAACTGCCAAACAGTTCTTCAGAGTGGTTGAACCCTTTAATGATTACCATCTAGTTAGCATGTGGAAGTTTCAGTTGCCTCATGTCCTTGCCAAAGCTTAGTATTCATTTAAAGCCATTCTGGCAGGTGAGTATTACTCTTTCATTGTGTTGTTAACTTCTGTTTCACCGATATAGGTTTATTCTGTTTTCATAGGTTTTTTGGTCACTGGAATAAATATTTTGTGAAATTCCTGCCCCGGTCTTTTGCCCTTTTGTCTGTTGGATTGTCTCTTTTTTCCCTGATTGGTTTGTAGTTCTTTCTAATCTGATTGCATGCTGTTTCTTATGTATATATGTATTTCAGATATTTAGTACTTTGTACTAAGGTCATTTTCTCTGTGTTGTCCAAGATTTTAGTATTACAGGTATTTAACTTTTGTCATAAGGAAAACTATTATCCTTTTGAAAAAATAAATGCCCCTTTCTTGATCTGCTTTACCTCTCTTTCCCATTCTCTTGTTTTTTTTTGCTTTCTGAACAGGTGTTCTGAAATCCCACTCTTCTCCCCTTCTCCAGCAGCTTCCTCTTTGTTTAACCTCCTCATTTTAGTAGAAAGGGGCTCTCAGTTGATAAAACTGGTGATACCCAGGGCCCCTTAATCCCAGTGTTTCCATTCCTTGACCTCTCCTTACCTCTCGAGTCCACTGGCTGTGCCCAGCCTTTGCAGATTTCTTCTCACTTGCCTTCCTGATGACATCGTACCTCCCTGGTCCTCCCACCTCTTCCTCCTCCTTGGCTGCATTGCCTGCTTGACTTAGCCCTTGACTTCACATCTCCCTGTACATCTTTGGAGCCCTTTTCCCCACAGTGCCCTCAGTTAGCTTTCTGTAGAAGTTCGGCAGCTTTGTCCATGAGCTAGTGGTCACACCTCCTGGAGAACATTTCTAGCCTTGATCTCTAAAGCCTCCTACTGTTTCCAGCTACTGCTAAATACCAGCCATTTGAATGTCACTTCCTCCATTCCCTCCACCATCATCTCCTTCCTCAAGACAGCTTTGGCTGCTGTGTTTCTGTCTGTTGGTGGAATTGGCCCTGTTGCCAGACTACCCAGATGTGAAACACTGCTCGTCTCTGCCTTCTTCCTTCTGACCCACTGCTAGTCTGCTGCTAAAACCTGTCAGTTCTGCTTCTTCCATCGTAGCGCTCAAATAATAATAGTAACACGAACAACAACAGTACTAATGGCTAACAGTGATTGAGTGCCCACATGTGCCAGCCACAGAGGCTAAGTGCTTTATGTATGTTACAGCATTGAATCTCATAATGGCCTTTTAAGATATTGTTTCATTTTGCAGATGAGGGAGCTGAGGCACAGAGAGGTTAGTTAGGTAATTTGTTCAAGACCACTCAGCTATCAGTTAGAAGCAACGACTCCCAGGTGTAGTGACGGTCCTGACATACAATCTTTTGACTTTATGAGGGGCTTATTAGGATGTCCCCCCATCATAAATCATAGGGCATCTATATTTCTTTGTTCTACTTCCCTCTTTGTAGTTCTACCACCTACCTCACTCCCTTTATTTTTATTTTTTTGAGATGGAGTCTCTCTCTGTTGCCCAGGCTGGAGTGCAGTGGTGCTGCAACCTCCGCCTCCTGGGTTCAGGCACTTTTCCCACCTCAGTCTCCTGGGTAGCTGGGATTACAGGTGCACACCACCACACTGGCTAATTTTTGTATTTTTAGTAGAGATGGTCTCACTATGTTGGCCATGCTGGTCTTGAACTCCTGACCTCAAGGGATCTGCCTGCCTCGGCCTCCCAAAGTGCTGGGATTATAGGCATGAGCCACTGTGCCTGGCCACCACTCCTTTCATTTCTTTTTTCTTATCTCCCACATAACTTTTTCCTCCTAATTAGTTCTTTTTCCTATTCTAATCCATCCTTTAAGAAAAATATCAGGCATACCTTCCCCAAATATAACTCTATTCATATCGCTTTCTTGCTTTGTTTTCACTTGACTAATTTAGAAGCCAACAGTGAGACAACTTCTTCAAACTGGCCTTTGCAGACCAGAGTTGGCCTCGGGCTACCTTTCTATCTATACCCTCGAAGAGCTGTCTCTGCACAGGCTCTGTGCTTTTTGTCATGCTATTTACTGAATTTGGAATGTTCCCCTTGCCCCTCAGTCCTGCCTTTCCTTGAACCCTTCCCCGTTCTTCAGGACCCAATCTCCAAGGGCTCTCCATTATGAGACCCTTCCTGAGCTTCCCTGGCCAGCCCTAAGTGAAACTACAAAACCGTTTCTAACCTTCTTTTCTGTCAGCAGTAAATTTAGAACCTAATTCTCTTTTGTCACTTCTTTGACGCCTGTGAAAACTAGCAAAATCTTCAACAACAAACATTTTATTGATTTATTTGATAGTTTTCCAATCAAGAACACAATAAAGGGAATTGGGGTACACTGTTAATAAGAGCCACGTATAATAATTCCAAAGTTTGGGGGTTAAGGGATTGTGTTTTCCAGGGCTGTTGGAACAAAGTACTTACTACTAACCAAGTGGCTTCAAAGAAGAGGCATTTATTCCGTCACAATTCTAGAGTCTGGAGGTCTGAAATCAAGACGTTGGGAGGGCCGTGCTCCCTCTGAAGACTGTAGGAGGGATCCCTCCTTGCCACTCACAGCTTCTGGTGGTTGCTGGCCGTCCTTAGTATCCCTTGGCTTGTGGGTCCTTCATTCCAGCCTCTGCTGTGACAGGACAACCTCCGCTGTGCTGCCTGTACACGGTCACTATCCCTCTCTTTGTTTTCTTGTAAGGATGCCAGTCATATTGGATGAAGAAGCCCCACCCTACTTCAGTTATGATCTCATCTAAACTGACATCTGCAACAGCTCTCTTCCCAAATAAGATCGTGTATTAAGCACGCCTTTTTATTCTGATGTTTTGACATCTGGGGCCTCACTGACCCGAGGAAACTGCCCCTCCCAGGGCTGGCCCATTCCTGGAGATATTAAACTTCTGCAGGCTTTTCACATGGAACTCTCCAATCCAAAGCCCCGTGACCCCCCTCCCTACGAGCCTCCTCTGCGGGCCCTTACGCTACAGGCTGTACTCTCCTGCCCTTGTCACTTCAGTTCCGAGTATCAGCAACTAGGGACAGCCCTTGTGCTGCAGTGCCCACTGAAATAATTTAAACCAGCCGGTCCTCAACCTGCGCACCCTGCCTTGCCCATTCCTTCCTGCAGAAACTACAGTAGAGGCTTTGCCCGCATTCCCCGTTCTTCCTCTGCCTCTTGATCGACGCTGGTGCTTCCCCACGTGGCTGTGCACAACATGCCATGCCTTCTGTTTCTAGGGCTCTGTGAGTCTAAACTTTTCCCTTCCTGACAGTCATTTTCATGCATGCCTTAGCATACCTGATGTCATTAAATCCCAAGTACAGTTTAAAACAGCCACACTGCGAGTTCTAAGGGCTAGAACTTCAACATATTTTTTGAGGGGGTTATCCTGTTCAACCTGTAACATGCAATAGCCTATTTGCTGATATTTTACTTGCATTCCATTGTGGCGTGACCCAGTGACTAGACCCCATCGAGTAAACGATGAACAGACATGAAACACAGCATGTCAGAAGGAGAAGCTTAGCAGCTGTCCGTTCTGTAATATAAACCAAGGAAAAGGCACCGATTGCAGCCACACTGAAATTACCTCATTAGGGGAGGCATGAGAAGATTCATCATAAGGAGAAAGATTTTTTTTTCCTTTTAACGGTGGCAAAATATGTTTACATTCTCCATGTTTGATAATCTTGAACAGAGGAGCTGTTGTCATTGTCTTGGGAAATATATTTGATTCTGAGTTCTCTATTAACTATTGTTTTCTTTTTCTTTATTTTTTTCTTTATTATTATTTTTTTTTTGGAAGAAAGCGGCAGCCCAGAATCTCGTGTTAATGCGATCCATTTCTTGGTACACAAACTGCCAGAGAAGAATAAAGAGATGTTGGATATTTTGGTGAAACACTTAACAAAGTAAGCCTCTTTTTCTTCGTTTTAACTTTCTTCACTTTGCTCTAGGTGCTGGGTAGTGCTCTGGGATTTGTGACGGGTGGAACTGGGGACCACACCTGGAAGGGCAGGCTGAACGTTTGACTCATTGTGTGTGTTTTGGATAAGACTGTTGAAATATGCTTTCATGAAGCTGTATAATTATTTGCTTAACATCTCTGCCAGCAACTCAGGGTTTGATTTGAAGTGAAAGAAGAGAATATTATACATTACCCTATACACAGATTCTGGAAGTGTGAATATAAGTTTGTTAGAATATTTAGCTTGGTTTCACACCTACCTACCTCTAAATTTGAACATGTCCTTTAAGTTGGCTTAATTCAATAATGGGTAGTTATTTTATAGATTTCATTCCCTTTTCCTCCTCCTTTTAAAAACCGGCAAAATCAAATCAGTGGAGAAATTAGCCCTTTCTTTAAGTATAGAGATCATTCTAACTGTAGAATTTTAGACGTGAAAGGAAGCTGAAGAACGCTATATTTTAGAACCTTTCTTTTACATATAAAGAAAATGAAGGTCAGAAGATACTGTGATTTGCCAAGGGACCTACTGCTAGTTTAGCCATTTATTCATTTGGTCAACAAATATTTAGTGAATGCCTTTCTTAGGTGCTAGTGGATACATAGTTGAATAAAATAGTCTAAGTCCCAGCTTTCATGAAGCTTACTTTCTAAGGGAAAATATGAAAAACAGATTACAAATAAAAATATAAAACAGCTTCAGATGATAAATAGCAAAAACACAAAGCAGAGTAAGGGGACAGAATATATTGAGTGTGAGACTATAAAAAATGTTATGCAAAGGCTTTTTGAAGATGGTATCTTTGAATTGAGACCTGAATTAAGTTGCAGGGCTGCTGAGAACAGTTGTCTATGTGATTCACTGCACAGTGATACTGGGCTGAAAGAGTGATTGTGGGTGCTCTGACCAAAGTCTGCATGCTTTTACAAAGGTGCTACGCAGTCTAGTATTCCTTGGAAGCAAAAGTATAATATTCTGGGGAAAGAGTGAGTTTTCTAAGAAGAGGGGAACAGTAAACTAAGGCTTTTGGGGGAAGCAAGATTAGCACATACAGTTGGCTCTTTGTGAGTCCTGCATGGGCAGATTCAACCAGCTACTGATCAAAAATCCAGTATTCCCTGTGGACATGAGGGTTGACTTTTCTTTATCCATGGGTTTCCTGGGTTGACTTTAGAACTTGCACATCTGCAGACTTTGGTGTCTGTAGGGATTCTGGCATCAATTCCCAGGGGATACTGAGGGCCAACTGTGCATGGAATTATTAAGAAAGCCATTGTGGTTAGACTAGAGCACCAAAGAGAGGGAAGTAAAGGAGTAGGCAGGAGCATCTGCATGGAGGGTTTCTCAGATCTGGTTATTTCAGAGGTAGATGTTGAGGGTGGTTAAGTCTCTTGACCCCTTGCTTTTAAGGAAATACAGAGTTGCAGACTATTTACAGTCCACAATTTTTGCTCCTTTGGTTAAACAGATTCCTCCCCCCTTACCAATTTCAGTGTTTCAAATCACTCCAAGCAGAACCTGATGACTGTGGCAAACTTAGGAGTGGTGTTTGGACCAACTCTGATGAGGCCACAGGAAGAAACTGTCGCTGCCCTCATGGACTTGAAGTTTCAGAATATTGTTGTGGAAATCTTAATTGAAAACCATGAAAAGGTAAAATTTTTTTTTTCTTTAAGAGACTTTGTTTTCGGCTTGTCGCCATGTACTACACAACGATCCTCTTAGATTTCCCTTTTCTCTCTCTCTGTTTAAAAAAATTCTTTCATTCTCACTGTGATGAGCTTGGTTCTAAGAAGTTCTCATTGAGCTTCTGTCTTCTGATGGAGTTCCATAAATCTGAAATTTATCTGGTCTTTTGTTATCTCCCTGGTTTAATGAAGAAGCATTTAATCCAGATGTAAGTGAATATCAAGGCAATTGTGAACTATTTAGGACTTTTGTTGCTTTTATTCCCATCTTTGGATTTCTCACTCAAATTCTGTGTGGCACAGCAACCCTGTACTCTTGATAAAGTTAGGGCTTTGCAACTTACAAGAGAAAATAAGGCAAATAAGGTTGAAGGGATGTGAGATGGGGCCAGAGGACCATGAGCATCATTGAGAGTAGGGGTTGAGGGGCAGTGAAGCCAGCCCCTGCTCTGCACCTGGGAAACCGCCTGCCTTGCAAAGAGTCTTTCTGGTTACACCTAGCTGTTGTGAATGACAAGTAAAGGAGGAGAAATTGGGGAAGGGTAAACTCTTCAAATATGCTTAGGCATTGCATCTGGGGAGCAGGGAAGGGTAAATATTCCTGGGGTGTGGTGGATGGGGTTGACCCAGGTGATCCATGTTGGGGTGAGCAGAAACTGCTTTAATATACTCTTCCCTCCCACCATACCCACTCAGCATATTAACTACTAGAAATAAGTACTGTTTATGATTGTCACTTTGGGATCACTTTCCCAAATTACTGTTATTTTCTCCTTGATTAGATATTGTCTATGGCTACTCTTACGATACAACAGAAGAGTCTGGTACTTGCAACAGAGACCAGATAGCCCGCAAGGCATAACTATGTACTGCCTGGGGGATCTGCAAGGCTTTTCTGTAAAGGACCAATCTAGAGCAATAATTTTCAACCCCAACAAATCAGAATCACCTGAGGGCCTCTTGTAAGTGGCTGCATAGCCATGCGTATTCTGTTAAATTTTTGCCTTCCCAAGAATTATGATAAGTAGCCAGCAAGAAGAACTGCTAATCTAGGGAGGAAACGTCTCTTCTTTATTAAGAACTTAGGAGAGGACTTCAGTCTGGAACACGAAAAGAAGGTTTCATTAATATTTGAGAGGGTTTTGTTCATAAGAGTTAAAACAAGACCTGAGTATGGCATTTGTTGGTGTTAGAGCTGGCCCATGGCAGTTTGTGTTTGAATTGAGAATTGCAAGGAGCTGGTGTCTATTCAGTTTAGCTGGGCTTCATTTATATGTAGGGATGAGATAATCTATGGGGGAACATAAGGAAAAAATGGTTTTAGGATGCTTTCGGAGTGCTGTTCTCAATAGGACCACCTTGAGGGCCTGCCTCTCTCCCGCTGTCTCAAGCCCCCTCAAAGTAAAGCTTCCACTTATTAAGAAAAATGCTGCTGACTCATAGTTAAAAGTGTACCTTTATTTTTATAAGGATGTAAATACAGTTTTTAAAAACACTTATTCTTTAGGGCAGTACTTTTCAATCTTCTTGGGATCACAGGCTGCTGAGAAGCTGACAGAAGTTATTACCCCTTTTGTTAGTAACCCAGATAAATGCACATAAATCCTTCTTTCCCCTTAATTGTTCTAACAGTTTCAGTGGGCTCACCTGCATTCCTGAATCTGTGGACTGTAGGTTAAGTATTTCTGGTTTAAAATGAATAATCTCTTAAGTGACTTGCTTTCTTACTTGTTTCTCTGTAATCAAGGGAAAACATGATTTTAAATACCACATTATTTTCTTTCAAGAACTTTTAGATTTTTTTTTCTTCAGTCACCTGTAGATGAGCACTTTGCTAATAACATTCCTGACTTCTGCCTCTAAGATGGGGAGCTTGAAAACTGTTAGAATGCTTGGTCACTCATTTGTTTATTAAAAAGATTTTTTTAAATTGAGATTGCATCATATGCCAGACATGTAGTAGGTGCCGGATGTGCAGATGAATATTCCAGCTCCTGTGGGAAAGCAGGTCGTCATCTGGGGGCGGAAGCCATGTTTTGGGACTCGGATCCTATAAACGTACCCCAGTCTAATATGTTACATAACTTATTTTCTTGTCTGTTTCTCTCTGCTAAGATCCTTGAGGCCAGAGATCTTTTTGTCCACTTATAGTAATACCTGGTACATATTAGGTGTTAATACTTATGGAGTGAAATAATGAATTCAATACATTTTGAGGGGGTTGAAGGACTGGGAAAGAGACAGGCAAACAGAAATGTAGTCCCTTTGGGGAAGGCATAGCAAGAGTATTTCTTGGGTACTTGTTGCATTGGCTGTTTGCTGGAGCAGTTCTAGCTTGTTGCTAATGTTGGGTTCTCATGGAAAAGATAAGCTTGAAAGCTGATTGGGGATTTTCTTTACCATTATGGTAAAAGCAGCTTGTTTATGGATGTGAGAAGTTTTGTTTTGCCTTTTTTTTTTTTTTTTTTTTTGCCAGTGGTGGTGAATTTATGCCTCCTTTTATGATCCTGTCAAACTGTTATTAAGCCTCATTAGTGTGCACTAAGCCATCCAGACAGCTCATGGAAAGATGGCTACTGTTCATTTTTAGAAAGAAAAATAATTAGACTACAAGCTTTGAGACAATGTTACAGTAGCTCAACAATCATTTGATTAAATCCTAATTAGGAAACCTTTATGCAATTTATTTGTGAAAATACTGGCTCTGGGTCTTGCTCTTGGATAAAAGGATCTCCATTTCATGCTGCAACTGCCTGTTTTCTTCCCTTTTTGAAGCTGGGGAGATAAGTACATGATTTGTCTGCTGGGAAGTAGATAGTGCTGCTTTCACCTTGTTAATAAATCTTACAGGAATTTTCCAGTAGCGTCGGCAAGCCTGTTACAATAGTTACAGCAGACGAAAGTGGCCTCGCTTTCAGAGCTTTATAGAGCTAAGCAGAGGTCTTTCGGTTTTCCTTCTCTTCCTTTCTGTGGCTAGATAGTTCTATGAATGCACAACCAACGTTAATTAAGTGCTCTCAGGCTTTCTATTCAGAAGGGAGCAATGGACATCGAGTTTCAGATTCTTCACTGTGTGCTTGGGTTTAGGGTTGGAAGCAGGGTTGTGTGGCAGGGTTGGAGGGTTGGAGATGGGGGATGTCAGTTTGGATTAGTTAACAGTTCTGAGAACCTAAATTTCCCCATTACCTCGCCTTGTCTCTCCCATTTCATCTTTGAACACTTCTACTCCCACTCCTGGCTCTTTGTTCCTGCTCAGTTGGACTTCACTGCAGAGTCCAGGCTCTGCTATGAGGAAGAATATTTTTGCTGACAAGGGTGCTTGTGCAGGAAAACTTCATATGGATGCGTGGATCTATGTTAGCCACGGGTTTCCCTGGCAGCTGACCTAAGTATACCCTTCAGAGGATCCTAACATTTGACTGTAGAGTGGGGAGGGAAGGATCTAGTCCCTCTTAGTGTTTCAGGACAAGATGAAAACGAGAGAGGGAGTAAGGACAGGAAAAGTTGAAAAGAGTAGTCTGAGAAAGGAAAACATTACAGTAATGGATGGCGGTGGGGGGAGGGTGCAAAAAAGGAAGGTTAAACTGGGGAGGAAAGGAAGAGGCCTATGTGTGTCACTGACAGTGGCTCTGACAGGCGAAAAATGGCGAGAAGGAAGTCATTTTCTTTTCCTCAGTTATTTGTTTTTCCTCCCTAAGAATGTGAAAAATGTTGACTCCAGGAAAGTCACTAAAGCAAAGAGGAAACTTCAACATGTAATTAAAGCAAGATTGCTCTAGATGAATTTCGGAGTTAGAAAAAGGCTCCTAGTTAATCTGCTTTGGAGATGACAATTTTTCCTAGCCTCCTTGCTGTTTTTATAAATCTGTGTATACTTTATAGGAAACTTAATCCATATGTTTTAGCTTTATTTACACATAATAAAGATGTAGACTGAGCATGGTGGCTCATGCCTGTAATCTCAGCACTTCGGGAGGCCAAGGCGGGCAGATCACCTGAGGTCAGGAGTTCGAGACCAGCCTGGCCAACATGGCAAAACCCCATCTCTACTTAAAAGAAAGTACAAGAATTAGCCAGGCGTGGTGGCGGGCACCTGTAATCCCAGCTATTCAGGAGGCTGAGGCAGAAGAATTGCTTGAACCCAGGAGGTGGAGGTTGCAGTGAGCTGAGATTGCGCCACTGCACACCAGCCTGGGTGACAAGAGCGAGACTCTGTCTCAAAAAAAAAAAAAAAAAAAAAAGAGTTCCTGGGCCAAAATATTATTAAGGTCTTTCTTCCTTTGTTAACGAGAAAATTTTATTTCCCAGGTGGCAAAGGGTGCTGTGAACTTTTCAAGGATTTTCAAATTGGGGTTGTGCCTTAGGATTTGTGAGTTTTGCATAAGTTCTGTTCTTAACAGAGTATACTTGTTATGCATTAATTTGGTGCATTTTTTCCCCCAGTGCCTGCTGTGAGTCATTCATGGTGTGAGATTTGGGGGAAGTAAAGACAGTCCAGTAGGGGAAAGAAGAAATGTCCAAAAGTAGCTACAAGATATGGCAGAGAATAAGCGCTTTGAGAGAGAGACAGAGAGAGAATGAGCGAGAAAGTGGCGGAGACTTCAGAGGAGAGTTTATGTTCAGCTGCAGGGAATCTGGAAAGTTTCCCCAGTAAGTGTTTTGAATCAGTTTTATAATGGAGTTTGAACAGGTGGAGATGTTTTAAGAGGACATTTCGGGTATGGGAGACCATGTAATCAGAGAAACACAGAGAGGAGGTACGTGTTCTGGGAATGCAGCTCTTGTTGGAACATGGGCAAATGGCAGGAGATGAGATTGGAAAGAGATTCGGGCCAGGTGTGGGAGGTTGAGAATGCCGCTTTAGGACTTTTGCATTTACTTTTATAGGTACTGGGGCCACTCATAGTTTTCAAGTAAACTGCTTCACAAAACTTAATCTGACAGCAGGATTTGCAGTAGGAAGTAGAGGAATGAAAGGCTAGGAGAGAGGTTATTTGGCATAGTCGAAGGGCATGGGAGTGAGAATGGGGAGTTCCAGGGTGGACAGCATCATTTGGTGAGGTGGAATAGGCAAAACCCGGGGACTGGGTTTGTAAGGGGTCTTGGGGAAGGTGTGATAGAGATTCAATCCTGGGACAATATGGGTGTCACTAATAAAAGGAAGGAACAAAGGGGTTTGGGGGAGGAGTAAGATGAGTTCAGTTTGTCACATGGTGAATTGTAGTTATCTGTTCAAGATAAGTCCATTAGACAGAGATTTGGTGCTCAAACTTATGAGTGAATTTAGGGGTAGAAAGTATAACGTAAGGTATAGTTAAAGACATGAGATTGGCGTAAGAAAATATTTATTGGATGCTCATGATGTTACATGCTTTGGGTCTACTATAAAGGGTATTAATGTAATTCTAGTGTATGAGGATGCTTCTTTGTGTATCCATACACTTAAAAATATATATATAAAACATAAAATTCCCATTGCATAAATATATGTAATAGTATCCCTGTATGGGTGAAAATTCTTATGTATATTATCTCTTTATACATCTGAGAGAAGTGAGGGGTGAGAGCTTAACTTGCTCATGAGCACACAGCTAGTAAAAGTGAAGTGCTTGGGTTTGAACTGAGATTGACCCCCAAAGCCTTTGCTTTTCATCACTAGGAGAAGACAGTAATATCCTTGAGAAACACCAAGATTTTCCTGTTAGGGGTAATAGAGGAGCCAGAAGAAACCCAGGCAGGATCAGGTCAGTGCTAGTGTCAGGGTTGTCTAGGGCCTTGTCAAGGATGCCAGATACGTCCCATGAGATGGGCAAGTATGAGGACAGGCTAGTGATGTGAGCTCATGAACCAGTGGCATGAGTGAGCTCTTTCAACAGTGACATTTCTTTTTTTTTTTTGAGACGGAGTTTCATGCTTGTTGCCCAGGCTGGAGTGCAGTGGCATGGTCTTGGCTCACTGCAATCTCTGCCTACCGGGTCCAAGTGATTCTCCTGCCTCAGCCTCCCAAGTAGCTGGGATTACAGGCATGTGCCACCATGCCTGGCTAATTTTGTATTTTTTAGTAGAGATGGGGTTTCTTCATGTTGGCCAGGCTGGTTTCGAACTCCTGATCTCAAGTGATCCACCGGCCTTGGTTTCCTAAAGTGCTGGGATTACAGGCATGAGCCACCGTGACTGGCCTAATGGTGACATTTCTGTTGAGAGCCAGAGTGTGGATCAACTTGTAAGATGTATGTGAATGAGTGTTTCGGAATGAGTGATATTCAGTGTCAATTTTTTTTTGTTGTTTTTGTCATATGACAAGAATAAAGCAGGAGGAAAAGCCAGAATAGACATGGAGGGGAAGGACAGAGCAGGACCACTAGTGCCTGAGTTTTACATGGCTCACTGGTCACCCTCAGAGTCTAGTGACCTGTTAGCTTATGTCTGAGGTAGGGAGTTCTTTAGAGGAACTTAAACAGGGAATGAACCCTCTCAGGAGTCACTGAGTCTGTGTAGATTGAGTCTATTATTTATTTTTAATTTTCGTGGGTACATAGTTGGTGTATGTATTTATGGGGTACATGAGATATTTTGATAGAGGCATGCCATGGGTAATAATCACAGCAGGGGAAATGGAGTCTCCACCACCTCAAGCATTTATCCATTCTTTGTGTTACAAGCAATCCAGTTATACTCTTTTAGTTATTTTTAAATGTGTAAGAAATTATTGTTGACTTCAGTCATCCTGTTGTGCTATCAAATACTGAATTTTATTCTATCTAACTGTATTTTTGTGCCCATTAACCATCCCTGCTCCCCCCGCCACTGCTCACTACCCTCCCCAGCCTCTGGTAACCATCATTCTGTTCTCTATCTTCATGAGTTAAATTGTTTCAGTTTTTTGCTCCCACAAATAAGGGAGAACATGTAAAATTTGTCTTTCTATGCCTGACTTATTTCACTTAACATAATTACCTTCAGTTCCATCCATGCCATTGTAAATGACAGGATCTCATTCTTTTTTAAGGCTGAATAGTACTCCACTGTGTATAAGTATCACATTTTCTTTATCCATTTGTCTGTTGATAGACACTTAGGATGCTTCCAAATCTTGATGATTGTGAATAGTGCTGCAGTAATCATGGGAGTGCAGATATCTCTTTGATATACTGATTTCCTTTCTTTTGGGTATACACCTAGCAGTGGGATTGCTGGATCATATGGTAGCTCTATTTTTAGTTTTTTGAGGAACCTCCAAAGTATTCTCCATAGGGGTACATTCCCACCAAGAGTGTACAGGGGTTCTCTTTTCTCTACATCCTTGCCAACATTTTTTATTGCCTGACTTTTGGATAAAAGCCATTTTAACTGGGGTGAGATGACATCTCATTGTAGTTTTGCTTTTCATTTCTCTGATGATTAGTGGTGTTGTGAACATTTTCATATACCTCATTCTTATATTTTATACATTATAATGTAATAAAAACTTTTGTTTGTAATTTGACTCCCTCCTCATCTCCCCCCACTTCCTAAGGGCCCTTGAAGATTCTGAAGAGCCTGTGAAAAGCATCAAAGATCATATTAATCAGGGTGGTTTTCTTTTAATATCTGTCTTAATACTGAAAAATTGGCAATTTATAAAGTAAGGAATATAATGTTACTCTCAGAATTACTTAATATAAGAATACAATTCAGATTACATTGATCTTATTGAGGGTTTTAATTGGATTTTCAATGAGATATGTAAAATGTGCTTTGGTTGACCTTAGCTTTGTGTGGTACTTCAGTGTGCTCTGATGTTTCATTGATTTCCTGATGATCAGGAGGTTTTTTCCTAGTACTAGCCTGTATTAGTCTGTTTTCAGGCTGCTGATAAAGACATACCCAAGACTGGGAAATTTACAAATGAAAGAGGTTTAATGGGCTCATGGTTCCACAGGGCTGGGGAGGCCTCACAATCATGGCGGAAGGGGAAAGGCATATCTTACATGGCAGCAGACAAGAGAACTTGTGCAGGGAAACTCCCCTTTATAAAACCATCAGATCTCATGAGACTTACTATCATGAGAATAGCACAGGAAAGACCCACCCCCATGATTCAATTATCTCCCACTGGGTCCCTCCCACAACATGTGGGAATATGGGAGCTACAATTCAAGATGAGATTTGGGTGGGGACACAGCCAAACCATATCATAGCCTTTATGTATTACAGTTTTTGTGGATGACTTTGTGCCAAGGGACAATTACATTTCATGTACATTAAACATTTCCTGGACAAGGATTCTTTATAACTTTGTAATAAGCATTTTAGCCTTTGTAATAGGGATTGTGGTAGAATGTGTCTTTTTTTTGGTGTGACAGTGGAGGCCATTGTGGTGGTCTTGCTTTGTTGAAATGGCTGATGGCCTTGTACTGCCCAGAGGTGTCTTCATGGCACTTTGATTTATCCTTGTTTGTAACATGTGCTTCAAAGTCCCCGAGTAGTGTGTGTCCTCCAGTCACGGAGGAGCCTAGACAGAGCAGTAGGGAGAAGGGCATATGTGTTTCCCATATGTCTTAGTCTGTATTGTGTTGCTATAACAATACTTGAGACTGGGTAATTTTGAAGGAACAGAGATTTCATTTCTTACAGTTGCATAAGCTGGAAAGCCCAAGGTTGATGAGCTGCATCTGCCAAGGGCCTTCTTGATGCATCATCTCATGGCAGAAGGACAAGAGAACATGTGAAAAAGGAGTGACAGACAGAGTGCATGTGCAAGTGAGTGAGGGCCAAACTTGCTTTTCTAACGAACTCTCTTGATTACAAACCTATGCCTGAGATAACATGAATCCATTTGTGAGGGCAGGGACCTCATGACCTAATGACCTCTTAAAGCTCACATCTCTCAACACTATTACATTGAGGATTATGTTTTCAACATATGAACTCTGAGGGATGCAGTCAGACCATAGCAGTGTCCAATGTAATCACCAGAATAATGTTACGTGCACATATAGAGGAGTATCACACTGTGTTGTTTCACTCTTGTTAACCCTGCAACCAACTTTATGACCTGCATCTACCTCTCTTTGCCACGATCAGTAGAATGCATTGGTGCTCCTAGGTTCATTGGTGTAATTGGATTCCCATTCAGTCTCAACTTGCTGCTGTCCCAGTGACAGCCACATGTGGGCTGTTTTTGATGAGGAGTATCCACTGCTTCATTCCTGTGGCTACAAACACAATATATGTCCTATCCCTCTTCCGTAGGTTGGTCTCTGTCATTCTTTAATATATAAAGAGATTGAGTGAGTAATATCCAAACCATTTTCCATCAAGTGCAAGAGTCTTCCAGTCTTACAGCATGCTTGCCATTTAATGGGAAAAAGAAATCTCTTTAAAAAACATCTAGCCAAAAATGCTTCTTGATTTAGCTTTGCTGGCACTGGGTTGCTAGGCAGCACTAGTTTTTATGTGAGAGAAAAATAAATGTCTTAAACAACAACAACAATAGCAGCAGCAATAATAAAGCTGCAAAGTTTCTAAAAGCTTTGTGTCTGCCTGAGTATTGACTGTTCAGTGTAGAAGTCAAAATCCCATAGCAAGAATATTTGACAAATTTTCAGACTCCCCCCCATCCCCAGTTTTCATGAATGTTGACTTGTTTGGCATTGCTATGAAAACTTTACTGTTTTGTGTGTGGTTTTTTTTTTTTTTTCTTCTTCTCAGCAGGGCTTTGCATTTTCTGGAGTGTTTAAAAAGAGACTTTAAAAGCACAGGAAACTTTCTGTCTTCCTTTCTCTTTCCTTTAAGGAGAGAAGGAAAATAATAATGACATTGTCTTCCTTATTCTGTTTTTCTTTAGCTGTGGCATTGGAAGCTTCTGCTGTCATGTGGCTCTGTAAATGGTAGATTGTATTTTCCCTTGGGACCAGAGTGGTTTGATAAGAGCAAATTTAGGAGAGAGTCATTCTGCATCATTTTAGTGCCCAGTATAGACAAAGCACTGGGGAAAATTGAAGGGCTCCAATATAAAGTGTGCATAGATTTATTCTGTGTTGTCTGAGAAAGCATACTGAGTACAAGTGAGCAGTACTTGCCATGAGGTGAGTTTTTGATTCACTAGAAAGAAGAACTTCGTAATATTTATAATAATGAGAACATGTTCATGTTAGGGATGGGATTGAGGTGGAAGAAAGCAGGCCTCTGAGGTCCTGCCCACTCTGAAATTTTCTGCCCAAGCATCTGGAGATGCGGAGCTGCAAAGAGAGCTCCTCGGAGCCTAGCTTAGTGTTTAGAACTTGGCATTCAATCAGTATTTGCAGAATAAAAAATGATGATGAAGAATATCACCCTATTCTTCATTGCATTTTTAGGTTGTTTATATTCCCAGGAACAACAAGACTACTTGGAAGGGAAGATAGGAAGGAAAGAATGAGAGGGCGAGTGTGGTGGCGTATGTGTAGGTCGGCTCCAGGGAAGGCACCATCAGGTGCCTTTTCTTGAGGGGAGAGGGTAGTTTGGGTATATATGGGCTTGGTTTTTTGCCTTGAGCTAGTGCTCACTATGTATTTTTTCTTTGTAAAATAAAGCTTTTAGAGCTGTCTTTTTTGTATCTCTCAAGATAAAATTGGGAGCAATAATAATTATAATAGCTAACACTGATTGAAAGATGATTGTGTGCCAGGCACTAGGCTGGGCTCCTTATATGACATTTAATTGGACATTCCATAGACAGTTTAGTATAATATGGCATAGTAGGCTCTAAAGTGGAATTCCTGGAGTTGAAATCTCAGCTCCACTCAATTGTGTGACTTTTTTTTTCCATTTTATTTTAGATTTGGGGGTACATGTACAGGTTTGTTACAGGGATATATTACATGGTGTTGAAGTTGGAGCTTTGATCCTGTCACCCATATGGTGAACATAGTACTCAACAGGAAGTTTTTCCACCCTTTCTCTCTCTCTCCCCCTCCCCCTCCCCTTTTGGAGTCTCCAGTGTCTATTACTTTCATCTTTATATCTGTGTAAACCCAAGATTTAGCTTCCACTTATAATTGAAAACATGTAGTAGTTCGTTTTCTGTTTCTCCATTAGTTCACTTAGGATAACAGCTTTTAGCTGCATCCATGTTGCTGCAAAGGACGTGATTTTGGTTTTTTAACTTTGTTGCTGCATAGTATTCCGTGGTGTATATGTACCACATTTTCTTTATCCACTCCACTATTGATGGGCACTCTATTGATTCCATGTCTTTGTTATTGTGAATAATGCTGCGATTAACATACAAGTACTGCATGTGTCTTTTGGGTGGAATGATTTATTCATTTATTTTTTTTGGATATATACCCAGTAAGGTATTGCTGGGTCGAATGGTAGTTCTATTTTTAGTTCTTTGAGAAATGTCCAACTGCTTTCCACAGGGGCTGAGCTAATTTGCATTCCCACCAACAGTGTATAAGCATTCCCTTTTTTTCCCACAACCTCACTAGCACCTTATTTTTTGACTTTTTAAATAATCGCCATTCTGACTGGTGTGAGATGGTGATATGGTTTGGCTCTGTGTCCCCACTCAAATCTCATGTTGAATTGTAATTCCCAGTGTTGAGGGAGGGACTTAGTGGGAGGTGATTGGATAATGGGGGTGGATTTTCCCCATGCTGTTCCTGTGATAGTGAGTTTTTCTCAGATCTGATGGTTTAAAAGTGTGTGGCACTTCCCCCCTTGCTTGCTCACTCTCTCCTGCTCCGCCACAGTAAGGTGTGCTTGCTTTTCCTTCGCCTTCCACCATGATTGTAATTTTCCTGAGGCCTCCCAGCCATGCTTCATGTACAGCCTGTGGAACTGTGAGTCAATTAAGCCCCTTTTCTTCATAAATTACCCAGTCTCAGGTAGTTCTTTATAGCAGTGTGAGAATGGCCTAATACAGATGGTATCTCATTGTGGTTTCAATTTGCATTTCTCTGAAGATTAATGATGTTGAACAATTTTTTCATATGTTTTTTGGCCATTTGTCCGTCTTCTTTTGAGATGTGTCTGTTCATGTCTCTTGCCCACTTTTTAATGGGGCTGTTTTTTCTTAATTATTCATTTCAGTTCCTTATAGATTCTGGAAATTAGTTCTTTGTCAGATGCATAGTTTGCAGATATTTTCTCCCGTTTTGTAGATTGTCTGTTTCCTCTGTTGAGAGTTTCTTTTGCTGTGCAGAAGCCCTTTAGATTAAGTCCCGTTTGTCTGTTTTTGATTTTGTTGCATTTGCTTTTGGGGTCTTCATAAATTTTTTGCCTAGGCGACTATCTGGAAGAGTATTTCCTAGGTTTTCTTCTAGAATTTTTAGAGTTTGAAGTCTTACATTCAAGTCTTGACTCCATCTTTAGTTAATTTATTGTATATGATGAGAGGTAGTAGTCTAGTTTCATTCTGCTGCATAGAGTTAGCCAGTTTTCTCAGCACCATTTATTGAATAGGAAGTCCTTTCCCCCTTGTTTTTTGTCAGCTGTGTCAAAGGTGACTTGGTTGTAGGTGTACGGCTTTATTTCAGGGGTCTGTGTTCTGTTCCATTGGTCTATATATCCTATTTTTGTGCCCATACTATGCTGTTTTGGTTATTGTAGCCTTGTAGTATTGTTTGAAGCCGGCTTTGTTCCTTTTGCTTAGGATTGCCTTGACTGTTGAGGCTTTTTTTTTCATTCCATGTGAATTTTAGAAAAGTGTTTTCTAATTCTCTGAAAAATGACATTGGCAATTTGATAGAAGTAATGCTGAATCTGTGGATTGCTTTGGGCGGTATGGAGATTTTAATGATACTGATTCTTCCAACCCATGAGCATGGAATGCTTTTCCATTTATTTGTATTGTCTGTGATATCTTTCAGCAGTGTTTTGTAGTTCTTCTCACGGACATCATTCACTTTCTTGGTTAAATATATGCCTGGGTTTTTGTGTAGGTGTGTGGCTATTGTAAATGGGATTGCATTCTTGATTTACTTCTCAGCTCAGATGTTACTGATATAAAGAAATGTTGATTTTTATCTGTTGACTTTGCATCCTGTATCCTGAAACTCTGCTGAAGTTGTTAATCAGATCTAGTAGTCTTTTGGCAGCATCTTTAGGGTTTTCCAGGTAGAGAATCATATTGTCAGTGGAGACAGATAATTTGACTTCATCTTTTCCTATTTGGAATGCCTTTGCTTTCTCTTGCCTGATTGCTCTGGGTAGGACTTCTAGTATGTTGAATAGGAATGGTGAGAGTGGACACCCTTGTCTAGTTCCGGTTCTTAAGGAAAATGCTTCCAGCTTTTACTCATTCAGTATGATGCTGGCTGTGGGTTCATCATAAATGGCTTTTATTATTTTGAGGTATCTTCTTTCAATGCCTAGTTTGTTGGTTTTTTTCTTTTTATCATAAAGACATATTGGATTTTATCAAATGCTTTTTCTGTGTCTATTGAGATGATCATATAGTTTTTGTTTTTAATTCTGTTTATGTGGTAAATCACATTTATTGATTTGGGTAGATGAACCACTGCTACATCCCAGGAATAAAGCCTACTTGATCATGGCAAATTAACTTTCTGATATGCTGCTGGATTTGGTTTACTAGTATTTTGTTGAGGATTTTTGCATCTGTGTTCATTGGAGATATTGGCATGTAGTTTTTTGTTGTTGTTTTGTCTTTTCCAGCTTTTAGTGTTAGGATGATACTGGTTTCAAAGACAGGGTTTGGAAGGATTCCCTCCTCTATTTTTTGGAATTGTTCCAGTAGGATTGGTACCAGCTCTTTTTTGTAAGCCTGGTAGAATTTGGCTGTGAATCCATCTCGTCCAGGGCTTTTCTTGGTTGGTAGGTTTTTTAAATTACTGATTCAGTTTCATTACTCCATTATCGGTCTGTTCAGGATTTCTCTTTCTTCTTGATTCAATTTTGGGAAGTTGTGTGGTTGTATGTTTCCAGGAATTTGTCTACTTCCTCTAGATTTTCTAATCAGTGTGCATAGAGATGTTCATAGTAGTCTCTGGAGATCTTTTCTATTTCTGTGGTATCGGTTGTTATGTCACCTTTGTTATTTTTGATTGTGCTTATTTGGATCTTCTCTCCTTTTCCTTTGTTAATCCAGCTAGCAATCCTATCAATCTTGTTAATCCTATCAATCTTGTTTATCCTTTCAGAGAACCAACTTTTCATTTTATTGATCTTTAGTATGGTATTTTTGGGTCTTGGTTTCATTTAGTTCTGCTCTGATTTTAGTTATTTCTTTTCTTTTGCTAACTTTGGGTTTAGTTCTTGTTTTTCTGGTTTCTTTAGGTACAAGGTTAGGTTGTTAATTTGAGATCTTTCCACTTGATGTAGGTGTTTTGTGCAGTAAACGTTCCTCTTAACATTGCTTTTGCCATGTCTCAGAGATTTTGGTATATTATGTCTACTTTTGTTTGTTTCAAAGAAGTTTTTGATTTCTGCATTAATTTTGTGGTTTACCCAAAAGTCATTCAGGAGTTAAGTTGTTTAGTTTCCATGTATTTGTGTGTTTTTTAGAGTTGCTCTTGGTATTAATTTCTATTTTTATTCCATTGTGGTCTGAGAAGATGCTTGGTATGATTTCAGTTTTTAAAAAGTATATTGAGACTTGCTTTATGATTCAGCATGTGTTCAGTCTTTGAGAATGTTACATGTGCAGATGAGGAGAATGACTATTCTGTGGTTGTTGGGTATTCTGTAGATGCCTATTAGGTCCGGTTAGTCAAGTGTTGAATTTAAGTTCAGAATTTCTTTGTTCATTTTCTGCCTCTGTGATGTGTCTAATGCCATCAGTGAAGTGTTGAAGTCTCCTCCTATTATTATGTGGCTGTCAAAGTATTCTCTTAGGTCTAGAAGTAATTGTTTTATAAATCTGGGTGTGCCAGTGTTGGGTGCAAATACATTTAGAATAGTTAAATCTTCTTGTTGAATTTAACCTTTTATCATTATGTAATGCTCTTACTTGTCCTTTTTTTTACTGTTGTTGGTTTAAAGTCTATATTTTCTGATATATGTATAAGAGTAGGGACCTCTGCTCTTTTTCGATTCCATTTGTGTGGTAGATTTTCCTCCATCCCTTTACTTTGAGCCCAGGGGCGTGATCATATGTGAGATGGGTCTCTTGCAAACAGCAGAAGGACGGATCTTGGTTTTAAAATTCAATTTGCCACCCTATGTCTTTTATTTTTAGTCTTTTTTCAAAAGACAGGGTTTTGCTCCATCACCCGTGCTGGAAGTGCAGTGGTATGAGTATGGGTCACTGCAGCTTTGACTTCCCAGGCTCAAGTGATCCTTTTGCCTCAGCCCCCTGTCTCTTCTGGTTTATAAAGTTTCTTCTGTGAAGTCAGCTGTCATTCTGATGGGTTTCTTTTTATAGGTAACATGATCCTTTTCTGTAGCTACCTTTAAGATTTTTTCTTTTGCGTTGATCTTGGAAAGTCTGATGACTATGTGCCTTGGACTCGGTCGTCTTGTATCTCACAGGAGTTCCCTGGGTTTCTTTTCTTTCTTTCTTTTTTTTTTTTTTTTCTTTTTGAGACAGGGTCTCACTCTGTTGCCCAGGCTGGAGTGCAGTGGTGCAATCACGGCTCACTGCAGCCTTGACCTCCTCCCAGGCTCAGACAACCCTCCCATGTCAGCTTCCTAAGACTGTAGCTGGGACTACAGGCATGTGCCATCACACCCAGCTAAATCTTTTTTTTTTTTTTTTTTTTTTTTTGGTATTTTGTGTTGAGATGGGGTCTCCCTATGTTGCCCAGGCTGGTCTCGAACTCCTTGGCTCAAGCAGTCCTCCTGCCTTGGTGTCCCAAAGTGTTGGGATTACAGGTGTGAGCCACCACACCTAGCCTGGATTTCTTATATCTGCATTTTAACCTCTCAAGCAAGATTGGGGAAATTTTCCTGAATTTTATCCCCAAATATGTTTTCCAAGCTGCTTATTTTCTCTTCTTTTCTCTCAGGAATGCCAATAAGGTATACATTTGGTTGTTTTACATAATCTCGTATTTCTCAAATACTTACTTACTTTCTTTTTTTTCCTGAATTTTCGAGACAGGGTCTTACTCTCGCCCAGGCTGGAGTGCACTGGTATAATCACAGCTCATTGCAGCCTCGACTTTCTGGGTTCAGGTGATTCTTCCGCCTCAGTCTTCCTAGTAGCTGGACTCCAGGTGTGCATGACCATGCACTGCTAAGTTTTTGCATTTTTTGTAGAGATGGGGGTCTCACCATGTTGCCTAGCCTGGTCTTGAACTCTTGGGCTCAGAAGATCCACCCGCCTTGGCCTCCCAAAGTGCTGGGACTACAGGCATGAGCCATGGTGCCTGGCTGCTTTGTTTTTTTTTTTTTTTTGAAGCAGAGTCTCACTCTGTCGCCCAGGCTGGAGTACAGTGGCACGATCTCGGCTCACTGCAACCTCCACCTCCCGGGTTCACGCCATTCTCCTGCCTCAGCCTCCCGAGTAGCTGGGACTACAGGCGCCCGCCACCACGCCCAGCTAATTTTTTGTATTTTTAGTAGAGACAGGGTTTCACCGTGTTAGCCAGGATGGTCTCCATCTCCTGAGCTCGTGATCCGCCCGCCTCCTCCTCCCAAAGTGCTGGGATTATAGGCGTGAGCCACTGCACTCGGCCTGTTCATTTTTTAAAATTCTTTTTTTTTTTTTCAAATTTTTGTCTGGGTTCATTTGAAGCACTGATTTTTGAGTTCTGAAATTCTTTCTTTTGCATGGTCTCATCTGCCGTTAAGACTTCCAACTGTATTTTGAAATTCCTATAGTGAATTTTTCAATTCTAGAAGTTCTGTTTTGTTCCTTCTTAACATAGCTATGTCATCTTTTGAATCTTGAGTCGTTTTTGTGTTGTTTCTTGTCTTGGATTTCAATTTTCTCTTTGATCTTGTTGCATTTCTTTGCTATCCATATCCTGGATTCTTTATATGTCATTTCAGACATTCATTCCGGTTAGAATCCATTGCTGGGGAGTTAGTGGGATCCTTTGAAGGTGACAAAACAGTCTGGCTTTTTCTACTGCTGGAGTTCTTATGCTGGTTTCTTCTCATTTGAAAGAACTGATGTTTTCTTTTTTTTGATTTTGTTATTGTTTGGATGAGAGTTCTTGATTTTTTTATTCTTTTTGTCCTTGGGGCTGTTACTGTGGTGTATATTGTGTGTGATTGTTTGGCTACGTTTCTGGGTATTTTCAGAGTTCCAAGGCTGTTTATGAGTTCCTTGGTTGCAGAGAGGTTCCTACAGTGGCTTTCTCCTTTGTTGCTTGTAGGGGTGTAATTTTGTTTGGTGGTGTTGTTTAAGCTGCAGTCCAGTAGATGGCGCTTAAGAGTAATAGCTGCCTGGGGAATGGGCAGAGGGAGGCAACAGAGAAGCATGAAAAGCGCCCTCCCCCAGTACACATTCGCGTTCAGCGGCTGGAGCCACTGGAGAAGCCCCAGGAAGCAGTTTCTTTCAGCCCAAACTCTCCAGGCCCCAGCAGGAGGACGCACTGCCAAGTCCGCCACAGCACATTGAGGAGGCGGGAAGGGAGTATGAGACGACCCTCTCTCCATGTTCGTTCCAGGGCTGTGGTGGTGCCACCTTTAGCGGCTAATGCCATGCCCGTGTTTCCTTTGACCCACGGTGGCCTTTGGAGGCTGTGCTCCCACCTCCCTTGTGGGAGGACCACACCAAGAGTTGGGTCTCCAGATCTGGCTGTTTTCACTGGCAAGGTGTCTGTTTGAGTTCTGTGGTTATAAATAGCATTTCTGTGGTGGCTTGTGAGCAGGCTCACTGCCTCCTGTAGGACCAGGGGGCAGTGGTCTCAGGAGACTAACCTCGTTCCTGAGTGCTGTGTGCTTATGTCTGATTTCTTATTGTGTTGTGCCATTCAACGTCCAGGCCAAGAAGTGGCTTTTGGGTTAAGAGCCAGCTGTGGCCAATATAGTTGAGTAGAAACTTGATCCTTGTTTACTGGGGAAACTCTCTGTTGCCTCAGGGCCAATCTGTGGAGTGCACAGTGGTCTGAGCGCCCTGCTCCAACCTGGAGGAGGGCTTCAAGATGGGCAGGCCAGACCAGGCAGGCCCACCTACAGGTCCCCCAATGGCAGGTCCGAGCATCAGCTTTGAGGGGTGGTCCAATGGGTGGCTACTAGGCACATAGAGATGTGCCTAGGTGTGGAGCTGGGAACCTCACCTGGTCTCAAGTTCTCTGCATGAGGCAGTGGAGCTGCCTAATCTCATCCAGGAGAGTGGGTCCTCCAGGTGCCAGGAGATCTGCTTGGGTATGGAGCAGAGAGGGCCCTGCTGCACCACAGTCTCTGCACAAGAAGGGAAGGGTAGCTCTGGCTGCAGATCCAGGCAAGTGGGTGCTCTGAATGCCTGGAGATACTCCTGGGTGTGGGGAAGAGAGGGCCTCACTGTACCACGGTCTCTGCACAGGAAAGATGGGTGGCTCAGGCTACTGATCCAGGTGAGCAGGTGCTCTGAATGCATGGAAATCTGCCTGGGGGTGGAGTGTAGAAGGCCCTGCTGCACCATAACCTCAGGAGAGGAGGCTGGGCACCCAGCAGGGACACATGCAAACCAGTTCCAGGCCACCAAGCTGGCTCTGTCTGCACGCCTCATTGCCCAGATAAACCATGGCTACAGCGACTCTCCTCTTACTTTTGGACCTGTGATGGGGGAGAGCACAATTCTAGTACCTACTGTTGGGTTACTTTCTATATTTGTTGCTCAGTTTTGGCTGTGGAGGCCTTTCCCCTGCTGCAGAGCAAATGCTGCAATATTTGATCCAAGACTAAATTGTCTGCATGACCACACTGCCAAATTGCTGAAGAATGACTGCCTTGTTTGAGCCTGGATTAAAAATGGCATCCCCTTGTCATTCCTGGTTCTGAGAAAATACATGCAGCTTTTCTCAGTGTGTCCGTCTCAGCGTCTGTAAGCTTTTCCCCAAGTTAGCTCCAAGGCTGAAGAGAAACAAAGTGCTCTCCCTCGGCCTGGGTTGCGCGGATCCCTAGCAGTAAGGGAAATGACAGCGGGAGGTCCTCTGCCTCTTATGTATTGAGGCTTCACTCACTTTTACCAGCCAGATGCCATCATGGAGGCTGTTTGCCCACCTTCTCCTCTCTGGAGTCTGGGGTGTCCTTTGCTGTTGAAGTGGATTTCCGTTTTCCTGTTTGAATTAAAGCTCACAGGGTTTATCTTTATGCACTATTTTGCTATTTGCAAGTGGCTGAGGTATGCGGAAAGCCTCTCATCTGCCATCTTGGGAAAAAAGGTCATGTGACTTTTGAGGGACTTAAGTGACCGGTTTAACCTCATTATCAGTTTCCTCATCTATGAAATAAGAAAAACGGAACTACCTCCCTGATGGAGTGGTTACAGGGATGAAGTGAGCTACTCCATGCCTCTCACTGCCATTTCCAAATGAGACACATGAAGCTCATGGAGGGTCATCAACTTGCTCGAGGTTATAGAACTAAAAATGGCCAAACTGGGATTTGAGCCCACTCTGTTTCCAAAGCCTGTCCCTTAGCTCTTCCACTGTTGTTGTCTGATGAAGTATATACAAATATATGCATTTAATATTAAATGACTGCAATTACTTGTTTGCTTTTCGAGAAAATCAAGGGGTTAACTGATTTTTACAGCTAGAGGGTAATGACAGGAAAGCAAACTCCTCTCCCCTGGTCACCTACCCTCTCCTCATACTGCTTTTAGTGTGCTGTCTCCAGGGTGACGTACACCCCACAGCCAAGACAGTCTCTCTAGGATCTTCAGACAGTGTCAGGCCTCTCTGGTTACCATCTTCCTCCTCATCTTCATCACCATCAATATAATTCATATAGAATAAGAGTATGTCTCACATTTACTAAGTGCTCATATTCTGTAAAGTACATCATGATTCAGATCCTGCTCAACAACTCTGAAAGGTAGACATTACTTTCATCCCTGCTTTACAAACGGAGGAAACTGAAGTTTAGGTGAAGAATTTTGCCAAATTCACATAGTTGGTAAGTGGGGATTCAGACCCAGGCTGCCTGGCTTTGGAGGTGGATTCTTAAGCCCTAGACTCTGCTGCTGCTCCTTCCATTCGAAATGGCTTTAGGTAAAAACCTTTTGTCTTCATTGTGACTGTTTAATAGGCTACACTGATCCTCAGAAACAGCAGATAACGGGATTATTGCGGATTGAACTGAATCACTGAAAATAGAATATTTTGATGTCTCAAATATATTTTCAGAAATCTAAAATTATACCAGATAGACTAAGTGGGGAAAGATAAACATGGAGTATCACATAATATATGAAAAACTAACTTTTCTAAACTGTAAACAAATGTATTGAGAATAAGCTACATGCTTTCAGCAAAATCATTGTAATTAAGAATGATAAAGTATACATTAATACATATACTGTTGAAGCTTCTATAATCATATAGCCATTTACATCAGACTAGGATACTTGTAGAGAAGTTTTTAAAAAATTTTTTCTGGAATGATTTCCTTCCCCTTCTAGATCGGCAGGATTGGGAGAAGGGTATTTTTCTAGACTCTGAACGCATAGCCACTTCCTCTTTTTACCTTTTTCTGGGTCCCTCCTCAGTCTGTAGTGCCCTGTAGTCATTTGGTACAAGTATTTCCTTCAGGCGACAGCCCAGCAGCACTGAGAACTGCTCACTGTGGACATGAACCCCTCCTGCTGTGTTAGTGAGGCTTGGTGCCTGTCTTCTCTGGGTCTGCTGCTGACACAGAGCTAAGCACATGAATTATCAGACTGCGATCTGAGCTGAGACAGATTCTCTCTGCTAGAAATTGAGAATTAGGATTTGGGGAGACTGAGCCAGTTACTATGAGGTTGTCTCTGGGCTTTGGGGCTGAAGACATCTCTGTGCTGGGTCAGGTGTAGGCAGAACAGAGAAAAGGCAGTGATGGGGAGAGAATCTGGCAGCTCCTCAGGAGGGAGAAGAGGAGTGGGAGAGAAGTGGAGACTTGCTGCCTTGACTCTTGATGGCCTCTCATTACTAATCCAAGGCAGTCTTGAGTCCCAGCTCTTGTTACTTCCTGCTGATTCCTTTTAATAAATCCACTTTTACTTATGCCACTTTGGCAAAGTTTTGGTTGCAACCAAATCATCTCTCCAGCAGTGTGAGAAAATACAGAGTGTGAGGCACTTGCAGTTCAATAAAGTTACAGATACATAGTTTACTCAGTGAGTTTGGTTTAACTCAGTGTAGTTTTTATTTCCCTTACTGCAGGTGTCTCCTGCCTGTCCCTGAGGCTGGCTGCTTCTTAGGCCCAGTCCTTAGGAAAACAGATGGAGCGTGTGTGTCTGGTCAACATAGTTTTAGGTAGAAACTGGCTCTTTGAAGCCATTCAAACCTGAGCCTATTGGTTGACTCCCAAAATTTTATGGCTAAAACTTGTTTAACTTTATTTTTCAGTTTTCTCAGCCCACAGTTTAAACCAGAAGTAGCTTTCCTCTGAACTTCCACTAATTTCATTTACTAGATCATGTTTTCTGAGATCTTAGTCTCTATTCTGTGCCTTGCATTCTTCCACATCTCCTGGCTGGTCCTCTGGCCTGCCGGTCCTTTGGTCAGGTAGCATTTTACAGTTCCCTCCTCCATCTGACAGCCTTTTCCTCTATCTAGCTCTGAAGCTTTAGTACATTAAGACCCACTTTAAAAATGTGATGAGAGCTTTGGGTTCTGTTTCCAGAAAATTGAATGTTTATATATACACACACACCAAAAAGTGTACACTTTCAGGAATTTTGGGGACTTCTCAGGTTAGGAACCTAGAACCCTGGGGAAACCAAGAGCTGCAACATGATCCATAAAAAAATGGGGTCTAGAACATTTCTTCAGAGTCAGCCTTTGTGGCCTTTTAGTGTTGACTTTTCCCCCACACTTCCGTGTAGGAACTGAGAGGAGAGGAGGTAAAGATGCCCCTCACCTCAGACTCATGCTTTATTCTGTCAGTGATGCTGTGTTCCTTTCCCCACCTGGGGCCAGCCACCAAGGAAACCTCCTATTAAAATAATCATTCCTGAGTTTGGCCATGGAAGGTATGAGCCTATACCAAAAGACGTTCTACTTAAATAATGTAAGATACCCACCTTCCATTGTTTTGGATGCTCCTTATCGGGGACCTGCCCCGATAATCACGTAGGTTCTTCTCTATTTTCCTAAGTGTCGACTGGCTTGAGAAATAAAAGGACAGAGTACAAAAGAGAGAAATTTTAAAGCTGGGCGTCCGGGGGAGACATCACACATTGGTAGGATCCGTGATGCCCCACAAGCCACAAAAACCAGCAAGTTTTTATTAGGGAGTTTCAAAAGGGGAGGGAGTATACGAATAGGTGTGGGTGACAGACATCAAGTACTTAACAGGGTAATAGAATATCACAAGGCAAGTGGAGGCAGGGCGAGATCACAGGACCACAGGACTGAAACGAAATTAAAATTGCTAATGAAGTTTTGGGCACCATTGTCATTGATAACATCTTATCAGGAGACAGGGTTTTGAGATCAACCGGTCTGACCAAAATTTATTAGGCGGGAATTTCCTCTTCCTAATAAGCCTGGGAGCGGTATGGGAGACTGGAGTTTATTTCACCTCTGCAATCTTGACCATAAGAGACAGGTACGCCCTGGGGGGACCAGTTCAGAGACCTACCCCTAGGTGCGCATTCCCTTTCTCAGGGACGTTCCATGCTGAGAAAAAGAATTCAGCGATATTTCTCCCATTTGCTTTTGAAAGAAGAGAAATATGGCTCTGTTCTGCCCAGCTCACCGGCGGTCAGAGTTTAAGGTTATCTCTCTTATTCCCTGAACAATTGCTCTTATCTTGTTCTTTTTTCAGGGTGCCCACATTTCATATTGCTCAAACACACATGCTGTACAATTTGTGTAGTTAACGCAATTATTACAGGGTCCTGAGATGATATACATCCTTCTCGGCTGACAGGATTAAGACATTAAAGCAAAGACAGGCATAGGAAATCACAAGGATATTGATTGGGGAAGTGATAAGTGTCCATGAAATCTTTACAATTTATGTTTAGAGATTGCAGTAAAGACAGGCATAAGAAATTACAAAAGTATTAATTTGGGGAACTAATAAATGTCCATAAAATCTTCACAATCCACATTCTTCTGTCATGGCTTCAGCTGGTCCCTCCGTTTGGGGTCCCTGACTTCCCGCAACACTCCTGATATTCAGCCTTCTGCCTGAATGAGGAGGAGGAAAGAAATTGATTGGAGGGCAGATGAAGAAGGCACCCCGTCCTTCAGGTCAGGTCTTCATGGTGCAACCTCATTATCTCATTTGAATTCTTACGAATGTCTCCCAAATTCAAAACATTCAGAAGCACAAATGCTGCATTTAGTTAGTGATAACCAGTAGGTAAGCGTTTGCACAAATCTCAGTTCCTGTATCTTTGGAATGGCAAACAGTAACATCCTACCTAACTAAACATTTTGACGAATGAATGTTAGCCAGAAAATGGCTAAACTAAGGGCTAACAGTCTTAGCTCAGGCACACTGGGGCATGACAGTTCTAGTTCTGCTAGACTTCAATTAATCTTCCAATTTCCAAGATAACTAAAAGTCAGAGTGGGCAACGTGGCCACTTGATGAAGCGGGCCTCTACAGAGGGTCCTCCAAATAGGAGTCTTTCGATGGAATCAATCCAAATGCCCATGAGTGGTAGACCAGATAAAGAAAATGTGGCACATATACACCATGGAGTACTAAAAAGAACAAGATCATGTCCTTTGCAGCAACATGGATGGAGCTGGAGGTCTATTAAGTGAACTAACATAGGAACAGAAAATTATCACATGTTCTTACTTATGAACAGGAGCCAAACATTGAGTACATAGGGACACAAAAAGGGAACAACAGACGCCGAGGTCTACTTGAGGGACGAGGGAGGTCGGAGCACGAGGATCACAAAACTGCCTATTAGACCCTGGGCAACATGGTGAAACCCTGTCTCTACAAAAATACAGAAAAACGGGCCTGGTGTTGTGGTGCATACCTGTGGTCCCAGCTACTTGGGAGGCTGAGGTGGGAGGATTACTTGGGACCAGGAGGTCGAGGCTGCAGTGAGCCATGATCACACCATACACTGCAGCCTGAGTGACAGAGAGAGACCCTGTCTCAATAGAAAAACAAGAAAAACTACCTATTGTTTACTATGCTTTTCACCTTGGTGACAAAATAACCTTTACACCAAACCCCCGTGACACACAATTTGTCTATATAACAAACCTGCATGTGTACCCCTGAACCTAAAAAAAAAAAAAAATAAATAAAAGAAAACAAATAGAAGTCTTTCCATTAGGTCTAGGGCCCGCTTCTCTGGGTATGTTAGCGGTCCTTAGGGCCACGTCTTTGTCTGGAGATTTACTGGAAGGACCCGTGAGACTCTGCATTTAGTTGCACTCACAGTTAGATTGAAGGCAGCCCTGTAGTGAGAATATGCAGCCAGATCATAAGAGAAAAAGACACAGGTGGCATCTGCAGCAATCCAAATCCACATCCCGGCTTCCTCATGTTTTTTCCCAGGAGGGGCCTTACGGAGCTTACTCTTCCCCAGCAACAAAAATGTAGCCCCAAGTGGATGATGTTTCAGTCCAAGAAAGCCCAGGTATTAGAGACTAAGTGCCCAAGGTTTTTGTTGGGAGATAGTCACATGCGCATCCTTTACCTAGTGTGTACCAAAATTCCAGGCTCCCAGAAGGCGAGGAGGTATTCAGCATGACAACTGCACATGCACAGTTTTGTACAAACAGTTTGGGCACATGGGATACACCCTAACCATTTAGGGAATGTTTTATATCAGTTTATAGAACTGTGTACCAGCCAAGTTCCCAGATGCCAAAACAGGTCCAAGTTTGCAGGCAGGCCTTTCTAAGGATAGTAGGCTCAGGCCTGCTGTGTTTACTCTTTTTCTGCACGCTGAGTACCTTTTAACTGCCGTAGTGAGGAACTTAGGAGCAGGGAAGAGGATGACATTCTGGTTCTCCTGCAAGGATGCTGTCATAAAGATTCATAGCCTTTCCTCTTTTGCTTTGGCAGGGTCTCCCCGTTCTATAGGTGAAGTGCGAATTGTCAGCCACATTCAAAAAGTGCAGGATTAACTTCAGTGTGGAGCCTGGGAATCCAGAAGAATGTGGCCATTACGGGTTAAGGAAATTACAAGCCATGCAGTCTTATGTCACTGGATTAATTTGGCACAGGATGAAAAGTCCCTCAAAAGCGCTCCTTGTTTTAGCTTTCCAGTTGGTTGATTTCTCTTTGAGAGTGACCCTGGAGGGCAGAATCAGCTCTGTGAGCTTTCTTTCTCCTTCCACCCCTAAGCCTGATTGCATGCTGTCGTTCGGTCCCCACATTTTTTGGAGAAGCCAGGTGTTGCCACGTTTGTCCTGCTCTCTCGTCTACATCTGGTCAAACTTCCCCCTTCACACTGAGTCACACTGACCACCCCTCCCAGATCTGCTCCCTCTATTTGTCTTTTGGATTTTTCTCTAAAAAGCGTTTTATTTTGTATTTTTAAATTTAATTTTTTTTGTGGAGGAGTCTCGCTCTGTTGCCCAGCGTGGAGTGCAATGGCGCTATCTCCGCTTACTGCAACCTCCGCCTCCCGGGTTCAAGCCATTCTCTTGTAGCCCTCCTGAGAGGCTGGGATTACAGGCGCCCACCACCAACCCCAGCTAATTTTTGTATTTTTAATAGAGATGGGGTTTCACCATGTTGGCCAGGCTGGTCTTGAACTCCTGATCTCAGGTGATCCACCTGCCTCGGCCTCCCAGAGTGCTGGGATTACAGACGTGAGCCATTGCACCTGGCCGAAAAAGCCTTTTAATAAAAAGGTTTAAAACAATTTCTAGACTTCTGCCATCCAGTATTAGTGCCATTTTCCTCCTCCCATGAGCCATCTTCAATTCATTTAAGATGGCCATGGAAGGTATGAGCTTGTACCACGGGACTTTCTACTTAAATAATGAAAGACACCCATCATCTATTGTTTTGCGATGCTCTGGTATTCAGCCTTCTGCCTGAATGAAGAAGAAAGTAAGAAACTGATTGGAGGGTGTATTGAAGAAGGCACCTCTGTCTTTCAGGACATTATTAGTCATTAGTCATTACTACTTCTTATGCAGATATTTGTAGAATTACCTTCTTTCTAATATCTTACCTATGCATACCTAATTCATAATGATTTGGGAGCAGGGTTTGGCTTTTGCTTTTGTTTATATCTTGTTCTTTCTTGACCAGATAGTGATGAATTCTTTTGATTGTCATGCAGTATTCTGTAAGTTTTTCTTGATATGACAGAGATACATTTATCTAGAATTCTAGAGCAGAGTCAAACCTAATCATTGGAAGCTCTAAAGATCTGTACTCTGCCTGGAATTTGCTTCACAATAATTTTAAGGGTGGGAATATAGATGAACTAAGATTGGTCATGAGTTAGTAATTGATTCGGCTAGGTGATGATGTATGTAGGAGTTCATTATATTATTCTTTTTCCTTACATTTATGTCTGAAATTATTCATAACAATAGTTAAATGACCTGATACTTGTTGCTAGCATCCTTGTATACAATTATTAATTTATTCAGCAAACATTAAGCTGCTATGTGAACAGGTACAAAAGATTAAAAAAGCATGTCATGCTTTCTAGAAGTCCAATATTTAGTGAGAAAGTCAGCTGTGCAACTGTGACACAGTAGAAACCCAGTAGCATGGTCTGGAGATCGTCTGAGTTTGGACCTACAAGGAGCCTGTCGTTTGCTTTGTTCAAAGCCAGGTTAACACCATTTCTGCAATTTAAAGACTTCGTGTACTAAGCATTTATTTGTGAGTCAACATAGTTGTGTCTTCAGAAGATTTACCTATTCCATTCACAGTAGTAGGCCTGCAGAGGATATAATGGATATAATTATGAAATACAAAACTCTTTTTCCTAAGCATTCTAGTCTGCTTGGGGGAGAGGGTAGGCATTAAAGGCTCAGTGAGGAGCTGGTGTTTCAGACATGGGCAAGCTCTAGTTCATGCAAACCGTGAATCAACAGCCAACCCTGAAAGGGTAGATAGTATTGATGTATCTGCAGTTTACAGATCAATGCAAGAAAATGAAGCTTGGAGAGCTGAAATTAACTTGCCCAAGGTCACACAGCTTGCTTTATTCATTTATAGCCTGACTTCTTCCAAAAGGGATTTCGGGCAGCTAAGCCACACAGTTAGAAAGTTCCTTGTGGTCTTTCTACTGTCCCAAGAAAAACAAGGCTGTATTTTTTTCCTTTTGAGCTTAAATGATGCATAGTGTTTCAGTCAACATTACTACATGGATGGCTTCAAGTTTAAATTGCACAAAAGTGCTTATGTATGTCTCTGTTGGAATGTGTGGGAGTAAGAAAGGAAATCCCTGTATTTGATTTCATAAAGTCATGAGCTTTATATAGTTGCTTGAGCCACACATGCCGGTGCCTGGCTGTGTGCACAAGAAAGTTCTTGTTAATCCTTGCACAGCTGGTGTGGTGTTTGTCGTCATTATTACTTATTCTTAATTACCAGAAGTGCACATGGGCTACAGATTTTAGCCTGTGCCAAAGTAAATCTCTAAAGTAGTTGGATTAATAGGTTATGGGGAAGATTTATAATCCTTTGTGAATGATACTAATTCTGTATATGTTCATATAAAGAAACAGTTGACATCAGAAACTCAAAATGTAGATCGTAATCTCAATGTTATTCTCAATATCCATCTCCTGTACTCTTTAATTTGTTGCTGAATCAACATTGCTTTATTCGTAGATTGAAAATGGAATTTATTTCTAGGCTATCCCATTCTTAGGCAATTGTCTGTCTTTCTCTGCCCCAGCAATACGTAAAAGTTGAAACATTCTCCTAGGAAAGGCTTCAAATACTTGATTTCTCTGGAATGTCATTTATGTTTAGGTGGAAATGGGGGGAAATGACCGCTAAGAGGATTAGTCATTATTTTCATCATTTAATGAAGGAATTAGATTATTTGTGCTTAATGTGCTAATAAGCACAGAGTAAGCTGTACTTATTGATGGGTCGACGTGGAAAGGTCCTCTGAGTGAGAATTGTTTCTTGTGTGTAATCGTATTATTCTGTGGTTCCCGCAGAACTGTGTTTCTAGGGCCACAGACAGATCCACAGTGTAACTTTTTTGGAAGTCTATGTGTTTTTATCCACATTCTATGTAACTTAAAACCCTTTTACTTTATTTTATTATTGAGATAGATCCAAACTGTTATAAATTGTTTTTCATTCTCCATTGCTACCCATTCTTGGCAGCCTTCCCATTCATTCCTCTAGGTCAGTGATAACCAGTTTTTATGTTTCACATCCTTTTGAGGATTTGATGAAAAATAATCCACTTTCTGAAAACATACCAGTGCGTATACACCATTCATATACGATTTAAGGGCACACAGTACCTCCAAAGTCTATGAATAGACTTGGTTAGAAACCCTGGCTCTAGGTGAAAACAGCAAGGGTGATATTAAAATACTGTAATAAAAATATGTGATCTACTTACAGTGTGGAGTGTGGGAGGAGTAGGGAAGCTTATCAAGTTAGAGCTTGCCACATGTTACCGTATATTATGTTTTCCTTATGTATTTACCAGCATTATTTCTTGTCTACTTATTATTATCTAAAACAGATATCTCAAACATGTTTTAAGATGACAGAGTAAAGACAGATTTGTCAGCCTTACAATACAGACCACCAGTAGGTTAGAAGAAAAAATAATAACCTGGTATCAGTCAGAGACAAAGGCTAGAGACCAGCAAACAAAATTTCCAAAAATTTGCATGGTCCATCTCTCTCTCTTTTTTTTTCATGACGGAGTCTTGCTCTGTCACCCAGGCTGGAATGCAGTGGCGCGATCTCTGCTCACTGCGAGCTTCGCCTCCTGGGTTCACGCCATTCTCCTGCCTCAGCCTCCCGAGTAGCTGGGACTACAGGCACCCGCCACTACGCCTGGCTAATTTTTTTGTATTTTTAGTAGAGATGGGGTTTCACCATGTCAGCCAGGATGGTCTCCATCTCCTGACCTCGTGATCCGCCTGCCTCAGCCTCCCAAAGTGCTGGGATTACAGGCATCAGCCACTGCGCCTGGTGGTCCATCTCTTTTATACTCCCAACTTGACCTTCCACAGGGGGCCTGTATGTGTGAAATACTCAAAAAGCTCTTCTTTAGAAGTAGGTGCAGGAGATGGTTTGGGCAGCTTTGGGTAAAGACTTGCAACTTCCACAAAGGTACAGTCTCCTCCTGATTGTCCTCCTCTTTTCAGAGAAAGGAGAGAATAGCTAGGATATGGCCTATGGAAACCTCTATCATAAACACCCAGAGTTAGCCATCTCCAGCAATAAACAGAAAGGCAGTCGAAAACAAAACATCAAAATGGAAACTAAATAAAAAATGAATTGCCTCAGGAGAGGAAGGTGGGAAAGATGAACCCTGAGATAGAGGGGGATGTTTTGTTTCCTACCCTCATAACTTCCAATGTGATTGTCTTAACATGACCATCTCATACTCTGTCCATCTTGTGCCTTGAGAATGCTAGGAAGTGGATGATAAACTGGCCCAGACTGGCCATCTGAGACTGAGACTCCCTGGGGGACTGAAGGACCAGAGCTTCTGTTGGAATCGTGTACAGCCCAGTCAGGGGAGTGAACACAGCTTGAAGTGTGTTAGCAAAACCACAGCAATGAGGGCAATGACCAGGCTGCATAGATGCCTGGCTGAATCCTCATCCTCCCTGTACCCATTTGTTATGGACTAAACTGTGACCCCTCCCAAAATTCATATGTTGAAGCCCTAACTTTAACCATTGTAACTGTATTTGAAGGCAGGGTCTTGAAGGAAGTAATCAGGTGAAATGAGGTCATGAAGGTGGGGTCCTAACCCTATAGGCCTGGTGTCCTTAAGAGGTACATGCACAGAGCAAAGGCCATGTTGTGAGGGAACAGGGAGAAGCAGCCATCCACAAGCCAGGGAGGGAGGCCTCAGGAGAAGCTAGCCCTGCCAGCACCATGGTCTTGGACTTGCAGCCTCCAGAAGTGTGAGAAGATAAATTTCTGTTGTTACCCTGTCTGTGGTATTCTGTCATAGCAGCCCCAGCCGACTAATAACCATTCTCTCATGTGACAGAACACTGAGCAGGCAAAACTGTAGTGCACGGAAGAATAACACAGATATCCAAAACATGGGAAGAGATTCAAGAAGTTGTCACCCCTGGTGTAGTGGTGTGAATAAAAAGTGTTAACAAAGCTGTCCACTTAAAATATTTGTGTAATTGAAATTAACTAACCAAAATACCCAGTGTGGAATCTACAAACGTATTGCAGCAGGAGGGAAAAATGTAAACTGTACATCAATAATCTATTTTGGAAGAAATAACTGATCTAAGAAAGAGAAGAAATGAACTTACTAAAATTAATCTCTATAGAACTATTCAGTAAAATGGGAATTCAAAAATAAAGTGACTAAATATGATTCTTTAAGGGAGCTTGCTGAGCTAAGACAACAGACATCCAAAACAACATTTCAAAACAAATGAACAATTTAAAAATGGAAATGAGTAGAATCAAAAGTTAAAAAATGATCGTTGATGAAGCAGTCACAGTGAATGAAAGGAGAAAGACAGATGAGAAGATGGAGAAAGCATTGGATGTGGAGGACAAAGATGGCCCATCAGAAGGCATCAACACAGGTATAGAACCAGACACGTAGAACAGAAATAACTTTAATGGTAAAACAACAGAATTTTTTTTGTCAGAATCAAAGAATAACTTAACCTGGTCAAAGAATCCACTAAATTTCAAGAAAGATTAATTCTGAGGTTGATAAGTCTTGAGTATCAATTTCTGGCCACAAAGGAAAATGCCAGATTTCAAAAGGCAGAAATAATCACTTTTTTCTCATCCATAATAGTTCTCAAATTTAGGAATTACCAACAGTAATAATAGGAGCAAAAAAATTAGTCCCAGTAATAAGGAATTTTTAAAACTTTCATGTTTCATGGATTGAAGTAGAAACCTTAAAAATTATAGAATATCTAGAAAAAATATTACAAAAACAAGCATATCAAAACTGAAATGGCAGGGCAAAACTTACATTCTGAGAGAAGTTTATAGCCTTAAGTAACTGTATAGCTGAGTCAGAAAAAAATGAAATAAGCATTCACCTACTCCCCAAATTAGAAGATAATAACACATACAAAAGCAGAAATTAATGAATTAGGAAAGAGAAAAAAAGTAGCGTTTATGAATCCTAAATTTCAGGGGGGATTGGGAAGGATAAAAGAGATAAACTGTGGGCTAGTCAAGGAAAGGGATGGGGAGAGAGGGCCTACATGTATAAAAACAAATACAGAAATAATAGATATACAGTGCATATAATTTTAAAAATCTGAATGAAGTTAGTGAAATAAACTGAGAGAATTTTCAAAGAGCAATCATCTATTCCCCAAAAAGCACCAGAGTCAGATATTTTCACTGCTGAATGCTTTAAAACTCAGAAGAAACAGTTAAATCTTTGGATATTGAAACTGGTCTACACCATAGTGAAGGAAAACTGCAAATTCTTTTTGTGACGTCAGCAGGGCACTAATGCCAAGTCTGTGAAAGATAAAGTTGTAGATCAGTTTTACTTACCAATATTATATAGAGTTCTTAAATAATATTTCAGCAAATAGAATCAATACTTTATAACATTGCAGTTTAGGTCGTTTTCATCCCTGAAAGGGGATGATATTGAGCCACAAGCATGGCTCAGGATTTGAAAATACATTAGTATATCCTACTATTAAGTGAAAAGAGAAAGTCAGCAGATTCCTAAAAGCATTTGAGAAAATTTACATTAATTCGTGATACCATACTTCAATGAAACAGAAATTGTAGCTACTTCCTAAATATATCTTAAAATTTGTATTTTAGCCCTTAATTTAGTATTCTGTTTAATTGTTGAAATGTTTATAATATTGACAACATGACTTACTATTTCTATTAACTATTGCCCTGGAAGAACTAGACAAGAAGAGAGAAGAGAGGGAAACGAGGTGGTATCTAAAACCTGGAAGGGGAAAATTTTGCACTATCCACAGATATGATTGTGTACATAGAGAGCCCTGGAAAACAAATGGAAGAACTGTTATGCTAACATTGAGAGACAGGACTAGCTGGATTTCCTAGGTGGACTAAGAATCCCTAAACCTAGCTGGGAAGGTGAGGGCATTGACCTGTAAACACGGGGCTTGCAACTTAGCTCACACCTGACCAATCAGGTAGTAAAGAGAGCTCACTAAAATGCTAATTAGGCAAAAACAGGAGGTAAATAAATAGCCAATCATCTATCACCTGAGAGCACAGCAGGAGGGACAGTGATTGGGATATAAACCCAGGCATTTGAGCCATCAATGGCTACCCTCTTTGGGTACCCTCCCTTTGTGAGCTCTGTTTTCACTCTATTAAATCTTGCAACTACACACTCTTCTGGTCCGTGTTTGTTACAGCTGGAGCTGAGCTTTTGCTGGCTGTCCACCACTGCTGTTCGCTGCCATTGCAGCCCCACCACTGACTTCCATCCCTCCGGATCCGGCAGGGTGTCTGCTGTGCTCCTGATCCAGTGAGGCGCCCATTGCCGCTCTGGATCAGGTTAAAGGCTTGCCATTGTTCCTGCACAGCTAAGTGCCCATGTTCGTCGTAATGGAGCTGAACACTAGTCACTGGGTTCCACGGTTCTCTTCAGTGACCCACAGCTTCGAATAGAGCTCTAACACTCACCACATGGCCCAAGATTCCATTCGTTGGAATCCGTGAGGCCAAGAACCCCAGGTCAGAGAACACGAGGCTTGCCACCATTTTGGAAGCGGCTGGTCACCATCTTGGGAGCTCTGGGGCAAGGACCCCTGCCCTGCCCCCCTCGTTTACAACATGATGGGGGATTAAAAGGAATTACCAGAATGGATAGCTTCCTTACTACAAGAATCAGAAAATACAGTGGGAAAAATAGCTCCTATTAACAGTGTTTTTTTTTTTTTTTAAATTATACTTTAGTAGGGTACATGTGCACAACGTGCGGGTTTGTTACATATGTATACATGCGCCACGTTGGTGTGCTGCACCTATTAACTGGTCATTTACATTAGGTATATCTCCTAATGCTGTCCCTCCCCCTCTCCCCACCCCATGACAGGCCCCAGTGTGTGATGTTCCCCTTCCTGTGTCCAAGTGTTCTCATTGTTCAATTCCTGCCTATGAGTGAGAACATGTGGTGGTTGGTTTTTTTTGTCCTTGCGATAGTTTGCTGAGAAGGATGGTTTCCAGCTTCATCCATGTCCCTACAAAGGACATGAACTCATCTTTTTGATGGCTGCATAGTATTCCATGGTGTATATGTGCCACATTTTCTTAATCCAGTCTATCATTGATGGACATTGGGGTTGGTTCCAAGTCTTTGCTATTGTGAATAGTGCTGCAATAAACATAGTGTGCATGTGTCTTTATAGCAGCATGATTTATAATCCTTTGTGTACATACCCAGTAATGGGATGGCTGGGTCATATGGTATTTCTAGTTCTAGATCCTTGAGGAATCGCCATACTGTCTTCCACAATGGTTGAACTAGTTTACAGTCCCACCAACAGTGTAAAAGTGTTCCTATTTCTCCACCTTCTCTGCAGCACCTGTTGTTTCCTGACCTTTTTAATGATTGCCATTCTAACTGGTGTGAGATGGTATCTCATTGTGGTTTTGATTTGCATTTCTCTGATGACCAGTGATGATGAGCATTTTTTCATGTGTCTGTTGGCTGCATAAATGTCGTCTTTTGAGAAGTGTCTGTTCGTATCCTTCGCCCGCTTTGTGATGGGGTTGTTTGTTTTTTTCTTGTAAATTTGTTTGAGTTCTTTGTGATTCTGGATATTAGCCCTTTGTCAGATGAGTAGATTGCAAAAATTTTCTCCCATTCTTTAGGTTGCCTGTTCACTCTGATGGTAGTTTCTTTTGCTGTGCAGAAGCTCTTTAGTTTAATTAGATCCCATCTGTAAATTTTGGCTTTTGTTGCCATTGCTTTTGGTGTTTTAGACATGAAGTCCTTGCCCATGCCTATGTCCTGAATGGTATTGCCTAGGTTTTCTTCTAACTTAGGTTTAACATTTAAGTCTTTAATCCATCTTGAATTAATTTTTGTGTAAGGTGTAAGGAAGGGATCCAGTTTCAGCTTCCTACATATGGCTAGCCAGTTTTCCCAGCACCTTTTATTGAATAGGGAATCCTTTCCCCATTTCCTATTTTTGTCAGGTTTGTCAAAGATCATACGGTTGTAGATGTGTGGTATTATTTCTGAGGGCTCTGTTCTGTTCATTGGTCTGTATCTCTGTTTTGGTACCAGTACCATGCTGTTTTGGTTACTGTAGCCTTGTAGTATAGTTTGAAGTCAGGTAGCGTGATGCCTCCAGCTTTGTTCTTTTGGCTTAGGATTGTCTTGGCAATGCGGGCCCTTTTTTGGTTCCATATGAACTTCAAAGTAGTTTTTTCCAATTCTGTGAAGAAAGTCATTGGTAGCTTGATGGGGATGGCATTGAATCTATAAATTACCTTGGGTGGTATGGCCATTTTCACGATATTGATTCTTCCTATCCATGAGTATGGAATGTTCTTCCATTTGTTTGTGTCCTCTTTTATTTCATTGAGCAGTGCTTTATAGTTCTCCTTGAAGAGGTCCTTCACATCCCTTGTAAGTTGGATTCTAGGTATTTTATTCTCTTTGAAGCAATTGTGAATGGGAGTTCACTCATGATTTGGCTCTCTGTTTGTCTGTTATTGGTGTATAAGAATGCTTGTGATTTTTGCACATCGATTTTGTATCCTGAGACTTTGCTGAAGTTGCTTACCAGCTTAAGGAGATTTTGGGCTGAGATGATGGGGTTTTCTAAATATGCAGTCATGTCATCTGCAAACAGGGACAATTTGACTTCCTCTTTTCCTAATTGAATACCCTTTATTTCTTTCTCCTGCCTGATTGCCCTGGCCAGAACTTCCAACACTGTGTTGAATAGGAGTGGTGAGAGAGGGCATCCCTGTCTTGTGCCAGTTTTCAAAGGGAATGCTTCCAGTTTTTGCCCATTCAGTATGATACTGGCTGTGGGTTTATCAGAAATAGATCTTATTATTTTGAGATACATCCCATGAATACCTAATTTATTGAGAGTTTTTAGCATGAAGGCTGTTGAATTTTGTCAAAGACCTTTTTTGCATCTATTGAGATAATCATGTGGTTTTTGTCTTTGGTTCTGTTTATATGATGGATTAAGTTTGTTGATTTTTATATGTTGAACCAGCCTTGCATCCCAGGGATGAAGTCCACTTGATCATGGTGGATAAGCTTTTTGATGTGCTGCTGGATTCGGTTTGCCAGTATTTTATTGAGGATTTTTGCATCAATGTTCATCAGGGATATTGGTCTAAAATTCTCTTTTTTTGTTGTCTCTCTGCCAGGCTTTGGTATCAAGATGATGCTGGCCTCATCAAATGAGTTAGGGAGGATTTCCTCTTTTTCTATTGATTGGCATAGTTTCAGAAGGAATGGTACCAGCTCCTCCTTGTACCTCTGGTAGAATTCGGCTGTGAATCCATCTGGTCCTGGACTTTTTTTGGTTGGTAGGCTATTAATTATTGCTTCAATTTCAGAGCCTGTTATTGGTCTATTCGGGGATTCAGCTTCTTCCTGGTTTAGTCTTGGGAGGGTGTATGTGTCAAGGAATTTATCCATTTCTTCTAGATTTTCTAGTTTATTTGCGTAGAGGTGTTTATAGTATTCTGTGATGGTAGTTTGTATTTCTGTGGGATCAGTGGTGATATCCTCTTTATCATTTTTTATTGCATCTATTTGATTCTTTTCTCTTTTCTTCTTTATTAGTCTTGCTAGTGGTCTATCAATTTTGTTGATCTTTTCAAAAAACCAGCTCCTGGATTCATTGATTTTTTTGAAGGGTTTTTTGTGTCTCTATCTCCTTCAATTCTGCTCTGATCTTAGTTATTTCTTGCCTTCTGCTAGCTTTTGAATGTGTTTGCTCTTGCTTCTCTAGTTCTTTTAATTGTGATGTTAGGGTGTTAATTTTAGATCTTTCCTGCTTTCTCTTGTGGGCATTTAGTGCTATAAATTTCCTTCTACACACTGCGTTAAATGTGTCCCAGAGATTCTGGTATGCTGTGTCGTTGTTCTCATTGGTTTCAAAGACCATGTTTATTTCTGCCTTCATTTCGTTATGTACCCAGTAGTCATTCAGGAGCAGGTTGTTCAGTTTCCATGTAGTTGATCGGTTTTGAGTGAGTTTCTTAATCCTGAGTTCTAGTTTGCTTGCACTGTGGTCTGAGAGATAGTTTGTTATAATTTCTGTTCTTTTACTTTTGGTGAGGAGTGCTTTACTTCCAACTATGTGGTCAGTTTTGGAGGAAGTGTGATGTGGTGCTGAGAAGAATTTATATTCTGTCGATTTGGGTTGGAGAGTTCTGTGGATGTCTATTAGGTCCACTTGGTGCGGAGCTGAGTTTAATTCCTGGATATCCTTAACTTTCTGTCTCGTTGATCTGTCTAATGTTGACAGTGGGGTGTTAAAGTCTCCCATTATTATTGTGTGGGAGTCTAAGTCTCTTTGTAGGTCTCTAAGGACTTGCTTTATGAATCTGGGTGCTCCTGTATTGGGTGCATATATGTTTAGGATAGTTAGCTCTTCTTGTTGAATTGATCCCTTTACCATTATGTAATGGCCTTCTTTGTCTCTTGATCTTTGTTGGTTTAAAGTCTGTTTTATCAGAGACTAGGATTGTAACCCTTGCCTTTTTTTGTTTTCCATTTGTTTGGTAGATCTTCCTCCATCCCTTTATTTTGAGCCTGTGTGTGTCTCTGCATGTGAGATGGGTTTCCTGAATACAGCACACTGATAGGTCTTGACTCTTTATCCTATTTGCCCAACAGTGTCTTTTATCTGAGTGTAAGCCTAAATCAGCAAGTGAAGAACACCTATGTGAAGAAAGCTGCAAAATTATGCTAAGAGACGTGAGAGAAATCTCCTTGAGGGGAGGAACTACGTGGTTTTCTGTACTGCTGGCGGGGGTGTGAACTGGAACATCCTTTCTGTGAGGGTTTGGCAGTGTCTATCAAAGCTTGAAATGCACTTAGAGCCAGGTCCAGTGGTGCACGCCTGTAATTCCAGCTACTCAGGAGACTGAGGCTGGAGGAGCCCAGGAGTCTGAATCCAGTCTGGACAACATAGCATGACCCTGTCTCAAAAATAAAAAATTGACTTAAGCTTTGAAGGGCATCTCTCTGCTATCAAATACTCTACAGATATTCTCTCAAAATTTTGCAAAAATGCAAAGCACCTTCACTGCCACATTGTCTTTTAATGCAAAAGTCAGAAACAAATAGTCTTCAACAGGTGGAAGAAACATTCTGTAGCCTTTTGAAAAGAATGAATAGATTTAAATAGTGATAGTGATTGTGGCAGACTCACCCTAAGATGACCTCCAGTGACCCAGGCCCTTGTGTGCAAGTACCTGTAACTTGATTCTACCCAGTAGAATACAGCAGATGTAAATCTTTTATTATATAAGATTGTCTTAGACCAGAGAGAGAAATTCTCCCATTTGCTTGGAAGTAATCAACCACGTGAACTGTCTGTGGAGAGGGCCACGTGGCAGGAAACCGCAGGCATCCTCTAGGAGCTGAGGCAGCCGCCAGCCCATAGTCAGCAAAAGCCACGGCCTTTAGTCCTGCAACTGCAAGGAAATGAATTCTGCCAACAACCTGAATGAGTTTGGAAGCAGATTGATCCCCAGTTCAGCGTCCAGAATACAGCTTGGCTGACACCTTGATTATAGCTTTGTGGGCTGAGGACCTCCAGAGCAGAAGACACAGTTTAGCTGTGCTTAGCCTCTGGACCCATGGGAACTTTGAGATCATTGATAGCTTTCTTATTTAAAGCATGAGTCAGAAAATATAATAAGAGTAAGCATTTTGTTTTCAGCTGCTGAGATTATGCTAATTTGTTGCACAGCAATAGAAAACTAATACACTGAAAAATGGAACCATCTCCAAGACACTGGTATCCTGTCTCACTCTGCATTAAATTTAAAAAAAGAATCTCATGCCACTTGCTGATCCAACTTGCTCTTCATACCCTCACTTATTACACTTCAGGCACACTGGCCTATTTGGTATTCCTGGAACATGCTAGGCACATTTATGCCTCAGGGTCTTTGCACTTATTTGTTTATTCCCAGTGTCTATAACGCTGCATGTCCCATATTAGGCATTCAGTTAGTGTGTGAATAAATAATAAATATTTAAGTGTGGAACCGTATCTACTAGGATCCCTTGTGTATTCACATACATATATAAGCTAGGTGTGCTGGCTCATGGCTGAAATCTGATCACTTTGAGGGCTTGAGGCAGGAGGGCCACTTGAGCCCAGGAGTTTGAGACCACCCTGGGCAACATAGCGAGACCCCATCTCTATTTAAAAAAACATATATAGAAATATATATACAATAGTGAATTTTACAATATTCTGTATGTATCAGTATTATCAATTATTATGGCCCTTTTGTGGTTTTCTTCTTTGACTAAAAAGCCAACTAAATGGCTATTAAAATGTATATTAAAAAACAAATATTCTAGTTCTGTATCTCAGAGTGTAGAAATATGTCAATTTGACTAATCTGTTGGGTAAAACTAGAAGTTGCTGGAGGGACCAGGTTTTAATTTGAAGAAACTTTAAACAGTGAATCTGATTCTTCTTTGAGTTTGTACACCTTAAATTCTTATGTCCTTTCTCTTTCATGATTGAGGTTCTTGTGTCTTGTCCTTCGATGACAAAAACGTGAAGCAGTGAGAGAAGTATTTACATGTGTATGATCTATTTAATGTATTATGTTAATTGTGAAGCATTTACATGTTGAAGTTACTTTGGGAATGATTATTTTACTCATGCAAATTACCGTCTCATTACACAATATTAGGTGAAACAAATACATGTATCTCTTAGTGCAGATTAAAAGTAGCCACAAATTTCTTTCACACTCCTTCCGCAGAGATATGGGGGTCTAAGTATCTCTTTCCCTTAAACCTGAGTAGAACTCGAGACTGTTTTGATCATTATACTATGGCAGGAGTGACTCTTAATTAAGGCCCTAACACTGGCAGCTGCCACTTCTTTCCTCCTGGAACGTTCTTTTCTGGAGGAAGCCAGCTGCCGTGTTAAAAGTTCAGCCACCCTGGGCCTGCCAAGCATTGAGGAAGCCCATGCTCACCGTGTAGAGAGGCTACAGAGACGGGGAGAGATACCCGGCCTGCCCTAGCTGTTCCAGCTTTCCTGTCCAGGCACTGGACATGTGAAGAAACCTCTTGGTCATCCCAGACGTTAGCAGACATGACGTGGGGAAAACGGAGGCACCCAGCTGACAACGAAAATGGTGGGAACGTCAAATATATGACCCTTGTCAGCCTGTTCCAGCTATTTCCCGTCTTTTGCCTGACCCCAGCAGCGTCTGATCATTGTTGCTGTGCCATGCCCACATTCCCAAGCCAGAATATTCCTAGCATAATAAAATGGTGGTGGTCTGCCACTGTGGAGCATTAGAGAGCTCTTTCATCAACATACAGAAGCTATGTCCCACAGTTTCACTGAAAATGAATTTTGGTTTTGTGAATTTGATTTCCCTGTTGACTTACTTCCTATTGACTTCCAGAAGAGAGTACTTTTAAGGGGAAAAAAGGGAACATTTTAAAAAGATTATGTGTTTAAAGAAGAATAACCATGTTATCTGCATCTTTTCATGTGATAAAAAAACTCTGACAGTGAAAATGCAGTGAGAACCTGCCAGGTGATTAGTTACCCTCTCTTCATATTGTCTCACCCTATCAACAGCATTTGGGAGAGTCAGCTCCATGGCTAAGATTTCCATGCACCCTTTCCTTCCTCCCCATCAGCCCACCCCAGCACACATGCTTTGCTTATCAGTGGACCTTTGTGGCCTTTTTCTGAACAGCACTCAGCAGTACTATACTACCTGGATAGCTTTTCTTGATTTACATATTTTTGCATAATAGGATGTAGAAAAATTAGACGAAATTGCCTGTAGGTGCGGTGGGAGTTAGCGCACTTCAAGGAGGTTAATCATCCTATTCTTGGACAAAAATCTGTATAGAAGAAGAAAAGGGTTACTGTTTAGAGAGCTAAATAAGAATGACTTTAATATATGTGTTTGTGAAATGGTTACAGTTTATTAACCTTTTTTGTGTACTTACTATCTGACACGCTTTTCTTTCGGAAAGAGATAATCAGAATAAAAGGAACATTAAGATGAGATGAGATGACTGTTACAGGTCCTCCCTGAAATGATCAGGGCAACCCCATTGGCATGTTCACATGGTTACTCTGTGGATGTCATCAGGGAAGGAAGGGAGCTCGGATTCCAGCATGGTACAGGGAGTGTTTATCAGGGATGGAGGAAGAAGAGTGTGACAGGTCAGCTTGACAGGATTGCTCAGTAGCGAGAAGTATGAGTCACTTGGCTTACGTAGCTTGATGAGGATATCTTCTGGGGATGGGTATGTATTTTCTCCTTCAGCGATTCATGAGTCAGCTATTCAAGCCCTTCATGCGGTGTGTGAACCTCTTTGGAAAGCTCCCAGTCTTAACCTTGTAAAACTTTGCTGACACAGAACTCGCTGTCTCCCAAGTTAAACTGCTCAAGCATTGTGTAACTTCAGCAATTCGGAAGGCTTTTCCCCTCCTTACATTCAGCTGAGATATACTTTCTTCTCAAGCTAAATTCCCAGTTTTAACCTCTGGGGTCAAATACAAGGTTTACAAGGTTATTCCTCTTCCACTTGATATGGTTTTGGAACTTAAAAATTGATACTGTGGCTTGCTGGGTTTCTTTCTAGTTCCTTCAGTTGCATGACTTAGCTTTGAATGTTCCCGGTCACAGTCTTCGGAGACACTTCCGTTTCTCAGTAATTCTCTTACTGCAGAACTGAAATGTAATGCCCTAGCATGTCCCAGTCAATCAGGACTGCAGTTGGGTTAGCATCTTCCTCCTTCTGGATGTGCCCTGTGTTTGTTAATCCTGTCTAAAAGGTTATCAGCTTGCAATCATGGCCTGTGGTGGCCTCATCCTAGGCTTCCTGTTTATGTTGACCTTTTGCATTGCTCCTCCTGAGGCATACAGTCTCCATTGCTTGTCTTGTGTAGCTGCTTTTTAAAACATAGGAACTGCTTGATAGTTTTTTCTGTTGAATCTAGTATTACTGGTCTCTTTGTTTCCAACCTGCTGAAAGCATCTTGGATGCACTTCTTGCTCAGGAAATTAATCAGTATCTCCCCCAGTTTCATGTCCTCTGCTGATGAAAACAAAGCCGGTGCTAACAGTTACTGAATTAGAGCTCTGACACATGCTATTAGAAACATTTTTGTAGTTTTAAAGTGGTGGATCTCAACCTCAAGCAATTTTGGCCCGAAGGGGACATTTGGTAGTGTCTAGAGACAGTTTTGGTGATCCCCACTGGGGGTGGTGGTACTGCTGGTATGTATCTAGTAGGTAGAGGCCGGGGTGATGTTGAACATCTTACAGTGCACAGGGCAATCCCTCCACAACAACGACTTAGCAGTCCCCAAATGCTAATAGTGCTGAGATTGAGAAGCCGTCAGCAGATTAATGTAGTTCTACTAACAGTGTCTGTTGGGTTGGATGTTTTTAATCTTGTTAATCAGACGTACTATATCAGCATGTAAGACTGAATTCTCAAAGTGTGAACTGGGGTCACCTGAGACCTTTTCAGGGTTCTGTGAGGTGAGAGCTATTTTTCTGATAATTGCCCTTTTCACTCATTCCTTAAGATTGTAGTGTGGTGTTTTCCAGAGGCGATGATATTAAGACATTGAATTAAAACATTGAATGCAGAAGGAGACAGAGAGTCCGCTGTCTACTGTTAAGTCGGACGTTAAAGAGATTTGCAAAATGTGATAAAATGCCCTTCTCACTAAATTATTTTTGCTTTGGAAAAATCATTATGTTAATATGTAATGGTTTAGTATTAAATAATACATATATTTAAAAGTTTTAAATTTTTTTTACTGTCAAGATCAACAGATAATCCACATGATCAGAAGTTCTTTGGGGGAAAAAAACAAAAAAGTTATTTGAGATCCTCAATACTTCTCTTTTTTCTCTTTTTTTTTTTTGAGATGGAGTCTTGCTTTGTCGCTCAGCTGGAGTGCAGTGGTGTAATATAGGCCCACTGCAACCTCTGGCCTCCCAGGTTCAAGTGATTCTCCTGCCTCAGCCTCCCATGTAGCTGGGATTACAGGTGCACACCACCATGCTTGGCTAATTTTTGTATTTTTAGTAGAGACAGGGTTTCACCATGTTGGCCAGTCTGGTCTCCAACTCCTGACCTCAAGTGATCTGCCCACCTTGGCTTCCCAAAGTGCTGGGATTATAGCCATGAGGCGCCATGCCTGGCCGAGATCCTCAATAATTTATAAGAGTATAAAGTCTTGAGGTAAAAAATGTTAAGATCCTCTGATCTAGGCTATATTTCTTCATTTTATGTGCAAGGATATAATGTGTTAACAATTTTAAAGGCCTTGTTAGAATGTAGATGTACAGAATTTTGATGTTTCCCAGTCTGGAAGCCCTGTACTGAAAGAAATTAATTCACATGTTTCTAGTGAACTTGTAGTAGTTTCTGGTTATCTTTTTCTACATTTCCAGATGGTCACCGTTTTTTAAGTAATCAATCCAGAGCCTAATTTGGGATCTCCATCTAGTCAGATGGACTAACTCAGCTTCAATTTCCTCTCCTCACTTTGTGCATAATTTTTGTTGCAGTTAGGAATGAGTGTTTGAAATTGCCTTTGGCCCTTTGAGTCGAGTTTCCTTTTGGGACCTCAAGTGTTGGAAGCGTAGGTGACTTTATTCAGAACGTTGTGAAGGCTGCTTTTGTGAAACCTCAGTTTCTGGTATCTGAATAAGGAACAGTTCTGTTCCTTAGAGTGAATATATACCTTGATTCCCAAACATTTTTAATTTTTGAAATTAAATTTCCTATAGTTAACTAATCAAAACTTAATAGATGTCTGTGTTTTGGTCTTAGTTTAAGTATACAGTTTTTAGTTATGTTTTCCATTCCCCTCCACTTTTTTTTTGTCATGAGGTTGGAGGGAGAATGAAGTTCTGCCCTATGAATGAAGTAGGTGAGGAATATAGTGATTAAATGGTATACCTGTGTTAATAACATGATGTTGGAGATTCCAGATATCTCTGGTCTGGTGCACCCCTTTTAGCTGGATCAGGAGACTGAGCTATAGAGAAGTTAAGTTACTCTTTCAAGACCACAGTGCATTTAAATAGCAATGAACATTATGATCTTGTGTCCTTTTATTAGTAATATTGTGTACCAGTGTTTAATCCCTTTAACCATTGGTTTTTTCATCTATATCATTAGAATAAAACTATCAACCTTGTAGGGTTGATCATATTATCTTTCATACCCTTTTTTTGGTTGAAAAATTTTAGACCCACAGAAAGGTTGCAAGAATGTTTACAATAAACATTGTATACCCTTTATAGTATAATTCTATTATTGCTATTTTTGTTGAATAATTTGAGACTAAGTTCCTTTATATCATAACCCTTCATCCCTAAATATTTGAATATGTGTCTCCTAAAAACAAGGACAAATTCAGGAAATTTGACATGGTCACAATACTGTTATCTATATATCATGACTCTAATTGTGGCCCGTAGTCCAACACATTGACATTAACTGGGAATTTGTTAGAATTGAAGACTATTGGGCTGAATCAGAATCTGCATTTGAATAAGAACACCAGGTGATTTGTGTGTGTGTAAATGTTTGAGATGTACTGCTCTAATGGTAGTCCATATTTATACTTCCCCGTTGTCAAATGACATTTTTAATAGAAAAATTGCCCCAATCCAGGATCATACATTATATTTAATAATTGCCATGCCTTCTTAGTCTACTTTAACTTAGAATAGTTTCTCAGACTTAGTCTTTCATGACATTGGCACTTCTGAAGTGTACAGGACAATTGTTTTATAAAATAATCATTACTTTGACTCTTCACAATTAGATTCAAGTTACATATTTTTGGGAGGTACATAGATGATGCTGATTGTTCTAAGTGCATCACAACAAGAGGCACATGACATCAGTTTGTTCCATTATTGGTGAAATTGATCCCTTGGTTGGGTGTTACTCTGGTTATTTATCAGAGCATAGCACATCACCCCAAAATTTAGTGTTTTGAAACAATCTTGTTATTTTCATGATTATAGAGACAAATTCAGGCAGGGCAGGGCGAGTTTAGCTTGTCTCTTCTCCTTGATGTCTAGAGCTTCAGCTGGGAAATTTTGAATAGCTGTGGGCTGGAATCATCTGGAGGCTTCTGCACTCACATCTGGTGCCTAGGCTGGGCTGACTCACAGGCTGGGCTCCCCTGGGACTGTTGAGCACGGCACCTATGTGTGGCATCTTCATGTAGCTTGAGCTTCCTCACAGACATGGCTGCCTAAGGGCTCCAAGTGAGTGTTCCAGCAAACAAGCTAGAGACTGTAGGGCCTTTCATGATTGAGCATCAGAAGTCATATATAGTTCACTTTCACATCAGCTATTGATTGAAGCAGTCAGGAGCCTGTGCAGATTTGGGAAATCTGGGGCAGGGAGATAGACTCCACCTCTTGACGGAAAGAGTGTCAGAGAATTTGTGGCCATGTTTTAAAATTGCCACAGGTAGTGACTGCTTTATTTCCTAATTGTAAATATAGCCATTTTCTCTTTGGAATTAACTGTAATCTATCAGGAGACACCCTGAGAATATTTAAGAATCCTGTTCCTTGGCATCTTTAGCCAGTTAGTTTTAGCATTAATTGTTGGCTCCTTTATGTTTATTAGTTGGGATTTGAATTACATAAAAATCTATGTGCTAATCCCCCAGTAACTAAACGCGTAAGAATAACAGATAGTGCTGGGTTCTTAAAATCCCTTCTTGGACAAAGATAAGCATGCATGACCCAATTTGACAGGTGGGCCATGTCTTACTGATGATAGTGCCAAACAATTATTAGCATGTCGACAGTAATACAGATGAAGGCATTCTACCTTCCTGTGTGTGTGGTTCTATGCCTATTATCCTGACTGTTCTCTCTCCTTTCAGTTAAGGGGATGTGCCTGACAGTGTGTCATTACTTCATTTATTATGATTGCAAACATTTATGTCAAAGCTGGTCCAAGGCCTAAGTGAAGTGATACCCATTGAGAGAACTCTCCCCCTGTGCTTTTGAGACATGGCTGCTATGTCTGAGAGGCAGTGAGTTCCAAACCAATAGGTCATCCAAGAATCTAAGCAGGAACATTTATACCTTTTAAGGTGCAGGAGCGAGGTAAAGATTATGCTTTGTCGTCATATATAAGACTTCTTAAACTGAATTGTGCAGTTCACACTGAAGGAGAGGCTGGTGCCTGGCACCAGTATGTGTGACCTCCACATAGACTTAAGTTGACAGGAGTGAGAGGGGGAACAGTGTGCTGTTTGAAATGTTTTTAAAATGTATTACTGCAGATTTTCTAAGCCCTTGTTTAGAAACATTTCGGTTGGATGGTAAGATCTACCTGTGTCCTAATGTGTTTAGAAATTGAATCTTGCCTCAAAGTTTAGTCTTAATAGATATATTAAGTTGGTGTAAAAGTAATTGTAAAAACCACAGTTACTGTTGCATCAACCCATATATTGCAGAGGCCACGTCTCATGTATAACCAGGGGCTGAATAAATTCTAGGAACCTGAGGTCCATATATAGTTGTATTAAATATATTGACTGTTTTCTTCCTTATGATGACAAAATGTTTTAAGAAAAGAAAAAGACCCTAAAGAATAGTCACCAAAATTTTGTAGAAATGTTCCTTTGTAGGGGATGGTGGGTATCTGTCTGGTTTTTTTTTTTTTTTTAAACCTTCTTTAAAGAGCTGTTTTGTGTTTGCCAACATTTCTACAAGGAATATAATGTGTATTATCACCTTTGTAACATGAATAAATTGTAATTTGGGAAAAAAATGTTTATCAATTAAAGCAAAGTGTTCCTATAAATTTTAGAAACAGTAATTCAGTATGAAGGCTGATACTAATCTGCCCCCCACCTTCAGGGCAGCCTGTCCTAAAGTGCCACCATTGACCACTTTCAAAACATGGATTTACTTTAGGCATTTTATTTTTATTAGAGCTGAAATGCAAATGGAAAAAAGAAAGTATTGGATTCTCTCTTAAATATGTAAGTCATTCCTGTAAACGTGTACTTGGAAAAGGTTTCAGATGATTCTGATAAATACATATACCTGCCTTCAGGGGATGTGTTCTTCATTGTGACTAAAATTCACACATTTCCTTTTGGAGAATGAAGAGGTCCATGGCTTATTTTTTCTTTCTAGGAAAAGTTATGCCTGTAATCCCAGCACTTTGGGAGGCTGGGGCAGGTGGATCATGAGGGCAGGAGATCGAGACCATCCTGGCTAACACGGTGAAATGCTGTCTCTACTAAAAATACAAAAAATTAGCCGGGCATGGTGGCGGGCGCCTGTAGTCCCAGCTACTTGGGAGGCTGAGGCAGGAGAATGGCGTGAACCCGGGAGACGGAGCTTGCAGTGAGCTGAGGTTGCGCCACTGCACTTCAACCTGGGTGACAGAGCGAGACTCCATCTCAAAAAAAAGGAAAAGTTACTCTAGCCTACCCAAATGACTAGGGGTCATGGCTTGTATTCCAAAAGAAAAATAGCATTCACGTTGGAAATTTCATGAGATGATGAGTCAGTTAATTCTAAATGTATTTACTTATACTCAGTTTAAAGTTTCACCAGTGTCATTTAAGGAAGACTCTTTTTTATCAGGGTTCTCACTAGCCCAGGAGAGGAAGTCCTCTTCTTGGGTATCCTCAGGACTTTGGGACTGCCAATTTTACATTTACTACTTTTTGATCTTCTGTGCTGCTAGTGGCACCCAGTGATTTTTAAGGGAAGGCTTGAGGCTCTGAAAGAAGGGTGAAAAGAGAGGAGAAAAGGAACCTCAAAAGAAGTTGTAACCAACATCAAAGAAGGAGGAAGAAGAGGAGAAAAAAAGGAATGTTGTGTATGGACTATACCTTATAGTTGACATAGAGTATATTTTATTAATGTTAGTCTAGGCGTTTATTACTGAAATGTAAACTTTTTGTTTGCATGTGAGCAAAGGACACATTCAAAAAAGGCTTTGGCTTTTTACTCAGCGAAGAGTATTTGTAGACATTTGGGTTATGAAAGTCAACATTACAGCTATATTTGGGGAAGTGTATTCTTCTGACTTCAGAAATCGTATGCTGTGTTTTCCAAATGTTTGCAGGTGCAAATTGATAAAACTGCACCTGGAGTGTTTTTAAAGGTTTGCAAACCAGAAAACAACATTTTATAATTGGGGATATATGTTCACACCGTGAACATAACAGTGATGCAGCTTTGGCTTAATCAGGAGAGGTTCACCTGATATAGATGGGGAGAAAGTTTACATAGTGAAAATTTCTTTAATGCCATTTGGTTCTGAGCGTATTATCAAAGTTATTATTCCTTCTGTTGGTCTTTGTGAAACACTGGAAGAAGCAGGGCACTGATGTTGCATCCCTAGTTAGTGGCACTGAAAATGCTATGGGTGCAATAGGTAGTTCTGGAATGTGTTGTACTTTATAAAGTCTGGTTGATAAAGATTGTCAATATGCTGAAACCTTTAATGCAAAAACCAAAGTCTGCTATGCATCACTATTTAGCGTATAGAGTGCTACCGAAATCAATATGGTATGTCCCACTGGAACTTGGGAAAGGAGTCTAAAAATGTTTCCTGAAATAAAACATAAACAAAATTAGAAAAACAGAAACTCTACCAATTTGATATATTGTAGAAAAGTACTTTTTTCTTCTTTTAGTTTTAGTTGTAAACCTAAGTTGAAGTTGTTTTTTGAAAAGCTTATGCTGAGTCAGGGCCTGAGCCTGTGGGATGGGTGACCACTGGCAGGGAAATATCTCCTGTTCCCTTATTCCCTCTCTTTTCTCCTGGCTGCCTTTCTCTAGTCTCCTGTGACATGGTAGAGAGGGCCTCATACTGATAGGTAGCAGCAGGACTCCAAACAGGGCCCTTCATTTGCTCTAATGTCAGCCTCTTGCGTCTGTAATGCATAGGAAATCACTATGAGGAATTTCAGCTATTCAGCAAAATCTCCCCAGAAGAGGAAGTACATGCATGAGGGGTACTTTGTTGGAAAGAAGGGGTCAAAGCCGGCAAGATAGGAAGTAGCAGTTGGCTGTGAGGCCTGTTCTGGGAGTAAGGTCTGACTGCCACTGACTAGTGGTATGAATATGAGCAAATCTTTAACCACAGGGCCTCAGTTTGCTCAACTGTGAAATAATGGGCTTGGCCTAAGGGATAACTAGGATACTTTCCAGCTCCAAGATTCTGAGTTTTAGTGAACCAGAACAAACGTGAAACTGTAGAATATTTCCAGCCTCAAGCCTGAACCCGACTGGTATTTTACTGTCAGACCCTGTCGTCAATTCTAGTTAAATTTTCTAGAAAAGACCCTCATTTAGTCATGGTGATTCAAGGACAGAGAGTCGGAAAAGGTTTTCATTGCTTTCTCTCTGTACTGTTCACGTGGTAGCTACTCTGAGGTTAAGTCGTAGGTCGAAGTTCAGGTTGCCTGGGAGTGAACCTAGTCAAACAACCCCAAGGTGATCAGGGTTTGCTTAAACCTGTAGACTCCAAAGCTCAAAGTTGTATTTGGCCATTTTGTAACTATGCTCTTTTAGAAAGAAGATCGGACATTTTATTTCTGTCCCTCCTTTCTATGTTAACTTAGGAGAGCCTGCGTTGATTTCTAGCTGTCTTCTGGAAGTACCTCTGTCTGCTTATGGATAAGTGTAGTTCTGTGAAATAAGACATCAGCACAGAGGACACACTGTGAATGGGGCTTGGTATGACTGGGTGATGTTGGAGGCAATGGAACACATTGGTCAAGACATGTACAGTGGAGTGAGGGAAGTGGGTTCAAATCTTTGTAAGTCAAGCACTTGGCATAATGTCAGGCATGTGGCAAGTACCCAAAAGTTGCAACTGTTATTATTTGAGATCATAGGAATATACAAACATAATCTTCTATCATAATAAAGACCAGTGAACATGTTAGTAGAAACATCTTTTTAAAAAAGAATTACTGGAGCTGGATGCAGTGACTCATACCTGTAATCCCAGTGCTTTGAGAGGCTGGGGTGGGAGGGTCACTTGAGACCAGGAGTTTGAGATTAGCCTGGGTAACAAAACGGACCCTGTCTCTACAAAAACGTTAAAAATTACTTGGTTGTGGTGGCACGCGCCTAAAGTCCTAATTACTTAAGAGGCTGAGACAGGAGGATTGCTTGAGCTCAGGAGTTCAAGGCTGCAGCGACCTGTGATTGTGCCACTGCGCTCTATCTTGGGCAATTAGAGCAAGACCTTGTCTCTGAAAGAAAAAAAAAATTGAGGGAAAAAATGCAAATTGTTTTTTTCTCTGTTCTTATAACACAACAATCAACACAGAAAACCTTTGTGTCCAGATGTGTGGGGGTTTTTCCTACACACCAAGCAAGCAGTCAGCTCTGCAGCAAGCACCAGCTAGGTGTCCTCCCATTCAGTTCCAACACCGTCTACCTGGAGGTAGTGCCAGATGCCACAGATTGAGGGCTTAGTCCCCAAGACTGCCCCCTTTTCAGATGCTGGTCGCAGGTCCGGGCCTCCAGAAATTCTGACTGGCTTCCACTTGGGGTTCCCACAACCCCTGCTTTGGTTTTGATTAATTTGCTGGAGTGGCTCACAGAGCTCAAACACATTTACTGATTTGTTATAAGGGACATTGCATACTTTGGGAAGCTGCAGCAGGCAGATCACTTGAGGCCAGGAGTTTAAGACCAGCCTGGGCAACATGGTGAAACCTCATCTCTATTAAAAAAAAAAAAAAAAAAAAAACCAGCTGGGCGTGGTGGTACATGCCTGTAATCCCAGCTACTCGGGAGGCTGAGGCAGGAGAATCGCCTTTTATGGAGACTTCATTGGATGGGCATGATTGATCATCAAGCAGAAATATAATTGTACAAAAAGGGTCTGATCTAATGCTAATGGACTGAAAGAGAAACCCAGCAATGCCTGACTGTTCAGATTCTTCTTGGCCTCTCTGTGCAGCATTCCCTCCTCCAGAATATAGAGCGAGATGCCTTCCGAAATGGAGGTCTTACGACCTAAAGTCAGACAAGGAAGGTCAGAGAATTTATTTTTTTAATAGAAGATTCCAAAATAAAATCTCTGATTAAATTTAAGTCAAAGCAACATCAAATCATTATACATCAAATAATTCATTCCAAAACTAAACAAGTAAAACTATGTTTACCAGGTATAGACAGTACCTGATACCCCCTCACTTGTATCAAAGGTTGTGTGCTACTTTTTCTTTTAATATAAATAATTAATAGGTAAGCCAGGAAGGCCAGCTCTTTAATGCAGGGGAAGATACCTACTTTGGGGAGAGCAGAGAGAGATTCTGTTTTCTGAGGCCTGCTTCCAAGGCCTAAAGCATCCCAACATTATAATGAGAGCTGTGACAGTTATGAGCCAGTAACTATATATATATATATATATATATATATATATGTGTGTGTATGTAAAGGAATTCAGGGAGAGGAAGTGTGATATCATTACATAGATAGATACTGTGGACTTAAGTATTTATTAATTCAGTTCAATCAAATGCAGCAGGTTTAAGTTGTGTGCTAAAGCAAAATTTGCAGAGACCATCTTATATCCTGTTATTGGCAAAGTATTTCTGGCAGAAGTGGTGTAGTCATTTCCACATGTGGTCCCTGGTAACAGAGCATGAAGGACTTGGGGAGGGATTTATATAAATGGCTGAGTCCCATGAGCATAAACATCCATTGTGTTGTGTCTGAGGAATCTGTCACTCTGAACAGCGGTGCCAGACTTCTGTTTGTGCTGGCACTCTTAGGAGACCCGAGTAAGCAAGCACTTCCTTACCTGGCATGCCTACGCGTGGAGTGTTTTTTGTCATTGGATTGTCAGACTTGAGTTTTTCTTATGTTGTAAATACGTAGGTGCTGTGAAGAAATTTTCACCCTGTGGGGAAAAAGTTTTGAATAGATGTAATCTCTTGATTCTCAATATTGCTTAAGATGAGTTCATCTCTCTTAGAACAAAGGCAATGAGAGGTTTGATGCCAGGAAAGTTGGGAGAGCTGGGCAATCTTAGAAAGAGACCTGGGCACTAAGAGGAATTTGCATCCAGGCAGTAGTTCCAGAATTGGCAAATCAGTATTATGTTTGTGTATATATTATATACACATCTTGGCAATGTAGAACAAGATAAGCTACATTTTATCTTCTAGAATTTGATAGCCAAAATCACAGGTCAGAATTTTAAAGTAAACAGTTTTACTATTTCCTCTTCTTGTAGATCTAAAAACAGTGTCCCTTTAAGTCATTCCTGGTGTTTCAGAGAGACCATCAGAGCATGGCTTTGTATCCACAAAAAAAAAAAAAAAGGCTTCAGAACTGGGGGCACTGGAAGACAAAGTAAATGCACATAAAGGTAATGCATTCTCAGAACATGTAGAAGGGGATGGTGAATTTATGTAGCTATTCCCCATTTTACTCTTTCTAAACAGATATAAGACAGTACTAGCTGGTAGTATTTTTCCCTAAGAATTAAATGTTGTTTGTTTCATAAACCTATAATATTTTTATAGTTTGGCAGCAGTGACTTTGGAATGAAAGCCAACTTCAGATGCCAACTCTACCATTTTGAAACCGTGGAGACTTGTGCTAATTGTTTAATTTTTGAGCTTTGTTTATTTGTAAAATGTGTGGAACAGTACTTACCTCAAAGGCTGTTGAGATTATTAAACTGCTTATGAGAAAGCTTGCTACCTAGTAGGTGTTTGTTAAATGTTAAATGTATTCAATGAATTAGGAAGTAATTTATATCCAAAATTTCAGTGCTAAAGTGCAGAAATAAATACAGGAAACAGTTGTTTGATTCCAGGTTACTTGGGAATTTTGAAAAGGTGCTCCACTTGTTACTTTTCTTTAGCCTGTTACTTGATGTCCTTTTCCAGAGCACTTTAGAATAACTTGGCTCAGAGCACTGAATTTGGGGAATATTCAAGACTCCAAGAAATTAGTGCCCTCTAAAATAGCAGTTGAGTGGAGTCATGAGGTCTGAATTCATTTTTGTAATTATTTGCTGTTACAATTATATTATGAATACAAATAGCTACTATTTATTTCTGGCTACTGTGTGCCAGGGACTGTACTGAACACTTTATAAACATTATGTCACTTAATCCCTGTAGTACAGGCATTATGGTTCTCATTGTGCACATGAGAAAATGAGATACACTGTGTTAAGAAATAAGTCTGGCCCGGCATGGGCATGGTGGCTCACACCTGTAATCCCAGCACTTTAGGTGGCAGAGGCGGACGGATCACGAGGTCAGGAGTTAGAGACCAGCCTAACCAACATGGTGAAACCCCATCTCTACTAAAAATACAAAAATTAACTGGGCATGGTGGTGCGTGCCTGTAATCCCAGCTACTCAGGAGGCTGAGGCAGGAGAATCGCTTGAACCCAGGAGGTGGAGGTTGCAGTTAGCCAAGCCGAGCTGAGCCGAGATCGCGCCATTGCACTCCAGCCTGGGTGACAGAGTGAGACTCCACCTAAAAAAAAAAAAACAAAACAAAAAACAAAAAACGTCTAACCTAACCTTCCATAGCTGTTAAGATTTAAAAGCCAGGATAGTGCTGTCTCAGATGAGCATCTGTGATTTGCTACCTGTGTTAATCGGGATGATAGCTTAGCTTTCTGAAATGCTAATACAGGTTGAGTATCCCTTAATGGAAATGCTTGGGACCAGAAGTGTTATGAATTTCAATTTTTTTTGAGCTTTGAATATTTGCATTATGTGTAATAGTTGAGTATCCCACATCTGAAAATCTGAAATTCAAAATGCTCCAATGAGCATTTCCTTTGAATGTCATGTCAGCGCTCAAAAGTTTCAGATTTTGGAGTGTTTCAGATTTCAGATTTTTGGATTTGGGATATTCAGCCTATACAACATAGAGCTTATTGAGGGTGTGGTGTGTATTTAGAATCTTTGACATATTTTATACCTCAGGGCTTGGCAAGGTTCAAGGAATTGATTATATATGTACAGTGACAAATTTTATGAAATAATTTTTCTGGTGTTTTTTTTCCCTTCAGCTTTTAAGTTCTGGGGCTACATGTACAGGATTTGCAGGTTTGTTACATGAACGTGTGGCATGCTGGTTTGCTGCACGTATCAACCCATCACCTAGGTATTAAGCCCAGCATGCATTAGCTATTCTTCCTGATGCTCTCCCTCCCCCTGCCCCGCTGACAGGCCCCAGTGTGTGTTCACCCCAGGTGTCCATGGGTTCTCTTTGTTCAGCTCCTACTTATAAGTGAGAACATGCGTTTTTTGTTTTTTTTTTTATTCCTGCATTAGTGTGCTGAGGATAATGGCTTCCAGCTCCAACCATGTCCCTGCAAAGGACAGGATCTTGTTCCTTTTTATGACTGCATAGTATTCTAATATATATACACCACATTTTCTTTATCCAGTCTATTATTGGTGGGCATTTGGGTTGATTCCATGTCTTTGCTATTGTGAATAATGCTGCAGCAAACATACTCGTGCGTGTATCTTTATAACAGAATGATTTGCGTTCCTTTGGGTATATACCCAGTAATGGGATTGCTGGGTCAAATGGTATTAATATTTCTGTTTCTAAATCTTGGAGGAATCACCACATTGTCTTCCACAGTGGTTGAACTCATTTACACTCCCATTTTCTGGTGTTTTGATTTTGACTTTTGTTCATCCAAGATAAGTGTAAAATAGCTGTAGAATACCTATATCTAAATCACTGTTTCTTAGTCTTGGCTACACAAAAGAATCACCTGAGGAGCTTTAAGATGTAAACCAAAGAAAACAAAACAGACTCCAAAGCCTGTTACTCATTCCCAGATATTCTGATGTGAGCTAAACAGTGCCTTAAGTCTTCTGGAGACCAACCCGGGTTGGACCCAGCCCTGAGATTTGGACTGAGGTGCTGGGAAGGACTGAGATCAGTCCTCTGCAGGGTCTCATTTTGCTTGGTAGTCTGGCTCTGCAGTTTGGGGTTGCCTCCACACCTCACCCCCCACACCCTTTCCCCAACACCCTCACTTCAAACTGGAGGAAAGAGGTGGGGCAGTTTTCAGCATTTGCGCTGTTCCAGTCAGTATGATCCTGTAAGAGGGTCTGTTTGGAAGGTTTTCATCTGTCCATCACCAGTTGTTGGGATATAACTTTTTCATTGCTAATTTATGCTTTGGATATACTGGCTGTGTGTATGGTTTGGTTTTCTATTCTGGTGACATCCTAGAGGCATCTGCCATATTTGTAAACATCAAACATATTAGTAGGTAAGCCAGGGAGCTGTTTTAAATGTCACAGGTGCCATTTTTTTTATTTTTCCAGTGGAGTCATATTTCCTGGCTTTTCTTCTCTCCTTCACTGTTATCGGACTTCTCAATTTAACTGCTCTCCTGTTCCCACCACCCCACAACCTTCTTACATCTGAACAATGACAGATGACAGTAAATCCAGCTGTGGATAATAGTCCAGGCAGCAGAGGATTTTTTAGGCAGATAAGTAGTTTGCTATTGGCCAGAGTGGTCTATTGGAACACAGATTTTGTGGAAACATGGTGTTGGCAGGTTACCAGTTGGAGCAATAAATTAAATTTTCACTAGCACATATTTGTCTACAGTAACTTAAATCATTTTTTAAAAATTTCATTTACACATGAGGGGGCAGTATGGGACTATAAAGCAAATGCTGTCTTTGAAGTAGCTTATTTTTATTGGTATATAATAGTTTTTAGGTGCGAACTTTTTGACTGTGCAATTAAAACTCCAGCATTGTTGTTAGTTGTTCAGCAATACACATATGTAAGTGATATACCCTCACTTGTATCGAAGGTTGTGTACCACTTTTAATATAAAAAATATAAAACAGTGAGACATTCTCACAGTGCTTTTTGTTTTTAAATTATACATGTGCAGAACGTGCAGGTTCTGGGATAGATGTGCAGAACGTGCAGATTTGTTACATAGGTATACATGTGCCATGGTGGTTTGCTGCATCCATCAACCCGCCCTCTAGGATTTAAGCCCCACATACATTAGGTATTTGTGGGTTTTATATTCATGTTTTGTTTAAAGCTGGCTGGCTTTCTTCCTGTTTTCTGCTTCCACCTGAGGAACGTCAGCCCTTTGGAGATGCAGCTTCTATTAGGTTGATATCTCTAATGTATTTTACTTTATGACTTTATTGAAGAATGAAGGGCCTGCAGCATTGCTGGAAGGAAGCCTCTGAACTGGGGTCTCACAGCTATGGAGGGTCTATTATCAGTCACCTCTGTGTGATATGCTTTCTTTGTGGCACAAATTGCTTTTCTCAAAAGAAGAAATTTGCTAAGCAAAGGAGCAGCACATTTTAATTAATGTTGTTATTACTGATCTGTGAATGACATTATAGATAGATCAAGGTGCTAATATTCTAGGTTTCATAAATGAAAGGGGAAATAAAAGAGGGGTTAGAGGGTATTAAATGAATTGATAAAATCCAGAAAACATTTTATGAAAAATGTAAATGGGAAGCTAGAAAGGTAATTTCATAAGCATAGGCTATTTTTAAATGTGTAAAAAGTATTTGCAGTCATATGTTTCTGTTTACGTAGTTTGGAAAAAATTGAGGCCAACGTTTTGGTGTAAATATAACCTTCCATAAAATTTAATGGAATACTTGTTTTTACTGTTTTATCCTGGCTGCCTCCTTTGGAGATGAAGGGCTGTGGTACTGTCTATATCTGCTAAAGATAGTTTTATTTGTTTAGTTTTGGAATGAATTATTTGATATATAACAATCTGATGTTGTTTTGATTTAAATTTAATCAGAGATTTTATTTTGGAATCTTCTGTTAAAAAAATAAAAGGCTATGACCTCTTCCCTTCATTGGAAGGAATGGATTTTGGGCTCTAGCCTGTCTTGAATGAACTCCAAATCAAATGTTGTGGTGCTGGTTTACTGGAGTAACACACAGGTTTCTGTTCATGGTAAATAATTCCTGTCCTTTATGCTTTGTTGGAAGATTTTTCGGACGCCGCCCGATACTACATTCCCTGAGCCCACCTGCCTGTCAGCATCACCCCCAAATGCGCCACCAAGGCAGTCGAAGAGACAAGGCCAGAGAACCAAGAGGCCCGTGGCCGTCTACAATCTTTGTCTGGAGCTGGAAGATGGTAAGATGTTAATGATATTTTTTGCTTGATAGCATGTTGAGAGTATGGCGTATCATATGTCGTCAGGGCAGGCCACAGTTTTCTGTCATCTGTGTTTTAATTTCTTCTTCCCTTAAGATTATAATTTTGAGATTTACAGGGAGGGTGAAGCTTTTTTGTAAGGGAGAAAACGCAAGTTTCGGTTTTGTGTTTGTCTTTGTTATGCATGGTTCTTTTTTTATTTTTAAAAGACAGCTTAAATTTCTTTTTTGGGAGACTTGTGTGACCTCCTGTGAGGTTACATAACCCTGAGACAAATGGAAGGGGAACTAAAATTAAAGCAGATCTTTTATGAGAGGAGCGGATGGAGTCTCATGTTAAATGCATCTAGATTAAAGGCACAGTTCACCATCGCTCTGGGGTTTATGGCTTGTGTGCCTTACTTGCCCCATTTTTCTGACTTGTTCATCAGGCAGAATGCTTCATCTTATGGCAGGGGTGGCAGGTTGACCTGCCTACCTGGGCCAGGCTTGTGGGAACTGGGCTGCAGTGGAACTCTGGCCAGTGGAAGTTCTCACGTCCCTTCCGAGCCATGCTGTTCAGCTAATCGTTGCCACGTGGCCCTGTTGTTTCAGTGTTGCCAGATTGCCCAGTTTTTACAAAGCCTAGAAATCTGAGTTTTCAACACTGATCCATACAAAACAAGACTGGGAGCTGTGCACACGCCTCCCATTGCTAATTTGTAATCATATGGTTATTGGTGTGGAGAATAAGATGATTCTGGTATCCAAACCTGCGTTTTCAGTATGCAGCCTGAAGCTGTGACTCGTGTTGTGAGGCCTTCCTCTTATTGAGAACATTTGCTGAATTTGAAAGTAGTCTTCATTCTTCTTCTAGTCCTCTTTTTCAAAAAAGAGAATCTTTCATTTATTATCCTTGAGCTACCCAGGTTACCTTAGTTGGGAAGTGTGAGATTAGCAGAGTGAGGAAGGGGATGAGGATGGTGACAGATACCATGCCTTCATCATAGGCAGCTGCATGCACACACCAGGTGGTTAATATCCAGAGATCCACGCAAGCAGGTGACAACTGTCTTCAGCTTACCTGACTTAGAGGTATCTCTAGGAAGACTCGGAATGCCTCCTGTAATGACACAGGGGGACTAAAATGTGGGATTCTTTTATATTGCTTAAGACGTAGGTACATATGATACAAATATTAGTTTTACAATTGGATAGTTAATTTCCAGAGGAAGGGCATGAATCATTACAATTAAGCTATAATTTCAGAACTTCCTTTTAGACACTCATTTCAACTTCTGATCCTAGCTAACTTTTTTATTCTGTCTCTTTCTTACGTTCATTCTTTCTCAGCAGAGTTGTTAATAAGGAGTAAAACTGACTGTTTTGAATTGCACCTTCTCTTACACCTCACTTGTCCTCTGATGGAAGTGTTAATAAATAGTGAAATAAGCAAATGTTGGAAAGTAGGAAAGGAAAAAGAAATCAAGAAGACACAGAATACCTCAAATGGCTCATTGGCCCTTGAGCAAAATGGAATTGACTGTATTTCATGAGGTAGATGACTAAAGAAGGACGTTTTGGTCTTAGGATCACGTCTACTATTTTGATGTTCTTAGCAATGGAATCGTAATATCCAGTCAAATTTATTTAGTGGATTAACCTTTTGATCATTGGATTGCTAAGTGATTATTAATGGTAAGAAGTTTCTGTAGTGGTATTTAGCATATCTCTTATGGGAACACTCAAGCTAGTGTACAATCACAGCCTTCCTAACTTGTAGGTGATAAAATAATTCGTTAAAATTACTTGATTTTTAAGGGAAAGGATTGTCAGCTACTTAACTTCTTTAGTCTGGTTTTTATGTTCATTATTTGCATGATGTTTTGTTCTACATTTTGTATTTCATGAAGTATTTTATAGCTTTATATTCATCCTTGGTTGCAACTTTGGGATTTTTTTTTTTAAGTTGTCAGAATCAGGAAAACTCTTAAGTTTGGTCATAGTGATTTAATCTTATGTTAGAGGTTATATGATAAGATAAAGCAACTTAAAACTATTATTCTCCCTTGCCCTCAGTTTTTTGTAGTTAAGTTTTAGTTGTGTGAAAAAATAGTTATTTCAGAGAGAACAGAGTAGGGTCTATATTTTGTCATAGGCTTTTTATATTTTACATATTCTAAAAAAAAAAGAAAAGTGAATACATTTATTTGAAAGGAAGCATATAGGAAAAGAATACTAAAAAAACTTTCATGTTATTGAATGTCACTTAGCATATTGAAAATTTTACTGCCAGAAGAAGATGTATTCTTGTCATTACGACTTAATTTTTTTTAAAGTAGCTTGAATCATATAATTGTCAAAACGACTTGAAGGTTTCAAAAAGTTTAATTTTTTTGTATTTTTTTCTTATTTTAGTAGTGAAGTGACTTCCCATGTTAATCTAGTTTGTGTTAAAATATGCATTATTATAGACAACTTTGGTTGATTATTTTTCCAAATGTTCTAGTTTATATGGGACAGATAGAAAATGTGTATACAAATATGCTTCTCTCTTCCCTGCCCCCGCCCCGTGACTCATTGTAGTGTAAGTTAATTTGAATTAATTAAATACAGGATGAATAGTTTTTGCTTATAAGTTAGGTGTAGACTATCTGCCAAGATTTGAGGAACTGGATTGGATGACTGGAGATGTTCTTCAGGCCTATGATTTGGTCAGAGATTTGGTATTTGAGTGAAGTGGTTTGTGGTATGTTATTTCTTCTTCTGCACTGAGTAGAGTATGAAACTGTGTGATGTCCCAAACAGCCAGTCTTGGAACACACTCGGAATTGGTTTCAGTTCAGCATCAGGCAGATCAAAAAAGCATCAGCGAAGAGTCAGCAAGCCTGTTAGCATGTGTCACAGTAGGATGGGCCTGGATGCAGAAAACCCAGCATGAAGCCGGAGGGGAGATCCTCTGCTGGGAGACATGTTTTCTGTTATGTTCATTCAACCTCACCCCCACTCCCAATTGAGAGATGACCAGTTTAACTAAATAAACCGAGTGTCTTTACTTTAGTAAAGACTTCCATCGGCATTGGCGCATCTAGCCATACTGTGTATGCTCATTATTTTTCTTTGCAATATATGATTAAATGATATTAAATTTATTTGCAAAAGACTGTAAAATTCTAGTTACTTGCTTAAGCTTCTTTATTGATGATTAATATGAACTAAAATGGATATAGTATCTGGCTAGTTTTCTTAAATTAGAGCAGCTGTTAAATCTTTGTGAGATTCTCATCTTTTATTTTGTTGAAGCCATATTGCTCATTTTTCATATAACATTTAATCTCAACATCAAAGCTGAGTAGATTTGGCTAAGTCAGTTATGAAAAAGCAAAATATGACGTAGGCTGCTAAGTGCTGAAAAGATTAGAAATCAAAGGTTTGCTTTCATTTCATTTTCAAGTTATATCCCATGTTTTTATTTCTTTAGAACTACTAGTAAGATAACTCTAAAAATGTTAAATATATGTTATGTGTTTATTTTCTCCTGCCCCCACTCCAAGTGCATGTCCTTACAATCTCTTACATAAAGAGGGGCTGTTGTGTTTATTGTAATTCCCCCAAATACAAGGAAAGTTCAGGAGGCTATATGAGATCAAAGTGATCTTTGTTATTTTTCATTCAAGGCAGAAGAAATTTTAAGCAAAGGTCTGGGGAGTCGGGGAGAAGAGGATTACCATCTGAATCTCTTTCTTCATGCTAGTTCTAATTTTAAACAAAACTAGACATTTACAGAACTAGGTTTTATATGTATCTTCTGGTGTAATTAAGTATTCTTTGCCTGTCTTCTTTTGTAACATGATACAGCAGCTTATTTAGGCAACTTAAAAAAATATGACTTATAGTGAGTTGAAAACAAAATCATCTTGCAAGCCAATTGGCAAGATTTAATAACATTTGAGTGTTGGTCTTACTTGGGTATCGTCGGGTTGGCACTTTAACATTTGGATCACGAATGTGCTAACTGCAGCACATTTTGTTGAGCATGTGTTATTGTAGTCCTACAGCGTGGTAGATACCGTGATGAGGATACAGAGCCTTCTCAGCAAAAAAATGAAAATACTACTGTTGAGCGGGGCAGAGATGGATAAACAATGACACGTGATCATTTCCTTGTATCCTAAGTAGGAACATATCTTGATCTAGGTGAGTCTCTAAAATCAGAGTAGGACAAATATGTCATATATAGATGTCCTTTCAGCCTGAGTAATATCAAATTAGAACTTTGAATAATTAGCTAAAATTTAAATGTCACACGTCAACGAGAGCAATGCTGATGATATAAATTAGCCGTCTTAGGTAGGTTGAAAGAATTTGGTTTGATTTTGAGGCATGAGCAAGAGAACAGAAAACTAGAAAGCAGGCCACTGTGCGGTCTTTTTAAATGTAGATTTTTAATTCTAAACGATGGAATGCTGTTAGCCATTTGGAAGTTTTTTTTGCCTCTACCATTTATTAGTGGTTTTTATTATACTAGATATGAAAATCAGAATTATACTGCATATCAATTGAAGAGCTTTTATATGCTCCACATCCTGCCACATACGGTTTTTCCTTTAAAGGAGCTAATTTTCTGTTCCCATTCTGTTTGTCACTGCAGTGAAATAAGAAACAACGTGGCAGTAAGTGCCCAGTGCTAGCTCTGAGGAAGGGAAGTCTGTAGGGGGTGCTTTCTGGTTTCCTTGAAATGAGCTGTTTCGGCAGTTGGGTGGGAAAGGGTTTCAGGTAAGGGGAGTAGCGTGACTGAGGCATGGCAGGAGCAGAGAGCCGGAGCCAGGTGTGAGGGTAGGAGATTCCCTGATTAGAAGGGGACAGTGTTGACAGTTGTGAATGATGGGCGGAACTGATGTGAAAGACTTAGACCCAGGAGAGACAGCTTAAGGGACAAATGGGTGGATTGGAGCCTGGGCTGGGGAATATGTATCCTGACTGTATACTCATGGACAAATTGCTTACCCTCTCTAAATCTATTTTATTAGCTACAAAATCAGGGTAATAATAGTATCTACCACTGAGGATGGTTGAGAAGGTTCAGTTGTTAATGTGTTTAGCCTAACGTCTGGCACATAGTAAGCACTCGAACTCTAGCTGCTGCTGTAGGGTAGTATTCTTAAAGCCAGGGAAAGGTGCTTTAGGTTTAAAATGATAAGAGGAACCACTGAATATTTTTCAGCAAGGGAGAAGAGTTGTAACATTTTGAAAATAATACTTAAGAAACTTAATCTGACTTAATCTGCCAGTAGAAATCTGAAAGGCAGCCATGGTAAAAGGCTGATGAAGTAATTTAGGCTGAGGTTGAAGTGGGCTTGAATTAGCACTAGAAAGCAAAAATAAAATGGATATCTGGGAGAGATGTTAAAGCAAATCGGGGACTTCTCAACTGACTAGATGGAGAGATCAAGGCAGATAAAGTGGACATTATTCGCCACAGATTAGGCTCATAGGTAAATCTATCATTGTGTTTATGTTTTTGTTTTTATCTTCAGTTTTTTCCTTGCAGCTTAAAAACAGACCATCTTTCCATCAAAAGGAAGGAAACATGCCATTTTGTTAGTGTGTTCAATACGTATTCTTATGCGTAACTGCTTTGAAAAATAGGTTTAGTAAAAAATGGTGTAGAATGTCTTGGTATAAATAGTGTATATGGAAATAGTGTATATGGGAAAGTCAGTAGAAAGAGAGAAATAGTAAATAGTTACTAAAATATTCCATGTGCTTAGAAAAAGAACAGTCCTATAACTATGAGCAAAGTACAGCTCATTTTTCTCCAATTTTTCCTCACAGGCACATATATCCACGTTCATCCATAGGCTCATATTAAGGGATGGGAGGCCACTCACTCTAGTGAGACCCTTCATTAGAAGCCAAGGATAGCTCACATTCACGGCAGCGGTGCACTCTGTAATCTCAGCTCCCAAGAGAGCATCTATAGAATGCCTCTTTATGAAAATGTGCTTTCATAAGTGAATTGTAACTACTCTGTCTTTCCCACGATGTTAGCAGGACACAAACTATGTGGAGGTGTGAGAAGGACAACTGGAAAACCATTGTTGGCATGGATTTTCGTTGACATTCTGTAGCTATAGATGTTTCCTTGTAAACATGTGATCAGCTTGATGCAGATTATAATCAATCCAGGTAACTGGACTAAGCAGACCTTTGCATTAAGATGGGCAGTCTGTCTTTTCTCCATGCTTACCAATTTTTTTTTGGCATGGCATTTCATGGGTGGGCTCTGGATAATAACTTCCCAAGCCCAGAAGCCCTTTGCCATCTCCTCACAGCAGTGTTATGATTCCTTGACATGGAATTACTGTGTTGTGAAGTTTAATCTAAGACCAGGCTTGAATGTGTGACAGTATATGTAGACAGATTATTTCTTAACTCACTTTTACAATGATGAGATCAATGGGTTGGAAAAGGCAGCCAGAAGATTCAGGGCTGTAATTGAGTTGTGGCGTGCCTAGAAATTATGTGGGATGCCTCCCCTGCGTTGGTGTCTCCCCAGAAACCTCCCGTGAGGCTCAGCATCCCCCCCCCCACCAACCCCAATGCTAGTGACAAAGTGAAAGGCAACTTCTTCTATTGCTTCCTATGTAATTTTAACTGTGCTTCTGTGTGGGATGAACATTTCCCCCTTTCTGTGGAGGAGGAAAAAAAAAAAGCTTATTTAATGCCTTTAAAAAAAATACATAGCTGCTTCTGTGGTGAAAATAAGTTCATGGCAGGTAACTCAGATTTATAGAAGAGAGAAAAATTCTTTAAAGCTTCTCTCCCTGTGGAGTGGGTTTTTTCTCCACTTCTAATAGCTTTTATTTTAATTTCTAGTTCTGAATTCAAGCAGCTGTCACTCTCTTTATAGCCCCCTTTGAAACTCTTGTGGCGTAGGAGGTAGCTGGGCTGTCTAAGAAACATCTTTTCAAACCAACCAAAGTATTGTTTATCCTGAATGAAATGGAATTTTAAGGCTGTCAAGAGTGACTGATTTGAAACGTTTTCTTTGATAGCCAGGAAGATGAGCAGAAATCTTGAGGGAGAAGGTATTTCTCTGTGTAACCAATTCCAAGTGACTTCTGTTGCTCTGAAAACTCTATGGCCCATGATTAAAATGACCATGATCTAAGAGTGTTGTGTACAATTAATAGAACAAAGCCAACCTGTGGCCAGTTCATTTTTACTTACTGAATTCTTACCAGCTGTTGAGGAAAAAGAAATGATGCAAGACTGAGGCAATGCCAGAGAACACTCCTTGTATTTATCATCAGTTGTCTTCAGTTGGCTTTTCTTAGTTCTGGGTTGCATCTTTGCAGCCTGGTTCCCTCTGCATGCTCATTCTACCTTCCTTTGTGCCCTCCTAGGCTGTATTAAGAAGCAGTACAGGGTCACCTTTAGATGAAAGAAAAAAAAGAAAAAAAAAAACCATTTAAGCCTATTAAAATGAAATTTGGGGCCAGGCCTAGTGGCTCACTCCTATAATCCCAGCATGTTGGGTGGCCGAGGTGGGAGGATCAGCTGGGCCTGGGAAGTTGAGGCTGCAGCGAGCCGTGATTATACCACTGCACTCCAGCCTGGGTGACAGATCAAGACCCCATCTCCAACAACAACAACAAAAAAATGAATTTTGAGACTGGCATTTTGGATCTACTAATAGTCTTTAAAATCAGCAGCACAAGTTTTTGAGCATGAAATGTGCTTATGGTAATGATTTTTATTTTTAAAGAGAAATAGTGATTATTTAAGTCTGTTTATTATCTTGGCTATTTTTTAAAAGGTATATTCTTTTTCTTAAAATCTTTAGTAGTTCATGCAGGAGTATGATACAAAATTCAGAGAGTAATAACTTTGAACAGTTATGTATTAGCATATTATATACCAAGTACTGTTATTGGCAATATTTATTAAACTTAGATAATATCCAGAACAATCCTATAGGTAGTATTATTATCCCTATTTTATAGTTCAGGAAACTGAGGCATAGAGAAGGCCAATAACTCACCCACATCTGTGACAAAGCTAGGATGGAACCCAGGCAGTCTGATTCCAGGGTCTGGGTTCTTAATCACTCTACTAGAGTGCTGAACATAAGGGCAACTGTGAACTTCTCTTCCCTGGAGTCAACAGACATTGCCATTTGTCTTGTGGTTCCTTTCAGAGTTACTCTGTGCATTTCTAACAATGCTATTTATTTTTTAATTTTAAGAATGATTCTTAGTTTTTCCATTTAAAAAACAAATGTTTAGTGTTGTAAGGGAGTCACAGCTGTGGTCTTGATCCAGGAGATAAAGGAGAAGGAAGAGCCAGAGAGGACTATGGTTTTCAATGTGGGACATAAAACACTGTAACAAGCATGGGCCCTCCAGGAGAAAAATCCAGGCCTGTTTTTTTATGAGAGAAAGGGGAGGGAAGTGACCCATTTTATTTCAGTGATATTAAGTACTGCAAAAGCATTTTATTGTAATTTATGCCACCACTTACCTAAATGAACAAACATCTGGTCATGGATTGGTTGTAGTGAGGATATCTCAGGTACCTTATGCTTTAACAGGCTGTTAGAAAGTGAACACAATTTGGAATTTGATGCTGCCCAAATATATGAGATTTTGCTGTTGCTTTTCTGTTTTCTCCTCCCACTCCTCTCCCCTTCTTTCTTTATTAAAAATAATTTAAAAAATAAATAATATATTACCATATATGAAAACTCAAAAAGTATAAAAAGATACAAAGTGGAAAGATCTATTCCATCCCATTGACTCAGTGCCTGCGTCTGCAAGCCAGATCTGTAGCCATTGATGTTCATGGGTTGAACCACATAAAATTGCCATCTTTTAGGTAAAAAATTATCTAATATTGGCAATTTCAACTGTCCCCCCCCCCCCCCCCCCCATATTGTAGGCCAAACGTTGTAATCATTGAGAATTTCATGTAGTTCAACTTGTGGTTTCTCAAATCCTTCTAGAGTTGAGATGTAAATTGGATTGATGATCAGTTATTAGCAAGTCTGTACCTTGTGAAACTGCTGTAGGTATATGCCAAACATGATTGAATATCATCATTTTTATATGGTTCAACCTATAGTTTCCTGTCCTTCTAGAATTCTTTATTTTTATATATAAGTGTATTAGGGTGCTCTAAAGAGATAGAATGAATAAGATAGATGTATATATTGAAGGGGAGTTTATTAAGGAGTATTGACTCACATGATCACAAGGTGAAGTCCCACAATAGGCCATCTGCAAGCTGAGGAGCAGGGAAGCTAGTCCAAGTCCCAAAACCTCAAAAGTAGGGAAGCTGACAGTGCAGCCTTCAGTCGGTGACCAAAAGCCCGAAAGCCCACTGGTGTAAGTCCAGGAGTCCAAATCTGAAGAACTTGGACTCTCATGTTCGAGGGCAGGAAACATCCAGCTTGGGAGAAAGATGACGGCTGTGGAAGATTCAGCAAGTCAAGTCCTCCACCTTCTTCTGCCTGCTTTATTCCAGCTGCTCTGGCAGCTGATTAGGTGTTAATCTCCTTTGGCAACACCCTCACCGACACACCCAGGAACAATACTTTGCATCCTTCAATCCAATCATGTTAACACTCAATATTAACCACCACAATAAGCAAATATGAATATGGATTCTTATTTATTCTCTTCTTCACTGAAGAGTCAGTTTGGTACCTTTTTTGTTTTTTTCAAATTTTATAGTATATCTTGTGTTGCTTTTTATGTCAGTACAAAGAGAGCTTTCTCCTTTCTTCACTGCTGTATAGTACTCTCTGCATTCTATTGTATGGATGTACTTATAAGAGGACCTTGTATTCTACAGCCCAGCCAAACACAGTCAGATGATGCAGATGTCTTACTCATCACACATAGGCTTCCAGCCATCCTGGGATGATAAAGATTTGTCCATAGAAATAATGTACAGTATGCTTTTGAATGAAAAAAGCAAGTTTTAAGATGGAATTTTCAAAAATATTCTCACTTTTAAAGGAAAACCTATATATTTAAATATAAGCATACAAGTAAATCTGGAAAAATAATCAGTTATAACAATGGTTATCCTTAGGTGGTTAGAGTTGGTGATTTTCTTTATACATATTTGTATTTCCTATCTTGTCTATAGTGTATTACTTGTAATACATACATATAAATACACATATACACACATACCGCATACATTTATATGTGTTTAGTTTACAAATGTTTCAGCTTAACTCCGAAGCAAGCTGTGTTTCATACTAGTGTGTTGGGTATATGTTTAATATTTTGTAATGGAAGGACTGAGAAACAGAGTCTAGAAAGAAAGGGAATGGAGTCCCTTTAGCATGAGCTGGCCTGGAGAGACTTCATTGGCACTAACTGAGAATGACTGTCTCTCACTGCTTAGTGTTTTCCTGTTAGACTTCACGTGACTTTCACCTTTTGCCCAGGCTGCTTTCTCATGGTTACGTTGTCCCGGCGTTTTGGGGATCCCTATTACTGGAAATACTTAGGCAGCAAAGAGTTTTATTGAATGGTTGACTTGCTTGTAACGGTTAAGTTTGGATTTAAATTTCTTCCCTCCTCTTGATGTTGTTTATGATCTCAGCAAATCTCTCTCTAAGCCTCACAAATTTGGACAATAAAACTTTGACATGGTTTTTGCCTGGAACAACTGAGTTAATGGATGTAAACCAGCCAATATATGGTAAATATTGAATAGTTTTCGCTTATATTTTCTTGAGAGCCTGATATCTGAAGCAGAAGAGCTTCAGATACGCTTTCATGTTTGGTATGCTTTCAAATAAAATGTAATTTAGTCTTTTATTTCTGGTTATTTTTGTCCAACATTATACCTAAGTTTGTTGGTAACTAGCATCTCCCTCTGGCAATTACTTATTTATTTTTTTGAGACCATTTCGCTCTTGTTGCCCAGGCTAGAGTGCGATGGCGCGATCTTGGCTCACTGCAATCTCTGCCTCCCAGGTTCAAGTGATTCTCCTGCCTCAGCTTCCTGAGTAGCTGGGATTACAGGCCCCTGCCACCACTCCCGGCTAATTTTTTTTTTTTTTTTTGTATTTTTAGTAGAGACAGGTTTCACCCTGTTGGCCAGGCTGGTCTTGAGCTCCTGACCTCAGGTGGTCCACACACTTCGGCCTCCCAGAGTGCCGGGATTACAGGTGTGAGCCACTGCCCTGGCCTCCATCTGGCAATTAATAATGAACTTTCCTTCTTCTTAGATGAGAGGAATAGGGGAGGACAGGTGAAAAGCAAGGAGTCTGGCAATCCTCATTGTCTCAGCTGTACTGGAGGTTGTACTCTGAGCACAGTGCTCTAAATTTCCTGAGCTGTCAAACTGGCAGCTTCCTCAAAGTTTATGGAAGACAGTTTAAGTATCTGAGTAGTTTTGGGTTCCCAAGAATAATAACACATGGCTGTTATATTTTTTGTTTATATGGGCAAAAATTTTAGTCTTTAAACAATGCCCCAGGACTGTGATTATGACATAAAAATGCTCTTTGCTTTGTAGAGTAAAGCAATTTGCTTTGACTTCTATTGACATTGCAACTGAACTGGTCTTACTTGCTTTATAATTGAATTGCTGCAGATTTCCATCGACCTTTGCAAGAGGTAGAGGTGGTTCCTGGAGTTGTAACCTGATGCCTATTAGCTGTTGCTATAACTTTATAATGGGGTCTTTATTTTTTGTCATGTGATTGGTTTTAACAGCTGATTCTCTCATCAGCTTTTCCTGGCATGTACTTTTGGCATATTTTAGCTGTCATAGTAGCTTTTTGGGCAAGCATTATGCTTAATTTCTTTAAATCTTTGGGCAACAGAAAATAAAATGTACTTATTAAGTTTATGGCAATTTCATTACATCTTTTCATGCCTTAATGTGACATTTTAATTTATAGTTCAGGAGTTGCCTTTTTAGTTTTGGGGGGAATGCAGAGCTGTATGTAGTTTTGTTTCTGTGCTTTTGGGATTGTGGAGTAGGAAGCTCTTTTCTTGAGAAGTCACATTTTTCTTTTTCTAGAGAGAATTTCAGATACATTATATTAGCCAAGTGAATTATTATCTAGCAACTGACTGTCATTCATCTGTACATTATTTGGCTTCATTATAGTTCCCATTTTGTCTTGCCATGTTTCAGAGGGAAAATGAAACGGGAGGAGTGAGGTCGTTCTGCCCCTTACCCTGGATGGCATTACTTGAGCTTGCAGTGTAACTGAGAATTGGACTAAGTGGAATTTTAGGAAGCTCTACCATGCGGCAGTTATAACCTGCATCTCAGTGCACCTGCCCGTGCTGAGAAACACAGTTAGCTTCTTTCCTTAATGGGCAGTTGGCAGGGTTAATGTCTTAATCTTTCTCCCTTTTTCCCCCTAATGTAAGACTTAAGGAAGATTTTCTGATCAAAGAATCTGGACTTTTTTCTAGCAGTAATCATGCAATACTTACTACTCTATGGACAGTAAAGAAGAATTTCCTTTGGATGGTAGGGTAGAGTTGATTTTCTTTTTTAAAAAAGATATCTCTAGGTTCACAGTTTTTAAAAGGTTTCATTTTAATGTCAAACTTAGTATTCCGTAACCTATCTTTACTATTCTAATTTGTTTAATAAAGGAGCTGCCTCTGTGTGTGTGTGTGTGTGTGTGTGTGTGTGTGTGTGTGTATACTTTTCCAGTTAAGGAAAACTAATGTATAAGATAATATGATATAATTCCGTGACCTAGGTTTTATAGAGGATGAGAATAAATACCTGGGCTGAAAAATATCTCAATTTTAATTTTTATCTTGCTTTGGACTGTTTCTTTCTGTAGATCTTATCTGTTTGGTGCCTCTGTTGATAGTGCTTCATGAAGAAAATTATCTCACTCAGTTCCTTAGCCATTTCAGTTGAATTTGTGATATGATTTGGTGTGTCCCCGCCCAGATCTCATCTTGAATTGTAGTTCCTATAATCCCCACGTGTCGTGGGAAGGACCCAGTGGGAGGTAGTTGAATCGTGGGAGCAGTTACCTCCATGTTGTTATTGTGATAGTGAGTGACTTCTCACGAGATCTGATGGTTTTATAAGGGGGCTTTCCCCTTTTGCTTGGCACTTCTCCTTCCTGCCATCATGTGTAGAAGGATGTGTTTGCCTCCCCTTCTGCCATGATTGTAAGTTTCCTGAGGCCTTCCAGCCATACTGAACTATGAGTCAATTAAACCTCTTTCCTTTATAAATTACCCAGTCTCAGGTATGTCTTTATTAGCAGCCTAAGAATGGACTGATACAAGTTGACTAGCATACGGATAGATGGAGAGGGAGTGCCAGGTTTTCTTTGGCTTGTTAGGGGTTGATTGGGTTTTGGACCTGACTTTGACCCTTCTCAGCCATGCTGCTCAGACTGCTCTGTGTGTACTGGTCATTCCATGTATAGATTACAACTTCTAGGTAGATGAGGTCCTGGAACACCATGACATTTTGGTCCAGCCAAGCATCTGGGTAAGCTGTGAAGAAACAAGGCTGTTCAGTTTTCTTCAAAAACTGAGGAATGAGCTACTTGGAAAAAAAACAGTCTTAGATAATCCAGCTAGGTGAGATAGGTGGTTTTTCTGTGTTCTTTGGTCATGATCTTTTTCAGTTTCCCTCAGTCTTATGGTAACTTTGGGGATCTGGTCACCCAGTTTCTGAAAGCTAATAATTATTGGAGTACTAGTGACAAGATGCAAAATCAAAATTTTGGACAAAACTGTAATCCTGCCTTTGGGGCAGTAAGAAATCATAAGCTGTTCTGGAAGTCATGCTCCTTTCCTCAGAATTGGAAGTCTTGAATGTTCCACTGTCCATGACAAACTGCTGCCCCAGTAGTTTCAAAACAAGTGGATGTTATGATGTACTTCTAAGTCTTGGGTAGGGAGGAAGAGGCTGTGGACAACTAAAGCATCTTTGGATGTCCTTGTTAAAACAGAATGCCATACAAGATGAGTCATTGTTCTGATCCAATATGACAGTCTGAGATGTCTCTTTTTGCAGGGAGTAAGTAGGATACTTTGACCTGTATGTACCACATTTGAGGAAACAGTATGGTGCACTCTACTCTTCCCAGGCACTAGATCATTAAAGAATGGATGTTGGCCGGGCACGGTGGCTCACACCTGTAATCCCAACCCTTTGGGAGGCCAAGGCAGGGGCGGATCATGAGGTCAGGAGATTGAGATCATCCTGGCCAACATGGTGAAACCCCTTCTCTATTGAAAATACAAAAATTAGCTGGGTGTGGTGGCGTGTGCCTGTAATCCCAGCTACTTGGGATGCTGAGGTACGAGAATCGCTTGAACCCAGGAGGTGGAGGTTGCAGTGAGCCAAGATCACGCCACTGCTCTCCAGCCTGGTGACAGGGTGAGACTCCGTCTCAAAAAAAAAAAAAAAGAAAAGAATGGATGTCAGCTATATCCTTTGATCTCTGTCAATCTTAAAATTCAATTGTTGGTTCCATCTCATATGCTGGCTGAAGCTTTTCACCAGCTCCTAGACAGATTTAACTTTATTTATATAGGTCACCTCTGGATTCATTGTTAAGAATTAGGTTTTATTTACAACATCAAGTCCAAAAACATTTGAACTGGGGTAGGAAAATACAAATTTTGGTTTATTTTAGTTTTCACTATTCAGTGTAGCATTAGGTACTACTTTTTGACATGGTATAGCAACCCAGACTTTATTTTAGCAGAGTAGAAATTATGCTAGAATATATATGAAATGAGTTTGGCAGTTCTGTTTCTTGGTACTAGATACCACTCTCCTTTTCAGTGGCCTGAATGTCCTGGGTAACATTAGGAGGAAAGGCTGCCATGGTTAGGAGATTTTATTGTCATAGTATTTGCCATGTGGTAGAAATTAGGACATGACTATCTCATGCTTAGTTCAAAGATTATGTTTTAAACAGGCTTATACTAATTAGCCAAACAAAACTCTCATCCTACTGCAACATTTTATAATCCCCCCCATTTCAGGTTCTTCCTGTAGATTTTCTTCTCAGAGCTGTTAGTCTGCCACTGTGACTTTTACCCAGAGGTGTTGATTCTTGAGGGTATCCTTTCTCCTCCCCTACCTCCTGAACCCTCGTCTTCCAATACAGACATTCAGCCACATTGTGGTTGCTTTAGTCCTCCTTGGGTACAGCATCATTAGAAGAGACACATCATTTGGGCAGAGAAGCCACTGAAATACTCAAAGCAAGAGATTATTGGTTTTGATTGGGTGGCCCTATTTAAAAGATAGAAAATGCAGGGTGACAGGAGGATGAATTCAGGCACAAGGGGATATAGGGGCATGAGGTGGATGTTAATTGGAGCAGTTGTGCTCACCCTCCGCTGGTGAAAGAGTTCATTTAATTTTGGTTGAAGTCTGTTTTTCCCTTAATGAATTTTGATACAATTGCTGCCTTCTCTTCAAAGAAGCAAATGTTCTTCTGCTTTTTAAAATGACAGTTTTTTTTGTTTCTAAAGTGGTGCCTTTGTTTTGAAACTTAGTGTTATTTCTCTGTTACTTTCTTAAACTATATTTCTCTCCCCACTTCCAATAAGACAAATAATTTAATGGGCTATCAACTCCCTCTGATCTACCCACCCCCACCATGTTGGTATTTTCCAGAATTTCAGTTCTGGATTATTTTGGTTATGTTATTTTCCTTTTCTTTTGTCTTAGATTTTTTAAAAGACAACAATGGACATGATCAAGTTAGCTGAACATCTTATATTGCTTCTTTTATTTAAATACTTAAGGAATTTCTCTGAGAGTGTTATCAGTATAGTTCTTCGTGTGGCCATCCTTTGGGGATTTTTATATCTGGTAATAGTTTTATTATGCCCTCACATTTGAAGGCAGTTTGAATATATAATTCTCTGCTCAAATTTTTTTTCTTTAATACTTTAAGAATACTACTTCAATTTTTTTTTTTTTTTTTTTTTTTTTTTTTGAGATAGAGTCTCACTCTGTAGCCTATACCATTACAGGCACCCACCACCACGCCTGGCTAATTTTTTTTTCTTTGTATTTTTAGTAAAGACGAGGTTTCACTGTGTTGGCCAGGCTGATCTCGAATTCTGGACCTCCAGTGATCTGCCCACCTCTACCTCCCAAAGTGCTGGGATTACAGGTGTGAGTCACCACACCCGGCCTAGGATACTACTTCAATTTCCTTCTGCACTTAGCATTGCTGTTGAGAAGTCTGATGCCAATCTGATTCTTTTTCTTTTTATATGATCTGCTTTTTCCATATGGGTGCTTTTTTCTTTGTATTTGATATTATTAAATGTTAAAATAATATGTCTTACGTGCAGGATTTTCCTTACTCCTCTGTTTGGCACTCTCAGTCCTTTATAATTGAGGTCTTTGATGTTTCTTTAATTTTGAGACTTTGATTATTATTTAAATATTTCCTCCTCTGAATTTGTTTCTGGGATCTAGATTCTGGCAATTTCACTTCTATTCTCTATATTACAAATCTCTAAATCTCTGAGTTTTCTTATTCATTGAGTTTGCTGTCTTAGTTTTCTGTTTTTAGAAGTTCTCATTTACAAGTCCATGGTGAAGGAGGATTTTTTTGTGTGTATGCATGGTTAGGGTGTGTTGGATCCATCTTCTCCCCTTTCTTTTCACTGTCTGGCTATTGCCTCCACTGGGGTCACCTAGGTGCTGGTTCAGAGCCAGGTCTATTATTGCCAGCACAATGTTCTTGTCCTTGGGATAGGCCAAATCATCCCCCAGGCAAGTGGGGAACTTGGTTATAGGTTCTTGGCCTCCATCTAGGGTGGAGGGCTTCTCCCAGTCCCTATTTCCACATGAAGAGCCTGGCTGTAGCCCCTCTGCCCCATGCTTGGTATATTATTATAGATACTAGGAACCCTACAGGTTTTTTTGTTTTTTGTTTTTTGTTTTGAGACAGGGTCTTGCTCTGTTGCCCAGGCTGGAGTACAGTCATGCGATCTCAGCTCACTGCAGCCTCCACCTCCTGGGTTCAAGCGATTCTCCTGCCTCAACCTCCTGAGTAGCTGGGATTACAGGCGTGCACCACCACACCTGGCTATTTTTTGTATTTTTCGTAGAGACTGGGTTTTGCCATGTTGGCTAGGCTGGTCTCAAACTCCTGGCCTCAGGTGATCCACCTGCCTCGGCCTCCCAAAGTGCTGGGATTACAGACATGAGCTGCAGCGCCTGGCCAGAACCCTGCAGGGTTTAAATGTCTAGGTGGTTCTGTTGGTTTCAGTTGGTCTTGGAACCATAAACCTTTGGCTAATGGTCCCTCTGGTTGTTTCTTTTTTGTTTCTGTTCGACAGAAATGTGTAACAAGTTTATCAGGGAAGTTATGTATTTTTATTTATTAAAAAAGATTTGGGGGGGGTTATTTGGTGTATGTGTGAGGGAGAGGTAGGTTTCTCCTTAATATTCCGTCTTGGCTGAACATTTTCTGAATGAACTTTATCACAAGAGTGTTTCTGTGTTATAATTGCAGTTACTTTGTTCTCAGCAAAACTTTCTTTTGATCCTATTAACTACTTGTTAATTAGAAGTAACTAAGTTTATTCTGATCTGACAGGAAGAGTATTTGTATACCAAAGTAGGTTTCAGCGTCCCCCAGCTAGCCAAATGCATGACTGTGAGGTTTGCTTAAATTAAATTCAACTAATATATTAGATCTTTTCTTTTTATGCATTTTTCTTTCCTCTTTTCTGTCTTCTCCTTTTCTTCCTTACTCCTGCTAATACATAAGCTAGATGTTTAAGAATGAGGAGCATGGGATAGCTTTGCTGATGTGGGAATGGTCCATCTGTGAGGAATAACAGAAACTGTCTGTGATTTTATACCATGCCCAAAAAATCTTCAGCTACGTGGAAGAACAGCAGGGAAGGGATTTCAGGGGGGAACTATCTCTGACGTAACTGTTAGGAAATATATTTGAAAGGAGACAAAGAAGAAATGAATGAAATGGCAGGGAAGCCCAAAGCTTTATTCCTTCCAACAATCCAAAAGCAGTTCTGTTCAAGTGAAATGACCAGAAAATGAATGAAGAGAACAGTTTGTCATCATCACAACAAAAAGTTAAACTACCTGAAGTGTAAAAGCTTATCATTAGATTAAAATAAGATATAAACATCCTCTAAATTATTAGAAATGGTAGAATTATCAAGCTCTTGTTTCCTCCTCTTGGTCTAATTTTCTGCCAATCTTTGAAGATGATTTTAGTCTGTCCTGAAAATAAAGCACTTGTTCATGTGCTCAGGCTCATAAAAAATCAGATTAAGTGAAATGTGGTAGCTATCACCAAAGACATGTCCTCTTGACCAATTGTGGTCAGTTTTTATGAGAATTGATGTTTGTTCAGGAATCCTAAATATTTGCAAAAGAACACTGTGTTGTATTTAAAACAACAAAACAACAACAATATTGCTTTAAAGAAAAGCCAGCTCTCTTGGCCGGGAGATCCCTCAACGTTCTTTTACTTTTCCGCATCTTCTTCCTTGCTCTCTCCATCCAGTGCTGTGACTTCAACTCTCTGTGCGTGACTTTCAGATCAATAAAACTATCCCAGGCTTCTCTTCTGAGCTCTAGGGTTGTATAAGCAACTCTCCCTTAGATACTGCCACGTGGATTTTTTATTGACACCCCAAACCCAACATGCCTACAACCGGTCTTATTATCTCCCTCACCCAGTATGCTCCTTGTTTTTTTATTCCCTATTTCAGTTAATGATTCTACCATACACCCAGTTCCTAAGCCATGAACCTGAGGCTCATCTTAAGTTTCTCTCTCACCCTTCACCTTTGTTCACTGAGTTCTAATGACTGTCATAACTGAATATCTTTTGAAGCTGTTCTCCAGATCGTATCACTTCCCTGCTTAATCCCTGCAATACCTTCCCAGTGTCTGCAGAGTAAATTCATATGCCTTTACATTAGATACAAAGTTCTTTACCCTACATCATGCACCTGCTTTCTGCATTTGACCCTGTTCTCCAACAAAATCCAACAACTACTGTGGCTCTGAAAATGGCCACATGCTCTCCTGTTTCTTTTCTTTCAGTTTTGATACTTTCTCGACCAGAGGCTTTTTCCTTGAAACTGGCAATAATTTCTTCCCTTTCCTGTTGCTGCACTCCCACCTGTCTTTCGCTCCTGACACTGGTAACTCTGAAAACTCCTTTTTCTGGGTCTGAAAGCTCCTTGACATAACCATATTACAGCAAACACCACCTTGTTTGTCTTTGCCTGTCTTCTGCATTATACTCTGGGCATCTTTGGGTTAGGGACTGCTTGTCTGCCTGTATAATTCAGCATCTGTGGTATGCCTTTGTACATAAGGAGAAGCTCAGTAAATGCTAGTTGGGTGAATAAAGTGGATTAGAGATGCTTGTGGCTCAAAACGGGAGAGGATGAGAATCCAAAACTGTGTGCAGGTTTTGTAAGAATATGTTGGGGTCTTCAGATTTTTTTTCCCTCCTCAATTTGTAGAGGCAGTGGCTCTCCATGCTGATGCTATTTCTTGTGGCAGTGGCAGTCCTGATGACTCCTGGATTGCCTGGCACTGCTTTGTGTTCTCTAAGGCTTCCCAAGACCAAGACGTGGTCTGCACCCTGACAAAATGTACAAGGGAAATGGGCACCTAAAACCAGGTTATAAAACCAGTATATGATGGCGAAATGCAAAATTGATGGCTGCAGACAGCTCTGAGAAAGGAGAAAAGAATCAGGAGAGGAGGGGTTTGGCAAGTACCTTGTGGGAGTTAAATCTGAGGATGCTGCAAGGAAGTCATTTTCTCTTCTAATCGGCGGTAGTTCATTTTCCAGAGTGTCTTAGAGTCTGTTCATAAATCCTTTGGTACCATTTTTGTTCACTCACTGGAACAACCTTTTTACCCAGAGGTGATTTGTCTGTTTGTAGATGCCTGTTAAAGGGTAACACCTAAGGGAAGAGATTGTGTGATCACTCAGAAGAAATGATAGGTGAAAAATAATGAGTGTATCTGACTTTAATTCTCAATTTTAAGTTAGCTTTGTGGGATTTAAAATCTTTATTCCCAGCCAGGGGTGGTGGCTCATACTTGTAATCCGAACACTTTGAGAAGTCAAGACAGGAGAATCACTTGAACCTAGAAGTCCGAGACCAAGCTGGACAACATAGGGAGACCCTCTCTCTAATATATATATATATATATATATATATATATATATATATTTTAGGTGTATAAATATAGATATGTAAGTATATAGGAAAAATGTATAAGGAAAAATGTATATGCATTTTTCATATATATATGTGTATATATATGTATATATGTATATATATGTGTATATATATGTATATATATATGTATATATATATGCATTCATTCCAGAAGTTGTTGAACATAGAATATTTTTTAAGTTTTATTATTTTCATAGTAGTTAAAAAATGCTAATTTGATTTTTGGTTAACTAAAGTTTCAGAAATGGTTGTGAGTATTTAATGTTTGTGTACCTGATGATTTATTCTCCCTCAAATTCAGTGATTCTCTCAAGTAGGTAAGCTCATTCCTGAACAGTGAAGGAGGAAGGAACTCTATACACTTGGAAAGTAGGGTGAAGTGTCTTCTCCTTTGATCAGGCTGTGTCAACATTCCCTTCTACCAATGTTATTTTCACTTGAGGGTTCAAATTGCCACTGTTTGGCAGGAAGGAAGAGAGAACTCTCTTAATAGAATGTGATTTAATATGTTGAATGACAATTTGTGCTGTGTCAGTCTGCTTGGGAAAAGGATTAGAGGCAGTGTAAATGATCTGCTCTATCTGGTTGTAAAAACATTTCAGGCATCTTTCAAAAGTAACATTAAACCCCTGGTCTCCAGTTCCCCAAAGTTGCTTCTCATTGACAGGTTTCTCTCGGTAGGAGTAAGTCAGGGAATAAACCGGTCCCAGACTCTCCTTTGCTGCTTCTGCCATGTCATGCCTTGCCCAACTGTCAGGGCACACAGCCCAGGGAGGACTGAGGGCCTGGGTCCAGCCTCCTGCAGCCAGGGAGCTGCTGGCATCTGACTTGCTGTGAAGGTGATCCTGTTCTGCTTCAGAACTGATGACAGTTTGCTATGTCTAGCTGAGCACTGAGGGCAGCCGTCATGCCAGGTCAATGTTCAGGTTTACTCTGGACTCCGTTCTGGGGTTCCATTTGAGATTCTCTTAATTTTGAGGGGAGTCATTGCTCATGATGAATGAAAGACACAGGGAGGGGCTGGGGAAAGCTGGAGGCCAGCCCCTCGCGTCACTTGGGCTCTTTCACAGAAAAGAACTGGACGGAGTTGAGCTCGCTGGGCACAGGGGATGATGTGGTCTTTGTTCCAAAGTGGATGGATCCCAGAAAGAAAATACATTAAAAGGAAATCATAGCAGTGGTCTACCAGTGGGTTTTGGTCCATTTGCCTGAAAATTGGCCCTTCTATTGGCGCTGAGTTTCTCCAATTAGCTAAACGTTTTTTGTGGTGAAGCGCTGTGGAAAAAGTGGCTTCACTGAAAGAGCAATCATAGTCTTCTAGACTTTATAAATAGACTCAGACAAGAAGAACTGCCCTGTGGAGATACGGTTCATCTCTTGCTCAGCCATCTCCCCCACCCTCCCCGGGAACACACTTATGAAATAAAGAGCTCAGAAAACTCTTCCTTGGAGTTTCAGTGGTACAGTTGGTTAGTGTGCAGCACTTAAACAGAAACCTCTTCTTAACAGAATGTTCTGCACAGTGTCCTCCAGGGGTCCCCCTCAATACTCACCATAAACAATTTCTTCTTCCAGCCATCACCACCATCTCTAACTCCTGCTTGTCTGGATTCAGTTGTTCTAGATCTCCATTTCTGAGATTTTCTCTCTTAACCCTTAGTTGTAAGCTGGGTCAGGAGTCAATAATAATTATTTTGTACAATCAGTTTTCAAGATTCCCCTGGAGTCTGGGGAGCTAGCTTAATCAGAGCCTGGAATTTCTCTTATGCTTCGTTTTTAGGAGAATTGAAATCCATCTGGCTGGGTGCAGTGGCTCACGCCTGTAATCCCAGCAATTTGGGAGGCTGAGGCAGGCGGATCACCTGAGGTCAGGAGTTCGAGACCAGCCTTAACATGAAGAAACCCTGTCGCTACTAAAAATACAAAATTAGCCGGGCGTGGTGGTGCATGCCTGTAATCCCAACTACTCGGGAGGCTGAGGCAGGAGAACTGCTTGAACCTGGGAGGCGGAGCTTGCGGTGAGCCGAGATCGCGCCATTGCACTCCAGCCTGGGCAGCAAGAACGAAACTCCATCTCAAAAAAAAAAAAAAAAAAAAAAAAAAAGAAATCCATCTAAGATGTTTTTTGAGAGCAAGGTCCTTGCTGTTGCTGGTGTTCTTGCTTGCTTTGTTTCTAGGACCTGGGAGTGAGGAAACGTGAAGCTTTAATCAGCTACAAGCTGTTGGGGGCTGGGGTTATGGACCTCTATGTGTGTCACATTTGCTTCCATAGCAGTTTAGGACCATCACCTATAAAATTAAGGCCAAGTCAGTGCCATCTTTGTAGAACATTGCTGCCTCTGCAGGGTTGCCTGGAGCAGTTAAAATTTAATGGGGACTGAGGATTAGGCCAAAGGGCCAAGCCTTGATGGGTGCAGATCAGGTGCATTTTATGGTAGCTGGGAGGACTGTGAAAGCAAGAAGACCAATAGAGGGAAATAACTGCTCTTGTGAGCTCTCTTGTCCGTCTTCTGCATTTTCTACCCAAGCCCACAATGTATACAAATATTATACTAAACATATTTAATAAAATGGTCCCCTGTGAATGGATACATTGTGCAACTCATTTAAAAAAAAATTTAGCTTTGGTTTAAATTCATCGTGTGGCATTACCACAAAAGCCTAACTCTCTTGTAGTACCCTCCCTGATATCCAAAGGGAAATGGAAGTTTGTCTATGTGTGGGATTTTAATGTTGGGGTATTAGAAATTATAATCCAAGATACCAGCTCAGTAAGACAAGTCCCTTTTAGAGTTGTCTAATTTATTATGCACTAAATGGCAACTGAGAATGACTTAAAGAACCAATAGGTGACCAGAAAGGAAGAGGTTGGACCCCACAGGGCTGGTGTGCTGCTTGGAGCTATTCTTGATTTCATTGGTTTATACCTGGACTCCGTATAGTGAGGAAGTCATTGTGGCTGCCATTATGCCTTTTATCTTCCATTATCTGATTTTGATCATTGTGTTTTCTTGTAAGGAAAACATTCCTCGCTGTGTATTATCTGTGGTTTATTTTAAGCATCTTTGATTAAAAAAAATGTAAAGACAGGACACCCAGATACTGTCAGGCTGAACTGTAAATGTAATTTTATCATTTGATTGACTAATCAAGTAACACCATATAATTATTAGTGGAGTTTTTTCTTCTCCAGGTATTTGTTTGATATTCAATGCTTTTTTTCCTCCTAGGTGACAATCCTTACCCTTCCAAGGAGGACACCCCTACCAGCAGTCTGGACTCACTTTCCTCCCCGTCTCCCGTGACTACAGCTGTCCCTGGGCCTCCTGGACCAGACAAAAACCACCTTCTGGCAGATGGAGGGAGCTTTGGAGACTGGGCATCCACTATGTAAGTAACCGTGCTTCTGTTGGGTGCTGAAGGGTGGAAGCCCTGACTTTGTTCATTTTAAAGTTTCCATGAGCAGTGACCTGTGGGTGCTGAAGCCATTAGATCTAGGAGCCCTTGTTTTCTTATCAGAAGGGCCACCAAAGGGAGAAGGGTCCTTAAAACAGAGCCTTCCTTGAATACTGTCTGTGTTTCTAGTATGGAAGGGGTAGCTGGATGCTATGTCAAATCTGATCGAAGTTCAATTCCTGGGCAGTTTTGGATTCTGCAACGGAAATTTGTTACTGTCCCACCCAAGATGTTTCCCCACTAGTTATGCAAACTTTAGAGATGTGAGAATGCATGCTGATGGACAGACTCTTGAAACTGTCTGTAGAATGATATTTTACTTACATGAATTTCTGAGAGCATTATGCTAGCATTCTGCTCTGTTTTGCTCCATAGCATCCTGCAGAGTTGAGACTTGATGGTTGACATTTGATTTTATCTTCTCAGTTTGGTTTAGTGCCAGGCATGTGCAGATCAGCTCAAGTATATTAGGACAAATAATATTAATACAAATAAAGTACCTTGAACCTGTGAGGGCTTGTCTGGCTGTGTTGACCAAGGCTGTGGAGTAAAGGCAGGATGGTGGTGATGTGGAACCCAAAAGGGCATCACGTTTCAAACAAGTGCTCAGAGAAGAGAAAACTCCAATAATAATTACAAGGCAATACTTGATTAGTCAATCAAATTTTATCTAAAAATACATTTATAATTCATCCAGAGAATCTTTTTTTTTCTTTTTTTTAAAGATGGAGTTTTGCTTTTGTTGCCCAGGGTGGAGTGCAGTGGTACCATCTTGGTTCACTGCAACCTCCGCCTCCTGGGTTTAAGTGATTCTCCTGCCTCAGCCTCCCAAGTAGCTGGGATTACAGGTGTCTGCCACCACAGCCAGCTAATTTTTATAGTTTTAGTAGAGACGGGGTTTCACCATGTTGGCCAGGCTGGTCTCAGACTCCTGACCTCAAGTGATCCACCCGCCTTGGCCTCCCATAGTGCTGGGATTACAGGTGTGAACCACCATGCCCAGCCCATCCAGAGAGTCTTCAAAAAATTTTGTTGAAGCCAAAGTTGCTTAAAATAAATTATAGATAATGGTGTCATCTGACCCTAGCTGGGCATTCTGGGGACTTTAAATGGACTGGAAAGTGTTCCTCAGATTACGTGGCTTTTTATAGTTACTGCTGGATTCACATGAAATGATTGTGAACTTATTAAGTATTAAGAGAGGCTGGGAGACATTTGGTATGCCAAAATTTGGGGGTGATCTGAAGACTTTGAAAATCTGAGACTCCAAGTATGGAAACACATTCTCCAGATGAGATTTTTCCTGCCAGTGTTTTCATCTGTGCATATTTTTTATGCTGAGGATTGTGGATTTAAATCCTACATTACTAGGTATGCTTGTCACCTTTACTCTTCCTTTTCCACAATAAAAATTCTGTTTCACCGTAGTACTACAAGCAACAATAACAGTAGTTACCTAGGCACGCAGAATCTATAATCCTGGTTACACTCGAGGTGGAATTTAGCATGTGTGTATGTTTTAGTGAAAACCAGATCTCTAATTATGCCTTTCAGTAAGTGAATATCACAGGCAGTGGAGTGCAGTTTAAGCAGTCATCTTTCTTCTGTAGCAGTTCTGCAGAAAACTGACATTATGAGCCACGGTACAGCCAACACTCAATTCACAACACGTCCATGCCTGAAACAAGAAGGGCTTGATATTTTTGGTCATAAATCAAATGAGGAGTGAATTCCCCAGCTTCCTATTCATACGCATTTTAAAATGTCATGAAAAGCACTCCAACCTTGAGAGGCCAAAAAGGGGGTTGGGGGGAGTAGTTGAAGCAAGCCTGGAAAGGAGATTTTTTTTTTTTTTTTAATGGAGACTTTCTTCTATTTCAGAAACTTGATTTATTTTTTTCTGTGCCATGGATGGAATACATCTATGTTTCTCTGAAGTATATACTAAAATGTTTCTTATGTATCTTTTAAAGGATTTACTGATGAGTGTGTATCAGTCCAGATTTGTCATTATGTTAGGAAGTTTGTATATAGATGAGTGCCTCTTGGACTTGAGTATGCACCAGAACCTCCTGTAGGTCTCACTGAGACCCACACTGCTGGCCCCACCCTGGAGCTGAGGATTCTGTAGGTCCGAGAAGGGTCCTGAGAGCTTGCCATTCTAAGGAGTTCCCAGGTGACGATGAATGAGCCTTGATATGGAAGACCATCCCCTGCTCCTTGCCTGCCTCCAGGGCTGTGCTGAGTATAAGCTGCTTCTCTGAGGAGCGTAATTAGGATAAGTGATTGCTCCACCTCTTTTGTGTAAAACACACTCTTCTAGGGTCGTGCGTTGCTGTCCTCCCAGTAGCCGGTGTGTGCTTCCCACATGGTCTGGTTCTCTTTGCCTCAAATATCTGTCCTGCTTTTTTGCTCAAGCCAATCCTGACCTATCTTAACGGTCTAATTTAATCTTCACCTCCGGGAAGTCTTCCCCATGCTGTAATCTACAGGGAGCCTCTAAAGAGATTCCTTGTCCGTATTTCTGCTGATACTTATTATTTGGCGCTAAGAAATTCAAGTTGCCTTTGAGTGTTCTTTAATATTTGCCTTTTAGTATTATTTGATATTTATATGGAATAAATGTTTCTACCTATCTAGCTAATCTTTCCCTTACCCCAAGCTAGATCATAAAATTGTTTTTTTTGTTTGTTTGTTTGTTTGTTTTTTTTGGGTGGGGGGGCGGGGGGCGGGGGGCGGGGGGTGGTGGTGGCGGTGGGAGGGTGGGGAAGACTGAGTCTCACTCTGTCACCCAGGCTGGAGTGTGGTGGCATGATCTCGGCTCACTGCAACCTCCGCTTCCTGGGTTCAAGTGATTCTGGTGCCTCAACCTCCCCAGTAGCTGGGATTACAGGCACGTGCCACCGCACTGGCTACTTTTCATATTTTTGGTAGAGATGGGGTTTCCTCATGTTGGTGAGGCTGGTTTCAAACTCCTGACCTCAAGTGATCCGCCTGCCTTGGCTTCCCAAAATGCTGGGATTACAGGCGTGAGCTACCGTGCCCTGCCATAACCTTGTTAATGATAGGAATTAGATCTTATATTCTTTGAACTTTTTTGTGATATTGATGTAATTATTAGTGAACATTTAATTTCTTATTTTAATGATGTATTTATAGAAATGCTGCCTTTTGGAAATCTCATTTCTTTCTCTGTGTTACTGAATGTCTCTTAGGCTACTACATTTGGTTTCTTACTCATCATCATCTTTTTTTTTTTTTTTTTTTTTTTTTTAAGATGTAGTCTCGCTCTGTTGCCCAGGCTGGAGTGCAGTGGTGCCATCTCAGCTCACTGCAAGCTCCGCCTCCTGGGTTCACGCTATTCTCCTGCCTCAGCCTCCCGAGTGGCTGGTTCTACAGGCGCCCACCACCACGCCTGGCTAATTTTTTGTGTTTTTAGTAGAGACGGGGTTTCACTGCGTTAGCCAGGATGGTCTCGATCTCCTGACCTCGTGATCCACCCACCTCGGCCTCCCAAAGTGCTGGGATTACAGGTGTGAGCCACCGTGCCCGGTTGATTCATCTTCTTTCTTATAAAGATTACAAACTCTTCCTCTAGGAATTCCACACAATTAATCTTACCATTTGCTCCTTACTGTGTTTTGTTTCCTTAGCATTTATAAGTTCTCATTGTATGTTCTCTTCTTGTCTTTTCCCCCTTTATCTCTGCATACCAGCTATACAGTATTAAATATCATAGGTTCTAAGTAAATGCTCATTAAGATTCCTTTTAACCAAAGTTGCTATGGAGTCATTGAAACTCTACTCTGGGCTCTTAATAGGAGGCAATGCCTTTACTGTGGTCTCAGGTCCTAAGGAATGGAGTCCAAATGTATGTGGATCACATAGGACCCCAGTAGATCTGTTGAACAAAAATGCTAAAATCTTGTCCACTGGGAAGCAGTTTGCAGAGGAAAACTTACAGCAGCCGTGGTTCTGACATAGGTGGTGTAGCTGTTGCCTCTGATAGGTAGAAAACAATGCAGCAGAATTGGATTCCTTGGATTTCTGCTGATGTTCATGACTTGTGGGTGTTATTCATTGCAGTCAATCAATCTGTAGCTCTTACTTACCTGTACCCTCAGTAAGGCGATGGGTGACTTCATTGCCAGTGAAGAATTGCTAGCTCAGTCTCCTTGGAGGACATTGCATCATAGGTCAAGGTATTTCGAATGTTCCAAAGTCATTTTTTCCCCACAATAAGGTAGTTTTCGCTAAACAGGTTTTCTTCTATTGTAATTGATGGAGCCGGGTCCTTGACAAGTAATCCTTTTAGATTCTCTGCCACAAAAGAAAATCTCTTTTAAGAAATATCGGGCATTGCTATCTGCTTCCTCTACAGATTTCAAATGAAAAGGAACACCTCCTTTTCTGCTGGCACATTCTCAAATTCAAGATGGCATGGTCTCAGAATAGCTCACTCTAGCTGGGGGTGCCGGCACCCTGAGATGCATCTCACTGTGTGCCCTGGCAGGCCAGGAGGGCAGTAGATTCCCCTCTCCCACCCACTGAGAGGCTTGGCTTTGTTTATCCTGAATGTTGATATCTCTAAAGCATCTATCCCAGCTAGTGCCTCAAGCTGTCGTTGTGCCACTGAGATTTGTGCCTACTCAGACTTGATGTCAGTTATTTAAAATCACTAGATAACACCTTCCTATTCCCATATACAGCCTTGTGCATGTCATCATATACTTTGTGTGCACTCACTGGTAACCATTTTTATTCTCGTCAATGCAATCACTTGTTTCCTTTAAATTGGGCAAATGAATGGGGGGTTTCTCAGAGACAGCTGCTTGGCATTTCAAATTACTTGACTGTTGGTTCCATGATTGCTTTTCAGGAAGTCAATAAATTTTGCTGGGAGATACCAGAGTACCCCGCTCCCCCAAATATGATTTGTGGCTTAGTACACCACAGTAAACTGTGAATGATTTGCCTAAAGTTCAGAAAAATAATCATTTTAGATCATTTTTAATAGATTTCTGTGAAGTCTGGTGCCTACTGAGAAATTACAGGGTGGGAGTCACTGGCAAACCCTGTCTTCACTTCCTCCTTTCCTCTCTCTCTGTCTTTCCTTCTTCCCTCTCTCTCCTCCTTCAGAGAGGGCTTCCTCAACCCCAGCACTCCTTGAGGGCCAGGACACTCAGTTCACCCTAGAAGTTGGTATCTTAATCTGATTATGTAAAAAAAAAAAAAAAAAGATTTATCTTTTAAAAGTGTTTTTTTGCACATTTGCTTTTTTTTTTTTTTTTTTTTGGGCTAATTGACCAAAATGAACATATACTGCTTTTGTAATAAGAAGTGGGAAGCTCTGTAAATTTCAGGTCAGGAGAGGGTGATAAGTAACCTAAAGGAATGAACTTCCCATTGCAAAAACTTCCTGCATCTTTCTTGGTTAGTAGGGGGATGATTTCCTAATAAGATGAGCAGCTTTACTCTGTTTACTTGTATCTGGGCCCTGGTTACAGAATGCAGTGGGTTACACTGAGATCTCTAGGAGAGCCTAGTGCCTTCTTGTGGAAGGATGTGGTCTCTGATTCTGGGTACTGTGAAGAATGAATTGGCAGCCAGTACCTGTTACCATACCTAAGTAAACAGCAGGGTCACTTAGATAGTGGAGGTCTAAGGGAGCTCAAATCTAAGGAAGAACAGGGGCCAAATGAACAGGAGGAACATGCTGCCTTGCTGTGAGCCCACAGCAGCCTGTTAAATTCTGCACAGAGGTTAGCTCCTTCCCCTACCTCTTGGGGGTCTGGGGATTTGAGGGAGTAGAACCTTTGGCTTTAGCAGAGGCTGGTGGTTGAGGCTGCAGAAAAAGTATTAGATACCCTCTTGGCACTTCCAGGCTGAGAGACCATGGAGCATTTAGTATTATGGGCCACCAGACTTTGTTTCAGCTATTTTGTAGATGACGTTTCATCTTAATGCTTGCATCAACCCAGTGCGGTAGATATATCTTCATTTTTAAAAAGATTGGAAGGCGCAAAGGACATAGGAAAATTGGCCCAAGCCACACAAGCAGTAAAGGACAGGTGAGTTTGACCCCTCATGTGTCTGCCCAGTGACTTGTTTTACTGTAGAAATTGAAATTGTGCAGTTGCATATGGGGACATTGCTTGAATTGCAGGTATTCTCCACCCTGCCCCGATTCTGAAACCCAGTGAAACAGCCATGGCTGTCAACTGGTCAGTGCCCTTGGTTTGAAGAGGGAGCACTGACCTTACATTAAGTCATGTGGCTGTGGTTTATAATTATCTATGGGGAATAAACACTTGAATCTGGTTGCTGCGCATTTATCATCTAACACCTTGGCTGAGATGCGGGCGGGAGGGCCTTCTCCCCCACAGCAGAGCTTGAGAGACTTGGAAATTTGATCTATGCAACCAGGCAGCATCCATAATCTTTTTATGAGTAATATGATATTCGGTTGTCTCCCTTCAGCTTCAGAAACGCTCTGGAAGTGATTCTCAGGGCCTGTATACTTGGCCATCTACCATCACATTGTCTATTCACATTCAGTCTGGGGGTACAACTTTTGTCCTGTGTGTTTCCTTGAATTTCTTCTCTCCAGCTTTGTATAGAAATTATGCTATGCCGACTGCCTGGCCCCTTACATGCTTCGATACACATCCATTGTGGCTTGCTGGGGTATTTTTGGTATCTGCGTTGTGTACTTGGCACTTGCGTGTGGCCTAATTCGTGCCTTCCTTTGCTGTGCTGTAGCTGCAGGTGCTGAAATTTGGAGGTTTTATTTTTAAGTCAGAATGTTGATAGTCCATGTAACTTTAAAGCCCTACCATGAAAAGATGACTTCCCAAAATAAAGACATGTCTGAATTTTGTAGTAGCTTTTCCACTGCTTAAGACTTAAAAACAATTAAGTCTTGCATCAGTCATTTTTGGTTTTTAGTTTAACTGGTTTTTGTTGTTAAAGATTTTCTTACTTGATGCCATTGTTGTAATTTATTATTTGCTATTCATAAATTGGCTGTGTCTCAATATCTAAATAAAGTAAGGACCTCATGGGCTCTCTCCGTAAGTTCGAGACCGTTTACATTGGTAAGTCACTGATTTCAAACAGGCCTGGCCTTGCATCCACGTTCTTTTTCTTACAACCTTGAAGATCTTTTATATAAGTGATTTAAGCAAACCAGGGATTTAAGCAAACCAAGGCTTAGCAAGATTATCTGTAAAAGGGGAATAATAACATCTGCCCCTCTGGGCCGGGGTGAGGTTTCCAGATACCACATGTAATAAAACCCAATCACTGCTCCCCTGAGAGCTCGAGGCAGCCACCTGCTGGGATTTTCCTTTCCTCTGAGAATGTAGTTTAATATTCTTAGTTTAACTTGACCCCAACTTCCTGGTTCATCAGTTACATAATCTCCTCACTGACTAGCTCAGAGAGAGAACCTTTCTAGCCTTGGAGAAGCTCTAGATGTTGACCTGAAGTTGTGTTGTTTTTAGCAGTTACTGTATTTATTCCCGGAGGACTCAGCTGGGGCTTCTCTCCTAGCCTCTTGCTTTGGGGATCTGCTTTGTCAGAGCCTCTGAGAATAGACCCTTGGCTATCACATGATCAAAGCATGGGGAACCTACTGAGACCCAACCACATTTATAACTTATTCTGAGCCGTATACCCAGGTAGCTCACCCATTACAACAAGTAACCCATAAATCTCTTTGTAAGTGATTGGTGGATTTTTCTGAGCGGAGTATCTGTGTCCCTTTAGAGCTGTGCTTGGCCCTGTTGAAGATGTTCAGCCTTCACATTGGGTGGCAGCTGGTCGAAACATTCCTGTCAGTGACTGCAGGACAGTAACCTTCAGACCTCGAATGCCCCCTAATTTTCTGAAATGAAGTTACAGTTCCTTTTCTGTTCAACTAGCAAGCTAAAGTTCAGCCCTCTTACCTGATTCCACACTGATCATCTGGAAGGAAGGTAGGATTCAAGGAGAACTCTTTGAGTGGAAGAGCAGTCAGAGATGTAATTCTGCGCCTGTTCTCTTACAGCAAAACCAAGAACTTTTGCTCTAAGAGAGTGGACTTTGGGAGTGAACTTTGTCAGATGATTAGATGGTGATGTCCTTTCTTGTTAAAGGAGGAAATCCATGTAGGAGCCTCAGGATCGCACAGGCTGAGGACTGAGTGTTAAACATGGCAGGCCTTCCTTCATGGGGCTTGAGGGATTTCCTGCAGTGCCCTTCCTCCTCTCCCTGACCGCCTACCTCCTGCAAAAGATATTTGTTCTCAGCTGGGCGCGGTGGCATACGCCTGTAATCCCAGCACTTTGGGAGACTGAGGCAGGCAGATCACTTGAGGTCAGGAGTTCGAGAGCAGCCTGGCCAACATGGTGAAACCCTGTCTCTACTGAAAATACAAAAATTAGCCTGGCATGGTGGTATGCACCTGTAATCCCAGCTACTCGGGAGGCGAAGCACGAGAATTGCTTGAACCTGGAAGGCGGAGGTTGCAATGAGCCAAGATTGCGCCACTGCACTCCAGCCTGAGTGACAGAGCAAGACTCCGTCTCAGGGAAGCAACAAAATAAAGATATTTGTTCTCAAAGGTGAACAAGTTACTGCTTTTACGTGCTGGCTTCATGTATTGGCTGGCTCCCTGCTGCTTGAGAGATGATCTTATACAGTTGAAGAAGGCCTCTGCTGCAGGAAAGCACTGGGTATGTGTGGGTCAGCCCCAGGCACGAACAGGGGAGCCCCGCACCACAAAACCAGTGAAGATGGAGGGGATTCTCCATCCGAATTGTCTTCATCTCCCCCAAACCCCACGTCCCTTCCAGGCTTCTTATCTGGTCTGTTTAATCCAGGGGTGAGCAAACCGTGGCCCACTGCCACCTGTCTTTATAAAGTTTTATTGGAACACAGCTACACTTAGTTGTTTACGTTTTGTCTGTGGCTGCTTTTTCACTGACAGTGATAGCAGAATTGAGTAGTTGCAGAAGGCCTGCCAAGCTTGAAGTATTTACTCTCTGGCCCTTTACAGAATAAGTTTACTGATCTTGAGCTAATCAGTAATCAAAACAGGTCTGTTTGGAAGGGCCCACCTTTCTTAAAACCCAGCTTTAGGAAGTGCAGTTAACCACTGTGGTGGTAGATGGAGAGTGCCAGGTGATTTTCAGTGTAAGCTTCACACATCTCTTCTTGTCATTAAACCAACCAGACATTTTCCCTATGGGTTTTGGATGCCCTCAAATGTTTATTTATAATTTCAGAAGGCTTTTAGTGTTTCAGTGACTGAAAAACCTATGTGGGGTTGTTCTTTTTATAATGTATCATTTAAAATAAATTTTTATTTTGGAATAGTTTAAGGTATGCAGAAAAGTTACAAAGATACTACAGAGCTTCCGTAGACCCTTCACTTCCCCTCTTCACTTCCCGCCCCCACCCCACCTCCGGCTCTTAGCATCTTACAGAACTGTGGTACCTTTGTTAAAAATAATGAAATTAGTGTTGATACAGTACTGTTAACTAAACCACAGACTTCATATGGACTTCACCAGTCTTTCCAATAATGTTCTTTCTCTGTTTCAAGCTCAAATCCAGGATGCCATGTTTCTATAAGCAACTTTAGATTTTTTAAATGATGACATCTACTTAATATAGTCATACTTTTTTCCCTTTGCATAGCTGATTTGCTGTCTTTTGGTAAATTAAATGGTTAGTGATGATATAACCCTAGAAATCAGAGGTAAGATCTGACCTAGAAATATGTAATAGTAGTGAGGGCTTCATTTATTGACTGCTTGCTATGCTTCAGGGCTTTACGCCTATCATCTCATTTAAACCCACAGTGACCCAGCCGATGAGTCATGACTCTCTTCACGTTAGCTGAGGGAGTTTAGGTTGCTCAGCCAAGTTTCAGTTGTGGATGACACTAAGTGCAGGCTAATGATGGCAACTGTGGGCCAACCTCTGGGGGGCACTCGTAAGTCATTCGCTTCCTTCTCAGCATAGCCTCTAGCTATTGACAAAAAGAGGAACAAGCCTAGGGGAGGAAGAAACTGCAAGCTGGCACTCAGCCAACAATGATAGTGCCAGCTCTGGCACCCAGGTCTCTCTGCAGAGTGGCAGAGTCTTAGGCATTTGTAATTTGCATGCGTACAATCCTTCAATGGCCCCTCTTTGCCTTTAGGTTATGATTGTGCCTCCTGAATATCCCGGTACTTGCATCTCTCACCATTCTTTCCATATTCCATTCTAGTCACTGAAAAGGACTTGAGGGTCTGAGATCTGTGCTGTCTTGTCAAAACAGGGTTTACTAGAAACATGACCTTGAGTAAGTTGCTTTCACCTTTCTGAGATGGTCTTCTCATATGTCATGTGGAATAATAGGGTGGTTGGGAATAAGTGTACTAGTGCCTGCCTGTTGCATCTAGCACAGGGCTAGATTGCACAGTTGTGCCTCACATGAGCCTGGGTGTGGGGAGGTGATGACGATGTTGACTATGGTAGCATCAGCTTCAGCATTAGCTCCGCACAGATGCTGCCTCCTCCAGGAAGCCCTCCTGGCTATCCCCATGGTTATTAGGTGCTTCCTCCACTCTTCCTCTGAGGGACCTTGGGCAGATCGCTACATGGCTCTCAGTGCCTGTATTATGGTTATTAATTGGGCATTCTCCACTCACTTGGCTGCAGAGCAGGTGGTGTCACGGTTTCCTGGGTGTCCCCAGGGACTAGCACAAGGCCTGACAGGAAGTCCTCAGACTGTAAATGATGAGCCAGTGGGTCTACTCCGAACCTTCCTGATGGGCAGCAAAGTCCTTCTCCCCCAACGCCGTGGGTTATGGCGACTTGCATGTCACAGGCCTTTGTTTCTCTGCACTGCTGTTGTCCCTCGGTGTGCTCGTGGGGAGCCAAACAATGTGCTTGCGTGTGGAGTTCTCCCTCTCCTGGCACTTAAGGAATAACTGGCATTTATTTGAACAGAGATTTTCCCATAATATACAGATCTACAATATTTCCTTCTGTCTTTATTAACATTTTCAAACACTCTTGCCCAGGACAGCTGTTCTAGACTTATGCTGTATGTTTCCCAGACTGGCATGAAAGATCATTTCACTAATGTGTTAGCTTCTGCTCAGAGACCTGGCAAATGAGAGTTTAGAATCTTTCATTGCAGTGCAAACTTCTGATTTGATCTCGTATTGTATAACCGTAGTGAAATATCTTGGTATTTGGGGGATTTAGTCACTTCAAATAAGCATTCATTTCTTTTCTTAATGCGTATTCTCCTCGCTCTACCCTTTTGAATTTAGATTGCATTCAGTGCTTATACAGGCTGGAATCAGGGGCTTGTATCTCTAGTGCTGCCCAAAGCCTGACCTGTGTATATTATGCAAGAAATGTTTGTTAGATGCAGGAGTTCTCTGGTGATTGGTGCAACTGGTGTCGAGTTTTAACAGTTAAGGCCCCTACTCCCTTCCCCCTTTCTGAAATGTTTGTGATCTGTCGCTGCCAGAATGTTTTTAATATGCGTGGAGCGTAGAGTCTGGTACTGGAGGCGACTGGATCACAGTTTGAATCAGAAGCAGCATGGACTGCTGATCTGTTCCATTTTCTAAAAATACACTTTGTAAAGTAACCACATATACAGCACTGTCATAATTTCATGTTTTGGGGTTTGGCCCCACTGCTGCACGTGAAAGCTACAAGGTCTTTCCCCGAAATTCAGGCCCATGTTTCCAAGCAAGAGTGTTGACTCTTTTTAAAGAAGAGAGTTTCCTCATCCTTTACACAAATGCATATTCTTTCCCTGCTTACTGTCTTCCCAGCTCTTCCACCCACCCCACCTAAACACAGGAAATGCCTCCGTGGCGTCAGGAACAGTCAGGTAGACTTTCAGTCTGTGCATTTTCAGGAACGTGTTTCCAAGTTAGCAATTTGAAATCTTCATGTGCTTTTAGTGAAACACTCTTGTTTCTATTTGTCCCCTTTCTTTGAGAAAGAAGGACGGTGATGTTGGCCTTCCGTGCTGAAGATAGAGAAGAATCCTGTTTTAGGAGATGCCTTTTGCAGTGTAGTGTGTTAAGTTGGGAAGATAGCGAACAGATATTAGCAGTTCTGTATATTTCTTCTGTCTTGGTAAACGTGGTTTCTGAGCTTTTTAGGAACAGTTGACTTCTTCCTCCATTTTCGCAAACTGCAACTTGGCTTTCAGGAAACTTGTGGCACTTAGGTACTTTTTTGTACTTGGTCAGTAGCTTGGCATTAAACAGAATTGGTGGTTTGTGCTCATGCCAGTCTTACTAATCAAAAATCCGTAGTTAAAGGGACAACAAGAAAAAAAGGCAATAAATAGATTTTTTAAATGTTTAAATTTGGGAAATGGTAGGAAAGGACTCTCAAAAATTTCATTATGTTCTAGCACATAATGAGCTTTTAATTATTATTTCACTAATCACCTTTGATCTTTTTCCCAAAGATGTTCTTTGGGAAAAAGCTGGGGCTCTCCCCTGAACCACAGAGTACAAAAAAAATGATCTGGTGAGTGTTTTAGTTCTCCCAAGGATGATACTGTCAAGAACTGTGAAGGGTCTGAAACCGTACCCTGCTTGCGAGCTACCAAATTAGCCTACCATCGTTTCCGGGATGCTGGCAGAAGGCGTGGGACTCGCGGTCAGAGCCAACAGCCTCTATTAATCACAGCAATGACAGTATCAGTGTTTTCTTGTGCCAGTTCCCTGAGTTCCAGTTCCTACAAGGCAATGCAGCTTGGGCCAGGTCACACCTACATGCCTCAAGAGAGAAACCTGGAGCTTAGAAAACCCAGATCTTTTATGATGGGTAAAGCCCACTCTTTGAGAGAGAGAGAGAGAGAGAGGGGAGAGAGAGGAGAGAGAGAGGGGAGAGAGACGAGAGAGAGACGAGAGACAGATATGCCTTAGGGCTCAGTTCTCTCTTGGAACCCAGGTTGAGGAAAAGCTGTTAGTCCTTTGCTTATGGGCTGCCATTCCAAAATGCCTCGTGTTCCTTCAAAATGTTTTAAATAAAAGAAGGGAAAGAGAATATCAGAAATTCTCTTCTAAAACTAATACTTTCCTCTACCGTTTTTTGAGAAAATGTAGGTATTACATTTTAGATGATATTTAAAAAATGTTTCGATTCTTCTTATTAAAAAGTAACCCAAAGTTTGGAAGGTAAGAGATGGTTACATAACGAAGCTCATGTTTAGTTTTTTTTTTTTTTTTTTTTTGGCCTTCCAAAAAATATGGACAGGTTGCTTTTGGGAGACACTGTGAAACATGGCATCATCTGACGTGTACTGGCTTTAGATGTGAACCCATTACACGACTTAAGTATATTTACTCACTTGCCTCACCTGATCCTTCCCAGCCGACAAGCCTCTGAAAAATTTCCTCTATCCAAGCAGCTACTGTGCTGGTTCCCAAACCTTGTTTGGCTGCACAGGTCTCTTCTTTCACAGGCTTCCAGTTGTCCACACATCTCATTGCCTCATCTCCATAGACACTGTCTCCAGCCTTGCACGTTGCCCCGTCTTGTGAATATTCCAGCTTACAGTGTGTCTGCCCTTGTGGGGTTCTGAAATCAAAGGAGTTACCTAGTAGAGGCTTCTGAGACACACCCAGGAAATCACATGCAGAAACTTAAGTCTACATGGGAAGTGTGGGAGGTAATCTTGGTGAACCGGTTAGTGCTAGATCACATAGCGCATGTGTTAAATAGCAACAGAAAGATCACAAAAAAACAAAAAAGGTGAATGTGGAGAACTTGACCCTGGACAAGGACTGCTGATTCTGTGTTCCTGTTTTGGGATGAGATGGAGAAAGCCAGGGTGCGGGACAGGCAGGCTTTTCTGTTGCGTATCTGTCATTACAGTGGTTCTTTCACTTTCTAAAAACTGAGGGGTATTTTCCCTAAACAAACACACCCACCCACCCGCGGGTGTTTTCATGGAGGTTTCCTTTTTTTTTTTTAAAGAAAGATGTGAGGATCAAGCAGACAATACCTATAAAATTTATGCTCTTTATTTTTCAAGGGCCACATAAGTGTAGTCACATAGTTACTTTATCTTCTTCCTGTAACTGTCCTCCCTCTAGGCAGAGGGATGGCAGTCATTGACGATTTATGACTCTGAAGAGCTGATGGGGGGTGTGGCAAAACATCTCATCTTCCTCCATTCACACCCTCCAAGCACCTTGAATAATTGCTGGGAGATAACTTGGCAATTGTTTGGCTAACTGTGGCCTTAATTTCCTGCCAGGGCTTCACTCACGCCTACCTGTCCTTTCCGTTCCTGATTAGTAAGACAACATTCAGCGTTCCTTTTCTGCTAAAAAAAAATGGAGTGACTTTTGTGACTGTTGATACAGATCACTTTAAGATTTATAACAAATCTTGCCTTGGGATAAAATAGATTTTATGACTCCCAGATGAATGGCTGGATAAGGGAATTGTAAATAAGCTCTTAGAAGAATAATGTTTTTTTTTTTTAAATGACCCCCTTTTTTTCCTGACCAAAGCATAGGAAAGCTTCTGTGTATTAAATACCTACCAAGTCAATTATGCACCAGATTTGTAAAATCCACTTTTGGTTTTAGAGCTTTCTAATTTGGTTGCTCCGATGTTGGCTGATGGCTCCATGTCCCCGCCAATCTGCCTGGCTTCGTGAGATCTGGAAAAAGAGTTAAAGATCTTCCTGTGGAGGCAAGAGAAATACTTGAAGGCATCAGAGAACAACCAGTATCAATGTGCCCTTTCATTTATTGGTGTCGCAGGCCTTCAGGGAAGGTGTATGGGTTAGAGAGGCCACAGGGGGAGTATTGGGGGAGGTGGAACTGGAGCTGAGCCAAGGAAGGGCAAGATTAGAGCAGGGCGGGGAGCTTGAGAGGAAAGGCAAAGCTTGAGGCGGAGGTGGGAACGCCAGGAAGCAGAGCTGTGGCAGACAGGGTAGGCTGCTGGGGCGGGACGGCCCCTGGTAGGTGAGCAGGTGCAGGAGCATTGTGTATAGGGAGACAAGTGGGTAAACTTGGCCCTAGGTTGCTGAGTGTCACCGTGTTGGAGGATTGCACCTAGGGGCTGGCCAGGAGACCATGCTGGTACTGAAGAACACGGTGCTAGTTCTCCGGCAGGGGAAACAATCTGAGAGCATGCTGAGGAGTGCAGAAGCCTCGGGAAACTGCTCGTGGAAACTGGTGTACTGGTTTAGCAGAAGACGGGGTATCTTAGGTGAAGAGCACCTGGGTGCTGCAGACAGGGAACACGTGTGTGTTCAAAATGTCACTGAATGAAACGAGACACTTCTCAAGGGAATGTCATAAACCATAGTCGCCTCCAGTTCTGAGGTCACTGAAGAGTAATTCAGATTAACACGCATCAATTATTTGAACTCTCCCTCTGTGCTTAGAGGCCATTCCAGGTGTCTGTTCACTGACCTGTTTACATTAACTTTAAAAAAAAAGGGAAATATTAAGAAATGCTCTGGTCACCAGAAGTTTTTGCTGTTCATTGGTTTCGAAGTCTTTGGCCCTCTCTAGAGGAAGCCTGAATCCAGTGGCATTTTCTTCTGAATTGCCACACGTGTAGGAGCAGGTGAAAGATCTTTAAATGTTTAGCTGATCTTTTGCAGCTGCCGGTCATGTGCTTGATGCTAGATTCCTGTGGTTTTCCTTATAATTAGAAAAAGTGAATACCTTGAATGTCCCACTACTCCTTTGATCAATTAGATTCTGGTTTTCTAATTAGTGAACTCATAGGGTGCTAGCAGGTTGGACAGATTGGAGAACCTGGAGAAGGACAGTAAGACAGCTTGAGTTTGGGGCTGTGGCTGGTTTCTGGGTTGTTGGTATCCGTAGTTTGGGCTGCAGCCCCGGCAGGATGCAGAGAGGACTCTGTCCCTACTGGTCAGGCATGATAGGGGAATTAGTGACCTAGTCATCTGGGATTGGGATGTTGTGCATTTCGTGTTCTGTGGCCTTTCTGCTATTAATCCTGTCCTTCAAACTCCTACCCTTAGCCCAGGCCAGACCCGATCGTCTATGGTCCAGTGGCTTAACCCACAGTCTCCAACCACAACAAGCTCCAACTCAGCTGTGACACCTCTTTCACCCGGGTCGTCCCCTTTCCCCTTTTCTCCTCCTGCTACTGTAGCGGACAAGCCACCTGAAAGGTACGTGGTTTGGAGTGGAATGTGGAATATGGTGGCAGCACACACAGGGGGCTTGATGAACCTGAGCAGGTTCTTGTGTTCTCTGCTGGCAAAAGCTTGCCCAGATACCCCCAGCATCCTGGACTTCATGGACAGCACTTACCACCTTGTATCAGGGCCGTGCCTCACCCAGTTCAGTAGCAAGGACGTTCTTTGGAGAATTTGCCTTACATGAGACTTGCTTGAGCCTACTCTGTCTTTGTGGTGCTGGTTGTGCATTTATGAAGAAGTTCTTATTTTGGAAGAACTTCTTGCTCATGAGTATAAAGCACATTCTTCGTTTTAAAAGTAGGCAAGCTGGCACTGGAAACATTCGCTTCCATGGCATCCAGTGGCCAAGTCCATAGAGGACAGAGCTGCTGCCCTCCAGCAGCCTCTTCCACCTGTAGTGGCTCAGGTGCTTCTTCCTGTCAGTGGCTTCCCCCACACCAGTGAGGTGAGGCGTTTCCTTTGGATTTGATTAGACTGGCTAAAAGCATGGTTTCCGTCCTTTCCATGAACGGACACAGAGGTTGCTTTAACAAATGGTGAGAAGCTGGGCCTGGTGTGCCTTTCTTGGGGCGGAGGCAGGGTGTAAATACAGAAGACTCAGGCAAGAGCAACAAGCCCCTTCTAGAGCGGTGGCCACCCGGAGTGGATCTGGGCCAGTGGTTTCTCACCTGTGGAGTGTGGCTGTGCCGCCTCCTTCTGCCGGCTGGCCGTGTGTCTCCAGGTGCGTGTGCTTTTCCTAATAGACCAACTGAAGTGCTTGGAGATAAACATGTCCTGTGGTTCTAACAGTGCTGAATGGTAGGAAAGGGCATCCCACCAGGTAGGGAGGAGAATTAGGTGAAGTGGTTCAGTGACAGCTCCTCAGAGAGGCTCCCTGAGGAAAGGCTTGAATTGGAAACCCATCATTTACTTGAAAATCAAGTACTGTTCTTAGCCTGATGTTCACTTCCACGTTAATTTCTCTTTTGGGAGGAGTTGCCCTACTGGTGACATCAGTGAGATTTGGGGAAGGGGGGTTGGGGGGTGAAGTTTCTCTCTGTTTTCCACATTTTCATTGGTGTCTTTTGTATTCTCTTTCTTTTCAGCATCCGCAGTCGGAAGGCTCGAGCCGTGTATCCGTGTGAAGCAGAACACAGCTCGGAATTATCTTTTGAAATAGGAGCAATTTTTGAGGATGGTAAGTGTTAGTGGGAGCTTCGTCTGTTAATCCTGTCCGCAGGATTAATAAGTCTGCAGCATGGAGTGAGCAGTCAGCGATGGTGCTGTTGTCGGGAGGGCGAGTCTCCCCCTTGATGCTTTGGACTGGATTAAGCGGCTGCGTTAGGCTCCCAGACCCCAATGCCAGGGGCCTGTTGTTGATGGCTGGAATGCCACTATGCTTGCTTCTTGATTACTCTCTGACCCATCTCATCTTGTGGGTCTTCATTCAGGTCATCTCTCTCCTGACGGGAAGAAGCTAGTGTCACTTGGACTTAAGAAATGTTTCTGATTTGCACACTTTATTTTCTTTGTTCTCCCAGAGTTGCTAACCAAGTCCTTTAAATGCTTCGGGTTTACCAACTCTGAGTCAACAGAGGATACTACTGTCCTTAAAAATTTTTGATTTCTATTTCTCTTACCATTTTTGTGCTTTACATTTTTGCTGATTTGAACAGTGTGTGAGTCTCCAGATTCGGGTATTGACTTTGCATATTGAAACAAGGGTGTAGCTTTTGAGGATTTAATATTCATACACAAGCATTTAGGAGCTATGCCTGGTTAAATATTTCAAAAAGTTCTCTTATGGCTCAGTGTCTTTTTTCTCCTGCTCTTGCTTTCTTCCCTCCCCAGTCCTGCTCATTATGAAATGCATTAGTTGCTGTGGAAACCGTGATGTCGTGTGTGGGTGGAGCTCCTCAGAAGAGTTCCAGGGAAGCAGTAGGAACCTTAGCTGCTTGGAATGGAATGGTTGATTATCCAGAATGTTTGGGATATGTGGAATGTATCAACACGAGGCACAGTGGTGTACTGTCAGTAATGCAGCATTTGCTGACGATTGTTTTTTAGAAAGCAAGTTGCCTCATTTAGAATAGATTTCTATATGCGTGTGATATGTACTCTTCAGAGACAGAGACTCCTGGTAGTGTCAGAAAACAAACAACAACAACAAAACCCCACATGGAACAGAATTAGACTTTGTGGAGAAATTTTGTTCTTGGAATAGAAGCAAGATCATTCCTCCATCACCATAACATACATGCAGTTTTGCCAAGAGAATGTGGAACGTAGCTGCCCTGCCCCAGGCCTGTCTCATGTTGGCACACCATATGGCTGAAGGGGAGGGTGCGATGGTAGTATTGAAACGCACTCATTTGAGAAATGTGATGAATTTTTATTTTGTGTGATTGGATTTGTTTAGAAGACTCTGAACTCCCTCCTGCAGTATGGTTTGTGAGATAGTTACCTTGGTAGAAGGTGTATCTACTAGGATACCTTAGGCTGCAGGTAACAAAAATTGACACAACTGTTTGAATCAATCATGAAGATGGATTAAAGTCAGGTGCAGTGGTGCACACCTGTTGTGCCAGCTACTGCAGAGGCTGAGGCAGGAGGATCACTTGTGCCCAGGAGTTCGAGGCCAGCCTGGATAACACAGTGAGACCCCATCTCAAAAAAAAAAAAAAAAAGGGTTGAGGGGATTAGTTTACACAATAGTAAGTGTGGAAGTAGGGAGCTCTAATTTTAATTCATAGTCTCAAAGATGTTATCAAAGACCAAAGTATTTCCATCTCTCTGTGGAACTGCTCTCTGCTGGTGGACCTGGGCCTCTGTCTTGTTTCCCTGGCGGGAGCGAGATGACTACCACAGTTCCATGTATCATGGCCACACTCTGGCGGAAGGAGGTGTCTCATCCTTGTGTTCCTTTAAGAATGAGAAAACTTTTCCAGGAATTTCTTCCTAGTTTACCCATCCTCACATCCCAGTATGCAGAACTGAGTCACATGCTTACCCTACATCCATCATTTGCAAGGATTTAGACCAATGAGAATCACACGGGGTATAGGATACCTGCTCTGGGCACACAGCCATGTGAATGAGGGTCAGTGCCTAAAGCCAATGCAGATCTGCCAGTTTGGATAAAAGAGGACAGCCTGGTAGGCGTCTGACCCAGGAGACTTACGTTCTCCAGGTCTAAAGTCCCGAGATGATTTGGAGTCTTCCTAAAAAGAAAGTGTGCGTGTACACACGTACACATACATAGTCACACATTTGTACATATGTACACACATGTGCACACAAATACCAGTGTCTCCGTGTGTTTTGGAGGAGGAGAGCCACTGACTGCAGGCAACGTGGATTCTGAACTCTGCAGGTATTTTGCCTGGGCTCACACCATGGCTTTCTTATCTTCTGTGTGACCTGGGACAGGCTCCTTTAGGACTCTGTGCAGCTGATTCTTCATCCTAAGCGGCAGGGATGGCCACAACATTGATGTTGTATTAAGATAGCATTGGGGCTACTAGAAAAAGAGGTTTCTGAGTTGCTATAGACGTATGGGGGAGAGGCTGCTGACCACGATGCCACACTGGGTACATTGTAGTGTGCCATAGACGAGGCTACGCTTTGAGCCAGTTTGTGTCTCCCTTGGTTCTGTGCTCTGCGGTGCTGGTATCCAGCTCTGTCAGGACTTTGCTGGCTGGGGCACCCCGGGTGTCTCAGGAGCTCCTCGTTCTGTCCCTCCCCTAAGGCTGGCTACTTGGAAAATACCTTGTGGATGTGTTGACACTCTCTCCCTACCCAGGGATGTGAGCGTCTCATTTAATGTGAGCTACTTGTCTTGTAGGTGCCGCCCTGATTCTTTTGCAGCAGGGCAGATAATAGTGGAAGGTGTTCAGAATCAACAGCATTAGGCTTGCTGCTTAATAGGAACACTTCTTCAAAGGGTACAGTAAGTTTAAAGCCCTTAAGCAGGGTTTATCTGTGTGTGTGTTTGCACCTTACATCTTCTGTGCATAGTTGATCTCTTAGCTAGTTAAAAGCAGGTGCTTGCCCAGAACACATCTAGTGAAGCCCTTCCTTAAATGGCTATGGGGTCTTCCTGTCTGACAACTGACACTGAGAAGACAGACTGGCAGGTCATCTGACCACGGCTTCTGTGGAGCCAGGCAGTGTTCCAAGTGGCCACTCTAGACAGCTCAGCCCACAGGAGTACTGCCGGGAATGCTCCCTTTCTGCAGACCAGCAATACTTAGTGTCCCTGGAATGCCCAAGACATTTTTCCTGTGTTCACTTATCCATTTGGAGTCTTCCAGCCTCCATAGATGCTCTTGCAGTGCAATTCCTTTTTGTACCTCATACAGGCAACAAAGGAAATTGGTTTATGCCACCCAGTGGCCTTTGGAGAAAACAAACTGGAGGTCAGAGTGACCCCTGGGCGGCCTCGTCAGTAGTTATGCGTTTGGGATGTGTGCAGCTGTGAGATATCCTGACCCAGAGTGTGGTTGGCACAGGGGTCTTTAGCAATTGTGTAGCTCCATGACTGTCCTTGTTCTTTGCTCTTACTGGGTGGGCCTGGACTTAAGTTATGAGTTCCAGTTCTAGGCGGAAGATGTGTTTCTCTAGTAGACTCACTAATGCCTAGCTGTTTCTCTGGGGCTATGCCTCCCAACTCCCCCGCCCCCCACCCTCGGGAGAGGGCTGTGTTTGTAAGGTCTCAGGGCAGTGACGTTCCTGTGATGGCCAGAGGGACCTTTCCCTTTTCTCTGGGCCTGGGGAATCCTGGAAATAGGTTTTGCTGGTGACCACCAGCCAGTCCTGCTGTGTCTTTCCAGTCAGGTGCGCTCCAGTTAGATGGGCAGTGGTTGCCTCCTCAGGGGCAGGGTTGGGAGGGGTGCTGAGGCAGGTGGTTTCCAGGAGCGACCCCACGTGGCAGCGGCAGCAGCAGCGGGACTGCTTTCCTGGCTGTCCCAGGCTCTTTGTCAACATCCACATGTAGATGTGGGGGAGCAGGTGTGGCCCAAATTAATCCTTAAAAGCCTCTGGCGATTAAACTTTAAAGGTCTCAGATAGACACAGAATAATCCCTGGAAAACAATTTGGCATTATCTTGGAAAGCTGATCACATATAGACCCCACAGCCCAGCGATGTGGTTGCCAGATAGATTCCTAGCACAGGGGAATCTGAGAAAAAAATATCGAGTGAAAAAATAAGTTCCAGATGACTATGCGCTTCTGACTTATGTGCTTCTGGTTAAGCTCACACATATGCAAAATAAATAGGATATTATTAGGGATATGTGCTTGTGTGACAAAACTGAATTTTACCCATAGCCATGGTAAGATAATGAGAAACACAACATTCAAGCTACTGGTTGCCTCGGGGTGGGAGATAGGACAGAGCCCAGGACGCAGCCTCCCTGTGGGTCCTGTGGCAGTTCTGAAGTTGAGTGTGGGTTCCTGGCACTCACCGTGTGATGATGACAATTCAGTGATTTCAGTACTTGTCACATACACTGTCTACATTATGCTGAAAACTGAGTTGGTGGAAGGGACCTGCCTCTCTTTGGTGCTACTTGGGGTCCCTGCCTCACACCCGTCTTGTTCCCTGTTGTGGTCTAAAGGCTGTGAGGACACCGTGGCTGAAGCAGGGTGAGGTTCCTGGACTGAGACCTGCAGGCATAGGGAGGGTGCGTGGGAAATGACAGACACTGAGACTGCCATGTTCTCCACCCATAAGAATGGAAAAGCAGAGCCCTGTTGTCCGCGTAGACACTGCTTGGGGGAGGAGTGGTGTGATAAACTAGGAGAGGAGCCCCAGATGGGTATTTTGGGGTTCGATGCTACTGAGAGAGGTCAGATCTTCAGAGAGGGAGGGAGAGCCTGCCAGCCTTATCTGCAACTGCGGAGCCACTTTTCCTGTGCTTGGGGATGCCTTGCTGTTGGTCTCCAGACCCTTGTAGCCCACCTCGCCCACTGCTCAGCTGGGTCCACTTCCAAGGCTCTTGGATGTTACAGGATCCCCCTTGGTCGCCTCTGTAAAGCAGTGACATCTCTCTCCCTACTGGCTTCTGCCTTCCAGGGAGGGGAGGGCTGGGGAGGTGGTGAATGGGGTTGTGGAGGCGTCTCTCTGGTTTGTTGGTTGGGGAGATGCAGGATTCCCGGCCTGGCCTTGGTTTCCCCAATCAAGCCTCCTTTCACCTCCAGCGTTGTAGAAAATCACCTTTTTCCTCCTCTGTTCATCCTGTCTTTTATTAATACCGAGTCTGTGCTTGCGCAAGTGTGTGGTGTGTATAGGGTAGGAGGAGAAATAGTGAGCATGTGCAGGTGAGACTATATTTGAGACTCTCTTACTGCCTCCTCATAGCAGGTCCTGCAAGCTAAGTGCTAGTAACCCCGTATTGCAGGTAACAGCCGAGCAAGGCCCAGGGGTTAATTTCCCAGATGCATCTAGGTAGCCAGGAGTCTCCTCTAGGGCTCTGACTTCAGCCCTGGGCCCCTTGCCACTCAGGCCCCCACATTGTTACAACCCTGAGGGCCTGTTTTGCATAGAATCCAAAGCTTTTCCCTGATGGTGGCTGCACACTAGTAGCACTGCCAGCTGGGGTGTTTGGATGAAGTGAGAAGTCTCTAAAAATCCTGGTATGAAGAACAATGTCAGAGTCAAGGTCAGTGAAGGCATGAAGGAAGTAACTTGCTGCCAGATCGCTTTGAGAGCACATCTCTGAATTTGCTTACTCAGTCATTACACAGATAATCATGTGTCTGACACGGTGCTAGGTGCTGGGTCTCATGTTATATGTGTTACATGCTCTCATAGTCTGGACTAGAAGAGAATGTCTCAGTGTGTCTCTCCTATATATACACGTATGCCTGCACACACGCACACAGAACATGTAGGGTGCATAACTGGGAGCCCCGACCTGGTCTGGAGCCAGGAGAGGAGTCCTGGAAGTGGGGGGATGCTGAAGCTGCTCTTTGAAGCATGAGTAGGTGCTGTCCAGGCATAAAGGCAGGGAATAGCATTCAGGCCCAAGGGAACAGCTCCAGGGAGGCGTTGAAGCCAGAAGCTTACTGAATGTAAGGAAAGTGCAGGCGGTTAGTCTGCAGACAGCCGGAATGTGTTCCTATTCATCCAGGGGAGGGAAGAACAAACAGTTACCTTGTTGCAAAGGACAATTAGAATTGGATTGTCCCTGTCTTCCAAACTGTGGGCAGCTATACCTTAGAGGACCATGAACTCAATTCGCTGAGTTGCAATTAGCATTCAAAGAATAATACTTTTCTACACAAATCTATGGGGAAAAAAAGAGTAGAATACAGAAAGGAAGGCATTGCATGCGCGCAGTGAGGGTAAGAGTATTGCTTCATGAAACTTGTGTGTGTTACGGATGTGTATGCCTGTACTTGGTTTTTGATATGAAATTATTCTCCTGGGTTGTGATCAGAAGCCACCTTTCGAGTTGGTCCGCTGGAGTAGCTCATGCCTCCCCTTTCCTTTATGCCACGGCTGCCACGCCTGCACCTGACCATGGTTGGGGGTTTGAGCTGGGGCCTGCTCACAGCTGGGGGTTATGAAATGCTTCTGTATTGCATTTCCGAACACTGGTGAGGAGTGCTTGGACCTGTGCCCTTTGCTGTCCAGGCTGCAATTTTCTCGTTGAGTATCACGTGAATATTTATGAACAGTCCATTGTGCCAGGCACCATGCCCAGATGTATAAGGCTCAGGCTGCCTTCAGGAGTTTCCCATACAGTGTGGGAGTCAGACGAGACTCTGAGAGGAGGAGGCATCCAATCAGGTCTCTAAACAGGAGGAACTACCTGGTGAAGAGGTGGGGGAAAGGCATTCCAGTCAGAAGCCACTGCACTTGCAAAGGCCTGGAGTTGCAGTTGGGATTTCTCTGGATGATTCACTGCAGTTGACATGCATGATGTGCCAGTGGAGTGTGAAGAGCTCCTGGAGGGGCGGCTGGAGCCAGGTGCCCAGGGGCCTGTGTTACAGACCAGTAAGGAGCTTGAGTTTGAGGCTGGGAGTGGTGGCTCACGCCTGTAATCCCAGCACTCTGGGGGGCCAAGGCGAGTGGATCACCTGAGGTCAGGAGTTTAAGAGCAGGCTGGCCAATGTGGTGAAACCCCATCTCTACTAAAAATACAAAAATTAGCCAGGCATGGTGGTGCGTGCCTGTAATCCCAGCTACTCAGGAGGCTGAGGCAGGAGAATTGCTTGAATCCGGGAGGCAGAGATTGCAGTGAGCCGAGATCGCGCCACCGCACTCCAGCCTGGGCGACAGAGCGAGACTCCCTCTCAGGAAGAAAACAAACAAACAAACAAAAAAAAACACAAAAAGCTTGAGTTTGACTTTAAGCAGGGGAGTGATGTGATCAGCTCTGTGTTCTAGAGAGTTCACTGTGCATGTTCGTGCACAGTGGATTGGAAGGGGCCGGACTCTGGAAACTAGGACACTAGTTAGGAGGCTGCTTTGGGATTGTGTAGATGAGGATTGTGGTGGCCAGTGCAGGGAGGCAGAGCCTGTCAATGACCCTGGTGCAGACTTTGTGACCCAACATCCCAGAAGTGGCCCCTGTTCTCTACTGGCCACTCCCTGCTTGAGCTTTTAAGTGAACACCCAGGAGGCAAGTACTTGGGGGCATTTTGTAAAAGTGATTTTTCTCTTCCTTTTCAGTACAAACCTCCAGGGAACCTGGCTGGCTAGAAGGGACTCTGAACGGCAAGAGGGGGCTGATTCCACAGAACTACGTCAAGCTGCTGTAGCTCCTGGCCTCAGAGCCCCTGCTGACCCTGGCACCCAGGGACCTGCCTGGGGGCAGAGAGCTGTCTTCCTCCTCCGAGGCTCTGGGCTGCACCCACAGGTACCTCCACACTTGGGAGTTACCATCATCACAGTCAGCCCTGGGGGTGGGGGGTGGTGGGCAGGGATGGGACGCACCACACAGAACTGTGATTGTGGATCAGGAGGGGAATGTCAGGATTCGCAAAATGGACTTTTCATTTGTCAAGTATTGGGACTTGTGATTTTTAATTATCCAGCATATAGAATGAGAGGGAGGGCAGCCTTCTGCCACCTGTGTCGCCTCCACTGGCAGTCACGCCACCAGAGCCACCCTGGCTCCCTCTCCTCCCTGAGCACCTGCTGCTGCGATTTTAAAGGGAACTGTACTACTCGCAGTGATAGGTTTGCAGAGTGTGTGCTTGGCTGTGGCAGCCTAGCTTGGAGAAGCTGCTGTTGGTGCAAGGGAGATGGTCTCAAGTCAGAGGGAAGCAGAGACGCGCGTCTCAAGCCTGCCCTTCCTAGACGGCCACCTGCAGGACCCCACACTCACTGCACTGGCAGCGTGCACTGGCGTATTTGTAACAGGCTTCTCGGTGCTCCTCACCCGTGTGCTGTTTTCCAAACACCACCTTTTTGCCTCAAGGTCTCTGTAAATGAAATAAACTGTAATTTACTATTTGATTTGTCTGTCCTAATGTGGGGAAGCGGTCGTGGAAGTCATTGCCCCGTCTTGATTTATGAATTGGCAGCCTACGATGGGGACTCGTCTCTCTCTGCTGTTGGCCTGCTCACAGGTAGAATCTGTTAGCGGGGAGCCTGGAGTATTCGGGGTGGGGCGTGTTCCTGGGGGCAGCAGCAGCCTCTGATGTGTGCAATCCTGGAAGGGCATTCACACCTCCTCCAGTGGCTGCACAGGCCTCTCTACCCTGGTGCCTGCAGGACCTGGAGCAGGGCTGGGGCTTTGGCCCTGGGTGGTTTGTGTGAGCCATCTCAGTGCCCTGGGACCAGCCGTCCTACCAGCACCATTGTACACCCCTCTCCTACACCACCCAGCATGCCTCTGCCTTCCAGGCCTCCCTGCTAATCTCTCCATCTGGATTAATTTCGACGTGGAGGGAGGAGAGGGAGGCAGAGCAGACCTTCCTGGAGGAGCCTTCACCCTTGACCCTGCCCTGCCCCGTGATGATGGCCACCCCCAGCCTGGGCAGGCCTTGCTCTGATGTTTCCTCATTCTCCTCCACCTACAAGCCACAGGTGCAACAACCTCTTGGGGAAGAGGGGACTTGCCTTGGAATGTGGGGCTTAGTTTTAGTGGCCTCAGGATTCTGAAGCCAGCCCCATGCCCCAGAGGCTGCTCTGGGGCAGGCATGACTTTCCATGCATCCCCATGGGAGGTTCCTGGACCTGTCAGACTTCTCTCAAACATTTATCAAAGGACGGATGTGTCTGTTGCCTCATCCCCAGATGAACTGACTCAAGAGCTTGCCAGTTAACAGCTTGGAAGTCACCTCATGTGGATCACGTGAGGGTGTGGAGTTTGGGAGTTGTATGTGTATGGGGAAATGTGATTCTTGAAAAGTGTCCGTATTGTAAATAAAAATAAGGACAATTTCGATGCAACATAATTTAAAATAATCACGGGCCCCGTGAAGAGCATTGAGACCACAGAGGAGCCCAGGGCCACCCTACCACAAGCGGGTCTGAGGTGTGGGCCGGGGCTGGCTTGGCCCTAGGGCTGGGGCAGCATAACCTCCAGTAGCCTGTTTTCTGAGTTGTCATTGCTGCCCTGACTTGTTGCTTGGGATGTAGAAAGGAAACTTGACTCGTGAGAAGAGGTTTCTGGCATGTTCCACTTCTGTGAGAGCCCCTCTGCAGGAAAAGGCAAACCTGTGGGCAGCTAGAGCAGGCTCAGGTTAGTGTTGGGAGTGGCTTCCTGGCAGATTCCTAATTGGTGTATCCCAGGGGCCATTAAAAATCTCCCTGCATCAGGCCTTGATTGATTTGTTTGCTTGCTGGAGATTCCTATTGTTAACAGTGAGATGCACCCAACCAGCCGTTCCCCTCAAAGTGCTTTTACCACCACTTAAAGAAATCACCACCAAGTCTGGCTATCTATGTGACCTTGGGCAAGATCGGTTACCCCCATGATTCTGTTAAAGCCTCCTAAAAATAAAATGATACTGAGAGGTTTGGGGTTGAAATGACCTAATAGAAGCAGCGCACCCAGTATGTGGGGAGGGCTTGGCTAACAGGAACTGCTGTTCCCGTTTTTCTTAGTTCTACGAATAAGAATAGCAGTATCTTGCATCTTTGTCATCAGGGTCTTCTGTGTTCCTTAGGATGATGGGGTGACAAGTAGTGAAGTTCTACAGCTGTGCCCTGTGGAGGCTCCTGTAGCCTTAAGAGCTGAAGACCCCTCCTGTGGCTCTGTGGAAGAGTGGGGTAGTGCCAGAGGGGAGCAGGGGTGTTTCTGTCTGAGAATGTGACACGTGCACAGCAGTGTGGCCAGGACTGCCAAGGCCTCTGGGCAGGGAGCTTACCCCTGGACATGGCCCAGGATGTACTGAGGAATGGGATCAGGAGGTGTTTTCTTACTTTGGTGGATCATCTTCCTTCCCCTAGAAGAGGAGCGGAGTATGTTTTGCTGTTTTAGTTGGATGGGTGCGGCTGCTCCCCAAGGCTCTGCTGAGGCTGCCTGGACTTCCCTCAGCCCTACCTTGCTCAGCGACTGCAGCACCAACTGCGCCTGCCTAGACCAGGTCCATAGCCTGTGTTCATTCAGAGGCAGTATGGTGGTTTGGGGCAAAAAAGAGCACTTGGGCTATGTGTTTCTTGTTGACACTGGGGCTGCAGGGCTTGCATCTGATGGTGCCACCCACAGGGCCTTCCCTGGTGTTCCCTGCACCTGTAAAGGAGATGCCAGGTGAAAACAGAGCCAAAGGACTTGCAGGGGCTGCAGCCCCAACTTCCTTCCTTTGTAGTAGCAGCCACACATGCAGTTGGGGGTATGGAAGGGAAAAGCAATGGGTGTCCATGCCAGAGATGGATGTCTAACTCATTCTTTCCTTACAATGACTGCACAAGCCAGGAGATATTAGCCCATTTTATGGATGAGAAAATGGAGACGAGCACTTGCTTGCTCAGGTTCGATAAGCTAGTCACAGAAAGTTCTTTCTGCTGTGCCATCTTGTCCTCAGGGCCATGCTGTTATGAGTTGAATTGTTTCCCACTCCCCAAATTCACATGTTGAAGTCCTTAACCCCTAGTCCCTCAGAATGTGATGTCATTAGGAACTAGAATCTTTGCAGATGTTGCTAGTTAAGCTGAGCACAGTAGGGTTGGCCTTAATCCGATATGACTGATGTCCTTAAAACAAGGAGAAATTTGGACACTGAGACAGACTCACATAGAAGAAAGATGACATGAAGAGAAACAGGGAGAAGACAGCCATCTACAAGCCAAGGGGAGAGGCCTGGAATAGACCCTTCTCTCTCAGCCCTCACTGAAGGAACCAACCCTGCTGACACCTCCATCTTGGACTTCCAGCCTCCAGAACTGGGAGAAAATGCATTTCTGTTTAAGGTGCCCAATTTGTGGTCCTTTGTTACAGTAGCTCTATGAACGTAATACAGTGGTGAAAAGTGCGTGTTGCATTACAAACAAGCTGTTTTGAAATCCTATTTTTGCTATTTTATATCTTGGTGATCTCTGGTAAGTTACTTGACCTTTTTATGGTTCTGTTTGTGCCAGTGAAATGGAAAGAGGAGAAGCAACCTGTGGGATGTGACAGTTAAATGAGAGTGAATGTCCTGTGCTGGATGGGCACATGGTAGGAAGTGGGGTTTAGTAAATGGAGAGGACTGGAGAAGGCAAGGCAGCAGGACACTGTGGTGGTTGGGGGTCGGTTTCTGTCCCCCTTCTCATCTGTAAATCACTGCCTGCTTCCTGCCAGCATCTCTTCTCCAAAAGCCATTCCATGCTCTTGTCCTTTGCTGACATTGCTCAGCCTCTCCCCTCCTTCCCAACGCCACTCCAGGCTCCTGCTCTCTTGGACTTGCCTTTGTTCCCATTCACCTCCAGACTGGGCATCTTCTCAGCTTCTTAGGAGTTCTCCCTTCCAGTCTCTCAAAGCCAGTTCTGGTTACTCCTTCGCTGGCCAGATGTTTTCCATGACTTCTTGAATCTTCTTGAGCCACGTAGCTTTCCTCTGTCCACTCTGAGGATGCTGTTCCAGGAGTGTGTCCTCAAACAGCTCTCCCACTCCTAGTTCTGCAAATGTCTTCTCAGTTGCTTGTCAGCACTCTTCCTCCTTGACTGGCCTGAGCAGTAATTTATTGCTACCTCATTTGGGCAGCCCAGCTCATTCTGACACTTAAATGTCTAGCTAAAAGTATCTCAATCTATCGGTTAGAAGAATACCTTGGAAAACACTTTCTATCTGAAGATCAACTTGATTGGAAGAACTCCTATTTTTGGCCCAAGAGACCTGCACTTTAAATTTGGGCAGTGAATGCATGGCAGCTCAGGGCCATGCCTTGGTGTCTGGATTCCTTCTTCCTTGTGGAGTTTAGCAACTAAGGAAACACTGCAAGGTGGAGCAGCTCCCATGCCAGGAGCAGCAGGATCAGACCTAGCCAGGCCAGTTTTCACAGGTGCTGCCATCCACCCTCAGTCAGGCTGGCTCAGGGCATGGAGATCCATATAAAGGGGTTTTTTCAGACTAGGGAAAACTTGGAAACCACTGTCTTGGCAACATACATGCTGCAGCAAAATATCTCAGTAACTACTAGTGTGGTAGACATTTAAAGATCCTGATCTTTCACCCCTCCCCAAACCCATGCCCTTTTGTGGAGTCCTTTCAGGCTGACTCAGGGCTTGACCTCACAACTTGCTTTGGCCAATGGGCTTGGAGCAAACTTGATTCAGTCAGAGGCATGGAAAGTGTTATATGCCTTTCCAGGCTCTTTTTTAAAGCCCTGGCTTTGCCATGAAAATAAACCCAGACTAGCTTGCTGGAGGATGAGAGGCCACATGGAGCAGTGCCACTGCAGACCAGACAGCTGCAGGCTAACCACGGATATACAAACAATCCCAGCTCAGCCGAGCCTGGCTCAGGTCAGCACACCCTAGCCTGCTTCCCTTAGCCGACTCATAGAAACATGAGAAATACTAAATGGTGATTGATGTAAACCGCTAAGTTTTGGGATGTTTTGTTATACAGCAGCAGCTAACTGCCTGCCACTTTGCCCCATCGTTCACTTTGCTTTGGACAGTCTTGGTCGATGATCAATGTTGAGATTGTGCCTTACCCAATTCCAGTGTTGTTTTGGAAGCTACTGTTTCATTTCCAAGAAAATTGCTACAGTAGCAACTGGCTGACTTGAAATTAAAGTGCCAGAGATACTTGTAATCAAGTCATTTTAATCTGTGTACATTTGCAGAGTTTATAAAAAATGTTAGAGCTGATTTGTACATAAAGGGACAATGTTTTCTATTTGCTTGGAGGGAATTCAGCATACAGAAGCAAACAAGCCTCTAAATACATAGGCATCACCGGGCACAATTTTTTCTTTTTTTAACTGCTCTGGCATATAGTGGCTGGCTGTCTCAGTGGCAGAGACACAGTTCTTAGCTAATGATTCCTAACTGTGGGCTGAATTCTTTGGGCCTGAGAGCACTTCTAGAGATTGTGAGAAATAGTCACACTTGACCCAAGAATGAGTCTGTTCAATTCAAAAAGGGCACCCCCTTTAGCCAAGGGTGCACATTGTAGGGGCCTCCTGCCAGCTTTGGGTGGGTTCCCAGCCCAAGATGGCTTTTGTTTCAAGGTAGGGGCTCTCTGTGAAAAGCCCTGTTCCCTAATAGGTCAAATTTCTGAAATTTTTAAATCTAAAATTGCACTTACAGTATTTCACACACCAAAAGTTTGTGCTCCCAATTTTCTTCCTGTGCTGTGTTCAGTGGGTATGCTGTGTTCCAGAAATGGATCTGTTGTGTTTCACAAAGCTGAATTTTACTATCAATCAAATAGTCTTCTCTTGCTGAAAGCAAATAATTTGAACAATCACCAGTTGAGCAACACACTAAAAATGTACTGTACTTTATCTTGTGGGAAATGTTTTCTATTTAAAAACCAGCTGGTGATTGCTTACTGCTCCTTTGTGGCCCATATTAATGAGTGGAATCCAGGGGACAAGCCTGCAGAAATGTCAGAAGCATCATGGCCAATGGGGAGCTGAGCTTCTTGATGGCGCAAGGGTGCTGGGGGATGATAGGGTGAGACCATGTAGAAGAACAACTTTGGAGTCAGACGGGGGCTCCACTCACATTAGTCTCAAATTCTGCAGAATAAGTTTTCAAGTGGTTGTGAAGATAAATGAGGCAATGTATATATAGGGTTTAGCAACTACATGGCAATAGTTATCCAATGGTTACAGAGTATTTTAATGAACTAAATATCAATCAAAAGTATTAAAAACAAGGTCTCTGATCAGTCCCCCAAAGAGTAGAATTAACATGTGGCTAACATAGGACTCTTTCTAACATGGAAAACCACGTTCTCCATCTTGGATGTAGGCAGAGTGCATACAATCAAGATTTGGGAGGGCACAAAATCCAGGTGTACCTACAGACATTCAAATGAATTTGCTCCAAAACAACAGGTGATTAAAGTAAAGGATTTATTGTAATCTGCTTACAGTCCTTTGCAAAGACAGACATATGTTTTTGCATAAAGATATAAATTGCTTCATTTTAAACTAATTTAGTGTTTCTTTAAATTATATGAACTTTTGGTGAATTATGAACTGTACCAAACCAAGATTTTTAAGAGCAATATGGTACAAAAATAAGAGCAGACAGACAATTTGGACTGGGACAGGCATTCAACAGTGAATTTAGAATATGGCTTTGCTGTTTAATCAAGCAAAGTTACCTGGAGACACACAAAGAGCCAGTAACTTTGTTAATACAAAAAGCTGATGCAGACCATCTCCATCCCAAACCTGGTTAAGTAAGTCAGAATTCCCATTTTATAAAAACTAAGTCTGAACTAAAAGCTGCTTTTGTAAGTAAGCCATTTGTTTGCTAGCAACTCCCAGTCTGCATGCTGTGTATTTATTACCTTCAAAGTGTGGCTTTCATATTACTGTGCACCGTAAGTTGACTGTATTTAAAGATCTGCCTATAAATTAAATTCCTGAAATTGCAAATTATGTAAGAAAAACTCCTCCCTCTGAGTGCAGCTTTCACAGGTTTCCCCTTGCATAAGGCAGGTGTCTTTTGAAAGACAAGGTAATGTTGCCTGCATGGTGAACCCTGGAGAAAAGTGTTGATCTAATTAATTGCTGCTTCCTCGTGGCCATGGGCTTCTCCAGCTACAGCTTTTAGATTTTGGAAAATAATTAATATGATTTCACTGAGTAAACCTGATGATTATCATCATTTTTAAAAGATTAATTTGGCCTCTATTCAAAGTAGTTTATTTAGTGCAATCATATTGTTAGTTTCCCCAAAGATACATATGTTTGTGATTTGGGGCAAGAGAAAAGCCATACATTGCATCAGTGCCAAACAAACAGATTAATGAATTAAACATTTTAGTGCCACTGTCTTGCTTATATGATCTGTAATTTTTCTCCAAAACTGTTTATGTATAAAACTTATTTTTAAAACCTACCTTTTAAAAATCTAAAACCCCTCTATCTCCCGGTCTCCATGCCATTCAGACTGAACCTTGCCAAGATGGGCCGTCCCAGCGCATCCTGCCATGATCTGTGCGTTCCTGTGACCGGTTCCAGGAGTGCAGAACCTCTTTCCAAGATCAGAAGGGAATAGCTGATCTTTAACAGAGAGAGAGTGCATGGAATTTTTTTTTCCCACAGGAGAAAATCTGATTTTCTAAAATGGGAGGAAAAGATGCTCTCTGAGCCATCAAGTTCCCAGTCTCACTCTCGTAGAGCTGGTTCTGCTTCTAGAGGAAAAGGGAAACGAGGCAGCTTTCCCAAAGCTGCAGCACTCCAAGGACCTCCTCTCCCACATGTGTTGTCAAATGACACCTTCCAGGAGCTGCAGACACCGCAGTGTGTCATTCCCCGATGGAGCAGGATGAAGCAGAAGCCAGAAAACGTGCTGGAGTCCCACAAATGCCCCAAGCGGGAGACCAAGAACAAAACAAAAAGTACAGAAAAAGTAGAAAGGTTTCAAGACAACCGAAGAGGTTTCAGTGTGGTTATTTACAACAGAGACTGTAAAATAATGGTAAATTAGATATGAAGCTAAAAAAGGCACAGCTTTCCCTTTCTTAAATACACTGTAAACGGTTCATTATGCATGCAGGACATTGCACTTTACAAAAAAAAATTACCTTGTTTAGACAAAGATAGTACTTAAATAGTCTCCAGCAAAATAGAATTCTTTCAAAAATACTTTCCCATTCATCCTATTAACCATTAAAGATTTTTTTTGTATGTGTCTCATTTACAAAAGATCCTTATACCTTATTTCAGGTCCTTCATAATTTATACATACAGTAATGTACAGCACAGCAAAAGACTGCAAAAAATTATTTGTAAAGCCAACACAATAGATACTAGAAATCAAACCAAGGCATTTAACATCATCTTATCCATTCTAATTAAATAAGAAATGGACGCTAACGAGTGTGTATACCAGTGATGCAGAAGACCGTGGACGAGCGAGGGCTCAGAGGCAGCTGCTGCCCCACGCCACGAGTTCTGTTATTACACAACAGGAATCTGTATATATTTTTTTATTATTTTTTTGTGTTTTTTTAATAACAAAAGAATATTAATGCCCCATATTGACTATACGTTTTATGTGCAAACCAAGGGTAAGCTTTAAAACGTTCGTTAGTCCTTGAACCCTTTTAAAACAAGCGAACGATACCAGAAACTACACGGCATAGTTAAAACTTCTTCCATCTGTGAAAATATCAAAATCAGAGTTATTGACTAGATATGGCTTTTCATCCCGAGGAACAGGAACATGTTTCTAAGCGCTGGGGGATTGGAGGTGGGGAATCCTTCAGACTGCTCTGGTCTCGCCAAATCCACGGAAAAACAGCTTTCCCGGCTCCAAACCTCTGACATGACTTTAAACTTGAGAAACTGTTGAACAAGTGTGAATCAACCATCACATGTTAAAAACAGGTTTTCTTGGGTCCTTCTGGGTGTGGAACAACACAGGGAAACTTAAGGCAAAGTTCTTCTGGGCAGCGGGCAGTCACTTCCGGTGGAAGTAGAGCGGCTTGGCGTTCCCCGACTCCACCTTGGGCAGCTGGTCGCTGATGATCTCCACCAGCATTGCGGGGAACTCTACCTTCAGCGCATGGGACTCTCGGAAGGTGTAGAAGCAGAATTCCAGCAGGTCGCTCACCAGCTGTAACACAGACACAGGGGGCATGACACGGGGGCCTCCTTTCCGACCCTGGATCCCTCTGCCTTCTGACTTTGGTGGGAACTCAAATGACAACATTTAGAAAGCCTCCCAGGAGACCATGTCTTCATTAATTGAGCAGAGTCATCTGTCCTGGGAGAGGAAGAAGGGTGCTCACATCACCCATGTCATCTGCCTTTCATGGAAAACAAACAAATTCAGCTGAGAGCTGAATTTTGAGCACTGAATGTATGAGCTGAAACAGGGACAGTGACAGAGTTAACAGTGACTGGGTCACTGAACTGCACTCATCAAATTCTAATTTCTAAATGTGTGCCTACACGTGTATCTTTGTATTGGTGAGGGGCCTTCCCAGGGTGTAAGGTGGGCTGGTGGGAAGGGGCAAGTGCTGGCCCAGGGTCTAAGCACCACAGATGCCCAGGAGGGTGAGGAGCAGGACAGAGCACTGCACAGGCAGCTGTGGTGTTCCCCTAACTGGGCCCGCCAATGGAGCTGCCGCCAAGGGGCCAGCTGGCACTTCCACCTGCAGCCCCAGGCCCTCTTTCCTTCTTTGTGGGTGCCTGCCCTGTAGGGGCAGACCTGAGACTCTTCAGCTACTTCCTATTTCAGGCTGATTTTGAGACAGTGAAATACATCAAGGACAAGTTCTGGGGTGTCCCCCTAGCTCATTTTCCCTACTCTGTGAACCAAGAACTTTTCTCAGCCCCTCCAGACCTGACCTACTCCTACTTTATTAAAAAAAAATTGGAGGCTGGCAATACGGCCAAATAGGAACAGCTCTGGTCTGCAGTTCCCAGTGAGATCAATGCACAAGGTGGGTGATTGCTGCATTTCCAACTGAGGTACCCGGCTTATCTCATTTGGACTGGTTAGACGGTGGGTGTAGCCCACAGAGGGTGAGCTGAAGCAGGGTGGGGCGTCGCCTCACCCGGGAAGTGCAAGGGGTTGGGGAACTCCCTCCCCTAGCCAAGGGAAGCCATGAGGGGGACTGTGCTGTAACAGTGCATTCTGGCCCAGATACTACACTTTTCCCAGGGTCTTCACAACCCATAGACCAGGAGATTCCCTTGGGTGCCTATGCCACCAGGGCCCTGGGTTTCAAGCACAAAACTGGGCACTGGTTAGGGCAGACACTGAGCTAGCTGCAGTTTTTTTTTTTTTTTTTCATACCCCAGTGGCATCTGGAACACCAGCGAGACAGAACCGTTCACTTCCCTAGAAAGGGGGCCGAAGCCAAGGAGCCAAGCTGTTTAGCTCAGCGGATCCCACCACCACGGAGCCTAGCAAGCTAAGATCCACTGGCTTGAAATTCTTGCTGCCAGCACAGCAGTCTGAAGTCGACCCGGGATGCTCGAGCTTGGTGGGGGAAGGGGGGAGGAGCATCCGCCATTACTGAGGCTTGAGTAGGCGGTTTTGCCCTCCCAGTGTAAACAGAGCCACCGGGAAGTTCCAAGTGGGTAGAGCACACTGCAGCTCCCCAAAACCACTGTAGCCAGACTGCCTCACTAGATTCCTCCTCTCTGGGCAAAGCATCTCTGAAAGAAAGGCAGCAGCCCCAGTCAGGGGCTTATAGATAAAACCCCATCTCCCTGGGACAGAGCAACTGGGGGAAGGGGTGGCTGTGGGCACAGCTTCAGCAGACTTAAATGTTCCTGCCTGCCGGCTCTGAAGAGAGCAGTGGTTCTCCCAACACAGCACTAGAGTTCTGCTAAGGGACGGACTGCCTCCTGAAGTGGGTCCCTGATCCCTGTGCCTCCTGACAAAGAGACACCTCATACAGGAGAGCTTCACCTGGCATCTGGCGGGTGCCCCATTGGGACAAAGCCTCCAGGCAGCGATCTTTGCTGTTCTGCAGCCTCCACTGGTGATACCCAAGCAAACAGGGTCTGGAGTGGACCTCCAGCAAACTCCAGCAGACCTGCAGCAGAGGGGCCTGACTGGTAGAAGGAAAACTAACAAAGGAAGGGCATCAACATCAACAAAAAGGATGTCCACAAAGAAACCTCATCTGAAGGCCACCAACATCAAAGACCAAAGGTAGATAAATCCATGAAGATGGGGAGAAACCAGTGCAAAAAAGCCTGAAAATTCGAAAAACCAGAACGCCTCTTCTCCTACAAAGGATCACAACTCCTCGTCAGCAAGGGAACAAAACAGGATGGAGAATGAGTTTCACGAATTGACAGAAGTAGGCTTCAGAAGGTGGATAATAACAAACTCCTCTGAGCTAAAGGAGCAATGCAAGGAAGCTAAGAACCTTGAAAAAAGACGAATTGTTAACTAGAATAACCAGTTTAGAGAAGAATATAAATGACCTGATGGAGCTGAAAAACACAGCACAAGAACTTCGTGAAGCATACACAATTATCAATAGCTGAACTGATCAAGCGGAAGAAAGAATATCAGAGATTTAAGATCAACTCAAAGGAATAAAGCAAGAAAAGAAGATGAGAGAAAAAAGAGTGAAAAAGAAACGAACAAAGCCTCCAAGAAATACAGGACTATGAAAAGACCAAATCTACGTTTAATTGGTGTAACTGAAAGTGAAGGGGAGAATAGAACCAAGTTGGAAAACACTCTTCAGGATATTATCCAGGAGAACTTCCCCAACCTAGCAAGACAGGCCAACAAATTCAGGAAATACAGAGAACACCACAAAGATACTCCACAAGAAGAGCAACTCCAAGACACAGAATAGTCAGATTCGCCAAGGTTGAAATGAAGGAAAAATGTTAAGGGGAAGCCAGAGAGAAAGGTCGGGTTACCCACAAAGTGGGAAGCCCATCAGAATAACAGCAGATCTCTCTGCAGAAACCCTACAAGCCAGAAGAGAGTGGGGGCCAATATTCAACATTCTTAAAAGAATTTTCAACCCAGAATTTCATATCTAGCTAAACTAAGCTTCATAAGTGAAGGAGAAATAAAATTCTTTACAGACAAGCAAATGCTGAGAGATTCTATCACCACCAGGCCTGCGTTACAAGAGCTCCTGAAGGAAGCGCTAGACATGGAAAGGAACAACTAGTACCAGCCACTGCAAAAACATACCAAATTGTAAAGACCATCGATGCTATGAAGAAACTGCATCAACTAATGGGCAAAACAACCAGCTAGCATCATAATGACAGGATTAAATTCACACATAACAGTGGCCTTAAATGTAAACAGGCTAAATCCCCCAGTTAAAAGACACAGTCTGGCAAATTCAATCAAGAGTCAAAATCCATCGGTGTGCTGTATTCAGAAGACCCATTTCACGTGCAAAGACACATATAGTCTCAAAATAAAGGGATGGAGGAAGATTTACCAAGCAAATGGAAAGCAAAAATAGCAGGGGTTCCAATCCTAGTGTCTGATAAAACAGACTTTAAACCAACAAAGATCAAAGGAGGGCATTACATAATGGTAAAGGGATCAATGCAAAAAGAAGTGCTAACTATCCTAAATATATATGCACCCAATACAGGACCACCCAGATTCATAAAGCAAGTACTTAGAGACATACACAGAGACTTAGACTCCCACACAATAATATTGGGAGACTTTAACACCCCACTGTCAATATTAGATCAATGAGACAGAAAATTAACAAAGATATTCAGGACTTGAACTCAGCTCTGGACCAAGCAGACCTAATAGACATCTACAGAACTCTCCACCCCAAATCAACAGAACATACATTCTTCTCAGCACCTCATCGCACTTTTTCTAAAATTGACCACGTAATTGGAAGTAAAACACTCCTTAGCAAATGCAAAAGAAAGGAAACAACAGTCTGTCAGACCACAGTGCCATCGAATTAGAACTCAGGATTAAGAAACTCACTCAAAACACACAACCACATGGAAACCGAAAAACCTGCTCCTGAATGATTCTTGGGTAAATAATGAAATTAAGGTAGAAATAAATAAGTTCTTTGAAACCAATGAGAGCAAAGACACAATGTACCAGAATCTGTGGGACACAGCTAAAGCAGTGTTCAGACGGAAATTTATAGCACTAAATGCCCACAGGAGACAGCAGGAAGGATCTAAAGTTGATACCCTAACATCACAATTAAAAGAACTAGAGAAGCAAGAGCAAACAAATTCAAAAGCTAGCAGAAGGCAAGAAATAAGATCAGAGCAGAACTGAAGGAGATAGGGACATGAAAAATCCTTCAAAAAAATCAATGAATCCAGGGGCTGGTTTTTTTTGAAAAGATCAACAAAATAGATAGACTGCCAGACTAATGAAGAAAAGAGAGAAGAATCAAACACAATAAAAAATGATAAAGTAGATGTCACCACTGATCCCACAGAAATACAAATTACCATCAGAGAATACTATAAGCACCTCTATGCAAATAAACTAGAAAATCTAGAAGAAATGGATAAATTTCTGGACACACACCCTCTCAAGTCTAAACCAGGAAGAAGTCGAATGCCTGAACAGACCAATAACAAGTTCTGAAATTGGGCAGTAATTAATAGCCTACCAACCAAAAAAAGTCCAGGACTGGACGGATTCACAGCCAGATTTTACCAGAGGTACAAAGAGGAGCTGGTACCATTCCTTCTGAAACTATTCCAAACAATAGAAAAAGAGAGACTCCTCCCTAACTCATTTTATGAGGCCAGCATCGTCCTGATACCCAAACCTTGCAGAGACACAACAAAAAATGAAAATTTCAGGCCAATTTCCCTGATGACCATTGATGCAAAAATCCTCAATAAAATACGGGCAAACTGAATCCAGCAGCACATTAAAAAGCTTATCTACCACGATCAAGTCGGCTTCATCCCTGGGATGCAAAGCTGGCTCAACATACACAAATCAATAAATGTAATCCATTACATAAACAGAACCAATGACAAAAACCACATGGTTATCTCAATAGATGCAGAAAAGGCCTTTGATAAAATTTAACATGGCTTCATGCTAAAAACTCCCAATAGCTGGGCGCGGTGGCTCACGCCTGTTATCCCAGCACTTTGAGAGGCTGAGGTGGGCGGATCACTTGAGGTCAGGAGTTTGAGATCAGCCTGGCTAAAATGGTGAAACCCTGTCTCCACTTAAAAAAATAAATAAATAAATTAGCCAGGCATGGTGGCATACACCTGCAATCCCAGCTACTCAGGAGGCAGAGGCAGGAGAATTGATAGAACCTGAGAAGTGGAGGTTGCAGTGAGCCAAGATTGCACCACTGCAATCCAGCCTGAGTGACAGAGCGAGACTGTCTCAAAAAACAGACAAAAAAATAAACTAGGTATTGATGGAACATATCTCAAAATAGCTATTTCTGCCAAACCCACAGCCAATATCATACTGAATGGACAACAACTGGAAGCATTCCCTTCGAAAACCGGCACAATACAAGGATGCCCTCTCTCACTTCTATTCAACATAGTATTAGAACTTCTGGCCAGGGCAATCAGGCAAGAGAAAGAAAGAAAGGGTATTCAAATAGGAAGACAGGAAGTCAAATTGTCTCTGTTTGCAGATGACATGATTATATTTAGAAAACCCCATCATCTCAGCCCAAAATCTTAAGCCGATAAGCAACTTCAGCAAAGTCTCAGGATACAAAATCAGTGTGCAAAAGTTACAAGCATTCCTATACACCAATAATAGACAAACAGCCAAATCATTAGTGAACTCCCATTCACAATTGCTACAAACAGAATAAAATAACTAGGAATACAACATACAAGGGATGTGAAGGACATCTTCAAGTCTCAAGGAAATAAGAGATGACACAAGTGGAAAAGCATTCCATGCTCATGAATAGGAAGAACAAATATCATGAAAATGGCCGTACTGCCCAAAGTAATTTATAGATTCAATGCTATCCCCACCAGCTATCATTGACTTTCTTCACAGAATTAGAAAAAAACTACTTCAAATTTCATATGGAACCAAAAAAGAGCCCGCATAGCCAAGATAATCCTAAGCAAAAAACAAAGCTGGAGGCATCATGCTACCTGACTTTATACTACAAGGATAAAGTAAAACAGATATATAGACCAATGGAACAGAACAGAACAGAGGCCTCAGAAATAATGCCACACATCTACAACCATCTGATCTTTGACAAACCTGAAAAAACAATGGGGAAAGGATCCTCTATTTAATAAACGGTACGGCGAAAACTGGCTAGCCATATGCAGAAAACTGAAACTGGACCCCTTCCTTATACCTTATACAAAAATCAACTCAAGATGGATTAAAGACTTAAACATAAGACCTAAAACCATAACAACCCCTAGAAGAAAACCTAGCCAGCCAATACCATTCAGGACGTAGGCATGGGCAAAGACTTCATGACTAAAACACCAAAAGCAATGGCAACAACAGCCAAAATGGACAAATGGCATCTAATAAACTAAAGAGCTTCTGCACAGCAAAAGAAACTATCATCAGAGTGAACAGGCAACCTACAGAATGGGAGAAAATTTTTGCAATCTATCCATCTGACACAGGGCTAATATCCAGAATCTACAAAGAACTTAAATTTACAAGAAAAAAACAACCCCATCAAAAAGTGGGCAAAGGATATGAAGAGACTCTTCTCAAAAGAAGACATTTATGCAGCCAACAAACATTTGGAAAAAAGCTCATCATCACTGGTCATTAGAGAAATGCAAATCAAAACCACAATGAGATACCACCTCATGCCAGTTAGAATGGTGATCACTAAAAAGTTAGTTAGGAAACAACAGATGCTGGAAAGGATATGGAGAAATAAGAACACTTTTATACTGTTTGTGGGAGTGCAAATTAGTTCAAGCATTGTGGAAGACAGTGTGGTGATTCCTCAAGGATCTAGAACTAGAAATATCATTTGACCCAGCAATCCTATTACTGGGTATATACCCAAAGGATTATAAATCATTCTATTATAAAGACACATGCAGAGGTATGTTTATTGCGGCACTGTTCAAAATAGCAAAGACTTGGAACCAACCCAAATCCCCATCAGTGATAGAATGGATAAAGAAAATGTGGCACATACACACCATGGAATACTATGCAGCCATAAAAAGGATGAGTTCATGTCCTTTGCAGGGACATGGATGAAGCTGGAAACCATCATTCTCAGCAAACTAACACAAGAACAGAAAACCAAACACTGCATGTTCTCACTCATAAGTGGGAGTTGAACAATGAGAACACATGGACACAGGGAGGGGAACATCACACACTGGGGCCTGTTGGAGGGTGGGGGGCTAGGGGAGGGATGGCATTAGGAGAAATACCTAATGTAGATGACAGGTTGATGGGTGCAGCAAACCACCATGGCACGTGTACCCCAGAACTTTAATAACAATTATAAATGCAGCACAGCACTACCATTGCACAGCAAGAGCACTGCTATTCCATTTACTAGGAACAGCAATTCCAAATCAGAAAAAAATTCACTCTAATTTTTCTGTAGTTAGTTCTATATTCCATTATGGGAAAAATGATTTTTGGTCATTTCCAAGTGTATTACAGCTGGCAATATGAATGTCACCTGCCACAAAATAACTCTATAGTTTAATAGTCTGGTGAACTTGTATCTGTAACTTACCCTGATGATTTTAAAAAACACCCCATTAGCAAGCTTTAATTGAGTCAGATAGTAAATAACTGTTTGGTAAAGGCATCCAATACAAACCAGGAATCAAGAAAATCTCATCAGGGAAAAAACTGTCATGCTTCTGTTTGTACCTGTGTCACTGCCCTCAGTCTGCAGAGTGGTATTTTCCTAATCAGCTACCAAGGACTGTGGGGTTTAATGTGCTCTGCACCCGCAGGATGTTTGGGCCCAGAAAGCTGGGAAACAGCACCATGTTCACACACACATGCTATGCCGCAGTTTCCTCATCTGTATCCGGGCTATAAGAACAGTCTCTGAGCCTCAGAGTTGTTTCAGAGGAATGAATGAGTGACTCAGGTAAAGTGCTTCAAATTCCACCCGACATGGAGCAAGTTATTAAAGATGGGGAGAAGTACTGCTGGAGCAAGAGCGCTTTGATTCTGTCCTTCCCAAACTTCTTCCACAATAAAACACCATTTCCCTCTATGGAACACAGTTTGTGAAACCTGCTCTGTGCCATTCTGGTGGAACTTGGTCCTTGGGTCCCCCTTCTATAAAATGAGGGATGGGAGAACCTTTTTTTTTGCCTTTTCAGGAATATTTAAGAAACATGCCATCCCATTTCTGTTTTGTTTTTTCTCATGTGGCAGGACCATGGCTGTCAAAGCTACAGCTACACTGGGTGTGGCACTCCAGATGTGCCACCATGAGTCAGCAGTGCCAACTGCTGGGTGGGGATGCTTCCATCAGGCTAGCAGAGTCCTGCACACCCACCGCAGCGCTCGGGACCTCGATGCCCTGGAGTCCCTCCATGTGGGTGCCTGCAGGGCTGTGAGGGGGACTTTTTCCTTTTCTTACAGTTTTAACCCGAGGGTAGACATCTTGGTTTCTAGGCAGTATCAACCACCACAAGGACGAGTGTCTGGTGGCCACACCTTTCACATTTCTAGAATTAAGCCTTGTTCTGGGGATAAAGGTTCCCTGTTCTCAGGCCACAGAGGGTTTGGGGAGGGCCAGCGTCCTTTATCTACAACTCATCCTCACCATCTATCCAGCTAAGTCCCCGAGCACCTGCTCTGTGCCAGGCACTGGGGAAGCTGCAGTGAACAGATCTCTCAAGGCGTCTGTGTTCTTTTCTACTAAGCAGAAATACACACAGAAAGGCAGGTGCTGCTAGTGTGACGAGGGAAGGGAGGAGGTGCAGTTCAGAGGGGCTCTCAGGAAAGATGGGCTTGGCACATGACCTGAAGGTCGCATGGCCATTGGGGGACCAGCAAGTGCAGGGTTACCTAGGGAGTTCCTGAAGAGTGGAGAGGCCTGCCAGCCTACCGACTGACATCCCCAAAAAGTTATACAGCAGGGCCATGGAAGGGTTCATATTGATACACAGGTGACAGCAACGCTGACACATATGTACTAAGAAAAGGAACAAGTAAGTCGACCCTTGAACAAGAGGCAGCATGCAGCCCAGGCACATCTGTGAACCTGCTAACAGGGGGAGGTCCTAGGCCCTCTCGGAGCCTCTGTCCCTATCACCCACATAAACATGTCCACAGCATTGAGCATCACCCAGGAGATGCTGAGATAACCAGAACGGAGAGGGGCTGGGGTTAAGGGCTTGGCTGTTTTTCCTCACAGGTTGGCTGGGGACAGGTGTCCCAGACACTACTCAATAACAATGCATATTAACCTGGGGTTGGCATTTCCCACCCACCTCTGTTCCGTGTTCCACAGACAGAGAAAGCAGCTCATCCCCAGTCATGAGGGCTTCTGTTTATGCCTCGGTCAGCTGCAGAGGGATGGGACCTTCGTGCATAACCTGGGCCTGGCATTAGAGCCAGCAGGTGGCATTGGCCTGGCAGCCGGGGGCTGGGCATTTGACTCTGTAAGCATGATGTCACCAGTGGATGGGGGTGGTGTCACCACCAACTACTACCAGAAAAGGGCTCAGCCTGTGTTGTTGGGGCGGCTAGGATGCCCACAGGGCTGGGTGTGCAGAAGGCCTCAGCAGCTACCGGAAGTGCTGGCGGCCACAGAAGCCCATCTGGCGCACCCTGCCCTGGGACAAGGCTGAAAACCTCTGCAGGCCTAAATCCTGAGCCATGACTGCAGTTGCTGATGTCAGGGAACATCTGTGAGAATCCAAGCGGGGGCCCCAGTCACTGGGCGAGGAGAACATGACCAAGCTGGTCTGAGCTGCAGGTCCTGGGCTCCGTGTGCTCACTGGCCTGCACAGCCTTCCCCCAACCCTGGCCTGCTACAGCCAGTGGGCCAGGGAAGCCTTCAGGGCAGAACCCACAGATGCCTGGCCCTTAGCAGATGTTTAAGGTAGGGAGGCGCCACAGTGCAGAGCCCCATCTCAACTGGAAAAATCCAGGCGCGTGAAGTTAGCAGCTGCAGGTGGTTAGATCTCAAGGAGGTGGGCACAAGACCAGGAGAGCTGGGTGAGATTCACATATCAAACATCTGGGTCAGCATGGATACTGACCAGCCAGAATAGATACTGGTTCCTGTGCCACACCGCTGTGTTACGGCAAAGCATCTACCAGTCACCCTGTACATTCATGTGGGCACCTCCTGGGTACCAGCCTGATGTAGTGCACGGGTACACATTGAGGAATATGCAGACTTGGCCCTTGCCTGAGCCTAAAAAAGCCAGGAAATGAGGATACAAATGCATACAAAGCACTTGTACATCATCAGACACTGTCCCCAGTACAGAGCTGATAGAGGCAGGGCAGGCTGAACTCACACCCTGGAAGGGGATTCTGGGCAGGGTAGGAGCCAGGCTGTGCATCTCTAAATAAGCACCGTTTCTAGTTGGAACCCAAACTACTATTCCCACTGCAAAGCATGAAACCACCAAGAAGAGTTCAGTTCATCAGGATGTGTCAGTTTTGGAATGGGGGGAAAAGCCAGACCATCCCAAAGGCCACCTTTCAAAGCAAATTACTTCAGAATGACTGTGGGCACAGCTCTCCCGGGGATGCCCCAGCAATTTCCTCAGACACTCACTTGGCATGGAATCATTTTTGGAAAATGTCATGCTCGTGGGCAGCAGCTGCTTCCCCAGTTCTTTCTCTGCAGTCACCTCTTCCCCGCAGGCCTTCCTGGGGCCCAGCCTGAAGGAGTTCTTTCTGGACTCTCACCTCGCAGATGACACTTTTTTGTTTTTCTCATTTACTTAACAATTAGCCTTGGAGCCTGGTGACCCCACTTTCTCTTTAACCTGCTGTCCACATCTTTATGGGTTTAACCTGTCCTATTTACGGTGCAGCTCCTTAAACAGCGGCCTGCAAGCTCCTTGATGGAGGAATCACCTGTCTTATTCCCCACGGCTCCCAGAAGTGGCCCCTTCATGTTTCTGCTGTGCAACCCTGGTGTGGGCTGAGGGCTAAAGGGATTCCAAGCTACTCTTGCCCGGATTCTCGCTCCTGGGTTTCTCTGACTTATTCCAAGCTCCCAGTGCTTGGGAATGACTCATTTCAACAGTATTTTTTAGGGTAGCATGTTGCTAGTTTTATTCATTGAGCCAAAACAAAAACTGGGCAACCTAAATGAGCATCTTCATTTTGTGGCACCAATATTGCAAAACTCAATACATGAAGCTAACTCCTTTCCATCTTTCCCTAGACTCCGGTTTCCTTCAGCCTGTTTATGCTGAGTTTTAACATGACTCCATCCGCGTGCCATGCCAGGGGTGCTAGGAGCCCCATTCTCTGCTCACTGTGGTTAGAGACCCTGGGGTCGGAGTGGGGAGGGTGGTCATAGCGACGAAGCCAAAGCTCTACCTTTACTTGTCAGCATGAGTGACTTCATTGCAATGAGTCAAATGCAATGATGGCCTGGCCTGCTGTCTCAATGCTGATGCCCACTGGCCTTTCCTGGTAGATCCCAGGCTAGATGGAGAGGCAAGAACCCTAATTACAATCAGCAATAAGAGTCCCGCATTGTTAGAAATCAGAGGAAGATTTATGCATTGACTTTTCATTCTGTACAGAATTCATCTGCTGGGATCTCAGAAGTTTAGCAGATGCCCAGCATGATTTTTCCAGCCTGATGGGCCACAGCTGTCAGGGTGGAAGAGGAGCCTGGCAAGGTCACAGGGCAACTGATGGCACTTGGCTCGCTCTGACAATGAGGCCGTGGGGCTCAATCTGCCTTTTCCATACTACCCTCACAAGTCATTGCTGGGGCAGGCCAGCGGCCACTCCCCGCTCTCCCTGCTCGCAAAGGAAGGCTTCTCAGAAGGCCTTGCAGGGAGAGTCTCCTCCTTGCTGCACATCTGGGGCCACTGCTGCTGTTCTGAGGTTACACAGTCACTTAAGTGGTGATGAAGCCTGAATGATACAGCCTCTCTAAAGTAGGTCCCACATGACTTCAATAGCGTGCTCATTTCTTATATGTTATCTGTTGACTCCAGAATGTCTACCTAATTGGAGTGAGCTTTTGCCTAAAATGAGCATTGGGGCGGGGGATATTGGAAACTTTATTTTCAAAGATCAAAATTTTAGTCAGCGATATGTTGGGGTTAGGGCAAAAGATACATCAACTCAACTATAAATACTCCAACGCTAGTAGTTTCACTGGACACAAATGACTGGCAAGTCTTTATAAAGTCCAGGTGTTCCAGAAATAGCCTTGTGAATATGGGAAAATGACCTGCAGTGATTATATAAGAAGTTTGGCCTTTATCTGAAACAAAACAGTGTTATTCTTGGATATGGCACCAAAAACATAGGCAATGAAAGGAAAAAAGATAAATACAAGTAGATCAAAATTAAAAACTGTGCATCCAAGGCCACCATCAAGACAGTTAAAAGGCAAGCCAAAGAATGGGAGAAGATATTTTCAGTCATATATCTGAAAAGAGGTTAATATTCAGAATAGATAAAGAACAACTACAACTCAACAACAAACCAAACTGAATAAAAAAATTGATAAAGGACTTGCCAAAGCCATTTCTCCAAAGAAGATACACAAATGTATCTTTACAAGATACAAGAAGAGATGCTTGACATCTCCAGTCATCAGAGAAATGCAAATCAAAACTAAAACTGCAATGAGATAGCATTTCACACCCATTAGGATGGCTATTATCAAAAAAGGGGGAAATAACAGGCATTCAAAAAACAGTGGAAAATAACAAGTGTTGACAAGGATATAGAGAAATTGGAACATTTGCATGTCACTGGTGAAAATGTATAATGGTGCAGTGCTTTGGAGGACAGTATGACAGTTCCTAAAGAGATTAAACAGAGAATTGCCATATGACACACCATTCCACTTCTGGGCATATACCCAAAAGAACTGAAAGCAAGTGCTCAAATAGATATTTGTACATAAGTGTTCACAGCTGGGCATGGGGCCCACGCCTGTAATCCTAGCACTTTGGGAGGCTGAGGTGGGTGGACCACCTGAGATCAGGAATTTGAGACCAGCCTGGCCAACATGGTGAAACCCAGTCTCTACTAAAAATACAAAAAATTAGCCGGGTGTGGTGATGGATGCCTGTAATCCCAGTTACTCGGGAAGCTGAGGTAGGAGAATCGCTTGAACCCGGGAGGCGGAGGTTGCAGTGAGCCGAGATTGCGCCACTGCACTCCAGCCTGGGCAACAAGAGCAAAACTCCATCTCAAAAAAAAAAACAAAAAAAACAAAAAAACAAAAAAAAAACAAAATATGTTCACAGCAGCATTATTCACAATTCCGAAAGGTGAAAACAGCTCAAAAGGTCCATCCACAGATTAACGAAATGTGGCATACACAGAGAGCTATTATTCAGCCTCAAAAAGAAATGAAATTCTGATACATGCTACAGCACCATGAACCTCAAAAACATTAACTAAGTGAAATGAGCCAGATAAAAAAGAACAAATACTATATGATTCCACTTACATGAGGTACCTAGAGTAGCCAAATTCATAGAAACAAAGCAGAATAGTGCTTACCAGGAGTAGGGGAAAGGAAGTTAGTGTTTAAGGGGCATAATTTCTGTGATGGATGGTGGTGATGGTTGCACAACTATGTGAATGGACCTAATACCACTGAATTGTACACTTAAAATGGATAAAATGGTAAACTGTGAGCTATGTATATTCCACAATAAATATTAATTTTGAAAAAACAGATTCTAAACCCCCAACCTGCTCCCAGTGCAGGCTGAAAGGGAAGCTGCCCGCTTGTGCCCAGATGGGCCCCTGAGCCATGTGGCTCTGCTTTTTCCCTGTCTGGTTACGGCTCAGCAAAATGTGACGTGATATGAAAACTCCATCCCTTACCAATTTAGCAGCATTTGATTTGTTTCTATATCTAAGGAAAATACAACCTTAACAAGGTTATGCTACCACTCACTATGGGCTCCCTTCTGAAAACCCAGGCTCCACAATGCCATCGCTCAGCTGAGTGTTCCTGGCAGGCTCTCTGAGTGGGTGAGTTTTGGAGAGTCCTGAAGCCCTCCTAGATCTGACCAAGAGAGACCAAAAGGCTCTTCTTGGCCAAAAGTTTGTCAGTGAGCATGCTCGGTGCAGCAGCTAAATGCTAGGCACGTGAGAGGCATTTGGGGACCTTAGAGGGAAGCTTAGTGACGCTGATGGAGTGACAGAGGCAGGGTTGTCCCATGCAGCCTCCCAGGGCTGGTTCCAGAGTCTAGACTGGTGCAGGCTCAGGCAGTCTGGGTCTGTCCAGTGCCTGCCCAGGAATGGGCTGGCTGGGATGGGAGGGTGGAGGGGTGGAGTAGGTGCTACAGTGTCTCATGAGAAATCAAGGTCATTTCTGAAAACTCATCCCGGCCCCCATCCATTAGCATCTGATTGTTATTGAGACTGTGTTTTAATTTGTTCTTCATCCCCATTTTTATAACAAATTTAACACCAATCACTGATCTCTGGTCAGGGGTGAATATTAAATCCTTAAATCATGTTTTTGGATGCTGTGCTAAGCAAGATGGGCTCAATTTACTTCTAATTTTTTTGTTTAATTTTATTTAATTTCCACCTTAACGTTTCCTTGTATTAAAAGCCTCATTCTAGACCACAGCTCTGCCTTCTTGAGAATAAGGTCTATTGTACATGTGAAAAACACAGAGAAAAATGACACAATGGAAAAGAAGAAAGTGGAGCTTACAGATAAAGGGGTAATTAGAACCTTGCTGAACAAAGGAAATGTAATGAAAGGGTGGTGTTTGAAATGCATTGGCATGTTACTGTATATAGAAGTATGAACTTTTCCTAATCTTGTTTTCAATATTTCCTAGATCCTTCTTGCAAATGTACACTATGCTGAGCAAAGTAAAAATCTGAGCTGACTTGTGTTTATATGTTACCAACTTTAACATTAGGTTTAATCTAGATTAGGCAGTTAAATCCTTACTTCAATCTCCCCAAAAAAGGAACACCAAGCAATAAGGGGCAGACCCTAGTGGCCAGAGGCAGCCTTAGGTAAGAACAGGTGAGATCAAGGTGTCTCAAGGCAATAGATAAGGACTGTTCTCTTCTCTTGATTCTATGATGCCACAAAAAGCAAACGGTCTGGCAAACTACAGTTGCAGGTCAAATCTGGCCTCATGCTTTTAAGTTTTTTCCATGTTTGTGTTTTTTATACTTTTAAATGACTGAAAAAAAATCCAAAGAATAATATTTTGTGACATGTTCATATGTTATGAAATTGTTTAGAATGCGGCCACACTCATTCATTCATTCACATATATCCTGTGACTGCTGTCATGCTACAGTGGCACAGCTGAGTAGCTGTAACCAAGATTGTGTGGCCCACAGAGCCTAAACTAGTTACTACGTGGCGCACTACAGAAGTTCGCTGACCCATGGATTGGAAGGCATCTCACAGATTCAATAACAGCTTTTGAACGAACAGGTTTTGTTTGTTAAAATATATAAATCAAGTATACAATGTCTCCATCTTATTTAGGATTTAGTAGTTTTCAAAACTACTAAAACGTTGGGGAAAAGAGGTCTCCAAATTAAGTGATATGGTGGTACTTAGATCTGGCTTTCCTCTTACCATACAGATTCTTCTAGCCTTTAGGAAACGCCTTAGAAAGAATCCTAGCACCTATGGGCATAAGGCTAGGTAACCGAAGACGTCATGCAACTTAAAGGTTCCAGAATTTGTCATTCAAATAGACAACCTCTGTCATACATGTCTCACATTTTTGGCTGTTCCTTCAGGAGTCATTTCCCTTTAAGCCTACATTTCCTGGGGGTTACATATATTCACAGTCGATCCTCGATATCCATGGTAGCTAACTGTCTTACAAAGTCACCTGAACACTGATTTAACGAATACTGAACAATTGCTCCTAGGGGAAATACAGGGTTAGGTTCCCACAAGCTGCTGAGCTGCCCCTGTAGGGTTGACAAGAATTGCACGCCAGGTTCTGGAAAGAAATATAGTTATAATTAAGTATTAATCGTGCTGCACTTTGGCCCACTTCCTACTTGCTAAAAGTCACATAGCATTAGATACTGACCATACAGACAGGATCTCTTGACACTAGAATCAAAGGCTTTTGTTTAAGGATCGCTTAAGACAAGCCTGTCCTGTCCAACCCATGGCCCACGGGCTGTATGTGGCCCAGGACGGCTTTGAATGCGGCCCAACACAAATTCATAAACTTTCTTAAAACATGATGAGACTTTTTTGCGTTTTTTTTTGTTTTTTTTTTTTTTTTTAAGCTCATCAGCTGTCGCTAGTGTTAGTGTATTTTATGTGCAGCCCAAGACAATTCTTCTTCCAATGTGGCCCAGGGAAGCCAAAAGACTGGACACCCCTGGCTTAAGATGTTTTTCAGACCCTGAATTCCTGCAACCGGTTTGAAGACTCCCACAGAGGAACAGGATCAGCATGAGAATATGGCTTCTTCATCTCCCTGTTCAGCGACTTCCCCCTGTACTCTTCGACCAATCAATGACCTCCACACTTCCGCCCACTCCCAAGCCCTTAAAAACCCCTGCCCCAAACTCCTGGGGAGATGGATTTGAGGTTTCCTCCCATCTCCTCTTTTGGTGTGACTCTGATTAAACCTCTCTGCTGCAATCCAGTGTCTTGGTGTATTGACTTGCTGTGTGCATCAGGCAATAACCTATTACGGTTACATTGCTGGTCGCAACTTTTTCAACAAATGACCAATATATAACCTTGTTTTATGCATGTTTCTGTTTAAAGACATCTTATTTAATGTATACTGCCAATTCCCTAACATTGAACTCATGGCCAATAGCACTGTAACTCAGGCCTGAAGGATGCTTCTTTAACACACATATTTTCTCCATAAGCCACGTCATAGTTTTCTTGCACTTAGGAACATAGACAGCACTGGGGCTCTATGCTTGTGGGCCATCTCAACAGTAGACTCACCAACAAAATGCACAAAAATGCAAAAAAAAACATGGCATGCAGTAGACCTCAAAAAGGATGAGTATTTACGGCATTAGAGCTGAAACAAGAGAGCAGAGTCACCTTGTTTGACCTTGCCAGGAACATGCACATTGGTGACAGGCATTTTTCACTGCTCTGCACATCTGGGAATGCCTGCAAAAGTGCCCTGAGCATTGATTTTAGGGCTACAAATACATTTTAGTGAGTAGGTGAAGTTGTAAATACAAAATCTGAGAATGATGAGTATTGACTGTCTGCAGTTTAACCCACATATACTTTCTAGTCCCTTTATGACCTTGATAAACTTAATTGGTCAATTGGCATCTTCCTAGCCTTTTAAATATCAATCATTTAAAACTATCTCCTCTATTTTATAATGACACTGACAATAACATTTCTCTATTGCTTAAGAGTGTCTCACTCCTTATGAAATTCCTTCACTATTTCCTTTTTGTATCAAATTAGGCCCTGGGTTTAAAAGTTCCTTTTTTATAGCATATCAGTGAGTCCCTTGTCTGCCTGAATTCTTATGTACTGCTCCACCCAAACTTTTTGTCTTTCCTATCTCTGCTGTCTTCTTCCCTGGCCACACCTGCAAGGTGTTCTACCCATTGCAAGCTGTACTGCAGGCTGAATTCTGACAAACACAATCTTAAACAGATTATATTATGCCTAGGCCAGGCTGCGTAACTGCGTAATTGGTGGGGCCCTGTGCAAAATGAACATAAGGGGTCCCTCGTTCAAAGTTTATTAAGAATTTCCAGATGGGAGCAGCAGAATATTATGCCAAGAGTGGGACTGCAAGGCCACACCCCCATGACACTTGGCCCTGGAGATGCCCACTTTATGGATAAGCCCAGAGTGACACCTAACCTATCAGCAATGGAGCTACCCAGGTGGAGGGCTGGGCTGCCACCCACAGGAGCCACCTGATGGCTCCCTCAGGTGCTTCTTTCCCTCCTGCCTCATTTATGAGCCCGTGAAAATGCATTTAATCACCCCATCTTAATTCCTTTCTCTATAAAAAGGATAAAAATAATCCAAGTAAGCATTACTATTATTTTCTTTTTATAGAGAAAGGAATTAAGACAGGAGGGTGATTAAGTTTAAATAGTAATATTTACTCATCCTCACCTCATGGAAACATTAGAAGGATTTAATGACAGGACTTAGAAAGAAAGACACTATGTAAATCCCAGGTATTACACAGTTATTATTATATTGTAAGAAGAGGGATTTGAGCTGCATAGGAGCGGGGGATTTATTGACACAGGTGTTAGACAATAAGATAGTTTCCCAAAATCTCCCCTAGATATATTTCAGATCAGGAAAAGATTCCTGTGTGTCAGGTTTGATTTAGATGTGATCTTCTAGAAACATAGCCTGTAGGACCTTCAGTGGTTTTTTTCTCCCTAAAATTTTTGTTTTTTCCAGAAAGATCACCCTGTGGCAGCACAAATCTCGCAGTCAGGTGGGAATGGAATGCCTGATTTCCTCCCATAATGAGGCAAGATCCTAGTTTTTCTGCAGTGTTCTTACAGAAAATTACTTGCTTATAAGTCTTCAAAACTAGCTGTGAACACAGGCACATGTTCTATGGGTTTGTAACCTGTGAAATATCAATGATGAAGCACGAGGAGCTGGTGATCATAAGAAAAATACTTTTTTCCCTTCTTTAAATAAACTGAGATCAAACACCGCTTTTAATTTTTGCCAGTTAAGGATTAAAAGAAACAGACGATTTTCTGTTGTCATTATAAATTCATAAGAGAAAGACGATCTTGGCACCAAAACAAACGAAGTGAAAACAAACAAAAACAGAGAATGGGAGAAAATATTTGCAAATCATAGATTGGATAAGGGGCCAATGTACAGAATATATAAAGAACTCCTACAGCTCAACAACAAAAAAACAAAAAATTGATAAAATGGGGCAAAGACTTGAAAGACGTTTCTTCAAAGAAGACTTACAAATGGCCATTAGCGCCTGGAAAGGTATTCAACATCACTAATCAGGGAAATGCAAATCAAAACTACAATGAGTTACCACTTCACAAGCATGAAGATGAGCACTAAAAAGAAATCCCAGAAAATAACAAGTGATCACAAGGATGTGGAGAAATTAGAATCCTTGTTCACTGTTGTTAGCAATGAAAAATGGTGTATCTGCTGTGGAAAAGTTCGGTGTTTCCTCAAAAAAATAAATGCAGAATTATATGATCCAGCAATCCAGTTTCTGGGAATATTCCTAAAAGAATTGAAAGCAGAGTCTCAAAGAGATATTTATACATCCATGTTCATAGCAGCACTATTCACAATAGGCAAAAGGTGGCAACCCAAATGTCTCTTGACAGATTAGCAGGCAAACACAGTGTGGTGTATACATACAATGAAATATTATTCAGCCTTATAAAGGGAGTAACTCTGACATCTGCTGCAACATGGACGAACTTGGAGGACATTATGCTAAGTGAAATGAGCCAGTCATAAAAAGACAAATACTGTATGTCTCCTCACATGAGCTACTCCCAGTAGTCAAATTCATAGAGACAGAAAGAGGGGAAGGGGGAGTTTTAGTTTTGCAGGACAAAGAGCTCTGGAAATTGGTTGCACAACAATGTGAATGTACTCAACACCCACACTGTACACTGAAAAACGGTTAACATGGTACATTTTATGCTTGTGTATTTTACAATTAAAAATAAAATAATAAAAAAGCATAAACTCCTATGTGGACATTCCCCCTTCTCATTTCTGTAAAACATAGTACAATTGCATCTTAAAATGTTGCCTGGCTGTTGACCAACTGTTGGTAAGCACTATGAATTGTCTAAAAACCAGCCGCTGGGAAAACATTAACCTTCTTGAAAGAGGTAAGTATATTACCCAGGTTTTGCATTAAGTCAGCCACGAAAGCTATGATCAAGCACGAAAGACTGAAGAAGATAGAGGTTCTGTGGCTGCAAGTGGAAATGAACAATCATAATTAAGGTGTAATGTGAAAGTGATGGGAGAGGAAGGGTTCAGGACCTGCATCATTGAACTAAATCATGACTTAAAAAAGAAGATCAGCTCAGAAGCCTCATAGCTGCCTTTGATGCTGAACTCTTCACATGTGTGATATATACACATCCTCACATATATACACATATATGCATACAGTACATAATAAAGCCAGCCATGGTCTGGAATAGAGTTTCGGGATTATTTACAAAGATAGGCTTGTTAAGCTGATGGGATTTCTTAGCCAGGCTTAAACATATAAACACAAAGACATTGTATATTCTCTCAACCACATTCGAACTGCTCACTTACATACATCCCACCATTTAACAGAAAGAGCCATCATTCTCTTCTATTTATTAAGGCAATTTTACTAAGGAGCTTTGCTGGACAACACTCTCAATATTAAAAAAAAAAAATGGACTGCTGTCCCTGTTTGCTTTGTGGCTTCTAATATAGATACTGGAAACCCCGTGAGCATTACCATGCCTTGAGTCGATCCACTATTCTTCACAACCACCTCCCAGTTGCTATGGCTACTGAAAGTTGTTCAGGCCATTTGCTAACTGACCTTTCTGCAGCTTCTTCCCCTCAGGCCCCTCGTTGGCAAAATGGGGCACACACTCTCTTTTCTGGCTTGTCCTGAATGTCCCCATTCTGCCTCCTTTTCTTCCTTTAGCAGCAGCGCTTTCCCAGACTTTTTGCAGCCACCTCCCCATTTGACCACAGTGTTTCCTCTGGACCCTCTTCCGTTCTGTGCCCTCTTCTTGAGCTGCACCAACAGCTGGGCAGTTCCATCCACTCCCAGCTTCAGTGACCACTCACATGCTGCCGCCTCCCACATCTGCAGCAGCAGGCTGCCTTCCTCACCTTGATCCACAGAACTCAGTGTCTACCTGCTATTTCCTCCAGAATGTCCTAAAGGTCTTTCAAATCCTGTACGTCCTAAACAAGCTCTTCATCCCCCCTCCCAGATCTCCTGGCCCTGAGCCCCCTCCTCTGGGCAGGTGCTACCTTGCCCAGCTATCTACTTCCAACTCTGGGGAGTTCTCTTTGACTTGCTCTCTCCTCTCTCAACCTCCCCATCCCTTTCATCACCAGGAGTCATCATTCCACCACCTGAACCTCTCTTGGTGCTCCTGCCCCAGCTTGGCTCTACCAGCTCTCACCTGAACCACAGCACCAGCATCCCAACTGGGACGCTGCCTCCTGCCCCTCCTGGATCCTCTAGAATCTGTCAGACAGCACCATTCAGCACAACCTTCTGCACAGCTTTCTGTTGTCATTATAAACAGAATGGTGGCAACTAGCCACATGTGGCTGTGGGGCACCTGAAATGCAGCTAGTGTGTTCAGGAGACTCATTTTCCATTTTACTTAATTTAAATGTAAAGAGCCCCACACGACGGTGGAAATGGCGTTGGACAGATCAGCTCCAGATTCTCTACAGATGTGGTGAAAATGCCTCAACAGCTTCCTAGACCTGGCTTACGGATTCCATCACTGTCTCCCTCCTCTTTCTCTCCATTCGTCCCATGGCTCTCTTGGATACAAGGACATTCTCTATTTCTCAAAATCAGCATGCTTCTCCCTCCCTTGGGATGTTAACTCCTTTGGCTTAGAATAGCTTCCATCTATGTGGCAAACCCCGACTTGACTTTTGGGTCGCAGCTAAGCAGTCTTTTCCCTTGCCTCATGCCATGGCCCCTTCTCTACCCTGCCACTTCCCTTTCCAGATACTCCACCCGTGGTCCTGACACTCCGTATCACACCACCTTTCATGCCGGGTTTTCAATCCAGTTTAGGTGTCTATATTCCCCATCAGACTGCAAGCTCTGTCCTCACAGAGGACATAGGCCCCAGGTCTCTCATGTGGTTGTTGTATCCATAGTGCCTGTGCTGTGCCTGGCATGGTAGAGGCTACCACGTGTGCCTCCCCTGCCAGTAGACTCACGGCCCAAAAGCCAGGCCCTCCCTCCGGGAAGCAGGGCCACTCAGTAGCCCTTTCTTTGCACGTACCCGTAGAGGCTGTTTAGAAGGGTAACTGACAGAGATGGCTCGTTTCACAGAGTGAATAACAACTGGACACTGAAAAATCTCTTTTTTAATGTAGCGTTCTGGTTATGAAAAGCCTCTTTCCAACAAGTTTGAGAGAAACAGTCACTGAGCAATTCTGCTGCCTCTCGCTCTATGAACCTATTCCAAACCCTAGGGGAGCTCCGAGAGATACAACCATGGCCACTGATTGATGCTGCCCTTAAACCATTAATGTGGTGACCGAAGAAGGAACACATAAGGATGCCCTTTCTACCTCTACGCGGAGTTACATATTCCAGTCAGACTCCACGGCCCCAGCTGCAGGCATGTAACAGACACCAGTCCTTGGCTTGTCCAGACCTCCCCATACCACACCTCAAGGCATCTAGGCCATGCTTTTCCTTCACGCTGAAATCACATTTTCACCTATTATTTCCTATTTACCACCCATTATTAATTATATTTGTTGCATTTTCCCAATTATACAAATATAAAGATGCTTTATATGAAAATAAGCATCCATTGGCACAAGTCAGCCAGAGCAATGTATTCTGAACTAGGCTATCCTTGTGAAAGAAGAAATTTGTAAATGTAATTGCCAGCTCTTATCTACTTTAGGAATTCAAACTTGGCTCCACCACCTCTCACTGTAAGCCCTTAGTAATCATTATAGAGATAATGTAAGCCCTTAGCAATTGTTCCATTACCCACTAGGCAATGAGTAAGATCTCCCATGTCAGTTATTCATTTAATTTGAAATCTTTACACCTATGAAGATGTCCTTTTCAAAAAGAGTGAGATTTGTTTGTTTTTTTGTGTTTTGGTTTGGTTTTTTTTTTTTTTTTTTTTGCATAATTTATGTCCTCCCCTCTCCCTTGGTGTCTTGGAAGAGAAGGCTTTGCTACCAGTTAGCTGACTATGGAATAAATGATTCTTCCTTTACTTAGAGCCTTCTTAGTCATGGCCTTGTCAAAGAAGAAAGCAGCATAACACCGCTAACAATTATAATAAATAGTTTAGCTTGGTGAGAGAGAATGTGGCTTTGAATCTCGATCTCTCGATGTCTCTTACATACACATTCATGGTACTACCAGCTCTGGGTACTTTATTACAGACATAGAAGCAAGTAGCCTTATTTCATTGTCACCTGAGCAACAGGAAGAGAGGGTGAACATTTGTTCAGTGCCTGTTATGTGGTAGATGTCTTGGTTCTTGTGTTATTTCATTCACTTCCCCAAACTTCCTACAAGATGGGTATTATTACTGCCTTACAGTTGAAGAAACCGAAAGCCAAAAACTGAAGTAAAGCACCAAGATGGCTGAAAGAAAGGGCAACCTAGCACCAGAGGCCACACTCTTTCTGTTGTCCGCAGTGGTCTCATTTCCATGGCAGGCTTCTATTTTGGCCTCAGAACATTTCCTGAGGAGAAACTTTGCCTGAGTGGAAAGATATAAGACAGAATAAAATATGAAGTGAGTGGGCTATCCAAGTAAATGGTGGACATAGCCAAATGTGCAGCTTCCATTCTTCCATATGAGGTTTAAAGTAGGTTTGTGTCTCCCTCTAAGTCCCCTCTAGTGTGATCCTGAGGGAAATTACCAGGACCACAGCGAGATGCAAAAGCACCCACTAATTATATGAACTATGACTCTCTCAAAATAATGTGTGAATAAAAAATAATAAAGGGGACATCACCACTGATCCCACAAAAATACAAACTACCATCAGAGAATACTATAAACACCTCTATACAAATAAACTAGAAAATCTAGAAGAAATGGATACATTCCTGGACACATATACCTTCTCAAGACTATATTGAATCCCTGAATAGACCAATAACTAGTTCTGAAATTGAGGCAGTAATTAATAGCCTACCAACCAAAAAAAGCCCAGGACTAGACGGATTCACAGCCGAATTCTACGGGAGGTACAAAGAGGAGCTAGTACCATTCCTTCTGAAACTATTTCAAACAATAGAAAAAGAGGGAATCCTCTGTAACTCATTTTTATGAGGCCAGCATCATCCTGATACCAAAACCTGGCAGAGACACAACAAAAAAAGAAAACTTCAGGCAAATATCCCTGAGGAACATCGATGTGAAAATCCTCAATAAAATACTAGCAAACCGAATCCAGCAGTACATCAAAAAGCTTATCCACCACGATCAAGTTGGCTTCATCCCTGGGATGCAAGGCTGGTTCGACATACACAAATCAATAAACATAATCCATCACATAAACAGAACCAAAGACAAAAACCACATGATTATCCCAATAGATGCAGAAAAGGCCTTCGATAAAATTCAACATCCCTTCATGTTAAAAACTCTCAATAAACTAGGTATTGATGGAACATATCTCAAAATAATAAGAACTATTTATGACAAACCCACAGCCAATATCATACTGAATGGGCAAAAGCTGGAAGGATTCCCTTTGAAAACTGGCACAAGACAAGGATGCCCTCTCTCACCACTCCTATTCTACATAGTACTGGAAGTTCTGGCAAGAGAAAGATATAAAGGGTATTCAAATAGGAAGTGAGGAAGTCAAATTGTCACTGTTTGCAGATGACATGATTCTATATTTAGAAAACCCCATCATCTCAGCCAAAATCTCCTTAAGCTGATAAGCAACTTCAGCAAAGTCTCAGGATATAAAATAAATGTGCAAAAATCACAAGCATTGCCATACACCAACAATAGGCAAGCAAAGAGCCAAATCATGAATGAACTCCCATTTACAACTGCTACAAAGAGAATAAAATACCTAGGAATACATCTTACAAGGGATGTGAAGGACATCTTCAAGGAGAACTACAAACCACTGCTCAAGAAAATAAGAGAGGACACAAACAAACGGAAAAACATTCCATGCTCATGGATAGGAAGAACCAATATTGTGAAAATGGCCATACTCCCCAAAATAATTTATAGATTCAGTGTTATTCCCATTAAGCTACCATTGACTGTCTTTGCAGAATTAGAAAAAACTAATTTAAATTTCATATGGAACCAAAAAAGAGCCCGTATAGCCAAGACAATACTAAGAAAAAAGAAAAAAGTTGGAGGCATTATGCTGCCTGAATTCAAACTATACTACAAGGCTACAGTAACCAAAACAGCATGGTACTGGTACCAAAACAGATATATAGACCAATGGAACAGAACAGAAACCTCAGAAATAACACTGCACATCTACAACCATCTTTTGACCAACCTGACAAAAACAAGCAATGGGGAAAGGATTCCCTATTTAGTAAATGGTGCTAGGAAAACTGGCTAGGCATATGCAGAAAACTGAAACTGGACCCCTTCCTTACACCTTATACAAAAATCAACTCAAGATGGATTAAAGACTTAAACGTAAAACCTAAAACCATAAAAACCCTAGAAGAAAACCTAGGCAATACCTTGCAGGACATAGGCATGGGCAAAGATTTCATGAGTAAAACACCTAAAGCAATGGCAACAAAAGCCAAAATTGACAAATGAGATTTAATCACGCTAAAGAGCTTCTGCACATCAATAGAAACTATTATCAGACTGAACAGGTGACCTACAGAATGGGAGAAAATTTTTGCAATCTACCCATCTGACAAAGGTCTAATATCCAGAATCTACAAGGAACTTAAACAAATTTACAAGAAAAAAAACCAAAAACCCCATCAAAAAGTGGGCAAAGACCCTTCTCAAAAGACATTTATGCAGCCAGCAAACATGAAAAAAAGCTCATCATCACTGCTCATTAGAGAAATGCAAATAAAAACCACGATGAGATACCATCTCACGCCAGTCAGAATGGCAATTATTAAAAAGTCAGGAAACAATAAATGCTGGTGAGGCTGTGGAGAAATAGGAATGCTTTTACACTGTTGGTGGGAATGTAATTTAGTTCAACCATTGTGGAAGACAGTGTGGTGATTCCTCAAGAATCTAGAACCAGAAATACCATTTGACTCAGCAATCCCATTACTGGGTATATACCCAAAGGATTATAAATCATTCTACCATAAAGATGCATGCACACGTATATTTATTGCAACACTATTTACGACAGCAAAGACTTGGAACCAACCCAAATGCCCATCATTGATAGGCTGGGTAAAGAAAATGTGGCACATAAACACCATCGAATACTACACAGCTATAAAAAAGGATGAGTTCATGTCCTTTGCAGGGACATGGATGAAGCTGGAAGCCATCATTCTCAGCAAACTAATACAGGAACAGAAAAGCAAACACTACATGTTCTCACTCATAAGTGGGAGGTGAACAATAAAAACACATGGACACAGGGAGGGGCACAACACAAACCGGGGCCTATTTGGAGGTCAGGGACAAGGGGAGGGAGAGCATTAGGACAAACACCTAATGCATGTGGGGCTTAAAACCTAGATGATGGGTTGATAGGTGCAGCAAACCACCATGGCACATGTATACCTACATAACAAACCAGCACATTCTGCACATGTATCCCAGAACTTAAAGTAAAATAAAAAATAAAAATAATAATAATTTGTGAACAGTCTCTGCTGCTTGTAGCAGTATGTCATTTGTGGTTATTGTGTCACTGACTGTTTTTTGTTTTTTGTTTTTTTTATTTGAGACAGGTATTGCTCTGTCATCCAGGCTGGAGTGCAGTGGTGCAATCTTGTCTCACTGCAGCCTCTGCCTCCTGGGCTCAAACAATCTTCTCACCTCAGCCTCCCAAGTAGCTGGTACTACAGGCACGCATCACCACACCCGGCTAATTTTGTATTTTTAGTAGAGATGGGGTTTCACCATGTTGGCTGGGCTGGTCTCTAACTCCTCACCTCAAGTGATCTGCCCACCTCCACCTCCCAAAGTACTGGGATTACAGCTGGGAGCCACTGCACCCAGCCATGTCAATGATACTTAATGCCCTTTTGACCTAAAGAATGACATCTCCCCAGTGTGTACATGTAGTATTTTCTGTACCACCAGATTTCTGTTCCTCACACTACCCACCTTGCCCCTCTTGGAGCAGGGAAGCCATGGCTCCCAGAGCCTGGCTAGAGAAGAGCCACGTCAGCTTCTAGCATGGCCCCTGGAGACACAGAAAGCAGCTATTCAGCAATGGGATCCTCAGAGGCCTTCCTTCTGTCGTGCAGAGAAGAGCATCTGAGTGACACACTGACCCCCACCCACCCCAGGGGTAGGTTCCCATCCAGGTCTAATGGTCGTACACAGAAGCAAACGCCTCCAAGCCAAGGCCTGCTCAGCTCATGTTGAGGCCAACTAACATTTTGTTTTGGGATCTGCTACACACACATGATGTTTTAATACAAAACAAGGTTGACTGCCTTCAAGATGTAACCCTGCACCTCACAGAAACGATGAATTCCAGAACGTGCCAGGGAAGATGCAAACAAATCTGGAGCGCCGGAGGGTGGTGCAGCTGTCCCTAACATTCCTATATGATGGTTTTCTGATCTCTGAAATGCAGCCCAGCCTAAAAACGAGCAGCTGCTATCAGCCACAAGTGTTCTCTCCTCATAATGGCAGCGTCCGGAGCACTCAGCAGTGAGTCAAGGAAGTTCTGGCTGCCACCAGCTATCTAGGAACCTTAAGAAATCATTCTGTGGGGCTGTTTCTTCTTCCATTAAATAAGGATCCTCTGATGCCCCCTTGGAAGTTTTCCATGACTCCTGCCCAGCACAGCTCCTCCACTTTCTTCACAAGGCTTGGTACCAATGTAGAATAAGTGTCAGTGAGCCCACAACTCCACCTCCTCGGAGGTCCCAGCATGCTGCCCTGTGACCTCCAGGTGCTGTCTGGCTGCCCTGTCTGGGGGTGTCTCCCTCCTATGACACTGCCTGGCACTTTTAGACACTCAAGTATTTGTTGAATGAGATGAATATCGTCCTCTATCGATTACTAAGGACAGACTTTCTGTTTGCATTGGCCCACTGGTCCTGGGAATGTGGCAAGGGCTCACCAGCAGATCAGTATATAAACATACATGCTCTCAAGGGTCCCACCATCCAGGGAACTGGTTTGAATACCTGATTACTTTCTACCTTGCATTATGCTCCAGTCACCTCTGTAAACTAAGCTTATTTACCATTCTACCAACACATATGCGTACCATGTGGAAGAAATCCATGTATGTCCCGAAAGTTGTGTGCATGTGTCCTGAGGGCTGGCACACTATGCACACTATTTATCAGGGGTCAGGTTGCTATCTTATTTATTGTTATCCTCTGCAGCACTGTCTATACTGCTAGGCAGGAGGCACATTTTTACTAAGTGTGTATACTGACATAAAATTACAACATATGTTTAATAGGAAAAGGGCAATTTTTGCATCAAGAGGTACTATTAATATCATCTTTGTTACTTACTGTTCTACACAATTACCATAACATAAATAGTCCTTGATCTCTCTAAGAATGAATAGAAGTTAGCAATAAATTCATTAGAAATAAGCTTCTTTCCCTCATAGGAAATTGCTATCCTTAGTAAGAGCTAAAAAATTATTATTGTCAATTCTTTCTAGTAGAGTAAGGATTCTATATGCTTTACATATGACACCTAAACATTTACAATGCAAAACTACATTTACTCCTAGTATCCTTACCACAGCTGCTTTGTTTGAAATATTTTTTTGGGGAAAGATTGACATTCAGAGGACTTATGATTCATTAAAGTTGTTAACTGATTCAAACACTCAACTATCAACCTGTTCTTTCAGAGAATGTTCCTTTCACCCACCTTGGGACCATTATTCCAGCACATATGTGTACCATGTGGAAGAAATCCATGTGTGTCCTGAGAGCGGCGTGGATGTGTCCTGAGAGCTGGCATACTACACACATGGTTTAAGCAGAACTTTGATCTACAGTCAAAGGTTCTTATGTGTGTGACCCTTAGAAACAAATGCTCTTTTTTCCACAAGGTGATCAGAACTAGGCTCTGAGTATAGAGCCAGCGCATTGTGTAGTTCTTTGTTCCCTTGAAGAAAATTCCACAACTGTTGATTCACTAATTTACTCTAATGAAAAAGCTGTAGGCAGTCTCAAGTCTGAGTAAGTGTGAATGTTAGAAAGGTCCCTCTAGACTTAAAATGCATTTTTCAATGCTCTGTTTGGAATAGGAATATAAATAGAGTATTCAAGATGCTTCTGTCAGGCCCCCTTTAAGATCAAACATTTTTGATATTTCAAAATAAAGCTTTTAGAATTAAAATGATTCTAATGATTCTAAAGAAGTGGTATTCTTCTTCCAGCCAAGGTGGAGTGAGATGAACTGAAACTACCCTTCCATTTGAAACAACCAAAAGTTCTCAAAATAAAGACCATGAAAAAATGATTTCCAAGACACAGGCTATCAGTGAAGGATAGTAATGCTAGAAGGAAACATAGAGAAAAGCTCCATGACACTGGCTTACACTAGGGCTTCTCAGATACAGCCCTGAAAGCACGACCCATACAGAAAACAATCATCAACTGGACTTCGTTAAAATTACAAACTCCTGCTCTTCAAAAGACATTGCTAAGAGAATGAAAAGATCAGCCACGCTGGGAGAAAATACTTACAGTCATATATCTGGATTTGTATCCAGAAAATATAAAGAACCCTCAAAACTCAGCAGTCAGAAAACAAATTATCCAATTATGAAAAATGAGCCAAAGAGTTGAACAGGCACTTCACCAAAGAAGATATAAAGATAAATGAGCATATGAAAAGATGTTCACCATCATCAATCTTTTCGTAAGTGAAAACCACAGTAAGATACCACTATGCAGCTATTAGAATGGCTGAAAGTAAACCGACTAACCACGCCAAGAGTTGGCAAGGGTATGGAGCAATCTGAACCTCATATGCTTCTTGTGGGAACAGTAAATTGTTCAACCATTTTGGAAAACCATTTGGCAGTTTCTTAAAATATGAAAATATACCTGCCATATTACCCAGGTATTCTACTACAAGGCATTCATCCAAGAAAGGAGAAAGTATATGTCTGTACAAAGACTTGTACATAAAGGTTCAGCATGGCTTTATTTGTAATAGCCTCCAAGCTGGTAACAACCCAAACAACCATCAATAGGTGACTGCACAAATTAATTGGGGGAAAATCCATACAATGGGAAACTACTTTGCAATAAGAAAAACACGACAAATTATTTATATATGAAATGGAATGAGTGAATCTCAACGTTACTATGCTAAGTGAAGGAAGCCAGACCAAAAAAGACTACATACTGCATTGTTGTATTTATATGTAACACCAGAAAATGCAAACTAATCTCGATTCACAGAGCGATATAGAAAGTAATTGAGGAGAAGGAGTGTAGGTGGAAAGATTGAAGGAAGGCTGGAGAAAACTTCTGGGGTGATAGATATATTCGCTATCTTGATTGTGGTGATAATTTCACAGGTGTGCATAGAAGTCAAAACTTATAAAATTGTGGACTTTAAATTTGTTCAGTTTATTCTATATCAGTTATACCTCAATTAAGAAACCCCCACAGACACTAATTTACTTTGGGAAACTTTGCATAAAATCAGCATTTATGATACAGCCGTTCAAAAAACTATTCATTGAGTTCCTATCTATGCCAAGCACTGTGCTGGTGGGGGAAAAAAAAAAACTAGCAAAGGAGGTTTTGACCCATGGACCACTAGGTGAGGCCTTAGTGTTTCCATTGTGCTATGCTGCTTAAGAAAAGTCAATTCCAAAGGGCTTTTGAAAAACCAAGTTTAACTTCTGTTGTAAGCCTCATTACATGGAAATTGTTTCAGAATGTTTCATCTATAATCACATGAATTTTGATATTGCACTTGTGCCTAACTGTACAAATAAGAGAACTTACGAAAGAACCACAAAACCTCCATTCTATTCTCTACTCAGAGGGCCTTTCAATGAAATTAACAGACGAAAGTAAATCTGCTATGTGTTCTCATGTAGATGATCTGTGGTTTCAACATAAAAGGAGTGGGAAGACTTTGCTCCAGTTCCCTGCATTTCCTTTTGTGTGAGTCATGAAGAGCATAATTTGCTGTGTTCCCCAAAGCCTTGCTTGCCATCATCTCTTATTTCTAAGATTTTCCACTAAGTCACACTCTTTAAGCCACTGACAATTAGCAAAACTATTTATCACTGAGTTCGCCTTGTGGGAATTTGACTTCTGTCATATGAAAAGTTCAGATAAAGCAGAGGTAAATGATATGCACAGGGTCTCAGTGTAAAACACTGGAAAGTGACATTCTTTTATCAATCAACCTTATGCCATTAGTTACCACAGAGAGATAACATTCCGCTGGCATAATGGAATTTCTAAAAGATGGACCATTATTTCCATAATAATACCATTATAATACTGGTCATCAATGATGCCTGTCAACATTTTCCTTAATAGAAAAATATTTTTAAAAGAGTTTCCTACTCAGATCTTACAGGATGAACTTGGGCAATAAATTCTCCAAAAGAAAGTATGGAAACTTCACAAATATGAAGAACTAAATTAGCATGACTGCGTACAACATCGTTTGAGCCGGAATTGGAGAAGCTGCTTGCAAAATAAAACAAGAAGCATATTTTAAATGACATACAAAGCAAGTTATCCAAATCAATATTTTGTAGAAACTGCTAAAACCACCTCGGCTATATCTATAATTGATTAAATTAGAAACAAGCTTAGAATCTCCTTTCTGTATTGACACAAGACAAGAAAGGTGACTCCTATGAAGAATAATGAATATAAGACTCAAAAGTTGGCAAAGATTGAGATGATCCAGGCTGGCCCTGAACCACTAATAATGTTTTTGAAAGATTGGGTTATTAGATTAACAGTTGTAGAAGATGGACACTATTTATGCAATGTTAAAGCAAACATTTTTATTAACCAAACATTTCCTAAATTGCAAGCAAAAATGTGAAACTCAATCTGACACCTGTAGCAAATCTGAGGGCCTTCCCTGGTCCAGGGCATACTCTCTGCTGCAAATGAGGTTTGTTCCAAAGGTTATTTGAAAAAAAAAAAATTCCTTAATCAGTTTTTAACTCTTGCTGCTTTCTATCAGATGATTTACTCTGATTCTTCCCAAAGCCCTGTGTATGGCAGATGCACCTGACAGCAATAACTCAAGCATACCCTGAGAATAACCCTATGGTTTAAGAAGAATATGTGTTCGGAGTTCTAAGCTAAGGAATCTGAGAGTGGCCAACCTGGAGATTCACTCCTAATCTATAGAGGACATCCGAATCCCTGGCCCATTCTTTGGAATGCAGGTCGTCCAGGGGATCGAGGCCCTTTGTCATGGGTTACATGGAGGTTGCTAGGCGAAAATGCTATATAACCTGAATGCTTTTTATAAATGGGAGTGGTTTTCTGGCACTACTCTTGGCCCATCCTGTATGTAAGTACCCAATAAACCCTATGTCTCATTCCCTGGCTCTGGGTCTCTTCTTCAGCCCCTTGGACATGGCGATATCCTTAATGGAGTCAACAGAGGTCTAGCATGACACCCTGAAAACTCTCAGTCTCTGTTTCCTTTGGTCAGCAGTGTGTATGTGGTTGCTGATCCTTCACTTAGGAACCAAGGAGGGGCTCTACTCACGTCATGCATGGAGTCCAGCAGCTTGGTCAGTTGGTAGAACCTCTGCCAGCTCTGCCCAGAATTGTTGGGACACTTAGTTACCATCTTCCTCAGTTCTTTGATGTAATTTGTCCTCATTTCTTCAAATGCAGCCTGGCTTTTGAGGCCATCCTTTGGAACTGTGTTAAGGAAAACAGACATGTAAATTTCCAGGATGGAAAACAACTTTAGCATCTTGGCAGGTAAAGTCATATACTGATTTTGAGGTTAGATACTAAATCTCAATTAATTGCATTTATGAATAAATATGGCAGCTGTCTACTGGCAAATACTTGTACACATACATACACAAAGAACAACTATTTATCAGATGTGTCTTATCATACACTTTGCACAGACTAGTTCACTTAACCCTGACACCAATATTATGACATAACTGTTATATCATTCTCATTTTACAGATGAGGAAACTGAACACTGGAGGCTGAATCACTTGCCCATGGACACAATAAAAAAAGGCAGAGAAGGGGTGGTATTCAACTTAGGTCTGTCTGTTTCCAAAGCCTGCCTCTTAACCACAATGCCACATTGCCTTGTGGCTGGTCATCCAAGTGTTTATGAATCCTAACTTGCCAATACTTCAAGATAGTAAAATATATTTTGATTTTCCAGGATAACTGAAGAGCCATAGACAATCTAGGTTGGGGCTAGAATTAGAAATCAACATCCTCATTCTCAAGTTCAGATATTAAAGACATTCGGGGGAACTGGCCATCTACGAAGGGGAGGACGCTGCATACAAAGAAGCACTTTCTATCCACTTTGCACCAGGATCTCATGACCACTAAGGCACGTGACCTTCCAGCACAAGCCCATAAAGCGTCTGTACATCAAAATATATTTTCCTATCTCTGAGGTATTGGCAAGTTAGGATTCACGTACACTGGTTTATGCGTGTGAGGGGGGAACAACAACAGTGGCTCTGCACGCAAGGCAAAATTTAAAACTTTCAAAGAGAATGAACCATGTTCATCTGTATCTTTGATAAGGTAGAAAACTAAGGACAATATTTTCTTCTTTCCTTTTATGTGGTGGCTAGCTTTCGTATGTTTTAAAAAAATTCACTTAAAAGGAATACTTTGAAATTCAGGACTTGTAAGCTTATCAAGTGCTTCTGTGACCCGCTGAGAAGCAGGTCCCAGGACATTTGTGAACGTACTTTATTAAGAAATGAAGTCCAGGTTTAGGACAGAGTTTAAGCATTTTTGTTCCACTTATAGCCAATAGTTATGTTTATGCCTTAACACTGAATAAGAAAATCAACTAGAATTTTATTTCTAGGTGATAAAGACCTAATGAAAATTCACCTTGGGATATTAACATTCTGATTTTGAAACTGCTCTTACTTTCACTTCTTAATTACCTATTTATTTGCTAATTTCCCATAACTGGTGTAAATAATTATTTACTTTGGTCATCAGCACTTGGAGACTTGGAGATGGTGCTGAGTATTGTGTGCAACCCTGGAAGCCAGGCATACTGCTGTTTCCACATAAACCCTGTTACCCTACAAAAAGATATGGATTATCTTGCAAATTAACTTCTACTATTATGTTAATAATCTTCTTGAGTTTAATTGTTGAGACTTTTGATTTGTCATTTATTTGAGTCTATTTTTGTGAGGGGAAAAATAAATCCCTAATAGCAACTGCACAAATTCCTGAGGCTGCCACAGTATTAGTTGTGGTTTAAAATATTTGACATTCATATTAAATGTTAAATGCTATCCATTATATAACAAATAGTATTTTTTTCTCCTGAAAACTTTATTTTAAAAGTAAAAAAACAAAAAGAACAGTAATAACCAGGATGTTAATAGTAAAATCCAATTTCTACCAAAATTTTAATGTTAACTTAAAACCTTCTAAAAGATAGGAAAAGTTTTCAAATATCTTACACTTCCCACCCACAGATTAGCATTTAAGTTATAAAACTGTACAAAGTAAATGTTTAGTTTTTCAGTATAGATACTTATATGGACATCACCCTATACATGAAAAGTTAACTAGTGGTAGAATAAATAAGTTTCACTATCATATTTCAATACCATTTGGTACATCTAAGATTAACCAAATTTATATTTCTGATAGTTGTAGATCAAAAATTCTAAAAATTACAACAACTTGTCAAACAGTATTACTTATATATTATTGCTGTAACTGAAATATATTGTACCAGTTTCCCAGCCAGATTTTTTAGAAGTTGAAACAAACCCACAAATAAAGAGAACTTAAGCAAAACCTCAAATTTTGGAGTTCTGCCCAGAGTTTCTGAATTTACTTATTAAATGCAGCAGAGCTGCTGGAAATCATCCAAAATCTGGAGAAGAGCAAAGAGACAACTGGGGTAGAAGTCTGTCTGCTTTCCTCAAGAACATGAGAGCCTCTGATGTCAGTCCCGAAAAACTTTGATACACTGGATATCAGGTGTGCATCTGACATTCCTGAGATGAAAAATTTTCATGTGTTCTATCATAGATTAGCAAAACAAGCTTACTAACGCCTGCAGTTTTTATGGTTCATAAAATGCTTTACCTATGTTTTTTCCTACCTTTTTATTTTGCTTCTTCTGCATTGAAAAAAAATCAGAATTCAAAGTACCAAGCTACTTGGGGGCTAATAAATTAATTCAAGTAGCTTCAAAATGGTATCAGAATCTATTACGAGCTGAGTGAATATGTAAAGAGATGTAAAAGGATAAGACATGAATTTAGATTGAGTAGTCAACATTCATGAAGAATTAGTATCACAAGCACTTTAAAAAATGTTTCATTTACATTCTATCATCCATTTGTCATAATTTTAAACATATTTTTCTAACCAGTAATGGTTAATAATCTAGCTTGGCAGAGGAGTAAAATCATTTTCAGTGAATTTAAAGATTATAGTTCCAAAGTTATACTCCAGAAAGAATAAATCAGGAACAACAGAAACCTTGGTGAAGAGTGGAGCAGGAGGACAACCCTGCAGGTGAGGGGTTGTAAACACAAGAGCAGCGGGAGATGGGGCTGGGTGTAATTAGTGAGGAATGGTGGGGCCTGTGGCAAACTAGAGAGAACATGCCCTGCCCCGGGCAATTGAATTCAATGAAAATAAAACAAAAGGCCAAAAGCAACCCCAAAAACCTGTGCTGGCCAAATAAAACACAGCTGTGAACTGCTGGCCCCACCTCCCTACCAGGACTGCCGGTTTGCCCCCTCTGCTATGGAGTCTGCGATTTTGCCTTTTGGACACTCTGCCCTCGCTGCTGCCATTGTGTGCCACCTGCCATTGCCTGCCTTTCAGCCTCTTGGTGACTGCTCTTAGGGGAGCAGGAATGACACTGGAGGTAAAGTTCCAAGCCATCGGTTTTAGTCCTAGCTCATAGAGGATACTCAACATATCACACTTACGTGCCTCCGTTTTGTCAACTTTAGAATAGGGCTATCAATCTCCCAGGGTAATTTTAAGCATTAAATTAGATAATATATGGAAAAACACTTTGCAAATTGCAAGGTGCCAAACACAGGTAAAGCAGGATGTTACCCATGTCACCACTGTGTCCCCTCTTCCTGCTTTGATCACTACCTGATTCCAGCTTACTTTCCGTAGACCCAGTCCTCTCTGCTGGAAACAACAGCTCTTCATACGCATTCGGAAATCCTGAGCCCCTTGGCTAGTCTTGGCCCTTTTCTCCAAATGACTTTACTGATCACTGCCCCTTCTCCCACACCTCTGTTTCAGGGGCCCATGGCAAGGGCTGGGCACAGACTGGATACTCCAGGTTGTCACTAGGCACTCTCTCCTCTGAAGTCCATACCACCTGCCATGGCATCCTTGCAGGCTCTTAACATCTGGAACATTTCTCAGTTTCCTCAGTGGCCATTTCATACGGCTCAGAGTTTTCCTCTCCACATTGTCTCCTGTCATCTTTCTGGGTCTCGCCCTCATCTGATGGGAGCTTCCTCAAATTCTTTCCCCTCTGTTGGAAAATGCCTGTGCTGTTGTCAAGAGTTAAACTGCCAGACATCCTTGCCAAAGCTAATCCTGTCCTCTGTTGTCTCCTCTGGCACTTTATGCCACTAACTTCTCTCCTCCCATACTTGGTTCCAGAAGCCCAAAACAGCTTCTCATCAATTTGCAAGTCCCTGGCATGCTGGCACCTGCACGATGCCTAATGGTCAACTCCAGTGGCCTTCTGTCGGGGTTATCAACTTTCTCTGTGGAGGCCATGCTGTTAGTCACATGCCTTTTGAAAACTCTCACCTCGTGGCTTCCAATACCGTACACTCTCCCAGTTTCTCCACCTCTCTGACAGTTGTCTCTGTCCCTGCAGCTTCTGCCACCCTCCTGTAACACAGCTCCACTGGCTCTCTCTGGATGATGGTAACCCCACTCACCATTGGAATTATACTACAATTTTCTATAAGGATAATTTCAAATTTATATCTCCATGCTCATACCTGTCTTCACAGTCCCAGTCCCCAGTTCTCCCCATCTTTTGGCTGTTTCTATCAAGACTCAGAGTTGGTATCAAAAAATTAACCTATCCAAAACAGCACTCATTTTACACGCCACACAATCTGCTCCAAGTCCTGATGTTAACATATTCCTATTAATGGCATCACTACTGTGGCTAGTCATTTCTCTGCGCTCAAAACCTGTGTCACTCTGACCCACAGCACTTTCATTTCCCTTCCTAGGCAGCTGCCAAGGCCAACTCTACAATGTTTCTGGACTCCACTTGCTCCTGTCTATCATACTACCAGTCATGGTAATACCCCCCATTATTTCCACAGGCTCCCAGCAGGTCTCTGTGCTTCCAGTTGGGCTAAGTTCTCTGTCTCTGCCTCTCTCCTATCCTGTCTCTCTCCTCTTGAATCTATTCCGCCAGAGAGACCCTTATAAAGCCATACAATACAGCTTTGATCCTGTCACCCCACTGCTCAAAAGCCTTCAGCATTGCCCTCTTCTGCCCACCTAATGAAGTTCAGATTTCTTCAATGGACATTGAATATTTTGGTCTAATCCACACCCCAATCTTATTACCCACAACTCCTCCATCCAACATAACTTGATGCACCTTTAAAAAATAAATGAATACGTAAATAAAGGATTGGAAGGCAAAACAACCCCTTCCCGCTAAGTGTTGTTACTGCCTATATAGACTTCCCCACAGGTCCACACTCATTACTGATGCTCATGGCAATGCCATCTCACACCTTCTATCCAACCTACGACCCTTGCAAAACCCTCCAAGATCCAGCTGCATCACATGTCCCTCCCAGATCCCCAGAACTGAATGTGCTCTTCCCTTCTTTGAACCACCATTACATTCCTTACCTCCATCATAGTAAATAATTACTTTCCATATGTATTAAAGATATCTTTGGCCAGGCGTGGTGGCTCACGCCTATAATCTCAGCACTTTGGGACCCTGAGGCTGGTGGATCACCGGAGTTCGAGACCAGCCTGGCCAACATGGTGAAAGCCCATCTCTACTAAAAATACAAAAATTAGCTGGGTATGGTGGTGCATGCCTGTAATCCCAGCTACTCGGGAGGCCGAGGCAGGAGAATCGCTTGAACCTGGGAGGTGGAGGTTGCAGTGAGCCAAGATCATGCCACTGCACTCTGGCCTGGGCAACAGAGCAAGACTTCATCTCAAAAAAAAAAAAAAAAATCTTTGAACTTTGCTTAGAGTATAAACTCCATGAGGATAAAGACTGTGCTTCATTAACCCTTGTGTTTCCTGAATTGCCCAATCCTACCATACACATAACAGATACTTTATAAACACTGAGTGGTTGGATGGATGAAGGAATGTTGGGGTATGCTCTTTCACATGCCCAAAGCTTCATACTTTGCAAGTAACTTAGTTCATCAAAGGTCAAAGCCTTCCTCCCATTTCTTCAGTGTTTCTGTTTGGTTTGTTTTTGTTTTGGTACCAACTACCTGAATACAATAAATAGCCTACTGCCCTATGGGGAAGATGATCTGGTAATATAGAAACAGTGCCAGAATGGGCATCAATTTACTTGTGCTTAGTAGCAGCAAAACTTTCATGATGGTGTATTCTTCAAAGGTGAGCTGCAGTCGAACGAACTGAAGGCTGATTTGGTGCATCCCCTGGCATAGTTCATACATGGCAGACTGATGCATCTTCTCTCTGCAAAGGAAAAGAAGAAAATGTCTGAGAATGCAAGATTCATTATCAAACCCAGACTGGCAGCCTGAGGCAGCTTAATAAGAGATCTGAGTCAGAATTCTCCTTTTGGCTTCAACATGGAGCAGATGTGTATTTTAAAGACAAGTTAGATGCTTTTCATAGTGACTGGTAAATTGCTTCTAGACCAATACTGCTGGGCCGTTTACTTGTACCCTGTGAGAATGTGTCAGGAGCACTGAAACCAACCCTTTTAAAGTATGCCATGATTTCATTTTATGTCAAGAGTAATACTGACTGATGAGGATTTTAGTGTGTTACAGTGAGACCATCCACAAAGCAGAGAAGCTGCTGTGATCTGACTCTTGTTCCTTTTCAGCCACAGATATCCAGCACTTATAGGAAAGGACTGGGCTAGATGCTACGAACATAGGATGGGGATGACCAATCTTATTTCTCCATGGGCCTTCCTTACAGAGGTCATGGAGCATGTTATTAACTATTTACAGCAACATGTTTTAAAAGGGAAATTAAAAAATACTTTAAAAGGTGAGAACGTCAAATGGAATTTTTCTGATAAAGAGAAAAAATGACAAGGGAGTTTGGCACAACATATACAAATACTTCCACACACACAACCAAACAATACCCTCACACCACTATCCAAATGCTTCCATAAAAATCCATGTTATCTAAAAACAGAAGTCATTATTTTCTCTTTTCTTGAGAAGTAAGCAAGGCATCACTATTTTTTTTAGATGTTTTCCTTCAAAGTAATAAACCTTTTGTAAGGCCCTGGATAACTACTGGTTCATGGTGACCAGACCGTAAAAAGTGAAAGAGACACTATTGGTGAAAAATGGGAAAGGACTTGCCAAAGGCCAAAGAAACAGAAAACGAGGTCTGGATAGTGGATCCATTAAAGGGTGACTGAAAGCAGGCAGCGTCTGCAGGAAAGCAATGTGGGGATCTCTTTTGCAGGATGGATTCTGGGGCTCCCCTCAATTGGCAGAAATCTCTTGCAACTCAACTCTGAATGCCAATTATAAGGAACCCATAACGAAACACAGCACATGTTCTCTGCATTACTGTATGTCTTTCCTCTCCCCCAGTAAGATAGAAGCCATTTTAAATTAAGGAAATATTTTAAACACACACATGCTAATAGCATGAGCTTCCAAATCTACCATCCAGAATTAACAGTATAAACAAATGCTACTATTTTTGCAATATGTGCACCGGATTTTTAAAAATTAAAAATGGCAGAGTTAAGGCCCACTCTGCCTTCTTCCCCAATCCCATCCATCTCTTCCTCTTTCAAGAAGAGAACCACCCAGTCTGGGTGATTATCATTTCCTCTCAGATGTGTCTATTTCACTACACATGTATGTATCTACAAAAACAGCATACAGTACTGCTTTGTTTTATGTAAATTTGAAATTAGATATGCACATCCTTCTGCAACTTATTTTTATTGAACAGTAACTTTGAGATGTATCTATTTTGATACAGGTAACTAAGTTAATTCATTTTAACTGCTTCGAGCTTCATTTGTTTGAATGTATAGCAATTTACTTATCCATTCCACTACTGATGGACACTTGGGTTGTTTGCTCTTTATTGCTATCACAAATGATGCCCAAGGAATATCCTTGTCGTTTCTACAGGATACAGAATGAAAACAGAACTTCTGAGTCATAGATTTGCACATGTCACCTGCTTTCATTCCAACCAGCAGAGCATGAGCGTGCCCTTACTTCACATCCCCACCAATGATTGCCATTATCCAATTTCATTTTTTTTCTATTTGATGGGAGGTTGAATGGATAGTACATGGTTGCTTTTATTTCCATTTCCATCATCACCAGTAGGTTCAGCATTTTTTCAAATGTTTACTCATCATTTGGGTGTCTTCTTTGGTGATTTGACTATTCATATCTTTACCAATTTTACCCATTTTTTCCTTCTCGCACTGAGTAACACCATTTTTATTCCTAATAATTTTTTGCCTTAAAAATATCTGATCTTCACATTGTTTTTCTTTCTCTCTGCCTCTTTTTCTTGCTCTCTTTAGAACTTGTCAGGTGTGCTGTCCACCTTTCTTTTGATCCCTTTGTTTCAAACTTCCCACGTAATTATATTTCACACATATTTTCTAAACAGAAAAGGCTGGATTAAGAAATCGGAGAGTCTCTGTATTTTAATAACTCAGTTTAATCTGTTTTTAGTTATCATGATTACTGACAAGTTTGGATGTTCTCTACCATTTTAACTTACTTTCCTTCCTCTTTCCCTTCTTCCTCCTTCTCTTCCTTTCATTGGATTGACCTAGCTTTTTAGCCCCCTGTTGCTGGAAGTCAGGGACCCCGAACGGAGGGACTGGCTGGAGCCGTGGCAGAGGAACATAAATTGTGAAGATTTCATTTTAATATGGACATTTATCAGTTCCCAAACACTACTTTTATAATTTCTTAAGCCTGTCTTTAATCTCTTAATCCTGTTATCTTTGTAAGCTGAGGATGTATGTCACCTCAGGACCATGGTGAAAATTGTGTTAACTGTACAAATTGATTGTAAAACGTGTGTTTGAACAATATGAAATCAGTGCACCTTGAAAAAGAACAGAATAACAGCGATTTTTAGGGAACAAGGGAAGACAACCAAAAGGTCTGACTGCCTGCGGCGTCGGGCAAAAAAAGCCATATTTTTCTTCTTGCAGAGAGCCTATAAACAGACGTGCAAGTAGGAAATATATCACTAAATTCTTTTCCTAGCAAGGAATATTAATATTAATACCCTGGGGAAGGAATGCATTCCTGGGGGGAGGTCTATAAATGGCCGCTCTGGGAATGTATGTCTTATGCGGTTGAGATAAGCACTGAGATACGCCCTGGTCTCCTGCAGTACCCTCAGGCTTACTAGGATGGGGAAAAACTCTGCCCTGGTAAATTTGTGGTCAAACCGGTTCTCTGCTCTCAAACCTTGTTTTCTGTTGTTTAAGATGTTTATCAAGGCAATACATGCACTGCTGAACATAGACCCTTATCAGTAGTTCTGCTTTTGCCCTTTGCCTTGTGATCTTTGTTGTACCCTTATTGGTAGTTCTGCTTTTTGCACTTTGTCCTGTTCCCTCAGAAGCATGTGATCTTTGTTAGCCCCTTATTAGTAGTTCTGCTTTTTGCCCTTTGAAGCATGTGATCTTTGTACCTACACCTGTTCTTACACCCCCTCCCCTTTTGAAACCCTTAATAAAACTTGCTGGTTTTGAGGCTCAGGTGGGCATCATGATCCTACCGATATGTGATGCCACCCCCAGTGGCCCAGCTGTAAAATTCCTCTCTTTATACTGTCTCTTTATTTCTCAGCTGGCCAACACTTATGGAAAATAGAAAGAACCTACATTGAAATACTGGGGGCGGGTTCCCCCGATATCCCCTCTCTGCTATGGCTCTACTGGATTTAGAAGCTATACATGCTGTTTTTACACCTTAAGTTATCATTGTTAAATCTAGTTTCTCTCATACACACACACTCCAGGTCTGCTTAGATTTCCCCAGTGTTTCTCTGACCACCATCACTTCTTGCACTTTACTCCTGAGTTCAGTTTCTTACTTATTGAAGAATGTATTTTAGTAATTCTTTCAGCAGTGATTAGTTGATAAATGTTCAGGGGCTGGGTGCAGTGGCTCATGCTTGTAATCCTAGCACTTTGGGAGACCGAGGCAGGCAGATCACCTGAGGTCAGGTGTTCAAGACCAGCCTGGCCAACATGGTGAAACACCATCTCTACAAAAATAGAAAAACTAGTTGGGCATGATGGCAGGTGCCTGTAATCCCAGCTACTCAGGAGGGTGAGGTGGAAGAATCACTTGAACCAGGAGGTGGAGTAATAGTGAGCCAAAATCTGCCATTGCACTCTAGCCTGGGTGACAGAGTGAGACTCCATCCCAAAACCAAACCAAACCAAACCAAACCAAACCAAAGTTCATGTCTCACATCTTTTGGTCTCAATTTGTCTGAAAATGTCTTTATTTTATCTTCATTCCTGGATGATAGTTTAAAAAGCTATGGATTTCTAGCTTGACAGGTGATTTACGACAGTACTTTGCAGATAGTATTCAACTATACCTGGGCCTTAATTGTTGCTTTTGGGAAATTTCCTGTTAGTCTAATTGTCATTCTCCTGAAGGTAGCCTGCATTTTTCTCTTTGGTAGCTTTAAAATTTTTTTCTCTATTTATATGATTGCCTGCAGTTTCATTATGATGTACTGAGGTGCAGACTGATTTTTAATTCTCCTGTTCAGGACTCAATGTCCTTATTCAACTTGCATACGTAAGTATTCCTTCAGTTCTAAAATGTTTTTAGCCATTGTCCCTTCAAATATCACCCCATCCTGTTCCTGTTATTTTTCCTTTTTAAACTCCATTTAGCAGTATGTTGGACCTTCTCCTCATGTCTTCCACATTAGCCTCTCTTTCATATCTTCTCACTTTTTATCTCTCTGTACTGCATTCCTAGGTGATTTTCTCAGATCTCTTTTCCATATAATCTACCATTTAATATCTATAGTGTTTTAATTTTAATGGCAGTATTTTTCATGTTGAGGAGCTGAGAAATGCTCTATTCAATTCTCTCTCAAACATTTCTGTTCTTTTCCATAGGTATTTTTCCTTTACATATCTAGATATTTAAACATTTATTTTATAGTTTCTTTCAGATGTTTTATTCAAATTTGGGGGGTGCTAATATGCATATCTAACATGTATTGTTTTGGCATGTATTGTCTTCTAGGTGAATCCCATGGGTTCTGGCTTGTGGATGGGACACTACAGAGTTTTAGCATTTGCTACTGCCATGGGTATAAGCATTTTACTTGTTCTGGAGCAGTTTTTATGCTAATTTCTCAGCTTAAACACTTTTTGCAAGACTCATGTAGTTTAAATTTAGACTCCACACTTGATGTGGTGCAGGTTTTTGTTTCTTATTTCTTTCAGCTTCCTTGCCATGCTGGCTGGTTGGTTTAGTTTTATTGTCCTTGTTAGTAGACAGCGAAATCTTTGCCAAGCCCTGGATTTATGCAGGGAGCTCTATTTCAGGTGCTGGCCTTGTTGGAGTCTAGCTTCCTGTCACCTTTCTCTGTCTGTGTTCTAATACCCACTCCTCAAGCGCATATCTGTATTCAATAGTCAGTGGGCCATCTGTGGCATTAGTTCTGCTTTAAAGCACCCTGCCTATGAATTTCCTAGTTTTGCACCTTTTAAAAACATTTCTTTTGAGCTTGGCTATATATTTAAGACTTTTTTTTTTAAATGCAGAATTTCTGTGTGTTTAGAAAAATTTAAAAAGCTCAGTTTAGTTCCATCATTTTGATTGGTAACTGCAAACTTCTTCAAGACAGGATCCATGTCTAACTTTTGTAAATGTCAAAAAGAATATGATAAACAAGTGCTATGTGTCAATCTTTGCTAAGCATTTCTCATGAATGAATGATAGAGAGAAGGAAAGGAAAAAAGAAAAGAGAACAGTTAAAGGCTATGAAAACATACAGATTTGCATATGATGATGATAATTAAGGAAAATACTGGCAATTTATAAAAAGTAAGATTATCAAGTGGCCACAAAATTAGATATTGCATTTAGGAAGTTCTACAAAATTTTTGAGAGAGAAAGACTGATTTAGATTGTGACATGGGTAAAGCAAATTGGAAAATCAGGATGTCTGTGGAGCACAACACAACACGCATTTCATACTGTGCGGCTTGAAAAATGTGCTCATATGCATTTGATTCCTTAAGGGGGCATCCCTGGCTTTGCCCCAGCAGGTCCTAGAGGGGCACAGCCCATCAGCCTTTCAGCATGCTGGCTTTGTGATCTGGTAGCATGTGACCTGGTAGCTTTGTGATCATGTACCATCTGAGATCTCAGGCTTATCACATATAAAATTGGAATACTAATAATAATTCCAATCTTGCAGGGATGTATGAACTAAGTATATGCAAGCTCTTAAATTATACTTCACACATGTTAGCTTTATTTGGAAATCATGGAGAGAATACAATGCTTCTTAAGAGACCAATGATCATTTGGTTGAAACAAACCAAGAAGGAGTCAAGTCTTAAAATAAGTTTTCAGGAATACAGTATTATGTTATTATTTTAAATTATTTCTATATAGAAGATGGCAAATCTAGGGAAAAACCAGAGATAATGTAGGTTTTCAGAAGGTAGAAATAACTTGCCTAGAGTAGAACATGAGAACGGAACACCTCCATGTCAGAGTGTTTCTGTTATCAGATGTGTTAACAAAACATCCACACACAGATTAAAGATTAAAGAGAGACCTCAGATTCCACTTGAAAACAGATTAGAACGTTAATGTGTGACAACACACCTAAAGAAAGCATTTTTTTTGCCACTGCAGTATGAACAGCATCTCTTTTTAACTCTTTGTGAGGTATTAACTAAATAACCTCTACAGTCTCCATAGCTATCATTTATGGATTACCCGCCACCCACCAGAGCTAAATTTCTTCTTGCTAAATCTCAAAATGCCCTGTGAGGAATTATTCTCATATTCATGATAAGGAATTTTAGGTACATGTGAAGCCAGGATCCAAACCCAGGTTTTTTACTTCAAAACTCAGGCCTTCTCCTTTCTCTGTGTGCCAAGCTGAGTAATGATTTTTGGCCCTTTTTTCCAGAGTCATACAACTCTATTCAGTACCTCCAGTGTTTTGTTATTACAGTCACTCATTTGTTTATTCTTTGCTCCCCATTATGTGGTAACATTTTGTGTTTTCAAATTCCATTGCTGTTTCCATTGCATGAAATCGAATTCTCTAAATGAAGAGTACTGAGCACTCAATATAGCTTGAAATTTCAAGAAAATAGGTCATCTTGAAAATGCATTTTATATCACATCATTTTTGCACAATTTTTTGTGCAATTGTGCATTTTTTTGCACAATTAAATTAAATGTATAGAAATGTACATGCAAGGAAGTTGAAATAAGGACAATCTTTTGGCATAATATTGGTATTAATTTTGCAATATCGCTTTACAGAATATACTCTTTGCTACGTGCTTTTATTCATGTTATAATTTTACCTCATTTTGAATAGAATAATGTAAAAATATACTGACTACTTTGGGAAAGAGAAGCAAGCTCATATAATGCTTCTGTAAAACAAAAGTAAATCCATGACCAAAAGTCACCCTTGAACAGTGGACTAATACAAATGTGGTAATAGATTACTGATGTAGAAAACAGCCATATAGTGAACATCAGACCTGAGTAACTAACAGCTGCTAGTCTCTACTTAAGAACCGTGAGTACTAATATACTTGCACATGTCAGCCATTTCTAAATATCTTCTTATTTGCAGGAACAGAATAAAAACTTTACTTTTGGATAAATAAACACAGCAGCCAAAGTGGGTCTAGAGACCCATTCCAGAGGTTGGGTTAAAATGAATAATAGTTCTAAAATATTTTTTAAAAAACACTTCAATAGTTTTGTAAACTTGAAATTTTCTCAAATGAGGAAGCCAATTTTATTTGTAGCTATAACTTCATCTGGTCTTCTCTTAGAACATCCATTGTACTAAACTAAAATCATATGATCATTTGGAAATAGTTTTAAAATATTAAGTTAAAATTATCTAACTTCTCCAAATCTGATTCACTTGGGACTAAAGTGAATAATGAGAGTTAGACAATATTTTTTCCTTGCTTTGGAGAGAATTTGGGGTTAGAAATGGGGTTTAATTCATGTAAGAATAGTGGGAATTAGAAAAAGCCCATTAAAATCCGAGTGTGAGTAGGGCTTTCAAAATTTAAATGACTTGGGTGCTGGCTGCCTGCTTTTAACTGAGCACCTAAACAATCTGAACAACTGTTTTATCTACAGGACCCACCCATGCTATCTTACCATCATTATGTCAACCGTGTTGCCCTATTTCACATTATGAGACTAGTCCATTGAGCCTATCAGCCAATGGCTGTCAGAAGGAACACTCTTGTTTTGCAGGTACTGGCTTACCATTCAGGTATCTGGAAGTCCTTCTAGAAGTAGTTGATTTGAGAAATTATTGCCCCAAATTAAATGTAATCGTAGAATCATATTCATGTTGTATTTTGACAGAAGTAGATATTTGACAAGCCCAAACTACAAAGCATTCCAGGCTATGAATGCCTGTAGAACTTGGGAGCTCTAAGTTTGAGTCTAAACACCTTCACGGACACTTCATGCGGTGGCCATCCACCACAGTGAGAACACAAGCAAGGCTCTTCCATCTTCCACTGTCTAAATCTGTGGGATGGTTTGAACTTCCCACTCATTCCAGGTTCTCATCAGCAACCTCTATTCTGAGGTTGCCTTGATCTTGTCAAGGGCTCAGTTGAGTTCACCTTTGAGTTTTAGGGGCTAGTTTTAGGGGCATGCTTACCACTCAACTCCTTAATGGTTTCCCAAGGTGTTACCCCTGAAATTCGGCTAGACCACTAGGAAGTCACATAGGCAGGCCTCCAAAGCAGTGCATTTTGCAGACATTATTTAACATTATGCCTCCACTGAACTCTGCCAAGAAATAGCCCTTTGCAGAAAAACTGCATCTTTGCAAGATGGCTTCTGAAGATGACTTCCATTTTTTGTTACTCATCATTCTTATTAAGACTCATGTGATACATGGACCTTGAACTTTAGGCCTGGAAAAAGCTTCTTTCTTGATGCTAACTTCTACTTAATGAATCTCTGCAGGAAGTGAAAGCAGGCCATCGAGGGGATATTTGTTGTTCATAGCAGCATTATTCACAATAGGCAAAAGATAGAAGCAACCCAAGTGTTCACTGACAGATAAATGGATAAACATGTGGTATATGTATACAGTGGGACATTATTGAGTCTTAAAAAAGGAAATTCTGACATATGCTACACCATGGATGAAGCTTCATATTATGCTAAATGGAATACGCCTGTCAGAAAAAGACAAATACTGCATGATTTCACTTATATGAGCTATCTAAAGTAGTCACACTCATAGAAACAGTAAGTAAAACGGTGGTTACCAGGGGCTGGGGGTAGGTGGGAATGCAGAATTAGTTCAGTGAGTACAGTTTTAGTTTTGCAAGATGAAAAAGTTCTGGAGACTGGTTGCACAACAATGTAATACTACTACTGAACTGTACACGTAAAAAGGGTTAGAAGGCAAATTTTGTTATGTGTATTTTTTTATCACAACTAAAATATGTTTTGAAAATTAGAAAAACAAGAATCTCTACAACCCATAATCCTACCTGTTATAACTTTATTTATTTATTTATTTATTTTTGATGGAGTCTCGCTCTGTCACCCAGGCTAGAGTGCAGTGGCACGATCTCGGCTCACTGCAACCTTCGCCTCCCTGGTTCAAGCGATTCTTCCACCTCAGCCTCTCAAGTAGTTGGGATTACAGGCGCGTGCCACCATGCCTGGCTAATTTTTGTACTTTTAGTAGAGATGGGGTTTCCCCATGTTGGCCAGGCTGGTCTCGAACTCCTGACCTCAGGTGATCTGCCCCCCGCTTCGCCTCCCAAAGTGCTGAGATTACAAGTGTAAGCCACCGCACCCAGCCTATACTTTGAGATCGATTAAGAAACTAATATTTGTGTTTAATAATGCAACTTCTGTTAGCATTCAGGTGATTCATTCTTCTTTTATAATATACAAAATGTCTGTCTTACTGTTTTAGCTACTTGCTTTTTGCCTTTTTGTGTCTTGAATAGTTTTTAGTTTTACCGTATCTGTGTTTTTATTGCAAGCTATGCTCAATGCTTTTGGAAAGCATGCGGGGTAAAAATTCTTTAATAAACTGTGATTTCAAAAAGTCACTCAGAAACAGTTCCTCAAAGACCTTTCTGATATAGTTTTGGTACCCTAAAGGGGAAGAAAAATAGAACTACCTTTATCACTCTTTTCTCTTTCCACGAACTCACATTTAATAAATGTAATCCTTTCACATCAGCCGATTTTATAAATGCCAAAGCACAAAAGCTTCCCAACTCTTCCACCTATGGGAACCTATGAAAAGTACAATGACATTTTTAAACGTAAGATCCTTTAGTAATACTGCACTGAACTGTACCTTGTCAACTAAATACCTTTTAGGTATGTAAGACATCACTTTATTTAAGAAGGAACTACAAAAAGAAGCCTTTGAAATACTTCACATTAGCCCCTGGATTAAGCTCTACATAGCTCTCATCATTCTGAAGGTCTGTGTACTCTTCTGGATAGTGGGGTGCATATCTTTCTATGACTGATTTTTGTATGGTGCATAGGTCAACAATTATGTGAGTGATAAATAAATATCTGGCAATAAACAGGAACAGGTAAATCAACAGATTTCATAGACTTTCAGCTGTTCTTTTCTTTGTAGATATAAACAAAACAAAGGTTGTTTTGTTTTGCTCAATCAGGGTTGAAGTCTCTGGAATCTCAAGAGGAGGCCTCTCAATGAACACGTTTTTTTTTTTGTTTTGTTTTGTTTTGTTTTGTTTTTTTTTTTTTTTTTTTTTTGAGACAGAGTCTCGCTCTATCGCCCAGGCTGGAGTGCAGTGGCACGATCTCGGCTCACTGCAAACTCCGCCTCCTGGGTTCACGCCATTCTCCTGCCTCAGCCTCCCGAGTAGCCGGGACCTGGGACTACAGGCGCCCGCCACAATGCCTGGCTAATTTTTTTTGTATTTTTAGTAGAGACGGGGTTTCACTGTGTTAGCTAGGATGGTCTCAGTCTTCTGACCTTGTGATCCGCCTGCCTCGGCCTCCCAAAGTGCTGGGATTACAGGCGTGAGTCATCGCGCCCAGCCAAACATGTTTGTTAACATACTATTTATTAGTTTAGTAAACTGCCTCTAGGAATGTGTGTGTGTTACATTGTCAGAATGTAGGCAGCAATAGTGTCAATCTCGCAACAGAGAGTTAAATAACTTGACTGGTGTGGTGCACAGACGTAATCACAGCTGACCTGAAAGACCAGACCTTGTATCTGGTACTGCAAACTGCATCGTGTCTGAATAAATCTAACATCTTGTTACATGGTCAGTATAACAGATGGTCCATGTCTCAGGCTTATTATATTCCTAAAAACAGCATGCAGAAAAACAGGTTTTTTCTTTCAAACCTCAATTAGAATAAAAATGACCCCAATTTGAACATTCAAATTATTCCAGTTTACTGTTAATTTTTTTCATAGTCTTATTAATTTTTCCTCAACTGACAAACAAGATGTATCTGTAGAAGGACCATTTTGCTAGTTGCAGTTCTGACACCTGTTCATTTTTATAGTACTTGCAGAGTTTATTTATAACCAGGGTAGAACTCAGCCATAAGGTCTAGAAATCACCTGAGAATGCTATTGTGGTCTGCCTTACTGGTCTAATGTGTTAGAGAGACTAATGTCCCATTGGTCTCCACAACATTCATCCATTCTCTCTTAATTCTGCATGGTCAATTCTAGTAATAGTTAAAAGCTAATTCAGTATTTTATCACCTTAGTTGATGTTCCAGAAGAGATATGTTTTCATACAACTGCCCTTGGACTTCAACATCAAATATCCACTGACTTTAATTCATGATACACAGATCAGAATAACATGTGACAATGTAAAAATCTAGAAGGGGCCTTGTTATATGGCAACTGTAATTTACCAATGATAGTCCTAAAAGTCTGGAAAAAATTTTTTTAAACCATAAATCCTATATATAGTATTCTTAAAAACATTCCTTTATACAGTAGTTTTTAAAATAACTTATATAGTCAGCAGTTTCTTCAGGGTACAAGGATATATGTCTTTAGTGCAGGAGAGAAAACATGTAGCCATAATCCACTGTAAAATTCAGATTTCGAACAAAGTTAAAATTGGGGGTATCTGTGATAAATCACATTACAAAAATGTTTTGCTTGACCAAAGGTTTAATCTTAGTATTCCTTGAACTGTGAATTTCCCCAGGCAGACCAGTACCAATACAATTCACTTAAAAAAGTGATTTCTAAGCAACTTTTCAGGACTGCTTATTGTATCATGTGAGGCACATCTGTCTCTGAGATATGTGTCTAGACACCACACACTAAAAAAAGACAAAGAGCAAACTATAGGAGATTAAAAAGGAAAAATAGTTTACTGGACATTATCTATACAGATACTAGGGGCCTTGGTACAGGGAAATCCATGAATACGCCTGGCACTTAATTCTTACTAGAAGAGCCTACTACCAGAGGCCATTCTGATAGTACCAAATATCACTGGATATTTTAAGATTTAGTAAACTAAATTTTTAAATTCCAGGCTTTGCTAAGACAGTTTATATATGGCTTTGACAGAAGAACAGGCTCTAAGTGTCGACTAGACTATAATGATTTGCTTATTCCGAGAAATTTTTTGGAAAGGCAGTCAAACCTCACTGAAAACAGCATTCTAGGATTTGAATCCAGGCTGTCTGGTCTCAGATTCTGGTCTCCTAACTGCTGTATTAAGGTTAAAACACCCAACAGCAAGCTTGGAGACTCACGATCACTTAATAAATGCTATGTTAAGACTTACTGCCAGAGTTGCTACACCCATAGAAAGAATACAGAAGAACAACATTCTCAATGCCAGGTGCAGTGGCTCATGCCTGTAATCCCAGCACTTTGGGAGGCTGAGGCAGACAGATCACTTGAGTCCAGGGGTTCAAGATCAGCCTGGGCAACATAGTAGGACTCCGTCTCTATTAATAATGTAAAAATTAGTAGGGTGTGGGTCCTTATAGTCCCAGCTACTTGGGAGGCTGAGCTGAGAGGATCACCTGAGCCCAGGAAGCTGAGGACGCGGTGAGCCATGATAGGGCCACTGCACTTCAGCCTGGACGACAGGAGTAAGAACCTGTCTCAAAAAAAAAAAAAAAAGAAAAAATTCTCTAGTGAAGTATTTTTTTCACTCTCAAGCCTCGTATTTGTAGGCTAGGCTATAGATTTTAATACTAAATTTCTGAAAATTTAATGATATGCAGATCTCAGATGGTTAAACAGAAGACAGAAAACCTTTGGTGAGATATTATTGCTTCATACAGGGACATTTTGGGTATAAACGTAAAGACACTGCTTACTTTCAATAAATGACTATCGTTTCCTCACTTATAAAATGGGGCTGCAAAAAGGTAGGATTCCTTTACTTGATAACTTTGTTCACATTCTTGAAATTCAATAGTTAAATGCTAATTTAGAAACGTTACCAGACTATTGTTTGGGTAAAGGGTGACAGGAAATTACTTTTTCCTACTACAATAAAAGATTTGTATTAACCAACAACTCATGGGGTCATATTCTTGGAGTCACATTCATGGAGTCATATTCTTCCTAAAGCAAAAGTCGCATTACTCCAGTAACCAGAAGCTGGCGCAGGATGGTGTAGAGAAGGACGTTTACTCTGATAAAATCTGGGTGCACAATTGTGCCTCCAAGGCGACAGCAGAGAGTGGCTCACATGGGCAGATGTGATTTTGCAGTGTGCGAATGTGTTGGGGTGGGGACAAGGAAGGTAGAAAGCAGGTGTGCTCACTTTATAGGATCACTGATTCCTTTTTCTATCTTGAAGTCTATGATCCCGTAAAGTAAGCACACTTGCTTTCTATCTTCTTACTTTGGAAGAAGAAAACAGCTAAAGCTCCAGAGACTCTGTTATCATAGACACTATTAAATTCATTAATCAAATTATACCCTAGAAAACATTTTTGGATGCCACAATTCTGTAGGAAAGGTAGTTTCTTCTATTGGAATCATCTAAAAGCTGATACATCATCTGCCTGAATAGAAAAGAAGGGTGATGTCCAACTCAATTAATTTATTAGAGATTAGCCACGTGTCGTTTCTTATTACTGATTCTGAACATCTGTCACAAAGCAGATTTTGTTCAGGACATTATGAACAACTGCATCATTCATTACCGGGTGAAATAAGTGTAACACCACCAGGCCACTATACCACCAGTGACATTCATTTCCCACAAAACATCAACACTGAAACATACACTACACATGCACACAAAATGGCATGAATACAATGATTATTCAATGTATAGTCTAAATATTTCTTATCCTTTTAATCCACTTGTATGAAATTCCTTTTCTCAAGATAGATGAGGGGTAAAAGTGACATTTTCTAACCTTCTCCTCTACTTCGAAATTCTGTGAACTTCCTCTAATCAGAACTAAGTAGCGGTGCAGTTTCTCTTTAATGATAAATGATTTGTTGGTTTTTTGTGTTCATTGCTTAGAAGCAGTGAGTGTTAAGGACAACACCTTAAAAGTGTTAGCTCCCTGTGATTCTCTCTCTCTCTCTCTCTTTTTTTTTTTTTTTTTTTTTTTTAGAGGGAGTCTCGCTCTATCGCCCAGGCTGGAGTGCTGTGGCACAATCTCGGCTCACTGCAACCTGTGCCTCCCGGGTTCAAGTGATTCTCCTGCCTCAGCCTTCTAAGTAGCTGGGATTACAGGTGTGCGCCACCTTGCCCGGCTAATTTTTGTATTTTTTTTTTTTCTGTAGAGATGGGGTTTCCGCATGTTGGCCAGGCTGGTCTCGAACTCCTGACCTCAGGTGATCCGCCCCACCTCGGCTTCCCAAAGTGCTGGGATTACAGGCGTGAGCCACCATGCTCAACCCTCCCTGGGATTCTTGAGTAAAGCACTGGGCTCTTGGCAATCTTGTGAAAGAAAGGCAAGTGCAGTCCAAGCCCTCCCTCACTGTGATGCTTTGTACAAAGAACTGGAGGGTGGCAGAATGTGAGAGGGAAGGAAAGGGGGCAGGGGCAGCCACTTGGCAGCAATGTTTTCTGCAACAAGGAAAAGGAACAGCAGTGGTATGGTTTGAGTGTGTCCCTCAAAATTCATATATTGTCACTTAATTGTCAATGTGCTAGTAAGAGGTGAGGCCTGTAGGAGGCTCCACTTCTCAATCACCCGCTACAATCACCTCCTGTAGGAGGAGATCAAGTAGTAAGAGCAGAGCCCTCATGGATGGGCTTAGGGCCTTTATAAAAGGGGTTGAGGGGGGTGAGTTTGGCCCTTCTGTCCTTTCTGCCACATGAGGACAAGGTGTTCTTTTCCTCTGGTAGAAGCAGCAACAAGGTGCCATCTTGGAAGGAGATGGCAGCCCTTACCACACATTGAACCTGCTGGCACCTGCAACTTGAACTTCTCAGCCTCTAGGACTGTAAGAAAATAAATTTCTATTGTTTATACATTACTAAGTCTCACGTACTTTGCGAACAGTGGCACTAACAAACTAAGACAAGCAGTCAGGGAAAAATAATAATAGTAAAGAAAAGTCATTCCTCTGAGTAATTTCTGCAACTGAAATTTCACTGATTTTAAGACCAAGACTGATGGAGCTGCAAAAAAAAAGTTTTCAATTTAGGAGCAACCATCTCAAAGAAAAGAGCACAGAAGTTCATACTGAAGTTTAAAAAACAACAAAAACGGCCGGGCGCGGTGGCTCACGCCTGTAATCCCAGCACTTTGGGAGGCCGAGGCGGGCGGATCACGAGGTCAGGAGATCGAGACCATCCCGGCTAAAAACGGTGAAACCCCGTCTCTACTAAAAATACAAAAAATTAGCCGGGCATAGTGGCGGGCGCCTGTAGTCCCAGCTACTTGGGAGGCTGAGGCAGGATAATGGCGTGAACCCGGGAGGCGGAGCTTGCAGTGAGCCGAGATCCCGCCACTGCACTCCAGCCTGGGCGACAGAGCGAGACTCCGTCTCAAAAAAAAAAAAAAAAAAAACAAAAAAAAAAAACACCACCAAAACCAACAAAAAAAACAAACAAAAAAACTTTGTCCAGTCTGTGTTCTCTCTCTGGAAAAGTCTGTAAAAGTCTTAGCATGCCTAATTTCAAAGGCAAGACAATGGGATGTAGCATTTTTATTCAATAAAAAATGATACTGTCCCACTCACTCTACATGAGATAAGGAAGGGCTATAGAGCAAAAGGAAGGGAAAGAGAAAGGGTCAAGCAGAAACAGAAAAATGAGAGGAGAAAGAGTGGGGGACCAGTCATGGAGAGAAGGAAGGGAAGCAGAAATGGTGAGGGAACAAAAGGAGAGGGGGAGAGACACAGCCCCCTCCCTCTGAAGCTTAAGCCTGCAGTTCTTTGGGCCCTGTGGTTTGACAGCTTCAACTCTGGATTGCAGAGACCCATCCCCTTTCCTGCTCAGGTACAGCATCTCACGCCTGGATTGTACCACCCACTTCACTATACCCATCCAATTCTAACCCTCTGGGAGGACAGCATGGCCTTTCAAGCTACACAGTTTTGCCCGGCAGCTTTCCTTGACCACTGTAGTCCAGAAGAGTCACCTGCTTTTTTTTTTGAGATGGAGTTTCGCTCTTGTTGTCCAGGCTGGAGTGCAATGGCGCAATCTCAGCTCACTGCAACCTCTGCCTCCAAGATTCGAGGGGTTCTCCTGCCTCAGCCTCCTGAGTAGCTGCCACCTGCTTTTTAAACTCGAGTGCCCATCCATAACACCTGTCATCCGTCATTTGTCTTCACCTTGTTGGGCCACCATTTATGCATTTAGGTCTTACTTGTCCAGTAACTCACCAGCTACACTATAGAATTCTAGAGGATGGAAGTTATATGTTTCATTTCTTTTGATTCTGTACAGTAGCCACCATGGTATAGATAGTTTCAATATTTACTACTGACTGGCGAAAGGCTGGTCTTTTAGCTAAATAGTAAAAATAAAGAGAATTTATTCTCACTTTAGGGGAAGTGATTAGGATATTCATTTATAATACTGTACTACTCTTTTTTGAACACATTCTAACCACACATTCTCAAAGCTATGAGAATAAGTTATCTCACTGGTATGGTAGCACTATATAATCATAACCATAGGAAGGTAGAGGGGACCTGTAAGACACTTCCATCTCCATTATTCTGCAGAGAAGAGAAATGCAGTATAACGAAAACAGCACGCACTGTGAGGGGAGTCCTAGGCTCAGACCTGAGGCCCATCTCTCAGTGTGATGTGATCTTAGGTAATTTATTGGATCTCTCTCTGCCAAGGCAGCTGCATCATTTATGAAAGAGTGACAATAATATCTGCTTTAAAATGTAATTGGTCTGTAAATAAGATGATTCATACAAAAGCATCAAGCAGAGTAAATGGCACGTGGTAGGCTCTGTAAGTATTTTGCTACTAGACTATGAGCCCTTTTAGGGACTATGTTCTATCTAGCTTTGATTTTCCGGCATCTGATATATAGATTAAGTCTTTCTTGAATGAGGAAACAGATCCAGACCTTGAAGTGAGGCTTCCCCAAAGCCAGGCGGAATTAGAGTCTGGGTTGGGTTTTAAAGGTCATCTAGTCCAGTGGTTCTCAAATTGTGGTCTGAGGACGCCAGGGTGTCCCCAAAACCCTTTCAAGGAGTCTGTCAGATCCTCTTTTTTCCAACTAAGTATCTGGGTGAGGCTAAATTTTTTTCATATACCTCCCCCAAAACAACCCATCACAACAGACTAAATGTAAGAAGCAGAAGAGAGAATGCCATATTAAAGGAATTTGCAAACAGGCAAAACAATGCCATTCTTCTCACTTTTTTTGAAAAAAGTTCTTTTTCATAAAAATATTCATGTTTTATGTTATTTATAATATGTGATGGCTTTATGTTTCTTTTAAAATAAATTGATAAATCAATATTTTAGAAAAGTTGTTTTAATTTCTAATATGGGTAAATATCAATAGATATAACTTACATAAAGAAAAGCTCGTTAGGATTCTCAATGCTTTGAGAGCGTAAAGGGTCCTGAGAACACACTGTTTACAAACTGCTGGTCTGGGCTAATTCCCTCATTCTGTAGAAGGGAATTGAAGGCTCACTCACTCAACAACATGAAGCTCATTAACGACAATGTTAGGGACCGGGGCTTACGTCTTCAACAATTGAGCTCTTAAATACTGTCATGATATCAGAAAGGAAGAAAAACAGATACGGAGAAATAATTTAAAATATGAACCAAAGTTCCAGTTTTTCTAAGAACACTTTATTTCCCATTTGTGTTGTTCATATATTGGGTATGTCTCTCTCACCTATTTTATTTTTTTGAGACAGGGTCTTGCTCTGTTGCCCAGGCTGGAGTGCAGGTGCGATCTCGGCTCACTGTGGCCTCAACTTCCCTGGGCTCAGGTGGATCCTCCTACCACAGCCTCCTGAGTAGCTGGGGCCACAGACACATGCCACCACACCTGGCTAATTTTTGTATTTTTTGTAGAGTTAGGGTTTTGCCATGTTCCCTAGGCTGGTCTTGAACTCCTGAGCTCAAGCAATCTGCCCACCTCAGCCTCCTAAAGTTTTGGGATTACAGGTGTGAACCAAGATGCCCAGCCATCTCACTTATTTTAAAGGATAATTCTTATGAAAGATGATACATGATTAGTGCTATGATTTGAATATGTCCCCCAAAGTACATGTGTTACAAACTTAATCCCAAATGCAACAGTGTTGAGAGGTGGAGCCTAATAACCGGTGACTAGGTCATGCTGCCCTCATGGATGGATTCATGTTCTGATAGGAGTGGGTTATCTTGAGAGAGGATATGTTATAAAAGCAAGTTTCAGCCCCATTTGTGCTCATGCACATTCTCTTTCTCTTTCTTTCTCGCCCTTCTGCCTTCTACCATGAGATGATGCGGCAGGAAGGTTCCCGCCAGATGTGGGCCCCTTGATCTTAGGCTTCTCAGCCTCTACAACCGTAAGAAATAAATCTTGGTTCTTTAAATTACCCAGAATCAGGGATTGTGTTATTGCAGTACAATATGGACAAATGATGATTGGTTAGAGTTTCAAATATATATCATGTCTGAAACCATCATTAGGCTCCAAAGCTCTATACTGTGTGTAACTGCCTGAAAATCCAAATTCCATAGTAAAGGTAGAAGCCTTATGTAGCTAAAAAACTCTGAGCATTGGATAGACAGACACCTGTGTTCAAAACTTTGGGCTTTGGTTTCCTCATCTTTAAAAGCAGGATCATAAATTCCAACCTCACAGAGTTGTGAGGATTAAATAAAATGGAGTATTGGAGATAGTATTTAGCACGACACCTTCCATAAGCTTCCAGCATCAGCTCAGAATCCTTCAAAATCTCCCTCTAAACTGATTATCAGTTACTTTTCCACTATAGTGCCCAGGTAAGTGGAGACTGACATACAGCTGCAGTGGACAGGAAGTGGGGAAGTTCTAAACTGCTAATTCCACTGCTTCTGTTGAAGTGACGTCTATTTCAAGGGAGAGGGGCACAGATGATGTCTGTGATGATGATGTTATACAAGGTTGTCACACCTGTAGGTATGTATGTTGGCTCGGGCAACACTCCTACTGCAGCTCCACTGATCCAAGTGCACAGTGCGCTTTAATAAGCAGGCCGAGGGTCTCCAAATATGACCTTCTTGTTTGTTTCCCTTCATCCTCCACTTGTTTTTTTCAGAACAGTGTCAGCTGCCAGAACCCAGGGAAAATTAAACAACCTTTTCAGAGCCCTTCCCCACATGACCCTATTAAATAAGCTTGGGGTTCATGGGTGGAAAAGAGGAAAATTATAAAACCAAAATCATCTCTCATGTGATACAATAAAAATAATCGTGTGGTTCAATTTCAGTTCTAGAAATGTCTAAAGACATAAGTTCATAAAATGCTTTAAACAGCAAGACACATTCAAGTGTGTTTCCCTTCTTCAATCCAGAGCAGTGCCAGCAAAGCTACTATCTCTAGGTCTTGTGGCCTGTGTCAAGGGGGGAGTCTGGAGCCTTCCTTTGTTTTAGAGTTGACTGGCCCATTCCTTTCCACCTGCCCTATCTCGGAATAGAATCACTGCATAAAATTAATTTTTCTCCATTTACCAAATTTTCAATAAAGAAATCTACTCCAGGCTGGGCATGGTGTCTCACACCTGTAAACCCAGCTACTTGGGGGCCCGAGGTGGAGAACTGCCTGAGCTCAGGAGTTCAATGTTACGATGAGCTATGATCACGCCAGTGCACTCCAGCCTAGGTGACAGAGTGAAGCCCTGTCTCTAAAAAATACGAAGAAATTAGCCAGTTTGGTGGCACGTGCCTGTAGTTCCAGCTACTTGAGAGGTTGAGGCAGGAGGATTGCCTGAGCCCAGGAGATTGAGGCTGCAGTGAGCCGTTGTGCTACTACACTGCCTGGGCAACACAGTGAGACCACATCTCTACAAAAGTTAAAAAAAGAAAGAAATTTGCTCCAGGGACTTTATTTTATATAGAAAAGAAGAGTATTTTTAGCTGAAGAGACCAAGGCCCTTGAGCATGTTAACTGAAGTAAAAAGCAATATGCTAATATTAGCCACACTAAGCCTTTTGAAGATAATATATGATCTTAAACTGTTTTTGACTTTTATTAAAAATGAAAAATAGCTCCCTCTAGTTAGCCAGAATAAAGCTTGGATGTACTTCTTGCATCATTACTACTCTATCTGATCCCAATATAGTAATATATAGCTTAAACAGTTCATTCCATTTGCAGTCTCATATTTGTTTTGCTTTAATTTCATACTACCCTGGCAATTACCCAGCTTCATTAACTCCTTAGGAAATTTCTCAAGAATGCTACAAGAAATATCATACATGGAATATTAACATACAGCAGTACTCTTGAAGTAAAATTTAAAGAAGTCTGCAAAACTGAATCTTTTTCATTAAGCTTACATGTTAAGTCTCCAAAACACTGTAAGGTCAATCCACATCAGGAAATTGGATTCTGACCCATGTGCCAGAAAGAGCACATATTAACAAACCAAAAACAGTTACCGAGCGCCAGTTATATGTATTTTTGCGGCCGGGTGTGGTGGCTCATGCCTGTAATCCCAGCACTTTGGGAGGCCAAGGTGGGTGGATCACTTGAGGTCAGGAGTTTGAGACCAGCCTGGCCAACATGGTGAAACCCTGTCTCTACTAAAAATACAAAAAATTAGCTGGGTGTGGTGGCAGGCGTCTGTAGTCCCAGCTACTCGGGAGGCTGAGGCAGGAGAATCACTTGAACCCAGGAGGCGGAGGTTGCACACACCAGTGCACTCCAGCCTGGGCAACAGAGTGAGACTCCATCTCTCTCTCTCTCTCTCTCCCTCTCTCTCACACACACACACACACACACGTATTTTGCTAGACACTATGGATAACTTTAACAAGCATATTTTCTGTACTCTAGGTATTTACAGTATATCTGGAGTAAAAAACATATATAGACACAGTAAGTACCAAATGATTGAGATATAAAAGAAGTACTATAGAGCAGGGGTCCCCAAGCCTGGGGCCACAGACTGTATTACAGTCCATGGCTTGTTAGGAACTGGGCCACACAGCAGGTGGTGGGCAGCAGGCGAGTGAGTGTTACAGCCTGAGCTCCACCTCCTGTCAGATCAGCAGCAGCATTAAATTCTCATAGGACTGCGAACCCTAGCTGAACTGTGCACATGAGGGATCTAGGCTGCATGCTCCTTATGAGAATCTAACTAATGCCCGATGATCTGAGGTGGAACAGTTTCAACCTGAAACCATCCCCACACCCTGCCAGGTCTGTGGAAAATTGTCTTCCACAAAACTGGTCCCTGATGCCCAAAAGGTTGGGGACCGCTGCTATAGAGTGTATGAGGGGAAAGTCATTCTTTAATGGTAAGACAAGTCAGCAGCGAGAAAGTATGCTTTGGGTTGGGCTTGAGGGAGGGAGAAGGGAAGTATTAGGAGCAAGGGCACAGCAGTAGAAAGACCTAGGAAAGAGAAAGGTTAATTTGGCTGGTGTGGAGTATATGCGGAGAAGCAGCAGGAAATAATGCTGAAAATAGCATTTTAAAATTAATTAGTTTATCAAGTGCTTAACTAACGCCAGGCAGCATTTTAGGAGCTGGCAATGCAAAGGTAAATCAGACAGGCCAGGTTCCTGCCCTCCCAGCGCCCACACTAATGCGGGCAGGAGCGTTACTAGGGAGAAAACAGAGATGTGATCGAATGGCGACGGAAGTGGCAGGAGTGTATCCCAGACCTGACGGACAGCTCTAGGACCTATAGATCCTAGATCACACAGTTTGGTTATGTGTCCCCTCTAAGTCTCATGTTAAATTGTAATCCTCAGTGTTGGAGGTGGGGCCTGGTGGGAGGTGATTGGATCTCAGGGGTGCACGTCTTTCTTCCCCACCCCCGAAAGGGCCTCGTTTTGCTCTGTCACCCAGGCTGGAGTGCAGTGGCGCAACCACGGCTCCCTGCAACCTCCGCCTCCTGGGCTCAAGTGATACTCCCACCTCAGCCTCCTGAGTAGCTGGGACCACAGGTGTGCACCACCACGCCAGACTAATTTTTTGTATTTTTGGTAGAGACAGGGTTTCACCATGTTACCCAGGCTGGTCTTGAACTCCTGAGTAGCAATCAAGCAATCCGCCTGCATGGCCTCCCGAAGTGTTGGTATTACAGGCGTGAGCCACCATGCCCAGCCTCGGGGTGGATTTCGAATCGATGGTTTAGCACCACCGCCTTGCTCTAAATGCTGTCCTCCCGCTGACAGTGCTCATTTAAAAGTGTGTGGCGCATCCCCCTCCCCACCATCTCTCTTGCTCCTGCTTTTGCCATGTGATGTGCCTACTCTCCCTTCAGCTTCTGCCATGATGGGAAGCTTCCTGAGGCCTCCCCAGATGCAGATGCCGGTGCTATGCCTCCTGTACACTGTAGAACCATGAGCCAATTAAATCTCCTTTCTTTATAAATTTCCCAGTCTCAGGTATTTCTGTACAGCAATGCAAGAACAGCCTAATATAGATGATCAGGCAAAATCTGTCTGAACAAGGAATATTTAGAGCTGAGACAAGAAGGCTCGAAAGAGCCATCTTCCTGCACAGAGAACAGACATCCAGTTAAGAAGGAGTTTGGATCCTCAGTGCAGCAAAAGGAGGCCAATGTGGCTAACCAAGGGCACTAGAAAAGCTCTTGAGGAAATTCACTGAAACGACATATTATTTTAAGTACCACTTTTGCTGTTGTCATATACAAGTATCAGGGATGGGATCCAAGCCCTGCTCTCTAGCAGCACTGCAGGCAGGACTGTTTCACAATGCCGCCTTCACTTTTTCTGCTATGCCACCAACTTATACCTACCACTGGACTGTAAGCCCCATGAAGGGAGGGAATCTTGTTTTATTTACTGTTATATTCCTGCTGCCTAGAACAGTGCTTAATACACGGAAATTGCTCAATAAATATCTGCCAAATGAAAGGACAATAAATATCACTTATTTCCTTCTCCCAAGAGTAGTCTAAAATGAGAGGTAGGGTTTTATAAAAACAAAACAAAACAAAAACAACAGGCTGGGCGCGGTGGCTCATGCCTGTAATCCCAGCACTTTGGGAGGCCGAGGCGGGTGGATCACCTCAGGTCAGGAGTTCGAGACCAGCCTGACCAACATGGGGAAACCCCATCTCTACTAAAAAAATACAAAATTAACCAGGTGTGGTGGCACATGCCTGTAGTCCCAGCTACTCAGGAGGCTGAGGCAGGAGAATCCCTTGAACCCGGGAGGCGGAGTTTGCGGTGAGCCGAGATCGCACCATTGCACTCCAGCCTGGGCAACAAGAGCGAAACTCTGTCTCAAAAAAAAAAAAAAAAAAAAAAAAGACAAATGAAGAACTGAGTTAGGAAGTGTCCCCTCAGTTCTCGTCTTAAGTTAATACTCCCCTCTTAGGTGTTTCCACCTTTCTCAGGTACAGGCAGTCCCTATCTTCTGCGTGCTCAGTCTCGGAACTTCTCTCATTATGATGTAACTCAGAAGCACCAATGCAGCAGGTTATCCATTTCTTCCAGAACTTCCCTCCTCTCACTTCCTCTGCTAAAATGTCTGGAAATGACTTTTTTTTTCTTTCTTTTTGAGACAGGGTCTTGCTCTGTCACCCAGGCTGGGGTGCAGTGGTGCAATCATGGCTCACTAGCCTTGAACTCCTGGTTGCTCAAGTGATCCTCCCACCTCAGCCTCCCAAGTAGCTGGGACCACAGGTGCACACTACTGTGCCTAGCTAATTATTTGTAGAGACAGGGTTTTTGTTGCCCAGGCTGGACTTGAACTCCTGGACTCAAGCATTCCTCCTGCCTCAGCTTCCCAAAGTGCTGGGATTACAGGTGTGAGGTACCATGCCTGGCTAAAAGCGACTTTCTACTCCAACTCTAATTCTTACCACTATGATAGATTGACAAAAAGGAATAAATACTATTTTAAAAAGAAGTAGGGGAAAGGAGGGAAGGAAATAATTCTGGTTTTGGGGACTTGTATCTACCTCTCCTCTCTCCCTGTATATAACTGAATGACCGTTCTTGTTTCTAGCTTATAAAACCTCCTCCAGCCCCATTGCCCCTTCCCCTAGAGTTCACTCTGTCTAGCCTCCTTCAGGTGGGAAGATGGCCTCTAAACACTACTTTTGTAGTATAAAAACACAATTTCCATTCTGGAGTGCTTCTGCCCTTTGCAGATAAGGATCGACTATTTTCTACTTATGACGTTGCTTTTCTTTATTCAAGAGTCTTGAGCTCCACTGTCTCCAAGGGCCAGGTAGGAATGAAGAGAGCCAGATGCAAAATAGGCAGTGGTAGTGTTATAGTAGGTAGTCAGGCAGACATGATCAGGGCAGGAGAGGTCCCTCTCACTGCCACCAGGAATGTCAGGCGACCCTCAGGTCAGGCAGTTGTTATACTGTTTCTCTAAAATAATAACTGGTGTCAGCCAGTGCCAGGGAAAGGCAGTCTCCTAATAGATAGAAAAACCTGAAACTGGTGATAAGCAGCTTCCTGATAAGATCTCAGGAGTTGGGTGAGTGGGCTCAAGCACGCGCATGAAGAGGCAAAATGGCGGAGTTCAGGTATGGTATGACCTAGGAATACTGGACTGGTAAGGGAGGAACACCTTAAGTGAGCATGCATAGAACTCCAGTAAACACATTGTGCATGCTCCCTCCGAAATGCTGGCAGGCCACCCGGCATGCGGACAGCCCACCCCAAGGGAAGAATCAGGGGAGAAGGGACGCAATCTCCCGGAAAGCATGCCAACGTGTAAGACCCCAAGTCAAAGGTCAAACTGCACACTTGATCTCCCAAGTCACAGAGAGAGTAACCCCTCTTCCAAGGTTACTTTACTTCCTTTCATTCCTGCTCAAAGCTTTTTAATAAACTTTCACTCCTGCTGTGTAACATTTGCCTCAGTCTCTCCTTCTGCCCCTCAAATTCTTTCTTCTGAGGAGGCAAGAATTGAGGTTGCTGCAGACCCAGACAGATTCCCCCGCTGGGAACAGTGGGGCCACAGTGAGACCGGCAGCACTTGTGCCACCTGCAGGGGGGTGCTGCTTTCATGGTCAGGCTGTCGGCTGCAGGCCTTGGTCCTCTAGCTACTGGTGCGAGGCCTGGTTTTTCATAGAGTCCAACGGAAAAATAAGGCACGGAAGGAAGACTTGTTTCCTTCTTTTAAACTTTATTCCCTCATACTTACCCAGAAATTAAAAAAACAATGGAAATCTCAGGAGGAGGTTTCTCAGTAGAAGGAAAAGGGATGTATGGGGCAGTGGGAGGTGGAAGAAGGAGAGAGAAGGGGAGAAGGAAGGAGTAACAGAGAAGGGAAAAGAAACGAAGGAGCAGGGAGAAGTGAGAAGAAAAGGGAGGAGGGGCAGACACTGGAAGCTGCAGAAATCACACAACAGTTTCCCAGTGAGCCAAGGAGAAGTAAGAAATCTTAACTTGAAAGAAGAAGGGGAAGTGGGCTGGGGAGAGAGAAGGAAGAACAAAAGCAGCCATTGAAGGAGGAGCTGACCAGGTTCATCCTACATCCCTGACTCCTCTCATCAGAATTCCTGTCCCCCAACCATCGCTGGCCCTAACCCTGATGGGGTGAGGAGGGTCCAGGCACAGAAGTCACCTCCAGTGGCTCAGGAAGATCCACCACTCCCTGTGGGAAGGGACACTGGGGCTCGCCATACCTCCAACCACCCCTGGCCTCCATTAGAATCCTCTGATGCCAGCCTCCACCACGGTGGGACAGACTTTGGAACACACAACCCATTTGGAAGCCAGGCCTCCTGGAGCTTCAGAACGTTCGGTACAGAGGGACCTCATTGGCACTGTGACATTGGCAGGATGGCCCGGGGAGAACTCTCACTGAGGACAACTGGACAGCGCCAGCACACTGACCCAGCGACTGGGGACACAAAGAAACAGGTAGCACCCCATGAAAACATGATAAGAAGTAGCCGATGGCAACTGAGTTGTGTACTCGTCTAATGGAGCTGCCCTCACACAACTAGTGCTTCAGACGCAAGATGGTGTGGGTGGAAGTCACCTTCATCCCAGAGAGACACTCAGAGAATCCACAGAGGCATGTGAAGTGCCACTAAGACTTCAACCCTCTCTCACTCTCGCCAACAGTCTGTGAACCAAAACAATCCAAAGTTCAGATGCTGAGGACAGTAAAAGATCATCCAAAAACATTTTTTACTAGGCTACTACTTGAGGTAGTATAAGCAAGTCTTTAATATATGTTTAATTTTCAAATACCAGCCAAGATGTAAAAGAGAGTAATACTGAACCTTCATTTCAGATCTTATAAAAAAAGAAAAAAAAAGTCATTACAGGCTTCAGTGGGAGTTTTAATATGTGTAGTGAATTGATAAGAAATTTGAATACTTGCAGCGATCTGTAGCAATATATGATAAGCTATTTCAAGGTAAAATTGAATAATTAATCATTTAATACATATTTGAAAAGTTTTGAGTTTATAATAAGAAAAGTTCTATGTTAATTTAAAGTATTAACTAATATCTTCACCCCAATGTTTAGTAAAAAATTAGAAAGAATGTTTCCTTTATTATTCCCTATTTCCCACCTTTCCTCCATCTCCAGTGATGCTAATACCGAAGAATAAGATCTTTGGGAACTTTCAGATCTGTGTCACATTTGAAGGCAAACCCAAAGTTTTGTTCCTCTGTTTTAAATATTGCAATGTCTCTGTTCAGAAAAGCCATGCTTCATCATAAACTTCACACTTCATCATAAACTTCATCCTCATAATTAGAAATGTAAACTTAGGAAGCCCCTTCACACTGATTAATAGATTGTTTGGTTCATTTTTTCAATAATTCATTTATTCAGCACATATTTATGGAGTACCTACTATGACTGAGGCACAGTGCCAGCTGCTAGAGATTCAGAAATGATTAAGACAGAGTCTGTGACTTCAGTGAGGTATGCCAGTGAAATAAGGCAGAGATACACGTACTTAAGAGCTGGCAATGCCAGGTGGGAGGTGGTATAAACAGCCAAGGGTTGGTGGGAGAGCAAGGGAGGACCACGTCAGTGCACTCTGCCCTCAAGTGAGTGGCATCACTACTGCTCTTTACACAAAATGCCAGATTGCTGCCTTTGCTGTGGTGGAAGGTAGGAAAGCACGGGTAATGGCTCAGCGAAAGCATATAGAACATGTTCAGAAGACAGGAATGTGTAAGGCATTGGCAGGCAATGTGTGAGGCATGCTTTGAGTTTTCTAGTTCACACCTCACTGGGATCACAACAACATATAGCATGATAGGGCAGTCGCATCTCCTTTCTTAAAGTCCTCTCTTTCCTTGCGATCCATGTGACGACATTTGTCCTTTAACTACTACCTCCAAAACGAGTTCAACATTTTTAACTTTAGTCAGGACACCTCTTTAGCTTCTGACCTGTAAAAATAACTGCCTATATAATACGTCTTCTTGGATAATTCTTCAAAGGCAAGTCAATCTTACCTTCAAAACTGGTCCCAGGCTCTCCCTTCCCCTGCCCTTCCAAACCTGAGTCTTCTTCCCTTATTCCCTATCCCAGTGAGGGGCACCAAATCCTTCCAGGCACTTATGGCAGAGGCTTGGAAGTCTTCCTAGACAGCTAATTCTTCCCCTGCTCCAGTCCTTGCCAATATCCAATTACTAGCAATTCTTGTTGATTTCACCTTACACTATCACCTGGATTCCCATCGCAGCCTCCTGTCTGGTCTCCCAACATCTGCTCTGACTCACTTCTAACCCATTTTCCATTCTGCATTTGGAGGGATCTTTTCAAGAAGCAAATCTGGAAATGTCACCCCATCACTTAGAACACTTCAATGGCTTTTCCACTGCTCTTAAAATAAAGAGCCAAGTCTCTGATGTGGCCTCTGAAACCCACAGGACCTGGCCTTAGGCTCCCCTCCAGCCACACTGTCTTGCTCTTAGTTCATTGAAGGCCCATGTTTCTTCCTGACACTGGGCCTTTGCACATGCTGGTCTCTCAGGCTAGATCAACTTTCCTCCTCGTATACTTCCTTCACCTGGGGAACACCAGTTTAATCATTCCCAAGGAAGACTTTCCTGACTAGATCAACCTCTCCCATTAACTGCTCTCAGAGCACTTTTCCTTTCAATACTTATCACAATTATATTTTACTTATAAAACTCAGTATTTCTGTCTCTCTCATTAGACTGTATGTTCTATGAGAGAGGGATTTTTTTTCTCTCACTATTCTAAAACTACTGCTTAGAATACTGACAACAGTTAATAAATATTCCTGGAATAAATGCAAGATGAAGCATGTATGCATATGCATTTGGCCATCCTCTGTAACTTACTGATTTCCCTAAAAAATACAGGGTCTATCATGGTACCCAGTGATGGAGCTACCACATCAAGCTCTCTTTTTGATGCAATTTGACCAAAAGGCTTTATATAATTTCCAATTGTTTCCCCAGAATAGTATCCACCCTAGCCCCTTGAAAAACACAGCTTTGCTCTATTCTTTCTAGTTGAGAGAAAGAAACCCTACAGAAGTCTGGGTTGGGTTGAGGTCAAAAGTTTTAAGAACAGAGAACAAAATGTTCATTCTAATAATTACATCAATAACATTTAACTACTTTTAATATTAGAAAGCATTTATCTTTTGTTGTTTCCATTTTATCTGTATCAATATTTTCTAGAATAGACAAATACACAAAGCTTATATGACCTTTTCTTTTTTTTTGTTTCTTATTTATTTCTAAACCCCTTTAAGTACATTATTCCCAGCCTTCAAATATAAGGTGCTTTCCCCTAAGTTCCATTTACGAAAAAACATTCTTACAATTCTGTAATTGTTTGGAGCCCTTTGTACTCAGATATTTACAAACAATTAAAAAGTAATAAGTGACACCAAAGAAAAGGCAACAAAAGAAGAGATTTTGACTTCACTACAATTATAAATGCTTGTGCATTAAAGGACACTTTCAATAGAGTAAAAAGGCAAGCCACAGGTTGAGACACATATTTACAAACCATGTATCTGATAAGGGTTTAATATCCATAATATATAAAGAACTCCTACAACTCAAGTACAAAAAGACATACAATCCAATTAAAAAATGAGTAAAGAACTTACATGAACAGTTCTACAGAGGAGATATACAAATGGCTCATAAGCATATGAAAACATGTCCAACATCATTAGCCATTAGGGAAATGAAAATGAAAACCATAGTGAGATACCACGTCATGCCTACTGGGATGGCTAGTTAATAAAAAGAAAAAAGTGCTGGCAAGGATGCAGAGAAATTAGAACCCTTGTACATTGCTGCTGGGAATGTAAAATGGTGCAACTGCTGTGGAAAGAGTGTGGTGTCTCCTTAAAAAGTTAAACACAGAGGCACCATATGCCTAGGGATTCCAATTCTAGGTACTGAAAGAACTGAAAGCAGCATCTCAAAGATATATTTATATACCCATATTCAGTGCAACGTTATTCATAATAGTCAAAGGTGGAAACAACCAAACTGCCCATTAACGGATGATTGGATAAAATATTTGCTGTAGTCATGTTCTATAAAGTCACAGCAAACACTGAATTAGCAAATATTCAACTATTCCTCCTAGGGGAAGTTTGGGGTAATGGTCCTTACAACCTCTGGTTACATTTCATCAACTGATCTATACCTAATTTTGTTTCGTGTGTATTTCTGTTTAAAGACATCTTACTTAACATATATTCCTAGTTTGTTAACATTGAACTATAGCCAGCAGAACCATAACTCATGCTTCAGTAATGATTATCTGACACACCTATTTTCTCTGTGAGGCGCATCATAGCTTTCTTGAGCTAAAGAACACTAGCTAGCACTTCAGCACTACGTCTAGGGGCCAGCCATCTTAAACGGTGAAATCACCAAAAGGCATAAAAATGCAAAACATGTGGCAATAAATAGACTGTGAAAAGGATGACAGTTTATAGCATGAGAGCTGAAACAAGATGGCGGAGTGGTCCCTTGTGTGAGCTCAGCTGCAATGTGCTCTCTTGGCAACTCAAATTCTTTGTTACTCTGCATTTGTCTGTAAATGACCATGAATATCCTGTGAGTATTGACTTTGAGATTACAAATAAATGCAGTCAGTAAGCAAATATGCAACTACAGAATCCACTAATGAGGACTGACTTGATATATCTATGATGGAATGTTATTCTGCCATAAAAAGGAATGGAATTCTGATACATACTAAATATGGATGAACATTGAAAACATTAGGCTAAGCAAAATGAGCCAGGCACAAAAGGACAAATATTATATGATTCCACTTATATTAAATATATAGAATAGGTAAATTCATAGACTAGAGGTTACCAGAGGCTTAGGGGAGGGGATAAAGGGGAGTGATTGTTGAATGGGTTTAGAGTTTGTTTGGGATGATGAAAAGTATTGGATGTGGATAGTGGTGATGGTGGCACAACAATGTGAATGTAATTAATGCTACTGAGTTGTATGCTTAAAAATGAAAAATTTTATGTTATACACATTTTATGACAAAAATTAATAGATGTATTAATAAGATTAAATGGGTTGTTTTAATGTTCTGTTAAAATCAAACGCTGAGGGCATTAATAGAGATTCTTATTTACTCACGTCCTTTTAAAACAAGAACCCTCTTTAATATGTGTTTTCTTCTGGTTTATAGAACATATTTTAAAACGGGCTTACTATTCAATAATATCAATTGATTATTGAGGAATACAAGTTAATTAAATTGTGCAAGTCAGTTGTTTGGCCTTACTTCATGCTTTTGGTGAACACTGATGCAGTACTAGAATTACTCTTTTTGATAAATTGCCAAAAGCAGGCCACCTCGAGAACCAACAACTGATGTTTCTAATTTATGTTTGGAATAAAATTGTCTTTGCAGTACATCACATGTGGGCGAACTGGTACTCTTAGGTAAATTACTACTGGTACTACTGAGGTGTGTTGGCACTATCTGTCTATACTTTTCATCTTTTGCATTACTTTTCTTGCTTTCATCACCAACCTATTTCTCATCTGCCTCCTCCCCTACTGAAACCCCTGTTTTCCTATTGCCAGAGAGAGCCATCTGTCAGAATATGGCTGTAGTTACTATCATAATTCAAATATTCCCTTTTAAGTATTTCTTGACCCAACAATTACAAAGAAGCACTGCTAGATACAAACATAAATAAAATGTGCTAATGAGGAATGCAAACAGTATTAAAATGTAAACTTAAAATAGGAAGGAATTTGTGGCCAAAGAAAAACTGATTACGATTCTTTCAGTCTTTTAAAATGCATCATAAAACTAAAAATGTTTTGCTACAGAATAACAGTTTGGCTTCTTTTATGATGGCAAAGAAGGGTAATTACGATTGTCATGAAAACACATTGAGCAGCTGTATACTGTTAACAAAAGAACCATTATATGAGCTCGTAAAAGCTGGCACTTTATATATTCACATTTCCTAGAAATTAGATTGTCTTCCCAATTGGAGTCGATACCAAAAGAGACTGTTTTCTATTAATTGTGGCTTTGTACCAGTCAATTTTCAGAGCCAACTGGATCATCTTTCTTTTGGGATATATCCCACATATTATTATGTGGAATTTATATATACTGATTTATATACACTCAGAAGCATACAGTATAATGTTGCAAAGAGTAATTTTTTAAGTTCCCAGAGATCTGTAAATTTTTAACGTTAAAAAATGCCAGTTTCAGTAGATTCTTTCACCAACGTACATCTGTTTAGAAATTACTGAAAGAAATCATAACGCATAACTCTGCAGTTTATTTTATGAAGGCTAATTAATAGGTACTTACTCATTAAAGACTAGGTCTGGTGCAAAATAGAGAAATTGGCTGTTCGTATGTTTGTACGATCTCCAGCTCAAGGCAAATGATGATAGACACATCCAAGAATACTGGATTAGGGTAATTTGGTCCTCAAGAGGCAAGTTTTTAAATCCTGAAGAACAAAACAATTAATCACAGAAATACACTTAGCATTTAAGTACATTCCAGGAAGATGCTTCTTAAGTCAACCCCAAACAGCCACCTTTCTTTCACTTTTCTCTTTTCTGACAGACTCAAATCAATTCAACAGTCATTTACAGAGTGCCCACCACTGGCCCAGTCCTGTTCCACATTTCACTTTAAATTCATCCTAAATTCTAGATGAGGGTAAACTGCCAGGGCAAACTAAAATTGCAAAGTTCAGCAAGTTTCAGTGTGGATGACAGCCTAAAACCCTTGGTTAGATTGAGAGAATTTGTATTAACCTGTAAAACTTGCTTCGTCCCACCCACAATTAATAACACTAAAATAAAGGGTAATTTAATAACTGTCAAACCCTGTGTATCTGCAATAATGGTGGGAGATTTCATTGTTCATGAGTTTGTGGTGCTTAAAAAATGAGCATGTGGTGCCTCCTATGGTCCAGGTTAATACCAGACTTTGATAAAGTTCTATGGTAGAACATGTTTCCCTGGCACCTGTCCTCCCTGCCTGACAGACTCAAGCTCTTCTTTTGTTCTTTATTTTATTTATTTATTTTTTAAGATGGATTCTCATTCTGTCGCCCAGGCTGGAGTTCAGTGACATGATATTGGCTCACTGCATCCCAGGTTTCAAGCGATTCTCCTGCCTCAGGCTCACAAGTAGCTGGGGTTACAGGTGCCTGCCAGGACGCCCAACTAAATTTTGTATTTTTAGTAGAGACAGGGTTTCATGATGGTGGCAAGGCTGGTCTCAAATTCCTGACCTCAAGTGATCTGCTTGCCTCAGCCTCCCAAAGTCTGGGATTACAGGCATGGGCCACTGCACCAGGCCTTCTTTTGTTTTTTATCACCTCCCCCATCTCCAGGGGCATCATGTTATTTTTCTGCCTGTGGAGTTTCACTGGGCAAGCTCCTCTTCAAAGAATCAGTCAGTGGAGCTTTCCCCAACTTTTACAGCTGCTGTCTGACCACAGGTAATCTAAGAAACTGCTTTAGATTAATGAACTGGGACAATGTAATGGCAATTTCTAAGTGATGTTTCTGTAGATTAAGAGGGGCCTTATTAATTAAATACCATGAAACAAAAAAAAATGACTAAAATAGGAATTCCAGGGACAATTTAAAGGGTGCTGGGGGCCAGGTGATTATTTTTTAGACAGAAGAGTCATTCCAGGTCTCTTACAACTTACTTGCTAGGCCTTGCCTTACTTGGTCTACACTTAGATTAACCCTCGTTATGAGCCGCTAATAATGTGCTCAACTTGTGATTTCATGAACAGAATGTATTTTACCTTATTAATATTTTTGGATGAAATTTTCCATTTTGATCAACATAAGAAGTGTATGTCATTTTTTTTATTTTTAATTTCTTTTTTTTTTTTGAGACAGAGTCTCACTCTGTTGCTCAGGCTGGAGTATAGTGGTGGGATCTCGGCTCACTGCAGCCTCTGCCGCCCAGGTTCAAGCGATTCTCCTGCCTCAGCCTCCTGAGTAGCTGGGATTACAGGCACCTGCCACCAAGCAGGACTAATTTTTGTGTTTTTAGTAGAAACGGGGTTTCACCATCTTGGCTAGGCTGGTCTTGAACTCCTGACCTCGTGATCCATCTGCCTCAGTAAGCCACCTGCCTTGGCCTCCCAAAGTGCTGGGATTACAGGCGTGAGCCACTGCGCCCAGCCGTATCTGTCATTTTAACAATAAAATCCTTAACCCTGCATTCTCGGAAGAAATGAGCACATTAACCATATTTTTCCTATACACTTGATCAATTTGTTATCAATTTAAAAAATCTGATATCAGGATTTCATAGAACGCAAACTCCTCCTGCATGGTTGGAGATGGCGAAGTCAGTTGCCCAGACTTGTTAAGTTCAGGATGCAGCCTGTGAAAGGAGAGGCAATCCTACCTGGAAGTACCTTTGCCCACTTCACGACTTGGATCATCTGTTTGCCTGCTAAGCGGTTGAGCGTGGAGAGCAGATTTTCGGCTGTATCTGGTTTTGAGCTGTCATAGCCTGCATATACAATTTCAGGTTCAATGTTTTCAAGGACCATAACGGGGGAAGGTGTGAGCGCTCGTGAGATTGTGGAGAGCTGAGGAACCAGTGCTGTGTTGACCGAGGGTTCTTTTGCAGGAGCGATGTACGTTGTCCCTTCCTCTGGGCTTTGCGGGGGTGGGGGTGGGGGTGGGGGCTGCTGCTGCTGTGGCTGCTCCTCGTGAATCCCTTTTAACTTTCCCAACTTCTTTGACTTTCGTGCTATAAGAAACCATAAATGATAAGGCCAAATTAAAATTATGTTTGAAATATGCTGACTCACACTGGTTAAAGTACAGTTTTCCTCTAAATAGATCTTGTTATGTCAATAGGAACATGACCGTTTATTCCACTAAGAGAAAATATATAAAGCTCAATTATTATTACTTACTATTGGTATTAAGAGAACAAACTCCTTCCTTCTTTCATTCATTTTTACAAGTCTTCACTGCCTGTCTCCTATAAGAGACTGTATAAGCTGCATAGGAACCCAGCTAATATGTTCAGTATAACCAAGCCTTACCCGGTCCTCAACAAGTGTTCAGCCTAGTGGGGGAGGACTTAAGAAATGTACCACCAACTGCACCGCAGTGCAGGTAGAGATCGGTAAGGGTATTCAATTAGGAAAAGACGAAGTCAAATTGTCCCTGTTTGCAGACGACATGATTGTATATCTAGAAAACCCCACTGTCTCAGCCCAAAATCTCTTTAAGCTGATAAGCAACTTCAGCAAAGTCTCAGGATACAAAATCAATGTGCAAAAATCACAAGCATTCTTATACACCAATAACAGACAAACAGAGAGCCAAATCATGAGTGAACTCCCATTCACAATTACTTCAAAGAGAATAAAATACCTAGGAATCCAACTTACAAGGGATGTGAAGGACCTCTTCAAGGAGAACTACAAACCACTGCTCAAGGAAATAAGAGGATACAAACAAATGGAAGAACATTCCATGCTCATGGGTAGGAAGAATCAATATCGTGAAAATGGCCATATTGCCCAAGGTAATTTATAGATTCAATGCCATCCCCATCAAGCTACCAATGACTTTCTTCACGGAATTGGAAAAAACTACTTTAAAGTTCATATGGAACCAAAAAAGAGCCTGCATCGCCAAGTCAATCCTAAGCCAAAAGAACAAAGCTGGAGGAATCACACTACCTGACTTCGAACTATACTACAAGGCTACAGTAACCAAAACAGCATGGTACTGGTACCAAAACAGAGATATAGATCAATGGAACAGAACAGAGCCCTCAGAAATAACGCCACATATCGACAACTATCTGATCTTTGACAAACCCGAGGAAAACAAGCAATGGGGAAAGGATTCCCTATTTAATAACTGGTGCTGGGAAAACTGGCTAGCCATATGTAGAAAGCTGAAACTGGATCCCTTCCTTACACCTTATACAAAAATTAATTCAAGATTGATTAAAGACTTAAACGTTAGACCTAAAACCATAAAAACCCTAGAAGAAAACCTAGGCATTACCATTCAGGACATAGGCATGGGCAAGGACTTCATGTCTAAAACACCAAAAGCAATGGCCACAAAAGCCAAAATTGACAAATGGGATCTAATTAAACTGAAGAGCTTCTGCACAGCAAAAGATACTACCATCAGAGTGAACAGGCAACCTACAAAATGGGAGAAAATTTTTGCAACCTACTCATCTGACAAAGGGCTAATATCCAGAATCTACAATGAACTCAAACAAATTTACAAGAAAAAAACAAACAACCCCATCAAAAAGTGGGCAAAGGATATGAACAGACACTTCTCAAAAGAAGACATTTATGCAAAGGATATGAACAGACACTTCTCAAAAGAAGACATTTATGCAGCCAAAAGACACAAGAAAAAATGCTCATCATCACTGGCCATCAGAGAAATGCAAATCAAAACCACAATGAGACACCATCTCACACCAGTTAGAATGGCAATCATTAAAAAGTCAGGAAACAACAGGTGCTGGAGAGGATGTGGAGAAATAGGAACACTTTTACACTGTTGGTGGGACTGTAAACTAGTTCAACCATTGTGGAAGTCAGTGTGGCGTTTCCTCAGGGATCTAGAACTGGAAATACCATTTGACCCAGCCATCCCATTACTGGGTATATATCCAAAGGACTATAAATCACGCTGTGATAAAGACACATGCACACGTATGTTTATTGCGGCACTATTCACAATAGCAAAGACTTGGAACCAACCCAAATGTCCAACAATGATAGACTGAATTAAGAAAATGTGGCACATATACACCATGGAATACTATGCAGCCATAAAAAAGGATGAGTTCATGTCCTTTACAGGGACATGGATGAAATTGGAAATCATCATTCTCAGTAAACTATCACAAGGACAAAAAACCAAACACCGCAGGTTCTCACTCATAGATGGGGACTGAACAATGAGAACACATGGACACAGGAAGGGGAACATCACACTCTGGGGACTGTTGTGGGGTGGGGGGAGGGGGGAGGGATAGCATTAGGAGATATACCTAATGCTAAATGACGAGTTAATGGGTGCAGCACACCATCATGGCACATGTATACATATGTAACTAACCTGCACATTGTGCACATGTACCCTAAAACTTAAAGTATAATTAAAAAAACCCCAAAAATGGCTAAAATTTATTGAATGCTTACTAATGCCAGGCACTGTTCTAAATGCTCTATATAAATTAACTAATTTAATAATTTTATGAGTAGATTCTATTATGATTCTCATCGTAGAATAAGGAAACAGAGACCAGAAAGTTTAAGAAATATAAGATCACACATCTTGTGTATCTGAAATAGAGTTTAGAGGAAGGGTAAATTACTTCATATGCGAATATGATGGAGGTAGTGGGGGAGGTGGGAAGGTTGGGAGGTAGATGGGTAGATGGATATATAATTGGGAAGACAGATGAATGAGAGAACAATTAAAAAAAAAGTTAAGAAGCACCAAACTGAGCTTAGGTATGTGAGAATTACTTACGTTACAAATGTAACATTTCAATTTATTTAAAAATTCTTGAAGCAAACAGACACCTTCTACTTAATCCTAACAGTCATGAGAACTTACAGGACACAAATTTAACGTAGAGTAGGACTATGTTACACCAATTAACTTGATTTAAAAATAAGAGTAATTTGTGTTTATAATTATAGCCATTAATGTTTATCACGTTCATCACAGAAAATCTTACAATTCAGATAAAAGATAAGCTATCAAACAACAAAAGCTATATTAAATATTGGAACCAGGCTTAAAAGATGAATAAGACATAACTACTGGCTTTAAGAAGTTTAATATTAACAAAATTTTTAAACTTCAATAATTAATTTATAGACTATCTCTTTAATAAAAGATTTGAGGCACAGAAATCTGATTTTTAGAACTGTTTATCAAGGAAAAGCAGATGTATCATATTCACGTATGTTAATGGAAGATGCTGACCAAGAACTGCCCAGGAGTGCTGAGCCGGCACTAGTAACCCAGATACTTCCGATGAATGGATGAGTGAACAAATGAAAAATACTCAGCAAAGTGCCTCAAAAACTAGACAAAACAGAAAAGAACAAAGCACCCAGGTAATCTAAAAACCTCGTCAACTGACGACTCTATCAGAGCTTAAGAAAATACTCAATAGCATTAATTTGTCTTTTGGGCAATTAGATAAACTCTCCTCTAAGTCTCAACTGATTCATTTGAAAAATGGGCATGACAATGTCTCCCTCTCTTATCTCTCAGAGAACTAAATGGGTATGACAAATAAAAACATGTTGGAAATTATTATTAACATCTGAAATAACATGTCAATGTCACTTCCATTCTTCCCCCATAATTTTGTAAGCATTAAAAATATTCCAGCACATTAAGATGTTCTCATCCTTTATAGGACCACATCTGACGATAACCATGATTTATTGACTAGAACAGCCAATGGTGATATTTTCAAATTTTATTAAAAGTGACTTTTTTTGCAAACTAATGATAAAATTCATATTGCTTTAGGCTTTCAGTCTACAATGCTGTGCTTATTCTCACAGCTGATTTAAGGTCAATGATAGGAAATGTCATGAAGAATACTTAATATTTTCTCCAGCACTTACACACAAGGCTGTGGTCTGTAGCATAAACCTAGGGAGCTGATTATCGACATCACATTTAGCATTTCAGGTACATTTAACTTTATACTGTGATTTTGTGAATATATGTAGGACACTTGGAATTGAGTAATAATGCATATTTACTCCAATAGTTCAAGGTAATAAATATCTCCAGTGTATCTTCAGCCATGCGTATTTACCCAATATCTTTTCTAAAAGGGCCAAAAATACGGTTACTTAATTCATTATATTTATATCAAAGTAATGTTTCTAAAATGCTTGAATATTTTATACTGTTCTAAAACATGCTATATTGTAAAATTTAAGCTCTTCAAAGTGGGTAATAATGTCTTATGTATCTCTATAACATCATATCACTTCCCATGATGCTTATGGGTACTCAATAAAAATATCTGTTGAATAAATTGACCTTATTTAAAAATTTTAATAAACGTTAACAAACTATTACATATATAAAGTATTAGTTTACTTCCCTGTGGGAAATGTGGGCAAGCTTCTGAGATTTTATGATAAAATTTCTGAATTGTTAATTATTATTCCTTTTCAAAATTTCTACTGTGTAATGACCCACTTGTGGAGTTATTACTCTTAAAATACCGTATCTAAAATAAGCTAAATGTATTTGGCATTTCATGTTCCAAGCACAGTTCAAAAGAGCTTTTACTTGTTTTCAGCATTCCAATGCTCACCATGACCCTATGATAGGCACTATTTTCATTTTTCAGGTGAAAAAACTGAAACACAGAAAGAATAACTACTTTTTCATATTGCAGAGCTAGTAAATACCAGGGTGAGGATTTGAATCCAGCTAGGGCTCAGAGTTCACGCCCTTAACCTCTATGCTACACGCAGTCTCTCTTCTAAACCTTTTCTCTTTATCTAATTTGTACAATTTTTATACTTTAAGATTAGCTAGCATAAGCTTCAAATCCAAGTGTGTAATTAAGATGTTTGCTAATTACACAGGAACATTGCTGGCTGAAGATACTTAAGGAACATGTTTCTATTAACCAAAAGCATCAGTGAACATACATTTGGGAGCTTACCACTATTTAGCACCTTACTAAATCAATATTGAGTTTATGGCCATTGAGCTTTGTGATCTCATGTTCCCAGGTGGCCAGACCCAAACAGCATTTTCTCCATTGCCAGCAACAGTAGCTGTGTGTGTATCTGTGTGTGTGCACGTGCAGGGTACATTAATGTGACTGTAAATGTCTCCCAGTCCCAATTAAACTCACTTAAAAGAGGAGTTTCATTTGTTCTACCTGGATGTTATAATAACTAGTATGTGCTTAGTTGCTGCCCTCAGGTGCCTAGTCCTTAATTACTAGTAACATTTTGGCAGCCACTCTTTCCTGGCACTGCTGGGAGACAACTCCTTAGATTCTCGTGAATTGTTCCCCGAGGAACTGGCACTGGGGAGGCCCTGCTTCCTATCCTGACCAACCTGCAAAAGAGCAGGCAGAGCACATCTTGGTGGGACTCTATTAAAACTGTGACAGATTTCTAATGAGATCTCAAGATTCACAAGAGCTTTGAAACATGACATGGCAAGATTTCCTTTTTTTGCTTTGCTCTACCCTCCTGAGGCTGGTATGACCTGCTACATACCCTTTTGACAAGCCACTGTTGTGGCCGAATGATGGCTGACTAGGACTTTCACCACGTAAAGATTCTTTAGTCTTAGAAATGGTAATCAGGACAACTTTCCCCCTCTGGAGTATAGTAAAAGAGTGATATATAGTAGAATATGGAATCTTGTTCAATTACAATATTTCATTAGAAAAAAATAAAGTGAGAATTCTGTGATTGCAGAAATGCTTCATGCCATGTCTCGAAATTTTAGGTCTTGGCAGTAAACATTAGAGAGGTTATATTGAGGTTATATTAAAATATATATATTTTCTGTTCATAGGCCAAATGTAATTACTGCCCACAAAACAGTAACAGCATTCTCTTCCCCTTGCCCCCACCACCAACTATCTTCTTTAACAGACCATTTCTCCCGTCACCCTCATACATGGGGCACGAATTTCAGCCCAATAACCCTAATTGTTCTTTCCTCATCTCTTTATCTGCATGACTTCTCTTTGCCTTTTGACTGCCAGAGAAGGAGTACTCTCAAAGATAGGGGGCAACTAAGTAATCTGGCCATGAAACCAAAGGAAGCAATGTCATCCTTCTATAGGGTTAAGAACTAATTTGCACTAATAGGAAAAAGATCATCTAAATCAATCCCAATGCAATAAACACCAGTAGAACTGGGTCCCAGGGCAATAAATAATTAGCTTGTCAATTGATTATAAGGAAGTAGCATTTCAATTGTTTATAAATACTCAGAGTGGTTAAGAAAGTTGAATACAGGTTGTTTTTTAAAAAGTGTCTTCAAATATTCTCAGATTAATCTACATAATTTAATAAGTTAACACACATTATTGATTTTGTTGATATAGAAAACATGCTAAGGCAAACACAAACCCAACCTCTGATCACTTTAAAAGATATTCCAAATGAGTGAGTACCCATATATTACACTTTTTTTTTTTTGAGATGGAGTCTCACTCTGTTGCCCAGGGTGGAGTGCAGTGTCACCGTATCGGCTCACTGCAACCTCCGTCTCCTGGGTTCAAGCAATTCTCCTGCCTCAGCCTCCCAAGTAGATGGGATTACAGGTGCCCACCAGCACACCTGGCTAATTTTTTTTAAATATTTTTAGTAGAGGCGGGGTTTTACCATGTTTGGCCAGGCTGGTCTTGAACTCCTTACCTCAGGTAATCCGTCTGCCTTGGCCTCATATATTACATTTTAATGTGTGTGTAAAGCTATCCACAGATACCTGCATCTATATCTATAATAAATATAAATTTGTTGCAATTGTTATATGTTTATTACTTAGCAAATAACTAATATCCACCCATTGTATAAGAAGTACCCAGTTTGTGAGCAATGTAATGCTGACTAACAAGATCTGAGCCCTGATAAGAGATTACAATCTTAGGGAAGTTGAATCGATATATAATAAAGTAATTAGGTTTATAAAGCTGGCTATGATAAGTTTTGGGTCACTGGCATTTACAATATATTTGGAGAGAAAGACAATGGCAGAGAGAAGTTGTTTTCTCTCTCCATGGGAGCGCACACTATCCTGTCCCCTCTGTGGTAATTTCCACCAAGCCCTGGTTTGCTTTTGGTGTGAGGCAGATTACACCTAAGGCCTATGAGGACCAGGACACTTTGCTGTATGGGAATCCACCTGGAGTCAAGTGCCATTGACCCACCTAAGAGGAAAGTCCCTTAGGCCAGAAGCCAGAACTGGGCAGAGGGGCTCAAGGGAATCTGAGGGAGTCAGAATAGGGGTTCTCTGATTTTACAGAGACAATAACAAATTTCTGGAAGATGATTCCCCACAACAGAAATATACCACTGGAGACAGACAGGAAGTCAGATAGGGACAAAGCTGGGAAGATGCTTCTGAGGTTCTTCTGGGGCTAGACAGATGGTGAGCATGATTACTTTCATGGCATTTGTATTTTCTGTAGCTATATTCTTTTTTTCTCCTCTAATATGTACATTTTTCATCCCCCCTCCCCTTTTTAATGCCAATCAAACTCAGGAATGTGTGCACACAGAAGGGGTTTTCAAGGTGAGACAACATGTCTTCGAGGTCTGGCCAGGCTGGGGACCTCACTAGACTGAGAAAGAACCTCAGGGGAAGAGGAAACTCAGAACATCAGAGATTTAAATAGCTTCTGGTAATCATCTCTGGGCAATGGAGAAAGCTTCTGGAGCTTTCTTGTGCTCAAGGCCTGGCTGGTTTTGAATGAAAACAAGATAGGCCACTGCTGGACTGCGTCGCATGGGGCTGAGGCTGCCCTGTAATTCTGAAGTGCCCTCCGGCATCTCTTAGGAAGAGCTGCAGCAGTGGTGAGGCAGAGAGGTGGCTCGTGCCTCCCTGCCAGGGTGGGTGGACAGTGGATTGATTACGCCTGACAACTCCTACTTGGGCCCTGTCACTGTTGTGCTGATATAGACCTTGAGGAGTATCAGAAGGGAGTAACAAAATGACAAATCCTCTACCCACATGTTTTACCCTCAGGACAAAACATGCTTCTGAAAGAAAAAAAGGTAGAAAAGACTGCGGTTGACTTATTCCAGAGTAGAGGATGAGGTCTATGAGAAGCCCAATAACAGTTTCAAAAACTTAAAGAGACATTGGCTAAATCATGGGGAGCATCTATTTTCTATTTCCACTGAGGTCAAGATAAGATACGAAGGGTTTAAAGGGCAGAAGAAGGGATTTAGATTAGACATTAGGAGAATTTCCTCCCAGCATTCTGGAATGTGTTATGGAGAAAGCTTGGAATGTACTACTAGCAAGAACATGTACTATTCTTTTCTAAAAATTCTAAGATAATAGGTAAGCAGGCATCCTGCTTGCCTGAGGGCAGTTCTGCCCTAAGGTAGAAGAAAGTGATGAAATGAGTTATTGAGATCTGGTGGCCCTACAATGCAAGTAAATAAGACCCTCTGATGTACATTCCTGACTTAACATTTGTCTGAAAGAAATCTCTCTGGCTCATACTTTTCTGAAAAACAGGAATAAATCCCTTATATTTATATGTGTGGTAAAAGATAATTTCAGAAATACGTTTCCAAAATATGCACAAAGGGCAGACTGTGATCTCAGAATGCCTGCTTGAGAGAATGTCTAGCACCATGGGAAAAAACCAAACACCTAACGTCCTCTGTGCTCTCTTCTCCGCTCTATCCCACCCCCACCCTCCTTTTTTTGAAAGTAGTTTTACCATTATAAAGCAAGCTGTTTGCTCAGTCCTGTATGTAAAAAACACTCTTTGGTTTCTTGTAATCTTGAGATTACATTATTTTATTAGTGGAGAAAATAGTAAAGAGCTACATTAATGGAGAATCTATATGTCAGGTACTAAGATAACAGTTTTTAGAAATATCCCATTCAATGTCTTCATAAGCACACTATGAGGTAGGTACTGTGTTATCACCATGTACAGAGGGGTAAAGTGACTTATGCAATAACTATAAGTAGCATTAGAGGGAAGTGACTTATTGTAATGACATGAAAAACTACAATAGAGAAGTCCCATTACATTTGCAGACAACATCTAATGACATCTAATCAGAAGGTCAAAGGGGGTGAGAAGAGGATCGACAGCTAAAATGGCTTTTCTAAATTATCTATAAGGTCACCACTGGATCACCTCTGTTGACAGAGATTAGTCTTTTAAATAGGAGGCTTGTAACAACCTGTATCAATACACAAGTTGCTTTCATTTCTAACTCCCTGGGCAGCACAGTCAACTTCTTTACACTGGAAGGTTATTTTACTGTTACAGACAGTTCAGGCTTTTTGCTTTTGCTCCCTGTTGTGACACCTTGATTCTAACTGGAGGAGAATTTAACAATTTTATCTGACTAGATAGAAATCAATCTAGTCAGTCTGTATAAAAAAATAGAACTTACTAAGGAAAGACCCTACTACTTCTTTTATTAAAAATAAAGTTCCTGAGCTCCATTGCAACTGGTAACTTCTTCAGACAAATATATCATTATTTAGATGTAAATATCTAAATCAAATTTACATTCTTTAGAAAATAGAGTATCTGCTTTGTAAATTCTTATTCTTTGAGGATAACTATGCTGAAGACTGATGTATGTGCATGTGTAAAACAAACAAGCAAAAAAGAAAACCTCTAAGTAGTTTTATAATACATTTAAAATAAGAAAAATAGCACTATGATAGCTGTAGTCACACAGCAAATGGCCCCTCCCTCAGTTAAAAAGTTAATTCTTTAACAGCTTCAAGGGCTGCCTTCTTGGCATATGTCTCAGTAGAGAATTTATTACATGAAACACGATCTCATTGGGCATGCAAGGTAAATAGACTCATTAAGAATGTTTTATGAAGAAACATTACTGTTCTAACAAGGTCACAGGGGTGAATAAGTTATGAGAAAGAGACAAAAGGCAGTGACCTGGAAATGGACTGCAGCACCCAGCTTAGTTTACTAGGCCTTCCCAAGTTCTAGCATGATCTTCACTAGGCTTGGGCTGAAAATAACTAGTTAAACGCTGGAACCTACAGTGGTAGAAATGTGCCAGGAAGGGCCCTGTGCATACCTCCTCAAACTGTCAAGTCAACTCAAGCAGGGTCCACATCAAGCAAATATGATACACAAAAATAAGAGCTTACCAAACAGATAGATGAGGGGAACAGTTACACTAAGTAATAGTTTTTTAAAAAACAAAAATTTAAGCCAAAGATTCCTTGAATAAGCACTTAAAGAATATTTAAACTATAATACATGTACATTTGCTTGCACATCACTTTTTAGGGCTGTTTCAATTATTCTGTTCTCCCTCTAAACATTTGTTGCTACTTTAGTGCAGTGGTTTCCACATCTTGGTCCCTTGATTATACCCAGTGACTTGGAAGTACCCAAGACTTCTAAGACAGCTAAGGAAGTTGCCTAAATTTAATTTCAGAATTTTTTTTTATGATTAGTGTAATTTGTGTACTAAGAAATAAAAACTTTTAATGAGGAATAAAAAAATATATACACCAGGAAAGAGTTTTATCTCCACTATTAATTTTCTTCAAAATATTTCTTCCCTCTTAGTTCAACAGTCTTTCTGTGAAATAAATTACTTATGACTACATCATTATAATTTTAATTATTTCTTAAAGAACTATTACTTAACATATATTATCAAAAACTACCTTAATTATAATCAAATCATAAGTAATCCTTTACATTATTTATATGAAAAGAAAACTGTGTTTTACTCAAGAATACTAATGCTGCGATTATAACTGAACCATTAAAAACTATTAAAATTGCTTAGTAAGAAAAAGAAATGATGAGCCAGATAACCAAACAAAATAATAATCCTGTGAATTGATACAAAAATATTTTTCACAATTGTTTTAACAGTCTGTATTTCTGAGTATCTTCACTCTATTATTAAGAACATTTTACAAATGCAAGACAAAAGAAGCTAAGCAGAATTTTTAAACAATCTTCAAGTCAGAAGCTAGTACTAACATAAAAAAGGAAAAGCATAGTAAGTACATATTAATGAGTTAACAGGATGCCATGCAAGTTGGAGGGCAAAATTAAATAGGCCCGAGGAAAGAGAAAGCAAACCTTAATAGTTATTGCTTTTATGCATTTAAATATTACTCCACATTTTATTCCACTGACATTATCAAAACTAGTCTAAATTAAGAATTAATAGTAGCCAATGATGCATGTACTTCAAAAAAAAGTTATTTTTCTAGGCTGGGATCTCTTCAGGATACAGACTGAATTGGTCTGGAAACTCCCAGATAAAGCAGAGCCAAACAAAATCGCCTTTTTTGAATAAGTGATTATCTTGCAGTTGCTTCTCCTGTTTGGATTCCAGCTAGTCTCTGCACACAGGGTTGGTATTGCAGCATCTTGAGGCACTTTGATGATGTCTTGTGCCGTCAGGTCTCAGGGCACTGCCGAGGACCTGGTGGTGGGCAGGGCCACGCCAGAGTGGCCAGAATGGGGGCAGACACACAGGCCTGCCCTGCCCTGCCCAGCTCTGTTTACAGGACTAACTTCTGTTTTTTCATTTGGTATTCTGCCGCAGTGTAAATTCCAGAGCTTTGGTGGCTCTCTCGAAATCTAATTCTGCACAGCTGGCTGAACAAATGCCTCTTTAAAAGAATGTGCTTCCCATTTTAGTTTCAAAAGTATTCTTCATATTTCTATCATTTAGTCATACCCTACCACCCTAAAGGAAAAGGGTCCAAGAGAGGATTTAAGAAAGTTCTTAATATGTAAGATACCAACTCACTGAAAATAAGCTTTTGGGGAAAGTTTAACGTTAAAGGTTTTTTATTTTTCATGATTCCTTATAATCTGTATTTTCCATTCATACGAGATTGAACAATAGACTTGGATAGAAACAGTCAGCCGTTATCCATCAAAGCTGTGAAGGACCCGTCCTGGGAGGACTTCCGGAAATTTTAATGGGGGTAGTTCAGGAAGGGCAGCTGGGTCATTTCTGAAAGTTTTTTTGGGGGGAGACTGGGGGCTGCAATTCACATTTAAATTGCTATTAATTTTTAAAGTAACATCACATTGATAGTACAGAAATTAAACAAAACAGTTTTCGTTTCTTCTCTCAAATTGTTTGCCACTTCCTTGTTACTATTCTGCTTATGTTCTAATGGTAGGTTTCCCTTCATTTAAAACAAAGTCTGCTGCATGTGGTGATTTTCACACTTATATTCCTAGGTCCAAACAATGATGGATCTTCAACAAATGATTTCACTGATGGCTTTGTTAGTGTAAGGACAAGCCGCTCCTGGGTCACAAGGTGGCCCATGGCTGTCACTCCAGTGAAGCTCTTGACTAGGATTCAAGTCAGCTCTTCACTGCTGACTTAGAATAAGGCCAACCTTGTGCTATGATTTTAAAATGGGTGATGTGGTTCTAAGTCATGTACTATGTAAAACTCTCTTTTTAACCCTCATAATAATTTCAACCCCCAAATTTAAATGGGGCTAACAAAAGCCTATATAATCTTCCCTTTAGAGCATTTTTAGCCTTTAGTGATTTTTTTCGGACCCACAGTTAAGATTAGACATTCTCTTTTATAGTCAGATATTCTCCCTTCACAGATATGATCATAGAGGATAAAGATCATAAGGCCATGCCCAACATGATATACTCTATACTCAACTCGTTTGTTCAGTTTCTGAAGTATTACGCTTAGAACTTATCTAAGTATTTTATTGCATGGCACACAGTAGGCACTAAATAAGTGCTTACTGAACCAAGGGAAAGAAAGAGCAAATAAACCAATAAGTAAATGCTTTGCTGACCCTCTATACCAGGTTACTTTTCTTGATGTGATAACCACAGCCACCATTTTCTAATAACACTGTTAAGCGAAATGGAAAGAGAGGATGTTGGGTTTCACCCCAAACCCCAATGAACTAGGCTAGTCTACCTAGAAAACAATTCCAGGCAAGGCTCAACCCAGCATCACGCTGATAACAAAAGTAAGTCAAGCAATCTCCAAGAAGCAAAGCCAAGTACAGGAGCAGAGGACCTGACAGCCCTGTGGCCAGGGGGACCTAATGCTGTTTTCTCTGGCTGGGCAGCAAACAAGCAGGCGGTCCTGCCACTTCTAACCTTGAGAGAGTCTGAAGAGAGAGGAAACAGGGAGAAGCCAAAAAGAAAAGAGGCCTTTAGCTTCATAGAACCATACTCCAGAAATAGACTCCAGGAAAGAGGCAGTCTATATACTTAATCTTAGGGCCCAATAAACATCATTAAATGAGCCACAGCAGCATGGGCTCCTTTTTGTGGGTTGAATGATGGAAAGTGTGTTTGACCTTGACCCTCTCTTCCTTATGGAAGGGGCAAGTGATGCACAGAAAGACTAATCTCCCCCTGCCCCAAATGCCCATCATCAATTCAAGGTTTTAGTACCCAAATTGCAAGCACTCTAAGAGAATGAGAGCCTTCTAGACCCAGAAAGGACCTCACGAAACACCCAATTTAATCTATTTTAGATGAGAGGAAATAAAGTTCCAGAAAGATGAACTGGCTTGCCAGGGTTCCAGCTGATAGAGGTGGCATGTACACGGAGACTCACCATTTCAAGTTCAGTGGCCTGTTAGCGGTGTCAGCACCAGAACTGTTATGTAGGAGGGACTTAGAGAAATGTGTGAAAACACATTTGCTTCATAAGACATTTATTGATATTTATTTAGGATAGGTTGGAAGGCATTTGGTGAAAATTATGAGGGGAAGGCTAAAAACCTCTCCCAAGGCCATCCAACAACCACTGTAATATCTGTTTAATTTGGCATAAACACAAAACCATCCAAATGGAATTTCAGCTTTTTACAAAATAGTTTCTTCAGAATTACCGTGAGAAGCTACAAAGTTAGATGACAAAGTTATCCATGACTCTTGGTGGCCAGCTCCTTAGCAGATAGCCAGTGAGTTGTCTTACCTGTGTGGGATGTGCCTATGTTTGTAATGTGCCTATGTTTAGTAATCACGTACCAAAAATATGCCTTCATAAAGTACCCAATAATTACCATGCATCACTCTAACTGTAAATTTCAAGAAGACACTAAAGAATTGTTGTTGACCTGACTATCAAAGCCCTGTGAATTGAAATCAATATACCATAACATGTGAATGTTAGATACAAGTTGAAGCCCCTGAAGGCAGGTCACTACGGTGGCATAAACATCAGTTTTTTCTAAGTACCAAGCAGCATCTGGATGAATAGATCTACGATGACCATATTGCCTTCACTGTACATGGCCTAAACTCATCTCTCTGGAAAGTTAATCTTTCATAACATTAACATCAGTATGGTTAAGAAATCACTTACATAAATTATTCTCAATATTATCAGCTGTTATAGTCCACACTTTTTTTTTCTCACTTGGTTCCTATGCTTAAAAAGCTAAACAAAATTTTAATCTTGTATTTGCAGGGAGCTCCTCTCAAACAACTTCTTCTGAGAAACACATATGATATATTACAAAAAAGACTGAGAAAAGAAATTAGAAATTTGGGAAAGGAACCCTGTAAGATATACTATGTAGCTACTTCAACAACTCATAAGGATCAAATATGATTTATGATTTTTTATATATATATAAAATCATGTATATAAATATATATATATTCATCTCTTTATCCTCAACTATGCTTTAATTTACTTACTTCCCAAAGTGTAAATAACTACTAAAAGCTATGGCTATTTTAAGGGCTTAATAAAAGTAATGGGATATAACTGAGAAATTCAAATGATAAAAGATCTAAACAATGATGAAACACATAAAGCCAAAGACTATGAAAACAGAGATGATCATATTTCTTCTCAAACTCTGGTCAATGGGTGATCTTCCTTATAATCGCCTCAGGGCTTACTCAAGATGCAGAATCTTGGGCTGCCCAAAGTACACATGGCAGAGTATCTACAAGTGGAGGCTGGGAGTCTTCATTTTTAACAAACTTCCCATGTGATTTTTCCTGCACTTTAGAATTGAGAACTATCAACCTAAAGGTTCTGAATGAGATTACAGAAAGCAGGAGAAAGAGAGAAACTGAGAAAAGATTATTTGTTAACAGGAAGGAAGAGAGGGAGGGAGGGAAAGGACAGATATTAAAAATTCGGTCTACACCATGGTTTCTCAACTTCATTGACATTTTGGGGTGGATAATTCTTTGTGTAGAAATGGTCCTGTGTATTGTACAGTGTTAGCAGCATTCCTGGCCCTCTACCCAAAAGATGCCAGTAGCAATCCCCAACCTCCAATTGTGACAATAAAAAATATTTCCAGACTTTGCCAAATGTCCCTTCCAGGGGTAAAATCACCCCTGGTTGAGATTCACTGGTCTATACTAAGGAAGTTGTTAAAGCAAGAATAGTGAACTAGAAAGATCATGAAATATCTTGGGTATATAAAAAACAATCAAATGAAAACTGAAATAAGAAGCATGCTAATTCATTATGCTCCTAAAGTTAGTTTCCTTAATAACAGAAGTCATAAACTCAAAAGTGAACTCAGCATAATAAAAAAATTCATTTTCATCTTTCAAAATTTAGCATATTTCACACAAACATTTGCACTTCTGACACTGCTTGAAAAAAAATTTTTTTTGAATCTGGCAATACCTGCAACAAATAGGCCTAGGCCTGAAACTGGCCACTCCCTTTGGCATGGCAACAAACAGCTCGACCTGGACTGGCCACTCCCCTTCGATGGAGCATTCACTTCCTACCCCCATGCTTTATAGATGGGTGAATTCTATAAAAATATTCCATAAATATGTCATGGGTATTGTAAGAGATTGGAATATGTTTTAAATATGTTTATTTAAAACTTACATTTAGTTTCCTAGACGCCAAAGTCTTAGTAGTAGGGCCACACTTTTAATCTACAAACATAATTTACAAGAAACACAAGCACAAGTACACAGTCCACTAGAGAAATATCCAAAGTTTAGTGTAATCATAATATCAGGTTTATTATCACAAGACATGGCCAAGTACCCTGCCACACCCAAAGGGTGTATGTACTGACTGACAAGCACATATCCTGAATGTTATTACACTCATAAAAAAATGAGTAATGACTGGTTGATCTCAACATTCACACTCAAATCAAAATTCAAACTGGGATTTCCACAACAGGCTTCCTTACTAGCCATCCGTTAAAAAGAATATTTGTTCCTGTGACAGAACAGGGCTTCCCCTAAATGCACACTTCCTTCAGCTGTGTTGCTGCTACTGGTCCCCAAGCGTCGACTTCCTGCTGACACCACCTGGAGGTAAAAAGGTCCACACCCCTAGGTTTATGGTCTATGTCTCATCTTTGAAAGTTGCACCTCTTTCCCTATTCCATGCCAATTTAAGTGCACAATTAAACATGACTGCAATGTGAAGGAATTTCCAGGTATGAGCTCTACAGAGTTACTTCAATCACGAGTGCAGCTTCACACTCCCCAGTTATCTAGGCACACATTTTTATCAGGGATGAATGCCTTATAGCAGTGGTTCCCAACCTTTTGGGCACCAGGGACTGGTTTTGTGGAGGACATTTTTTCCTTGGACAGCGATGGGGAGGATGGTTTTGGGATGAAACTGTTCCACCTCAGATCATCGGGCATTATATTCTCATAAGAAATGCACAACCCAGATCCCTTGAATGTGCAGTTCACAATAGGGTTCGTGCTCCTATGAGAATCTAATGTGGCTGCTGATCTGACAGAAGGCGGCACTTGCCCATCACTCACCTCCTGCTGTGCGGCCCAGTTCCTAACAGGTCAGGGACCCAGTATTGCTGCCTTATAGGTCCTGCCTGATAATGCTCTCTTTTTTCAGCTGGAAGGCTTCTCTATTTCCCAGAGGTGGAGCTACACCACTGTCTTTGTGTTCACGGTCTTAAACACAGCACTGCTTATTTCCACTCTACTCAAGTGGCCACCCAGACAAGGGCTGAGGCTTCCTGTCAATCTTGAAGTTCCTGGGAAGACAGGTGTTCCTCCCACCTGAAATCAGTACAGATTCCTGACTCTGACCTTGGATTACATGTATTCTAGAAACTATGGAATCCAATAATAATTTAGTTGATAATCCCTGGGAGTTTACTGCACTAAGCTCCTCAACTAAACCTTTCATCTTAACCTACTCGTGTCGGGTTTGCTTCATTCTTGGTTTTCTTTTCTTTCTATTACCTCTTATTCTTTGTGTTTTTACATTTGTCTCGGGGGCTTATTTGTCCCTCCTTTACTGTAAGTCAACTCATCCTAATTTTCTTTTACCTTAAACCTAATGAGGTTCAAAGTTCACTACAAACCATCAAACCAGGATTGAAATTCCTGCCTTAACAGCAGCAACAGCTATCCCAACACCCCATTGTCTTCCATTCTGGTGACAAAAATTTTAGTTAAGTAAGCATAATCAAGAAGTTCAAACAGTACTTAGAATTCCTCGCCAAGGACTGAAGAGATATAAGCCTTTCCTGCAGTATATTATCATTTAAGAAGTTGCCAAACTATGCTATGTAAGTCAACAATAAGGATCAAGACTTACGTGTTTTTTGGAAACTGCATTGTCCTGGTGCAGGGATGGAAAAAATAATATTACACTAAAACTTTGTTAAAATACCATCGTTTGGACTCTGTTATAGGACTAGTTTTATAATGAAATCTTTTGTGTCTTTAATAACTGTAGAGCCAAACCTTGTCGTGATTATTATTTTTTGGCCAAACAGGCAAGGTTTAATGGCATGTTTGTTTATTCATTCATTCATTCAATAAGCATTTATTAAGCATCTACTGTGCTAAGTGCTCTGAAGAGAAAGACAAAAGGACAATTCTGTTCTTGTAAGTTCAGACTATTTGGCAAGAAATAACCTATAAACAAATAATTATAATAAAATGTGATGAGTGCTATAATAAAGGCTCTGGAAGCACAGAGAAGGTACTAATCAACTCCATCTAAGGAAGTCATTAAAAGCTTTATAGGAAAAGTCTTAACAAATTATAAACATATATAACATTGCAAAACTGTCTAAAAGGGAATGAAAGCTTTCCCCACTGTGTAAAGGTTGATCTCTGAGGAGTACACTTAACCTGGAGGTGATGAGTTGATTACAGAGATTTATTAGCACAGCGGGGGAATATGTAGGGGCCATCTCAGAACTGTGTTGACAAAGGCACAAACTAGCAAGAATACAGAGAGACTTCTTGGAAGGGAGGGATGGTGTCAGGGAGTAAGGACAGAGAGGGGAATGAGGTGGGTGACAGAGTGGCAACATGTTTTTGTTGGACATAGGTCATTACATAGTATGGTGGGAAGAATAACGAAGACTTCACCTCCCAATCCCTGGGATCTGTGAATGTGTCACCTTACATGGCAAAAGGAACTCTGAAGATTAAATCAAGGATTGGAAGATAGGGAACTTATCCTGAATTGTCTGGGTGTGTGCCATGTAATCATAAGGCTCCTTATTGGGGAAAGATGGAGGCAGGACCAGGAGAAAGGGAGATGTGATGATGGAAGCAGGGGTGTAAGTGATGCCTTTAATCTGGCTTTGAAGATAGAAGGGGCCACGAGCCAAAGAATGTGGGCAGCCTCCAGACACTGGAAAGGGTAAGCAAGTGAATTCTCTCATAGAGCCTCCTCTAAGGAACACAGTCTGTTGACACATTGAGTTTAGCCCAGGCTGACTCATTTTGGACTTCTGACCTGCAGAACTGTGAGATAATAAACTTGTGTTGTTTTAAGCCAATAAGCTTATGGTAAATTTGTTACAGCAGCAATAGTAAACTAATTCCCACAGGAATCCAGGGGGCTTCCTTCTTGGTCCTCCTATGTGTCTGGCACAAATGAGAGGCCCTTGTTGTAGCTGACAAAGAGGGCCCTGTTACTCAAACCAGCAGTGCTGACACAGCAGAAACTGCTTCAGCACTGAAGCGAAGGAGCGTGGGCGGGAGGAGCCCCCGACTGTGTGGAGAGGGCTGGGGAGGCAGGTATTAGGATCCCTAGCATAAGAAGATTCATGGGAGTGGCTCAGAACCTTTCAAGGGGTGAGGAAGAAGGCAAAGACAAAAATGGGTGTGTGTGTTTCTGGGTTGAAAACAAACTAGCATTGTGTTCACTGCTTTATGTTCAGTCATAGAATCCCATTCGTTTTGAATTTCAAGCAACCTAATGGAAGCTTCAGATTTTGTTTATTAAAAAAATAAGTCAAATGATTTGACAAAAACAGAGCTAATGGATATGAAAGCCTGCCTGGGAATGGGACAGTTAGTGAGTCTCAGAGTAAATAAAGCAAATAAAGTCAACCCTTTAAAAATTTCCCCTTTGTTCTGGATCTGTTTTTCAACTCTAGAGTATTTTAATCGAATCTCTTATATAATACTCAGAAGTCAGATGAGGACTTTTCTTCACCCATAAAACACCTGGAAAACCAACAATAGCATCATCGCTCAGGTATTATCTAAAAAAGTTCAATGGCATGACCCAAATCACCTCTATGGAGTGACAACGAGGTGGTTCCAGAGGGTATTTCCTCTGAAGAACAAACAGAATGGTGAACACATCTACTTGGGGGCCTGAAGACACTAGCTATGCACAGACATTTCTGTCTGACTGTACTGATGACCAGCACGAGCAAAGGCAACCATGGCGGGAGCCTGGGGCATGGAGCATGTAGGGGGCAAGGCATAACCCCAGTTCCCTTTGCTCTGCGTCTCCCCAGGGGGTATAAATGTCTACATGCGTCCAGGGTCTGAGGTGGGGCAGATGAGTGGAAGTGAAGTAGCACTTAGGGTAGCATTTCCAGGTTGGTTTCCTCTCTCTTAATGAATCACAAGCCATGCCAGGGTCCCTCCTTCTCCTCCTCGGTTTTCATCCTAAGACTGTTCCCCACTCTTGACTTCCCAATACCAGGAAGTAGGGTCACTGTTTCAGTGCTTGTCCTCTCCAACGATATCGGACCTACCTTAATCTTCACGTTTTAAGTGCTCTACTCCAAATGTCTGTAGCATTTAAATGTACAGCTTATCAAATATATTTAAAAGTTACTAGTGAGATACAAAACTGGTAAAGTCAGTAGACTACAAAACTGGTAAAGTCAGTAGTCCCTTTGTAAGGCTATGTTAGGGTTGGCAAGGAAAATGCAAATACATTAACTTGAAACATCGTATTCAGGGACTTCTCCCAATGAAGAAATAGTTACAGAATGCTGATCAGTGATTTCCTCAAAAAACATAAAATAACACTAAATCAAAAAACAAAACAAAACACACACAAAAAAACAACTAAAGGCCGGTTAAAAAAACCAATGAAAGGACCTTCTTATCCTAAGAAGAATGCTGCCAATGTCAGCAACCCTTGGAGCAGCGGTTCCTAGCCCTGGTGAACTGGTGCACAACAGAGACCTAGAAAAGGAAGGATGCCCGTGCTCCATTCAGATTTACTGTGTGAGAATCTCTAGGAGGAGGGCAAGGGTGAGTCTGTTTAAAAGACTTGACAGATGATTCTGAGCTGCAGTGAGAACTGTTCAACAGGATGGCTTACTTACAGCCTAGACGTCCCATCATTCTTCCACAAAAGCTTTTGAATTTGGCTTAAAATTTCTAATCTGACTCAACTTTATCTAAAAATATGAGTATATATAGGATAGAAAAGTGTTTTTAATGCCATGAAATTTAAGTTTTTGCTTTAAAAATATATATTTATATGCATGCATTATATATCTAATTAACATATGAAAATGTTTCCAACATGTCTTTCATTTCTTATTTTTCTATTTTTCTACTGTAGTATATTTTATGCCTTCCTATGTAAATAAAGATGAAACAGTTTGAATTTTTACTTGTGAATTAGTCTAATTTTAGAATTAAGAATGGCTTGATTTGAAGACTGCTAGAGTAAGAAAACTGAATTGAAAGAAATCTGAAAGAATTTAAAAAAATTTTTTTAGCCAGGCATGTGCCTGTAGTCCCAGCTACTCGGGAGGCTGAGGCGGGAGGATCACTTGAGCCCAGGAGCTAAGACTGCACCACTGCACTACAGCCTAAGCGACAGCAAGATTCCATCTCTAAAATAAACTAAAAATAAAAATTTTAAATTGTTCATAAAGCTTGCCTCCCAGCTTCTCTAGCAGTTGCTGACCATCAGATGCAAAGAGTTTCTGGGGGGAAACAGTAATGTGTCAAGGTGGTTCCAGAGCTGAAGGGAGATGAAAGAAAGTCAGCTGCTAGAAAGAGGTTACCCTACTCTTAGCCTGCCTCCCAGGCATTTCCTAGTATCTTTTACAAGAGCTAGAAACCTTTACAGTAAAACTGGGTTCATTTTTTTGGTAAGAATTTGAGGGGCCGATTTTCATATTCTGAGTTCAGGGAGCAACTCTGTCTACTGTAGATGTTGAAATTATAACTGAGGTGGTCTGCAGGTAGGAAGGTGAGTGGGTTTTCTGCAAGACTGCTGGAGGCAGAGCTGCTCTTTCCAGACAGCACCCATGCAAGCATCAGTAGATAGCACAGGGCCATTTGATGGGACAGATGTACAAAGGGAGCATCTGGGATGAACCCACCAATGTAGTGAGGGACACAGTCACATGAAGCCATCCTGAGATGCCTCTACCTTTTCCCAGTAGATAGAAGTCAAGGAGTTACAGATATCACTTTGAAGCAAAGAGAAAGAACTCTGGGGATTTGGGCCATTATCAACACTGAAGGCACTCTTTGAGTCTCTTTGCTAAATTTCCAGTGCTTATCAGATCTATAATAAATTTCTTCATTTTAAAGATTAGCTCCTAGAAAGAGCAAGGCCAGCGCCTACCTTCTTATTATCACCATCACAGCATTGCATGGGATGCCTGGCATGTCAGAGGCATGTGATGGGTTTTTGCTGAATAAATGAATGGATTCATCAGAGATACACTTTTTAAACACTGTGATCCCCCTATACAAATTAATCTTAATATGAAAAATAATTATATGATAACAATATACGCTTATTTTCATTCCCATTTAAAATATTTCACATTAGTACGCTGAAGGAAGAAGAACAATTACATTTTGGAGTTTCTTATTTTCATGACCTAAATCAGAAACTGCCTTCATATTGTAGTTAAGTATTCTTTTCAAAATAATGAAGCAGCACATTCTAGTGAAGCCATTTTTATTAGCTCTACTAACTCGGCTTTTAAGAACCTCTCTGTCAAACTGTAAATCATCATTTTTTAAGCAGCAAATGAAGTGCTCAGCAAACACTTGACTCTTACTCCATCTTTATTGCAATTTATTACAAATAACTTTTACTCTCCTTTATTAATCATGGTAATGAGTACGCATTTTATAATTTGACAAATCAATAGTTTTAAAATATGTTAGAATTGGGTTAGTGCCTTTTAAGGTATATTATCTGTCCAGAAAAATCATCATCTGAAAAGATACTAATGATATTGAATATCATACATTTACTACTAAGACTGAAGGACTGTTAGCTGAAGGAAAGTTAGCTGAATGGTTTTCGGTACATTCTAGAGCTGAGAACAGAGGACTTTATTGTAACATAAACAGCTTCTCCATCTTCACAATAACATAATTCAGTGTGAAAATGGGGAAAATAGGATGTCTGTTCAGAAAGCCAACAATAATCAGATCATTAGCCACTAGATTTGCAAATAAAAAAACATTAAGTTATATTCCTCAGTGGACACACCTATTCACAGAAAGTAAGTGAATGCAATGTTTACAACTTTGAGAAAAGTCTGAGGCGGATGACACCAGTCAATTCTCAGGGAGCAAGCAGATACTTTACCTAGGATGGCTGATCATCCCTTTCTGAGATGACTGAGTGTATTAACCTATGATGCTTGGTTGTAAGTGGTCTGTCCTCCCTTTCCTAATATCTCCATATCCCTCATCTCATCCCTCACCCCAGAACTTATCCTCAGTCTTGGGGCCTGGGGTCAGTGCTGGCATTTAGTAACAGAGAACAATTTAGTTATAGAGATAATGTTCTACAAGAGAATGTCCACCTTACACATTAATTAGTAATTTTTTAAAGCTTCCGAGATATGCTTCATTTATGCTTTTCTGTCTTGTTTTGGTTCGTGTGTTTTCAAAGTAGGCATAAGTAAAACGTTTTCGACTCCAAAATAAAGCCTTCAGGGCTGGGCGCAGTGGCTCACGCCTGTAATCCTAGCACTTTGAGAGGCCAAGGCGGGGGAATCCCTTGAGGCCAGGAGTTAGACACCAGTCTGGCAAACATGGTGAAACCCTCATCTCTACTAAAAATTAGCTGGGTGTGGCGGAGCACGCCTGTAATACCAGCTAGTTGGTAAGCTGAGGTATGAGAATCACTTGAACCCGGGAGGCGGAGGTTTCAGTGAGCTGAGAATGCGCCACCTCACTCCAGCCTGGGCAACAGAGTGAGACTCTGTCTGGAAAAAAGCCTTCAGTAGTTCTGTTCCAAGAAGCATGAAGCTAATATTTCGCTTTGATAATCTGCTTATTGAAAACTGATTTTTTTTCACTTTTAAATGTATGGATAACATAAAATACGTAAATAAAAATTAGGATATTGAAAATTTTGCCACGATTTCAAGGATGTTCTGCAATTAGCAGATGCCTGTAACTGTTATGGGTTTGTAGTAGAGATGTGTTTATTATACTCTGATTGTTACAGTCACAGTTCCTTTCTGAAAAATTGGGTCAAAATGTTTCTCAAAAGGTTCTCCCGCTTTCTACCAAAGGGCCCTGTGATCTGACCATACCAGCCTGGGTGAGGAAAGGGCAAGGGGTCAAAGGCAGACATTGTCTATATTCTCTCAGCCCAATCGGAAGCCCTGTTCTGGGTGGTGACTGACCAGTTAATCTGGACCCTCCTCTTGGGAATTTTGAATGCAGGACACTCAGGTGTCAATGACACTGAGAGATAGGCAGAGAGAATATATTAAGTAGAAACCTGTACTGAAAACCACGAGGATGCAAAAGCAACATGTTAGGACAAAGAGAGGTAGAGTGAAAATAGCAGAAAGAAGCAGGTAAAAAAAAAAAAAAACAAAAAAAAACAACAAAACAAAACAAAGAGAAAGTCCTAGAAATTGAAAGCCTCTTATATCCTGAGTGATATTCCAGCAGTTCACAAAGACTGTGCAATTATTAATACTGTAATAAAACTCCATTATCTGCAGTGACCTGAAATAATGTAACAATGTGAGGTGTCATGAACAAAAACCACAAAACGATTTTAACAGAGTTAGCAGTTGTGTATTACAGAAAATATCAGTGAGTGTGTGAAACTGGGAGGTTGCTGGGGGTCCTGGCCCAAAGAGAACTGTGTATTGAGGATGCTACTTGGAAAGAGAAAGGACAGTTCGGATTATAGGTCTCTTGAGACCACCGAGGACAAATGACAAGATTTCCTATGCCCAAAAAGTCTGAAATGCTAAGCTCTCAGGCCCTTTAAGGAAGGCTAGAATGACAATCTACCAGGACAGACTGCAGTGAAAAAGGTAAAGGAAAACTGAAAGCAACAGAGGGTATCTGTATACCCAATTTTTCCAACATCCCTGAATTTTATATTTAAAAAGACATAAGAAAAGCAGACTCCTTGGGTAAGCTCAGCAAGGCATGAGTGAGTTCATAAAACTGCATGTATTTCTGGGGAGGGATGAACATTGGCATTCAATGCCTGCACTGCTTCTGTTCTAAGATGTCATCATTCACAAAATAAGACACCAATTTAATGAGAGTTTTGAAGGAAACTAACAAAAATTAGATGTATATATTGAGCGCAAATTATAATCACAAGAGTTAAAATTTAAAAGAAAAAAAGTCTTTAAAAGAGATACAGCAAATTCTTTTAAATTCTATCTGCTTTAGAGCCAATCCTGAATTTCCTCCATGAAATTCTGCAGTGTAAAAACACCAGTTGTTTAATTCAACAGTTATATTACTATGACAATTAATATGGCTTAATTTATATGTGAAGATGCAAAAACCACACTTTCACTGACTTATAAAAATTTATTCTTTCCCAACTTTACTGTTCAAAAGTCCCATTGAAATTCTTATTGTCTATAAGCAAGGAGAATGGAAAGAAAAAAAATCTGAGGAATAGTATCTCTTTTATAAAACTCAATACACTTGGGCTTTCTAAACTTCTACAACTACTGCATATCCTGCCTTGGGAGACCCTTTAAAGACATAAAAATTGTTTCTCTTATTGGATTTCAGATATTAAACCTATTCTCTTGCTGGTGTTGATCCTGTAATTTCTCTCACCAGACCCACACTGTGAGTTTTGCAGGTGACCATGCCAACTAGTTGTAACAAGTTGCTGGCAGGTAAAGCCAATTTTCTTCAAGTAAAAAGATCTCTCTCTGGGTTTGGTGTGGCAGTCATGATTCTTTAATTCTTTGGTCTCTGGGTCTTTTGTTTTCTGCTCACTTCTACATTTCAGTTTTTAAAAGTATTGCACAGCAGGTAACTTACTGATGGCTTTTTTAAAAAATCTTTTTTCCTCCTTCCTGTTCAGGGATAACTCCTTTGGCCATCTGTGTGTCTTTATCTCTTCTGCTTACTAACACTGTTAGTGTTAATGCTTCTCTTTTTAGTTCAAAATTATGAGCTTTTTTCTTTAAATTTCATAAAATATGCTCATATTATTAATAAACTAGAAAGGAGATAAGAAAAAAATGCAGTCATAATGTTACTTCACTAGCAAACCATCTTTGGTGTTCTAACATTTCCTTCTAGTCTTTTGACTCATGCAAACCTTTTAGTGTGGTCGTAATCACAGAGTAAGTGACCTAAATAATTTTGCATACTAATTTTGTATTATTAGTTTCTTTTTTCAGAAGCTGTTCTATGTTGTTATAAATTTTCATGGCCATAATTTTATTGGCCCGTTAATATTGCATTATGTGGATGTATTCTAATATAAGTGTTTTCCCCACTGTGGTTCCATTGTTATCAGTAATGTACAAGAGCATCTGTTTTAGTGAATGATTCCCAGTATTGGCGTTGTTTCCCTTCCCTCTTCCCCTAGTTGCCTTCTCTCCAACCCTCAAAAGCAACCATGATGTCTGCTGTTGCTCCTGCTTCCTGTGTCTTAGATCCTTCTCGCTTTTCCTGTGACGTGTCCCACTCTAGGAGGGAAAGGGGGAACGTGATATGGCCACCTTTACAGGATCCTGCTAAACTCAGTGATTTCTGAGATTAAGGAAAACTACAGATACTTGTTGGAAGTACATTGGAACCAGAATTAGGAACCAGTTTCAGAAATATGCTGTGGCTTGTAAAGTCTACCTTTTTAAAGTTACAGGAAGCATGATTTTAGTATTTTAGTGTCTTCACTAAAGGAATGTGAAAGAGGACTTCAAGTCCTATCGAAATGTGAAGTGAGAGGGGTAGTTTAGAAAGAAGGGAAGAGGACTAATTAGGATCCTTACACTGTATTTTTCAAGTATCTAATGATACTATCTTGGACTCCAAATTCCTTATCTGTAAAATGGGAGGACTGGAATAGGAAAAACTCTATGATCCCCTCTATATTCTATGGCCAGGGGGCAGTCAAGCTAGAAACCCTTCAAAGGACTCATTCTTGGTCTAACGGCTGGCTAAATTTAGTGCTATGCTTTACATATTTTAGGAAAAGCTCTAAAAGGCATGTATAGACCACTCCCTTCAGAACACTGGTAAAAGTGAAGTGAATTAATTCCTTTGAAAAAAGCTACACAAAGCAGAAAATTCTCATGTACAGAGAGCCACGGGGCTTTTTTAGATCCACTAATGTGGGCTATAGCAAGAGTGGCAGGCTCAGCTTAGAGTCAAAGAACTGTTATTTTCCTTTCAATTTATCTGTTGACATTCTCACATCTTCTGCTGTATTTTCCTTTGCATGCTGCCTACAGCCCAGCAGGATTTTAAGGAAAAAGAATAGTACTAGTGGCAGGAGGGAGGGAGTGGGTCTAGAGAAATGGGAAGAGGCACATTCTATAGCTTTAATTTCTGAGAGATACAAATCTATGCACTCTTTATTCTTCCTTCCTCCCACATTGTAAAGGAGAGGCCAGTTTGGGGACATGATTAGGACTACATGCTAACCAACTAATCAGATAGGAAAAAAATATTCTCTAGTATTTTGGATTTTATTCCAGGAGTCATGATCATTTGCTAAAAGAAAAGGTCTTCCAAGTATTACGCTATGTTGCCATATGCCTCAAAAGAGATAGTAAAGAAGAAGGCGGGTAAAAGAAACTGGACCACTTTGCTTTGCTAAGAAAACAGCGGTGAGATCGAGACATGCATAAAAGGGTTTTAATTCATGTTTTTAATTTTAGAAATTGCTTCACATTAGAAGTTAAACTTCACATTCTCTTTTTTAAGTGTAAGATTGCTGGTGTTTCTTTCTCCCAAATTGAAACTAAAAGCAAGACTTCGAAATAAATCATAAAAGAAAAAAAATTACAATGTACACAACTGGACAACTAATAAAAGTTAATTATTTAATTCATGAACCAGAAGTGGTTAAATTATAACTTAAACCTAAAGTAAATATTGCTTTCATAAATACCAGTTTTCACTCTGCCCATTTTTGACTCACCTACTTTTTTAAAGGACCTCAAGATTCAGAGTGAGCTTTTTTCAGCAAGATTTTTTACCAAAACCCATAAAACCTATCCTGTATAGGCAGAAAACAGTAACAAATTATGTGAATTTTGTATCACATACCGTGCCAAACCTCACTTATAGATAACTGCAGATGCCAGCTAAACACTTGTACCATGGCTGTTTTTAAAAGATAGCTGAGCCACTTTGCCTACAGGGGACCTGCTGAGTGAGGCCAGGCATAGGCTTTGCTGCCAGCAACAGAGATCTAGGTTCTGGCTCTGCTACTTCCTGGCTTGGTGGCCTTGGGCAAGCTTTTATTACTATTATTATTATATTTTAAGTTCTAGGGTACATGTGCACAACGTGCAGGTTTGTTACATAGGTATATATGTGTCATGTTGGTTTGCTGCACCCATCAACTCGTCATATACATTAGGTATTTCTCCTAATGCTATACCTCCCCCTCTGCCCCCAACTCCACAACAGGCCCCAGTGTGTGATGTTCCCCACCCTATGTCCAAGTGTTCTCATTGTTCAATTCCCACCTATGAGTGAGAACATGTGGTGTTTGGTTTTCTGTCCTTATGATAGTTTGCTGAGAATGATGGTTTCCAGCTTCATCCATGTCCCTGTAAAGGACATGAACTCATCCTTTTTTATGGCTGCATAGTATTCCATGGTGTATATGTGTCACATTTTCTTAATCCAGTCTATCATTGATGGACATTTGGGTTGGTTCCAAGTCTTTGCTATTGTGAATAGTGCCGCAATAAACATATGTGTGCATGCGCCTTTAAAGTAGCATGATTTATAATCCTTTGAGTATATACCCAGTAATGGGATAGCTGGGTCAAATGGTATTTCTAGTTCTAGTTCCTTGAGGAATCGCCACACTGTCTTCCACAATGGTTGAACTAGTTTACACTCCCACCAACAGTGTAAAAGCATTCCTATTTCTCCGCATCCTCTCCAGCATCTGTTGTTTCCTGACTTTTTAATGATGGCCATTCTAATTGGTGTGAGATGATATCTCACTGTGGTTTTGATTTGCATTTCTCTGATGACCAGTGATGATGATTTTTAACCTCCATGCCTCCATTAACTCGCTTGTAAAATGGACACATGAAGAGTATGTATCTCATAGTGTTGCTGTGAGGTTTAAGTGGGACAGTGCATATAATGGGCTCAGCAGAGTGCTCAGAGCACAGCAAGCCCTCAAAAATGCCAATTGTTTATTCATGTATTCAATCAATAGCCAGTGAACACCAAACTTTGTGCCCTGTACTGTTGCAGTCACCGAGGATAAGGCAACAAATAAAAAACAATTCCTCCTCTGATGGAATGTATAGTTCAACAGAAAATAATACCTAATAATTTCTTACTATTATTGCTAAACCAGTAATGCTCCATGGCCCCAAGGGGACATTTGGTAAAGTCTGGAGATATTTTTAGTTGTCACAACTGGAGGAGAGTGAACTGCCGCAGGTATCTAGTAGGTAGAGACCAGGGACACTGATAAACACCCTACTATGCACAGGACAGTCCTCTACAACAAGAACTATCAGGCCCAAAATGTCAACTGTGCAGACATTAAGAAATCCTGTTTTAAGTTACTGACTGAGTTAATCCTTAGAACACCCTATGAGGTAAGAATGATAAGGATAGGCTGGGTGCGGTAGCTCACGCCTGTAATCCCAGCACTTTGGGAGGACAAGGTGGGCGGATCACAAGGTCAGGAGTTCGAGACCAGCCTGGCCAACATGGTGAAACCCCAACTCTACTAAAAATACAAAAAAAAAAAAAAATTAGCTTGGTGTAGTGGCGGGCACCTGTAATCTCAGCTACTCGGGAGGCTGAGGCAGGAGAATCGCTTGAACCCGGGAGGCGGAGGTTGCAGTGAGCATGCCATTGCACTCCAGCCTGGGTGACAAGAGCAAGACTCTGTCTCACAAAAGAAAAAAAAAAGAATGATAAGGATAGGCATTTTATTTTTATAGTAACCAATAGTAACCATATATTACAGCGTGAATAAGACTATACATTTCATATACATATTTACAACAATATTTATATATTTTATGTAATATATGCTATTATTTGTAAAGTACTCTACACATTATATAAAGATACATTAAAACATACCTTCCTAGCAAGTGCTTTTTTAAAAAAATCAACTGATGGATTTTATAAAATAGATTGAGTTTACTTTACAACCAATGGCTGTACCCTTGTGTCATCTAGATTTTAAATTATTAATAATCTCTCCTGATTCTCACTCACATACTACAGAGGGTAATCTTTTGGGCCACATCTGCAATGATTCCAATATCAGACAAGGGGACATGGTGGTGCACTAGAGACACCAGAAAAGGAGCTCAGAAGTTCAAAATCTAGTTTAATTATCTCACTGCCTGGGCAAGCCACTTAACTTCTCTGGGCACCAGAGGCCCACCATTACCAAAACATGGGGCCATAATGCCTTTGCTGGGGATTCAGAGGTTGGTAGGATAAAATGAGATAATGTGTGAAAGCACTACGGAAGCCACAACGAACCACCCCACATTCACCACCTCCGCCACTGCCAACTAACACACACTCAGTAATCGCTTTCTTCTCACCATACATTTACTCATCAAATCTCATCACAGTCTGAGAGGTAGGTATGCTGATCAATGCAATGTGAGGAAAAAGAAACTGGAGCACAAAGAAAGGATAACTTGCCTGAGGTTACAAGGTCAGTGAGTGACAGAGCAATGGCTCCCACCCACACAGTCTAGTTCCAGGGCATGCCCCCTTAGCCAGTGTGGCCCTCTCTCTGATTTGGTGTTGGTACTTGGAGCACGTCCTCACATTAGCAGTAAGGCCAAGCTCACTGTTCTCTTGATTTCTAGGAGTTGCTCTACTCTGTAGGAAGTCCTGTTTACTCCCTGGTCCTGATCAGCCAGCCAGTTAATTCATTGATCAAAGCAAAGAAGAATGAAGTCTCATTTAATTAGTTTTTTGAACTACTTTTTTTTTAATAGGCAATATGGGTACACAACACATGCTTCCATCACAATACAAAATTCAAAGGCACAGAAGGATCTACAGTGACAATTAGTTTTCCTTATCGCATCTTCTAGCTACCCAAGTCCTCTCTGTAGAGATGACCACCACTACTAGCATCTCATACATCATTCCAGAAATGTTCTATACAATATGCTTTCTAAAATAGCATATTTTGTATGCTATGAGTTGTATATCTATTTTACAACCTGATTTTTTTTGACTAAATACTACTTGGGAGATCAGTCCACATTAGTATATACAGAGTTCCCTTTATTTTTATTAATGTCTGAAGAGTATTCTGTAATTTATTTAATCCATCCTCAACAGATGAATATTTAATAAATTTCTGATATTTAACAACACCACAATGAGTATTTAATGTAGAGATCATTTCTAGCATTGCAAGAATATATATAGGATAAATTCCTAAAAGTGGAATTGTTGAGTCCAAGGCATGTGCCTTTTAACATTTTATTGAAATAGCCAAATTGCTCTCCATAGGGGTTGTACCAATTTATTCTCCCACCTGAAATGCAGGAGATCATCAATGAGTTTAACTTTATTTCCATACTCTCATCAAACAGTGTCATAAAAATGTTTTATCCTTGTCAAAAAAAATAACATCTCATTACATTTTTAATTTGCATTTCTATTATAATGATTAGATTTAGAATCTTTTCATGTGTTTCAAGAACCAATTGTATTTCTTTTATCTGCAATTGTTCTGTTCATATCCTTTACCCATTTTTTTAATGAGTTGGGTTTTATTTTCTTATAAAATTATAGGAGCTCTTTATCTGTGAGAAAAATTAACCCTTTGTCTATAAGTTGTATTTCCTCCAGTTTCATATTGTTTAAGGCCTTTGCAGTAATATTTGATTTGTAAGTAATGTTCATTTTCTCAACTTTTTGCTTTTATAGCTTCTGAGTTTATTTCATATAGTCATCTTTCAGCATCCTCAGGGGATTGGTTCCAGGAAAACTTATCCCCTGCTCTGAGATACCAAAGTCCATGAATTCTCAGGTCTCTCATATAAAATGGCACAGTATTGTACATAATCTATTTTTTTCCTCATAAGTTATTGGGGTACAGGTGGTATCTGGTTACATGAATAAGTTCTTTAGTGGTGATTTGTGAGATTTTGGTGCACCCATCATCCAAGCAGTATACACTGCACCATATTTGTAGTAGTCTTTTATCCCTTACCCCCCTCCCACTCTTCCCCCCAAGTCCCCAGAGTCCAGTGTATCATTCTTATGCCTTTGCGTCCTCATAGCTTAGCTCCCACATACCAGTGACAACATACGATGTTTGGTTTTCCATTCTTGAGTTACATCACTTAGAATAATACTCTCCAATCTCATCCAGGTCACTGCAAATGCTGTTAATTCATTCCTTTTTATGTCTGCATAGTATTCCATCATACTGATGTGTGTATGTATGTATATATATATATATATATATATATATATATATATATATATATATATAAAGAAACTGTGATATATATATATGATATATGTGATATGTATATATCACAGTTTCTTTATCCACTTGTTGATTGATGGGCATTTGGGTTGGTTCCACAATTTTGCAGTTGTGAATTGTGCTGTTATAAACATGCGTGTACAAGTATATCTTTCAAATAATGACTTATTTTCCTCTGGGTAGATACCCAGTAGTGGGACTGCTGGATGAAATGGTAGTTCTACTTTTAGTTATTTAAGGAATCTCCACACTGTTTTCCATGGTGGCTGTATTCCCACCAGCAGTGTAGAAGTGTTCCCTGTTTACCGCATCTATGCCAACATCTACTGTTTTTTTATTTTTTGATTATGGCCATTCTTGCAGGAGTGAGGTGGTATTGCATTTTGGTTTTGATTTGCAGTTCCCTGATCATTAGTGATGTTGAGCATTTTTTCATGTTTGTTGGCCATTTGTATATCTTCTTTCGAGAATTGTGTATTCATGTCCTTAGCCCATTTTTGGATGGGATTTTTTTTTCTTACTGATTTGTTTGAGTTCATTGTAGATTCTGTATATTAGCCCTTTGTCAGATGTACAGAAGATTTTCTCCCACTCTGTGGGTCATCTGTTTACTCTGCTGACTCTCTTGTCTGTTTACTCTGCTGACTGTTCCTTTCGCTGTGCAAAAGCTCTTTAGTTTAATAAGGTCCCAACAATTTATATTTGTTTTTATTGCATTTGCTTTTGGGTTCTTGGTCATGAAATCCTTGCCTAAGCCAATGTCTAGAAGGGTTTTTTCCAATGTTATCCTCTAGAATTTTCATAGTTTCAGGTATTAGGTTTAAGTCCTTAATCCATCTTGAGTTGATTTTTGTATAAGGTGAGGGATGAGGATCCAGTTTCATTCTCCTACGTGTGGCCAGGCAATTATCCCAGCACCATTTGTTGAAATGTCCTTTCCCTATCTTATGTTTTTGTTTATTTGTCAAAGATCAGTTGGCTCTAAGTATCTGGGTTTATTTCTGGGTTCTCTACTACGTTCCAATGGTCTATGTACCTATTTTTATACCGGTACTACACTGTTTTGGTAACTATGGCCTTACAGTATAGTTTGAAATCAGGTAATGGGATGTCTCCAGGTTTGTTCTTTTTGCTTAGTCTTGCTTTGTCTATGTAGGCTCTTTTTTAGTTCCATATGAATTTCAGAATTATTTTTTTCTAATTCTGCGAAGAATGATGGTGGTATTCTGATGGGGATTGCGTTGAATTTGTAGATTGCTTTTGGCAGTATGGTCATTTTCACAATATTGATTCTACCCAACCATGAGCATGGGATGTGTTTCCATTTGTTTGTGTTGTCTATGATTTCTTTCAAAACACTCTCAGCAGTGTTTTGTAGTCTTCCTTGTAGAGGTCTTTAGACTCCTTTCTTAGGTATATTCCTACACATTTGATTTTATATTTTTTGCAGGTATTGTAAAAGGGGATAAGTTCTTGATTTCATTTTCTGCTTGGTTGCTGTTGGTGTATAGAAGAGTTATTGATTTCTGTACATTATTCTTGTATCCGGAGACGTTGCTGAATTCTTTTATCAGTTCTAGGAGGTTTCTAGGGGGGTCCTTAGGGTTTTCAAGGTCAACGATCATATCATCAGCAAACAGTGACAGTCTGACTTCCTCTTTACTAATTTGGATACTGTTTATTTCTTTCTCTTGTCTGATCGCTCTGGCTAGGACTTCCAGTACTATGTTGAAGAGGAGTGGTGACAGTGGGCATCCTTGTCTTGTTCCAGTTCTCAGAGGGAATGCTTTCAACTTTTCCCGATTCAGTATCATGTTGGCTGTGGGTTTCTCACAGAAGGCTTTTATTACATTAAGGTATATACCTTGTATGCCGATTTTGCTGAGTTTTTTTTTTTTTTTTTTGAGATGGAATCTCACCTTGCTACCCAGGCTGGAGTGCAGTGGCGCGATCTTGGCTCATTGCAACCTCCGCCTCCTGGGTTCATGCGATTCTCCTGCCTCAGCCTCCCCAAGTAGCTGAGACTACAGGTGCGCGCCACCACCCCTGGCTAATTTTTGTATTTTTAGTAGAGACGGGGTTTTGCCATGTTGGCCAGGCTGCTCTTGAGCTCCTAATCTCAGGTGATCCTCCCACCTCAGTCTCCCAAAGTGTTGGCATTACAGGCATGAGCCAGTATGCCCAGCTGGGAGTTTTAATCAAAAAGCGATGCTGGATTTTGTCTAATGCATTTTTTGCATCTATTGAGATGATCATGTGATTTTTTTGTTTTTAATTCTGTTTATGTAACATATCACATTTATTGACTTGCATATGTTAAAGCATCCCTGCATGCCTGGTATGAAACCCACTTGATCATGGTGGATTATCTTTTCGATATGTTGTTGGATTCGGTTAGCTAGTATTTTGTTAAGAATTTTAGCATCTATGTGCATCGGCGATATCAGTCTGTAGTTTTCTTTTTTTGGTTATGTTCTTTCCTGGTTCTGGTATTAGGGTGATGAATTAGGGAGGGTTCCTTCTTTCTCTGTCTTGTGGAATAGTGTCAAAAGGATTGGTACCAATTCTTTGAATGTCTGATAGAATTCTGCTGTGAATCCATCTGGTCCTGGACTTTTTTTTGTTGACAATTTTTTAGTTACCATTTCAGTCTTTTTAGTTACCATTTTAATCTGCTTGTTATTGGTCTGCTCAAGGTATCTAATTCTTCCAGATTTAAGCCAGGAGGATTGTATTTTTCCAAGATTTTATCCATCTCTTCTAGGTTTTCTAGTTTATGTGTGTAAAGGTGTTTATAGTAGCCTTGAATGATCTTTTGTATTTCAGTGGTGTCAGTTTTAATATCTCCTATTTTGTTCCTTAGTGAGGTTATTTGGATTTTCTCTCTTCTTTTCTTGGTTAATGTTGCTAATGGTCTATCAATTTTATTTATCTTTTCAAAGAACCAGCTTTTTGTTTCATTTATCTTTTGTATTGTTTGTTTGTTTCAATTTCATTTAGTTCTGCTCTGATCTTGGTTATTGCTTTTCTTCTGCTGGGTTTGGGTTTGGTTTGTTCTTGTTTCTCTACTTCTTTGAGTTGTGACCTTAGATTGTTTGTGTTCTTTCAGACTTTTTGATGTAGGCATTCAGGGCTATGAACTTTCATCTCAGCATTGCCTCTGCTGTATCTCAGAGGTTTTGATAGGTTGTGTCATTACTGTCAATTCAGTTTGAAGAATTTTTAAATTGCCATCTTGATTTTGTTTTTGACCCAATGCTCATTCAGGAGCAGGTTAATTTCCATGTATTTGTATGGTTTTGAAGGTTCCTTTTGGAGTTGACGTCCAATTTTATTCCACTGTGGTCTGAGAGAGTGCTTGATATAATTTCAATTTTCTTAAATTTATTGAGGCTTGTTTTACGGCCTATCATATGGTCCATCTTGGAGAAAGTTCCATGCGCTGTTGAATAGAATGTGTATTCTGCAGTTGCTGGATGAAATGTTCTGTATACATCTGTTAAGTCCATTTGTTCCAAGGTATAGTTTAAATCCATTGTTTCTTTGTTGACTTTCTGTCTTGATGACCTGTCTAGTGCTGTCAGTGGAGTATTGACGTCTCCCACTATTATTGTGTTGCTGTTTATCTCATTTCTTAGGTCTATTAGTAATTGTTTTATAAATCTGGGAGCTCCACTGTTACGTGCATATATGTTTAGGATTTTAACCACTGCTGCTTTAAAGTTTGTTTTGTCTGATACAAGAATAGCAACGCCTCTTTGCTTTTGGTGTCATTTGCATGAAATGCCTTTTATACCCCTTTACTTTAAGTTTATATGAGTCCTTGTGTGTTAGGTGAGTTTCCTGAAGGCAGCAGATAGTTGGTTGGTGAGTTCTTATACATTCTGCGGTTCTGTATCTTTTAAGTGGAGCATTTAGGCCACTAATATTCAATGTTATTATTGAAATGTGAAGTACCGTTGCATTCATCATGCTCTTTGTTGCCTGTGTACTTTGGTTTTTTGATTTTTAACTTTTTTTTTTTGCTTTATAGATCTGTGTGATTTATGTTTTAAAGAGGTTCTGTTTTGATGTATTTCCAGAATTTGTTTCAAGATTTAGAGCTCCTTTTAGCAGTTCTTTTAGTGATAGCTTGGTGGTGGCAAATTCTCTCAGCATTTGTTTGTCTGAAAATGGCTGTATCTTTCCTTCATATGTGATACTTAGTTTCACTGGATACAAAATTTTTGGCTGATAACTGTTTTGTTTGAGGAGGCTGAAGATAGGTCCCTAATCCCTTCTAGCTTTGAGGGTTTCTGCTGAGAAATCTGCTGTTAATCTGATAGGTTTTCCTTTATAGGTTACCTGGTGCTTCTGTCTCACAGCTCTTAAGATTCTTTCCTTTGTCTTAACTTTGGATAACCTGATGACAATGTGCCTAGGCAATGATCTTTCTGTGATGAATTTCCTGGGTGTTCTTTGTGCTTCTTATATTTGGATGTTGAAGTCTCCTGCAAGACCGGGGAAGTTTTTCTCGATTATTCCCCCAAATATGCTTTCCAGGCTTTTAGAATTCTCTTCTTCCTCAAGTACACCGATTATTCTTACGTTTGGCTATTTAACTTAATCCCAGACTTCCTGGAGGTTTTGTTCATATTTTCTTATTCTTTTTCCTTTGTCTTTGTTGGATTGGGTTAATTTAAAGACCATGTCTTTGAGCTCTGAATTTCTTGCTTCTACTTGTTCAATTCTATTGCTTAGACTTTCCAGAGCATTTCACATTTCTAAAAGTGTGTCCAAAGTTTCCAGAATTTTTGATTGTTTTTTTCTTTAAGCTATCTATTTCCATGAATATTTCTCCCTTCACTTCTTTTATCATTTTCTGGATTTCCTTGGATTGGGCTTTGCCTTTCTCTGGTCCCTCCCTGATTAGCTGAATAACTAACCTCTTGAATTCTTTTTGAGATAAATCAGGGATTTCTTCTTGGTTTGGATCCATTGCTGGTGCACTTGTGTGATTTTCTGGGGTGTTGAAGAGCCTTGTTTTGCCATATTACCAGGGTTGGTTTTCTGGTTTCTTCTCATTTGTGCAGGCTCTGTCAGAGGGACGGTCTAGGGCTGAAAGCTGCTGTTCAGATTCTTTTGTCCCACAGGGTGTTCCCTTGATGAACTACTCTCCCTCTTTTCCTATGGATGTGGTTTCCTGTGAGCCAAACTGCAGTGATTGTTGTCTCTCTTCTAGCCACCCAGCAAGTCTACCTGGCTCCGGGCTGGCATTGGGGGTTGTCTGCACAGAGTCCTGTGATGTGAACTGTCTATGGGTCTCTCAGGTGGGGATACCAGCACTTATTCCAGTGGAGGTGGTGAAGGGTGCAATGGACTCTGTGAGGGTTTTTAGCTTTGGTGGTTTAACGCTCTATTTTTGTGCTGGTTGGCCTCCTGCCAGGAAGTGGCAATTTCCAGAAAGCATCAGTTGTAGTAGTGTGCTGAGGGAACTGTGATGGGTGGGGCCTAAGAACTCCCAAGAGTATATGCCCTTTGTCTTCTGCTACCAGGGTGGATAGGGAAGGACCATCAGGTGGGGGTATGGCTAGGCACGTCTGAGCTCAGACTCTCCTTGGGTGGGTCTTGCTGTGGCTGCTGTGGGGGGTGGGGTCGAGATTCCCAGTTCACTGGAGTTGTGTACCAAGGAGGATTATGGCTGCCTCTGCTGAGTCATGCAGGTTTTCAAGGAAGTGGGGGAAAGCCGGCAGTCACAGGCCTCACCCTGCTCCCAGGCAAACTAAAGGGCTGGTTTCACTCCCACTGAGCCACCCCAACAGCCCAAGTCTGTTTCCAGGGAGAGGGCAAGAGGGGCTTGAACACTTGCCCAAGGCTATCTGCCTCCCAGCAGCCACAGAAAAGGGCTTTAGTTCTTCCCCTGCCTGTGAAGTCTGCAGGCCTGATTTGGGCCATCCCCCGAGTTCTGGCAAGGAGGCTTCTCACCCTGTTCAAATTGTTACAAAGTTCAGCTAGAGAATTCCTTCTCCTTGTGGAGTTTTACCCCCTGCTCCTCTGGCCACCCTCCCGATGGATCCCTGTGGTGTCAGGTAGGAGTGGGCTGCTTGGGGACCCAGAGAGCTCCCAGGACCTTGCTGCTGCTTCTTCTACCCTTGTATTTCACTGGGCTCTCTAAGTTGACTCAGCTCCAGGTGAAGTCAGAAACTTCTCCCACAAACAGACCTTCAGCTTCTCCAGTGGGGGTGTGTGTTCAGGAGAGGAGGGTCTCCCTTTCCCACTTCTGCAGTTGGGGCACTCACAGTAACTGGGGTGTCTCCCAGGTCCTCCGGGAGCAGTCCGCTTCCTTCAGAGGGTCTGTGGGTCCTCTCGGGATTGCTGGTTTGTTCTTGCAGTGGATCTGGAGCTAAAATTCACAATGCAAGCCTCCGCATGCTGCTTTTTCTGGAGCTGCAATCTAGTCCTGCCTCCTGTCCACCATGATCCCCTGAATCCAGTATTGCACATAACCTATGCACAACCTCCTGTATGTGTTAAATCATCTCCAGATGACTTATAATACCTAATACAATGTGAATGCTATGTTATATATATATGTTACACTGTATTTTAAATTTTGTATTTTTGTATTTTTATCTTTTAAACCAAATGTTTTCAATTCATGGTTGGTTGAATCTGCAATATGAAACCCATAGATAGTGGGATTTGGAAAGGTCTTCTCTACTTGGAGAGTATTAAGAAAAATTCATGTTTTCTTTTAGTACTTCTGTGGCTATTTTTCTAAGTTTAAATCTTTGAAGCATCAGCATTTATTTTGGTGTATATAGTTAAGAGCTGGTATTCAACTTTCTTGTTTTCCAGATGGTTATCCAATTGTCATAGTATTTTCTATTGAATAATCTCCCATCCCTCCACTGATCTTAAAAGCCAGTTTTATTGTGTGCAAAATTCCTATATTATTTGGATTTATTTCTTGACCTTCTGTTAATCTGTCTGATAATCGATGAGCAAATACCACGGACTATTTTAATTATTGTAGCTATAATATGCTTTCCTATCTGGTAGAGCTAGTTCCTCCCATTATTTGTCTTTTCTAGAATATTCCTGGCTCTTCTTTAGGAACTTAGAATAATCAATTGGTATTTTTCTTAGAATTATACTATATTTACAGATTAACTTAGGGAAAATTTATATCTTGAGGATGCTGAGTCTTCCTATCCATGGATGTTGTATACTTTCGCATTTGGTTCTAGTTTTTTACCCTCTCCTCCTCTTTTGATGAGCCACTGTAACATTTCAAAGCTTTTTTCATATATATCTTTCTTTATTACACATACTTCTAAAGTTAGGTATGTACTCTATGTGGGTAATGTTATCACATATAGGTCTAATTTCTAAACAGACGTGGCAATAAGAACTATTAGCTATGGGTTTATATAAAAGTCATTCATTTTTGTTTTGTTTTTTGTTAAGTGCCTAGTTCTTGAAACTTAGCAAACTCAGGCTCGAAAAATTCACTAGAACTATAGCCATAAAACATACCTCTTTTTGACTCCAGCTAATAAATATTTCTCTTCTAAAATGTTTTAGCATGAAAACAGAACTCATCAGATTTTCAGAAACCTTTGCTCCCTGTTGGCTTCGTTTTCAATTTTGAGAGTACACAGATCTTAGTGCTGTTGCATTACCTATTAACAATTTTTATTAAACTAAAAATACAAAACTTACCTCCTAAATTCATTCCAGCTTGAAGACATTTCTGAAGTCTGCAAGCAGGACAATTCTTTCGTCGAATCTTATCAATGATGCAATCATTTCTTCCAGCACATAAATAGTTGTGTTGCCCTGATTAAAATAATAAAAAATAACTGTTAAAATAGAGTACACTAGTACAAAACATTAATATGTATACTCAGAATATAAAACTACTTCTTTCCTGCCTTGAAATCTCTTTCTCAAAAAAGTAAAAGTACATGATTTGTGGATAATATAGAGGAGGAGATGGTCAGCTTAATGCAGCTGAGACTTTAGATTACATATGATAACATTACACTTATTTTCAAACATGTTCTAATATAAGTAGAGCCATATTTCTCCATTATTTGAATTTTTTGATAGCTGCATAGGTTCAGGCAATAGTGCACATTTCCTGCAGACATCACAACAGCACCAATCTAAACAAAAATCCTACTGCAGCTGTTTAAGCTGCTATGCCTGCCCACCATTTATACATGTGACTTCACTGGGATTTCATAGTAATTTCACTTTCAAATTATACAATTGGAAATGTTAAACTATTTCATTCTGTAAAACAATATGGAACTAAAAAAAATCAGATGTGGGCACAGCACAGGCTTAGAGAGTGACATCTATTGGCAAAATATGAAATTGTAGCCTAGCTTTATTAGTATTTATTCAAAAATATTTACTAAACACCCACAGCGTACTAGGCACTACTAGAGGCACTAGGGATACAGTGATGAACAAGACAGACAAAAGCCTCTGCTCTTAACTTTCATTCGATTTGGGGGAGACATAATAGACAAGGTAATTAGATAAAATGTGTAAGATGTCAGATAATAATAAGCACTAGGGAGAAAAATGAAGGGAACATGGAAGGTGATTTTTAAATAAAGGTCTATAGATCTATCAGTCCTATAGATGTTCAGTCTAACAGTGTGGACATCTGGGGAAGAACATACACCAGAAAGAAAGAAAAGCAAATGTGGTAGAGAGGAAGGTGAGGGCTGATTACCTGGCATGTTCTAGGAACAGCAGGGACACCAGGGTGAATGAGCAGAAGAGAATGAGAAGAGAGTAAGAAAAGACAGAGATAAAGAGCTAAGGTGAGCCACATCACATAGGTCCTTAGAGGTGATATTCAAGACTTTGGCCTTTACTCTGAGATGAAGCCACTAGACTAGAGGGCTTTGAGCAGAGGAGTCACTTGATATGATTTACATTTCACAGCATCACTCTGGCTGCTGTGTTGAAACTGACTGCAGTGGACTAAGGACAGAAGTAGAGAGACCAGGGGTAGGAGGCAATTATTGTAACCTACGGGAGAGAGGAAAGTGGGCTGGGTCATTGTGGTAGCAGTGGCAGTGGTGAGATTCTAGATGTATTCCAAAAGTAGAGCTGCAAGGGTTTGCTGACAGATCAGAGGAAATGAGGAGTTAAGAAGGCCTTAAGATTCTTGGGCTAAACAAGTAGAAAAAGGGGACTGTCATTAATTAAAAGGGGAAGACAGAAGGAGCCAGTGGTTTATGAGGAATGACCCCAGCTCAGTCTTGGACATGGTAAGTTAGAGAAGCCTGATCAGCATCCAAGTGGAGGTGTCAGGTCTGCGGTTAGGAAGAGGGCTGGGCTAGAGATGTAATCAGCTTATGTATGTGATTTTAAGCCATAAAACTGGGTGAGATCATATGGTGGGTGAGCATAGACTGGAGAGTGAAGCCTGAAGAGTCATGGGTTATTGAAAAGAAGAGAGGGAGGCCCACTGTTTACTGCAAAGTAGTGAACAGGCTCCAAACCACTCCCTTCAGTGTAGTACCATCATGTTCCCTTGATTTAAGAATTACTAAGTAAATTACAGTAAATACTCAATAAAAATAATGTGCATCACTTAATGTAATTAAAATAATTTAATCTAAAGTATATTCTCTAATATTATAGTAAATCTTAGTAATAACAATAAAACAATAGTAACAGAATAGGGAAATCTATCAAAGTGAAGAAATGAAACCCTGCCATTATAATAATCTAATGCCTTTTCTAAAAATGGAAGGCTCTTAATGAATATGGGTAGGTGTAGATAATTACACAAAGGCAATCAATATCCATGGTAAAAATGGTAACTGATAAATATAACGTTTCATGATGTTGTACAGCAGCTTAGAGAGGTTTCCACTTTTAAAATAAAATTTTAATGCCACATTAGAGTTCTATGTTAGTTAACCCACAGAACAACCCTATGACATAGGTGAGATTATTATTGCTGCTATTCACCAGAAGAAACTCATACTAGAATTGATAAAGTGACTTCCCAAAAAGGTAGAGTTGGAAGAATAATTTAGGAAGTCTGATAACATTGCTGTGCCTCAAGGCCAGGAGAGGTTTTTCTAAATACTAATTTGCAATATAATTTACTGTTGGTCTAATAAGACATTGAAGATGCTCTTTGGAAATGAGAAGCAACAGAATGTTGAGAGAAGCACACTCTACTAGCCAGCATTTCTACTGACAACTGACATTATGTGCCTTTTGCATAGTATGAGATTGAATATAAAACCACAGGTTTCATCTTTAATATACACTGAACTGAATAAACTTTAAAGTCCAAAGAAATAACTAAATGTAATTTAAATTTGTTTTAATTCAATAAGTATTTATGGGGAACCTCCAATATGTTGCAAGGTCACGAATCATTTGCATAAGGGTTGGTCTGCTGTAGTCTAAGATTCACTTCTGTGAATTTTCAGTAAATGTAACTAAGACTTTTTAGATTGTAGGCATACAGAATGGAAAAAAATGGCCACTGTCTTATGAACACATTGGAAGATTTTCTTCTATGGGTGTTCAAAAACAGAGACCTTCAAATGCCAGGATTGTTCTAAAAGGATTTTAAAAAAAAATACCCTTCAAAAATTTGTTACTGTAACAACCCAGGATGATTTTCTCCCGAAAACAATATTTCATCTTCCACATATAGGATAGGAGAGTTGTAAGAGACTGTTGCAGACATGTCATTTTCAGAAAATTTTGTCGTTTATATTTTTAGTTGTGTAAACATTAACAATTTAAATTATACCTACACAAATATATAATGTGTGTCTCATTCCTTAATTCATATTAAACCAACACAACACACAACCAAAATCTGTCCAGTAGGACTCAGGGAACTTTAGTCATCCATCCGTGTACTCGAGTTCAGTGTACCTCCTGCTTGAGGTTGGGGCAGCTTTTTGGGCATAAGGCAGCCATTCTAGAAGACAGAAAGCTTCCAAGGTTAGGATAAACTTGAATGAAGTAGCAAGATGCTCAGGTCAGTTAGTGCACGTGTAAAACAAATTGAAAGACTTATAGGAAGACCAGATGAACTAAATTAAAGGGAAAATAAAAGCAAAAATGCCTTATGGACTTAAAAAACAATAACAAAGTTGAGTTTAAAAATAAATCAAAGGTATCATTTTTTTCTAATGTTTTAAACTATAGTATTGCTTTTAACTGTAGAATAATTCAGTAAGTGTTTAAAAGTTAATCTCATTATTTTAAAAGTTACTGCATTCAATAAAAATTGTCTTTTACAATTTTCAATTATTTTGAAATCAAGAAGCAACTTTTTGTTATACTTGGCCTGGTCCCAACTGAGAAAATACAGATTATGTGACATGCAGGTCTCTAAGCGTCAATAGCATAAGAACAGAAAAGTAGAAAAACGAAGGGCAGGGAGGAGAAAGCACAATGAAAAGGGGACCAGCTTCGCAACCAGGGTCCATCTGGGTCTCAATCCTACCTGAGTCAATAAGGAGCTATCAGAGCCTCAGCCAAGTGGCTCAATGTTTCTAGCATTGGTATCTTGATCTATAAAATGCAAAGAGTAATGCCTACTTTCTATATTATTAAATGGTTTCAAATGAATAATATACACATAAAGCAAGAAGCACAAAGCCTGGCCTGAAGAAAGAACTAAAAAAAAAAAGAAAAAACTAAAAAAAATTTAAAAAGGTGGTAGAGGTGGTAGTGATGAACATTTTGTTAGCTCACTTAAAAAAAAAATGGGGCCAGGTGCGGTGGCTCACGCCTGTAATCCCAGCACTTTGGGAGGCCGAGGTGGGTGGATCACGAGATCAGGTGATCGAGACTATCCTGGCTAACACGGTGACACCCCATCTCTACTAAAAATATAAAAAATTAGCCGGGCATGGTGGCGGGTGCCTGTAGTCCCAGCTACTTGGGAGGCTGAGGCTGAGGCAGGAGAATGGCGTGAACCCGGGAGGCGGAGCTTGCAGTGAGCTTGCACCATTGCACTCCAGCCTAGGCGACAGAGTGAGACTCCATCTCAAAAAAAAAAAAAAAAAAAAAAGTAGGATGAGAAAATCCAAAGAACAAAAATCAACTCGTAATGAAAGTTAAGTGAGTAAAGAGCGTCCTGTGGGAGCAGAATGTCGCCTTTGAGTAGGAAGGCCTCTAGATGAAAAGAGTCCAGCTGAGCCAAGACAAACGCCATTCAGCTCCGAACCCATCTTTAAGTCTTTAGTTTTTTTCTAAAAGCTGGCAAGGATATGAGCGTGTTGAACTGTATCTTCAGGGTAAACACAGGATAAAAAGCCAGGACTGTCCTATCTGCAACTCAGCTAAGAATTCTAGACTAGGGCCCAAGACTATAGGCATGGGATAAGATTCTGGAAAGTTATAACTTCCTTGTATTATTTCTCTCGCTATCTCTTTTTTTTAATTTATTACTTAGTATCAAGATTCTTAAAAGTAAGTAGGCACATACACTCAGGGGCAGAAGCAAAGGTGAGCCTGGGAGACTGAATTCCATTTTGCCAGGAGCCTTGAGGAAAACTGTACCCCTGCAGACGAGAGAAGGCAGAGGTAACTGATATTTACAGACAGGCAGGTTGAGGAGCAAGGCCCTCGGAAAACAAGAAAAAGAAGTTCTAGGATTTAACATATGTTCCCAGACAATGAGTTAATTCCATTCCACGAGGATTTTTAAGGCAGAATATAAAAAGGTAAAACATAGTCCATTTCTTCCAAGACCTTATATTCTACGGGTTAGGAGTAGGTTGGGGAAATTAAAATGATTAAGATAAATCTCCCTATGTAACAAACCTGTACATGTACCTCTGAACTTAAAAGTTAAAAAAAGATATATCATGTGTTCTTGATATGTTCTGACTTAAGGAAGGGACCATATTGGAGTTGGGGGATGAATTGGTCTTTAAGGAGAAGGAAAGCATCTGGCATAAGCCTTAAGGAATGTTCTAGAGAAATGTTCATACAATGAAACATGGAAAGGACAGATGTACAGGTGTTCCACACAAAGAATAAGCCCAAGGAAGGCTGAGACACAGTTAAGTGTTCAGTAAGCAACTGGTCTGGCAGAAGCACAGGCAGGATGGGTAAAGAGGAGGAACAGACAGTGTCCACACAGTCTGGTAGCCCAGCCACTTCCAGAGGTCGCCAATGCCCTGCGGGCTCCAGTGCCCCTTCCTCTCTTCTGGGTTTCAGCCCCATGCATATACCTGTCCACTGAATGCTCCCACCTGAATGTCTCTGACACTTCAATCCCTCCTTGTTCACTAATCAAATGCCACATCCCCACCCCCCACACAGCCCCCTTCCCGCCTGCTATATGCCCAATTTTAAAGCTACAAGGAGTTGCATGAACTAGAAGCTACAAGTTATCCATGATTTACACCGCTTCTCCCCACAATCCTCTACATTCAACTGCTGGCAAAGAACTGATGATTCTCCCTTCGAAGTGTCTTCTGTGTCCCATCTATATCCATCAGTACTTTCCTCATTGCAGGATCTCTTGGTTAAACTTCTGAATCATGGAGTTTGAATCCCTGTTACTATCTGACTTTAGAGAAGTTACTTAGCCTTTTCATATATCAGTTTCCTGACTTGTTAAACAAGAATTATAAAAGTGCCTATTTCATGAGTTATCATGAAAATAATATACCACACAAAGCACTTAAAATAGTCACTGCTATGCAGTAAGGATAAAATGAATGGTAGCTGTTATCGCTGTATTTCTGTGATTATCATTATTACTATTATCATGTACTACTGCATATTATCAGTATAATTTCAATGGACTTGTAGCTAGTCTACCTGCCTCTACTAATACACCACTTCTAAATCAAATGATTCTAACTTCAATTTAAAAGTTATTAAATTAAAAAAAAAAACTCTTACACAGACATCAATAGGTTAAAAAAAGAAAGAGAAACATTTTGGCTGAAATGAAGCTAAGGGGTATCCCTGGTGTTTCCCTCCATCTGTACCCGTCAGTGGTGTAGGGGGCACTCCATAGGAAACTGCGGCCTCTATGGCAGGCACTTAGGGCCCTGGGCCTCTTCAGAAGTTTCTCCATCTTCTGTAGAGCCTGCACAGTCATCCCCCTGAATCACAGATCTGATTATGACATCATCTGTTTAAAGGCCTTCTAGGGCCCTTCACTGCTTAAACTGTCAAGTCCGAGCTCTTATAAGCTCCATATTCAATGTGAGTTGAGCCAGTGTGGCACAGGGAGGGGAGATGGGCAGGCCAGAGCTCAAAGATGTGCTTAGCAAAACTTACAACCATTTCAGAAAAAGGAACCAAAGCTTGGTCAGAGGCATCTGACCTAATAACATTGGATTATGTTTATTGGTGATTTTAGTTTCGGTGTTTTTATTATTGCCATGTATTGTTCCTATTATGGATGTGAAGGACAATATGCTTATGGTTTATTTTAACAAATAAAAGAACTCAGAAGATTGGTCCTTTGCCTGCTTGTATCTCTCTTCACAAGTACAGACATATAGGTTGGTCCTGAATCACAAACACCATTGCTACAGACATCCTCAACTATAGACAGTAGTCAGCATGCACCATCTCCTCTGCCTGCCAACCCTGGCTGATGTTTGGTCATGGGTGGTGGCAGGACTTCTGGCATATCTCCCCCATTACTTTTCTTTTAAGTCTTAGAAGGGAGTCTCATTTCTGTTTTTCTCTGGCTCCACTAATTTCATGTTCTATGACATCTACAGATCCATATACCCCCTTCAACTCCCCATCAGTGTCCCACTCCTCTACCTATATCTGGAAAACATTCTATCCCTCTATACACATGGCTGATCGTCAGGGTAGTACCCTTTTATCAAGCAAGACACTGCGGTTCTCAGGGAGAGTTAGATATGAGATATGAAAAGAACCAGGTTCTGGAAGCCCCCAAACCACAGCAGACACCTACAAATACTCTTGAGAATCTTTAAAGAAGGATTTGCAGAGCAGGAGGTGCTTCAATTACATCTTATGAACAGAATGCCCAAAATTTTATGTTTTAAAAAACTGACTTATCACACATTGGGAACATAGCCTTTTACATATGGGGGACTGAATATGGAAAATCAAAACATACTGAACATTGACATTTGCTCCTGCCCCAGTACCCAGATTCCTTCCCGTCCCCACAGAGAGGTGGTGCTGGGGCCTCAGATTGAGCCTCCAGTGGCGAACACCTCTGCCCACCCTTGATCTTTTTTCCAGGGGGAGGAAGCTCCAAGATGCTACATCACAGGCCTCTCTCCATCCCCTTTACTCAGTCTGCCTTCATTAGTACATTTGAGAAGAATTAATCTGGCTTGCCTGCCTCCACATTGGCTTCATCCTTTTGTGGGAGAGCTCCCTCTGGGAGCAGGTGCTCAGCCTCCAGTCTTGGGGAGGCCTGTCCTGATCCAGCTGTTCCCTTGCCTGTACCTAATCTGGGGGCTCAGATGACAGGCCCTTTTGGCTCTTATCACTAAATGATATATTTCAACTTATTTACTCCCAAATGTTGATGTTTTATCTTCCACCAGCCACTCCTTTGTTTTATAACTCAATTTGTTCAGAATCCGGGTGGGAAATGTGCTATTTTACAGGTCGCTTAGAGATGAAGAGAGACAAAGTTAACACCAGAGTCCCTGAGATTCAGATCTCACAAATACGGACCCATACAGAGTGAGCTCCTGAGCTTGAATCCTAAGAAAGGCCCTAAGGTTCCCCCCTCATCCCCCTTCCTCTGTATCTTGCTCCTTAATTCCTACTTTCCCAGATCTGGAGCTCATTAAAAGGCAGGGAACCCAGGGAATGTGGTCATTATGGGAATCCAAATGTTGATGACAGTGAAGGCATAGTTTAAACCCTCTTCTGGTGTTTTTGTTTTCCTTCTAAAAAACATTCTTGAACAAATTTCACCACTGAATCTTGTTTTCCTTTAAAACCTTATTTTTATGCTCCCTATGTTATGTGAAATGTTTTCTTTTTCATATCTTGAAGATACAAAGTATTTAAATAAAAGGGACAATAACTTATAAAAATCGTTTGATATTTATCACTCTCTGAATGATCTATTGCTTAATAATTTGTTATATGCCAGAGCCATTAATAAATCTGAGGGTTTGGTTGTTGTTGCTGTTCATTCAAACATGGGAACTATATGTTTCGTAGAGCACCAAACTGGCTGCAAGTACGTCTTCACTAACTACCCCGGTCGATACTCTAGAATAACCAGACCTTATGTACAATGTAAGTTTCCCTATTTAAAAAAAAAAAATCATTTATTTTCAGTATCAAAAAGGCAATTTCTCCAAATCCTTTTTAAAATTAACTTTGTGCTTAAATCTCTTTTTCATTTTTAAAGATCCATTTGTTGTCCTGCTGCAAGATTTTTTTTTTTTTTTAAGCAGTTGACAACTGCCCAGCAACAGCAGCCTGTGTTTGCAGTCACTATTTTGGGCTACATCACATGTCACTTACATAACCTTGTTTAACTGCTCTTGAACTGGTTCGAACAACCTGGGAAACAGATTAGAGCAGCCCCAGCAAATTCCCGCATTGCAGATTCTGATGGGCGATTTCCCTTCCCCCATCCCTCCCCCCGCCCCGCCCCCGTTCTTATAATGTCGCATGGTGAGTTAAGACGGTGTCCAACAAGAACTGGTTATTCATTGTTGGAGCCAACTAAAACATTCGATAATTAACTTCCTCTGCTCAGTTAAAACCAGTTTGGTCTGCCCATAATAAACCAATGAACAATGATCCCCTGCTGCTGAGGTTTATGAGTGGGCCTGGATTAACATGTTTTAAAATGCCAGGGGGAAAAAGAACTGACTTGAGAAGTAAGTACAGGTTGCCTTTGCCACCTTGAAGCACAAATCTTTTGAAATTATGTTTTTAGGATTCTAACATTTTAATTTAGAAGTCAGATTAGCATTATTTTTTTTTCCTGTGGTGTTTCAAGAGTTCTTCCCATGTGGATAAGCACAAAATTCCCACATAAACATTCTTCTTGTTGTGAAAGGTGTTCGTTTTTCATTTTTTAAAATGTACTTTTAATTATCATAAGAATTTTTATGTATATTTTAGTAAAAGATAATCAAAGATAATATTATATGACAAAATCCAAGTGATGTAAGATTTTAACCTTGAGAAACACTTATTATGGTGCGCAGTAAGAAAAAGCAAGTAAGTTACTAACAAGGAACAAGGAACTTTTTTTTCAGGAGGAGTGACTTACATTTCTCACACATTCAATACTAGGAATTTAACATAGCTGCACTTCACTATGCAAAAACATCTGTTATCTAGATAAACTAATACGTTATTCAGGGCAGTGGAAAGGGAACTAGCATTTGTTGAATTCCTATTATGTGACAGGTGCTTTACCAATCATACCTAATTTAAACCTTTAAAAATCCTATGGGGGGAGTCCTATGAGATTGGTCATATTATCCCCATTTTGTCAATTAAGACAAATTCGGAGTGGTAAAATTATGTGGCTAGCTTAGCTGGGATTCATACTTACAGCACTTTCATTACAGCACTTACTCTGTCTACGGTCCATCCATGTTAGAAGTATACTTAATATTCTTATACCAACAGGACAAAATGGTGCAGAAACAGAACCTCTGGAATGCAAGACATGTTTAGGCCACCTTAAAAAGGATAATTCAGACAAATACATCACTAACCACTCTGACACTGGGAAAAGAGAACCATATGAATTTGGTCGCACCTATAATTCTAATTACATCATACGTAGGATGCCAAATTTACATACTGCCTGATCCACCACTTTTTGCCTGATCTAAATATACCTCTAAACTCCAGACCTGGAAGCCAACATATGCACAGCCCTTGCAAGAATTTAAAAATCCTACATGCTGGGTTCTCAGTGATCAGATTTTTGCCCAACCAGCTAATCCCTCAAGACCTCAAAAGTAGAAATGAGGCCAGGATAGAGAGAAGGGACTGTTGTTCAGCCACTCTGGCTTCAAACTATTTGTTAAGATTTGAAGGTTTCAACACAGTTCAGTGGGTCCTTATTTGCCATCTCAGGCATAGCCCAGTTTCTGAACAACAATATAACTCTAGACCGAAATGAAACCCAGATGAGAGCAGATATTGGTAACAAAGGACAACTGAATCATAAACTTCTACCAACAATCTAAAATGTTTGCAAGAAAAGTATGAAATTATTTGATATGTGTTTGTTTTGCCACATGCACAAATATTAAATTAGACTAGTTTTGGGTCTATAATGCTATAATATATGCATGTGGTTCAAAATTCAAGATGTACTATAGGACATCTGGTGAAAAGGCTCTCTCTCTCCCCCTCTCCTATCCTCTAACCACCTAGTTTCCTTCCCCCAAGGCAAACCACTGTTATCAATTTCTCTGTATCCTTCCAGAGGTTTTTCTAGGATACATGTTTTTAACCACAGTAAATATGTTCTGTTTGTTAAGTTAGGCATTATTAATTCAATATGTCTGCTTGCTCTTTTATTAATTCAACAAATAATTATCGGGTGGCTATTACATGCCAGTTACAGCACTGGGAAGAGAGATGAATAAGAGATCCCTGTCCTTTAGGGACTCATAATCCAGTGTGGGAGAGTGGCTCCTAAGCAAATTAAGCCCTGGGGCAAGAACGGCACATGAATAAGTGCTAAGAGAATACAGAAGAGAAAGTAACTATTTTCGCCTCAGAAATCAGAAAAGGCTTCACAGAAGAAATAACAATAGATTTGCATCTTGAGGACTGTTTTCTGGATGGAAAGGGAATTAGAAAGTCTTCCTACCCAGAGAAACACACTAAAAAAAAAATGTTGTCAGAAGGCATCATATATTTTGGGATGGGTGAGTTTTGTGGCTGGTGCACAGTGGGGTGTATGTGTAGAATTGAGAAAGAGCAAAACCGTGAGGACTTGTTAGACCATATGACACAGTCTGGACATGAATCTTAGGCAATGGTGAAGCCAGTCCAGGTCTAATTTGTGTTTTGGGAGTTCACTCTAGTAGTTCAGTGGAAGATGTCCTAGAGTAATGGCAAAGGGACCAGTGAAGCTCAGAATCCAGATGACTCTTTCCAAAGAAAGAGTCTTTGGGAAGACTTTGATTGGGAGATATAATTCCAATTAATCATCCTTGTCTCTGTTACTCTCTGGCTCCAAACTTGTTTTTCCATAGCTGAATTGCCTTCACACCCACTCATCCAAATGAGAAAAGCCAACGCCATCCTAAATCATTTCTTTGTGGCCCTCTATGCAAACACTCACACTTTTCTAATTTTATAACTCAAAGTTGTTTTCTACCTTCTTGGCCCCATCATTGTCTCAAAGAAGCAAATAATATGTATGTTTGAGATAAAAATGGCAGCCATCAAGTTACCTACTTAGCTTGTCAAAGCCGAGTAGATATTTTCTGCTTTCATATTCTAAACCTGCCAGTTTCCCCTTTATCCCATTATTCCCAGTAGAAATAACAAATTTCAGTCTGTTTGAACCAAAATTCTTATGCTTATGATGAAAAAGTGATATAAGGGGTAAAATCTGCATACGTTAGAACTTTGTATATGGTTATTTTATCATGTGGAGTTGAAGATTAGAATCTGATAAGAGAGTGGAAGGGAGAGGAACTGTGTGGGATATTGAGCTGCAAGCCTTTGTTCTCTGAAATAGGACTATCTGCTGAGACTGAGAAGGGCAGGGTTGGAGAAGGGACTAGATCATAAGTGTGCTGGAGCAGCCATGGAAATATGACAGCATGAGCTGAAAGGGAAGAAGACTCAGGCTTGTGGGCTACCAACTATGTTCCAGGTTACTGGGTTAGGCAAGTTACATTCTTATGTTTAATGTTTATGATAATCTTTTTTTTTTTGAGATAGGGTCTTTCTCTGTCATCTAGGCTGGAGTACAGTGGCATGATCACAGCTCACTGCAGCCTTGATCTTCCAGCCTCCAGCACTCCTCCCACATAAGCTTCCTGAGTAGCTGGGACTACAGGTGCATGCGCCCATGCCTGGCAATTTTTTTTGATTTTTAGTAGAGACGTGATCTTGCTGTGTTGCCCAGGCTGGTCTCCAACTCCTGAACTCAAGTGATCCTCCCAAAGTGCTGGGATTATAGGTGTGAGCCACTACTCCTGTCCTTATGATAACCTTTTAAATAGGTGATACTATCCTCATGTCCTGAGCAAGGAAATGGGTAGCTGTCCATGGTGCTTCACAGGGCCAGCAGTGATGGCAGGATTCAAACTCAAGTCTGACAAAAGCCCATGCTCACTAGAATCACCTGGCCAGTCAAACAGAAGCAGTACTGAATCTTCGCATGCATGAAAAACATCTAGTTCACAATTTCTAAGAAGGCTTTAAACATATGTTTTAACCTTGTATATTTGATCATTTGGCTAAATTTGTTTAAAATCTCTTTCTATCTAAAAAATAGCTTAGTTCTTATTTACAGCTGAAACTCAGGACAAGAGAGGTTCCTAATGCGATTCATAAGGCAGTAATGGGCTTTAGGGTCAGATGCAGTGGGTTATAGCAGACTGTGTCACTTAGCAGCTATGGAACACTGAACAAGCCATTTAACCTTACATTTTTTCATCCATAAAGTCAGTAACAAAAATTATCTCACAGGGGCTTATAAAGATTAAGCCAACAGTACAGTAGTCTCCCTTTATCCATGAGGGACATGTTCCAAAGACCCCCAGTGGATGCCTGAAACCACAGATAGTACCAAAATCTATATATACTGTGTTTTCCTATACACACACACACCCATAACATTTAATGATAAATTAGGCACACTAGGAGATTAATAACTAATAATAACACAGTAATTAAATAATAGACTGTAATAAAAGCTATTTGGATGTGATCTCTCTCTCTTCTCATAATATCTTATTATACTACACTTACCTATTTTCAGATTATGGTTGACACTGTGGGGACCTGAAACCAAGGAGCATGAAACCACTGACAAACGGGGAACTACTGTACACTTAAAATGCCTAGAACCATGTGTGGAACACAACTGGCGCTCAACAAACTTTCTACTCTTCCCCAAGGTCACAGCCCTTGAGATCAGGAAGCACCTTAGTGCAATGGCAGAGCACTGTTCCGGGAGCAGATGGCTTGGTTCCTGTCTGGTTTCACCACTCACTGACTGTGAGAGCTACAGTTAGCCACACCAAGCTCTAGTACGTCCATCCGTAGAATGGTCACTGTAATGGTACCTCCTTGCAGGACTGTATTCAGCCCTGTTCAGGTCAATCCCAACTTTGGGCAGAAGGATCCAGTCCTTCTATTCCAAAGCTGGGATCTCTGTGTTAAGTTACTTTTCTACCAATTATGCTTGCATGTTGGGCTCAATTTCTGTTAATAGGTTTTGTGCCTCATTCCCCTGTGTCCCATTCCTTGTGTTAATGCCTATGTAGTACCCCCGTCCTTACAGGACAAAATTCCTAACTCCCTGACTCCCTCGAAAGCCCAGTCCCAAGACTGGGGCTCTGACACCTGCCTTTCTTGAGAGCCTACCTGCTGAGATTTCTAAATGCAGTCTCCTCCTACACCCAAAGACTCTCATGATGTCCTACTCAGACCACCAGCAGTTTCTGCACTCTGCCTTCTGGGCTGGACTTCCTTGTGACACCTGTACCCATACTCCAGATATTATCCCACCTTGGTCTGATTCATATCCTAGGCCTTTCCAGTTTGTCCCATTATTACCTTAATTTCCAAAGAAATATTTCCTGTCACCATTTCTTGTATATAGAAGGAAAATAATAATAAAATAATACAATAGAGAAAAATAATAATTTAGTTTATTTGGAATTACATGGTGTTTTTTTCTCTCTCTCAAAAAGCAACAGCTTTTCATGAAGAATATGCAAAAAATGGCCGGGCGCGGTGGCTCATGCCTGTAATCCCAGCACTGTGGGAGGCCGAAGTGGGCAGATCACCTTAAAGTTAGGAGTTCAAGACCAGCCTGGCCAACATGGTGAAACCCAACCTCTACTAAAACTACAAAAATTAGCTGGGTGTGGTGGCATGCACCTGCAATCCCAGCTACTCTGGAGGCTGAGGCAGGAGAATGGCGTGAACCCAGGAGGCAGAGGTTGCAGTGAGCCGAAATAGTGCGACTGCACTCCAGCCTGGGCAACAGAGTGAGACTCAGTCTCAAAAAAAAAAAAAAAAAAGAAAAAGCCAAAAATGCTTTATGCAACAGGGTCTCATTCTGTTGCCCAGGCTGGAATGCAGTGGTGCAATCACGGGTGGGCTATCACAGCTTACTGTAGCCTCAACCTTCTGGGCTCAAGCAATGCTGCTGCCTCAGCCTCTTGAGTAGCTAGAACTGCAGGTACACAACAGCACTCCCAGCTAATTTTCTGATGTTTTTTGCGGGGTGGGTGGGAGGTAGAGACAGGGTCTGACTATCGTGCACAGGCTGCTCTCAAACTCCTGGCCTCAAGTGATTCTCCTGCTATGGCCTTCTGAAGTGTTGGGATTACAGGCATGAGACACTCGGCCTGGCCTAAGAAAGCATATAGATTTATAACTGATTGCCTAACTATCATTTCAGTCACTCGTAAAAGAGAAAGACTCATTGATTTTAGAGTCCTATATAACAAAACCACCAGCTGATTTTTAGCTTACCAGGAGAAGCCAATTAGGGCTAGGACGGTTGCTTCTCACCCTTACTTGCCTGCGCCTTCCTCTGCCCTTCCAGGTCTGCCATCTCCAGATCCCATCCAGCCTTAAGTCTTGGTTTAATCCTAATGCTAGAAGTTCCTAGAATGTTCCAGCCTTTTCCCACTCCCCCAATCCATGATACTGGCCTGATCAATTTGCTTAGGGCACCATTGCTGCGTTTCTCCCAACTTGCAGCCTGCCCTTGCTACAGAGCAATGTTCTCTTGCTGTCCAGGGTTTCTCAGGTGCAACTTTCCCTTGGGCTCCAAGTTATATGTCAGCAAGGTCCTTCCCTTCCATTCCCTCCTCTCCTGGGAGGAGGGTCTGGATGGGTCACATTCTAGAGGACAGTCTCTTTTTGCTAATGAGAATAAAGGTGGGCAGAAAGAGGCCGGTTTTGGTGTGATACTTCACTAATTTTAGGTGTTTTTTTGTTTTTGTTTTTGTTTTTTTAAGAGATGGAGTCTTGCTCTGTCACCCAGGCTGGAGTGCAGTGGCGCAGTCTTGGTTCACTGTAACCTCCACCTCCCGGGTTCAAGCATTTCTCCTGCCTCAGCCTCCCAAGTAGCTGGGAACACAGGCGCATGCCACCACGCTGGGCTAATTTTTTGTGTTTTAGCAGAGATGAGATTTCACTGTGTCACCTGGGCTGGTCTCGAACTCCAGAGCTCAGGCAATCTGCCTGCCTCGGGCTCCCAAAGTGCTGGGATTACAGGCAGGAGCCATTGCACCCAGCCACTAATTCTGGGTTCCTAATGTTCTCTCCAGTGGGCTCCAGACCCAAGCCCAGTGAATTAAGACAAGGTAATTTCCTTTCCTACTTGTCAGTGTTCTTTTATGCATATTCCCAAAGGGGAAAAAAACCTGTGGTTTGAGGCAGAGTTGGGCCTTTGCTCCCATCCTGAGTTTCTGTCTGAGGAACCTGTCCTATATTGCTGGTTTGCCAATAAATTCTGAGACATAATAAGTGCAAAGCAATCATAATAAGTTTCAAAAGCCTTTTCTATCCACAAGTACCAATAAATTATTACACTAATATGTTAAATATTTTCATATACAAAACCACCACAATCTGTAAATCACTAACTTGCTGGGTCATCCTGTGAAATTAAAGCCTTTCTAAGTTTCTTCCCTCATCTGTACAATGTAGATATGAGATTAATCTCTATTGCCCTGTGTGTATATCTCTTTGCTTCTATGGTCCTGAAAAGAGGAATGGTTGACGAAAAGATATAAAGTGATCATTAGAATGAATTGGTAGTAAATCCAGAGATGGCCTTGCCTGTGGCCAGGGTACACACCTATGAAGCCCAACTCAGAGCAAACTGCTGAAGACAGGAAAGGGAGTAATCACTGTCCTTATCCCACATAAGAGTCTTAAGTTGCAAACTAGTTAAAAGAATTCCAAAGCAGTCACAATGGTCTTTGATGAGAATGGCAGTCAAAGATAAGGGAAATTACTTACAAAAGAATACTTCTAAGGCAAGTACTCCAGGAGATAAATAAAACCCGAAAAATATAAGATTGTGTATGCATGTGTATAGATACCTATTAAAACACAAATTTTAAACAGCTCCAACAGTGCTGAAAGCCAAACTGTGATCACACGAGAATCTTTAAAAAGCTTTAGAATTTTTCATTAGGTGTAAGATAATAAAATGCAGACATGGAAGGCTCATTGCCCTTTTTCTCTGCTCACTGCAGTTCTAGATGTTTTTAAGGAGGCTACTTATGTATTTATTTTTATGTTGCAATTATAAAACTGAAAAAATATATTAGGAAAAAGCCTACAAGTAATATTTTAAGTCAAAGAAAAATTAGAGGAGCTTATTAAATTTGATAAACCATGGCGTCACTGGAAGAATATTAAAGAAAGAGGGAGTTTGGTTAACACCTCAGATCAAGTTACGTGAAATAATGTGCCTCTATGAAGCAGGATGGAGATAAACAAAATACAGCTTGCAGGCCAAAAATAGCCTAGTTTTCCCAGCCTCTGCATTCCATCTGTCAAAACAAGGTGGATGGCATTCATCAGATACCAGCAATGTGTATATAGCTGGACTGATCCAATCATTTTCTGGTGGACTTAGTTTTATTATTCGTAATAATAATAATCAGCCATCAATTAATGGAATTTGTAAAAATGGTTACATAATGGAGGCTTTGTCAATTATCATCAGCTCATTCTTCTTTCCCTTCTGGAGACTAGAGTCGAAAATTTCACATCCTCACTACCAAGTCTAAGGCCCTCACTGAACCTCAACCTTCCTTGGAACCTTCCCTAACCCTGGTCAGAAATATCTCCTCTCTCTAAAATACCTGCACACTTGATTGAAACCTCAAGGAGCCAGCTAACACTGGCTGAGCACTATCACAAGTTGGGCCCCGCAGCACTGCATTATCTTAATTAAGCTTTGCAAGAACACCATCCGCTATTAAAAGTATTCCCATTTCACATTGTTCTTATTGCTTTGGCAAGTTCTTAGTAGCAATGATTGCTTTCTTCTCTATGTGAAGGTTGATATTTGCATGTCATTTCTTCTTATCTATATCACAGCCTCTCCAAGGTGGGGATATCTTATGCATCAATAGAGCCTCATGGAACCTACATGGCTCAAGTAGTTACACCCTTAGTGTCTGAAGTTAGGACTGAGCTACCCTCAGCAGTGTAGTCCTCTTGTTTAGCAACAGGCTAGTGCCTGGGGCAGGATCAACTGTCCCTTCTCAGCTGAGGACTAATCTTGTGCTGTGACCCTGGAATTTACTCCCAAACCTGTCAATGCCTTGCCTAGCAGAGTAGTAGAAGTTACTGTTTAAAACCTTGTCCCAGAGGGGTCATTAGCCATTGTATCACCATATAACAAGGCAAACACATATAGGGAGCCAAGAAAATATCTAAAAGTAAATGAGATGTTCCTTTGAATAAAATGAAAATTTAAATGAAAAGTACATTTCAAATATTTTTACTGGTCTGCAACGGGCAGAAAAATAGATTCTCATTTAATCAAAATTTAATCGCATGATCCATTTGTGATAAAACAAAAGTAGTTTTATTGTGTGGTTTTAGCCTCTGCCTCTTTATAAGGACCTACTATGTGATAGGCATCGTGTTTATTGTGCAGATGAAGGTTCGTAATAAAAATATTTGCTTGCAAGAAGTTCACAGAACTACATACAATTACCTATGATAAAATGTGTTAAGTGCATTTTAAGGTATAAAAACTGTTAAGAGATCACAGAGGAAGAAGAAATTAATGAGGGAAGGAGAGGAGGACAGAAGATAGTGATCACAAAAGTTTTGTGAAGAGGTCATCTTTCATCTGAACCTTAAAGGAGAAATGCAATTTCTCCAAAGTTGAGAAGGAGAGGAAGGACAATGATGGGTTTTTTTTTTTTTAGACAAGACCACACTTCTCTAGGAGGAGTCACAGCTGCCTCAACACAGTGCCACAGCACACACAGTGCCTTCTACATATGACTCAGGATAGACTGATTAAATAGCTGTACAATAAAATTCAACAAAGTCATGGAAATTCATTTTAAAATCAGTATAATAAAAATCTTAGTAAAGACAATCATACCAGCAAACCCAAGGAAAAGTAGAAATCATTAGACATGGTGTTAAAGTCTAAGGAATGTCAAACAAAAGGTGAGAAACTGACCCCCAATAATGATGGAATTTTTATGTATGTTTAGTGTTACCTAATAACTTACTCACAATTCAGTTTTCTGCTTACATATTTATAGTATTCTGAATTGAATACGTTTATCCCATATGAAATTAAAGCTGAGTATTATTCTGCGGCTGTTCCAAAGGCTATGGTCTTTCACATGTACTCAACCTTTAAGTCAATACAATCTAATAGTTTAAGAAGACATTACATTTCAGACAGCCATTCTGCCTAAAAACACTCTAAATTATTTAAATTGAATTCTGATTAAAGTTAAAATAAAATCTTCTTCAATGGGGCATGCAACGTTCTCAGAACTTTTGCAAATGACAGCTTTGTAATCTGATTCTGTTTCATCCAGTAAAGCCATAAAATGAATACGCCACGAAACTACAGTCACTGTAGCTGTCTATGGAATACTTTACAACTTACATAGTCCCCTTTTTCTTGAGCTCCAAAAGGCAGGGAAAAATGGTGCAAATGGTTCTCCTTGAAGCTTGAATATTAAATACTAACTTGAATTATTGAAAAGAAAGTTTCACTTCTTATGGAAGAAAATACAGGGGTTTTCATTCTAACTAGGACTTACCCCAGGTCACAGAGGTAATGGAGAGATGTCAGACTTTAAATCAGAAGACCTGGGGTTGAAATCAAATTCATCTGCTCACTAGCTATGACTTGGTGCAAGTTACTTTACTTCTTAGGGGTCTATTTCCACTTCTGTGCAATTGTAAAAGTATAGTCTACCTAGCTAGATTATTGAGAAGTGCAGAAGAAACATTTTCAGATGCCAAGGGCAGTGCTTAGCAGAATAGGTTGCTAAATAACTTAGCTATTAATATTGATTCTAAAGTTGGGCCTTAAGCTAAGAAAGATCTCCTGTTTGTCAGTCTACATACCATATTGTCTAGGCAGTTTTTATTGGTGTTTTTGAAGAGTTTTTTTTTTTAAAAAGGAAAACAGAGTAATACAACAACTATGTTATATACCCACTTTCCACAATTTGGGTTGTCTTTTCAACCTAAAAACAAAAATAAAAATTTTCCAAATCATGATCTAGGTCCCCATGAATGCATTTGGCTCCATGACCATTTAGCCATTCAGATGGACAACTGAAAATTACCTATAACTAAGAAAACAGGGAAGAGAAGACTGCTCCTGAGAAGCTACCTGAGCCGCATCTAGGAAATGTGGGATCCAGCATCTTGCCACAGAGCTGAGCCATGAGATGATGAAATGAGTGAGGCAGCAGGAGCCTGCACGCCCTGGCTCAAGGAAAGAGCAGCTGCTACAGCTGCTGCTCAGGGCTTGCCAATGGCTGGCATGCTGGAATGCAGGCTCCGTGTTGCCAGACCTTTCACTACTTCAGGAGAGGCTGGACGTCGAGAGTTTATATGAAATCTCCCCATTTTTAAATATTGGCAAATAATTAAAAACGTTAAAAAAATTATGCAGGCCAAACAAAACATCTTGGCTGGCTTGATTTCAATCTGGAGAAATCAGATTAAGAGCCTTGAAAGGACAAGAGCACCCAGGCATGCAGCCTGGGGCTGCGTGCAGCCTTCAACAAGGGGATGGGGGCCTGGGTAAGGAGTACATTCTCCACCGAAGCCCTACTGGGCAGGATTCTAGCCTTCTATTTCCCTCCGTGTTTGGATTCTTATCTTTATGCCTAAGCATGAAAAACAAATCCTGGAAGCTGGCATTCGGATAAATAACACAAAGTCTGTTCGGGGTATGAAAAGGGAAAACAAGGCATCCAGAATACAGGCATGTCCCTGAATGGTGTTACCCTTATGTCCTTGGGATTCACAGCTAGATGCCTCTGGTGTTTCATAAAGTATCAGGAAAAAAACATTAAAATTGACACTCAGTTCTCTGGAAAACTATTCTAGTTCACTAAACTGCAATGTTATTAAATGCCCTTGAGGCGTTTATCCATGAACTGCTGCTGCATGCTGGTGGTGACTGCTGGGCAAGCTAACAGAAGCTGATCCGGGCTTTCCTTATGAGGAAGCAAATGCTGAGGATAAACAGTATGGAGAGCTGTGGATAAACAGTATGGAGAAGGTGGAGGTAATTCATTAAACTGCATCACAGCAATGCCACACGTGACCAAGGATATGCATTTGTAACACTGAGGTTAAAATAGCTATTGAATTTATGTGCCCTTCAACATACCCTGGAAAGTAACACTGGCACCAAAAACATGAGAACATCAAGTGAAAAGTCTTCCTCATTCTTTTGTCCATTTGAGAAAGGTGACAATTAACCTGTTAGGCTCTGAACACTGCAAAGATCTAGGAGATCTCCAAAGGGGTTAAATAGTAAATATTTTAGGCTTTTTGAGGCATAGTTTTTTTTTTTTTTTTTGAGATGGAGTCTTGTTCTGTCGCCCAGGCCATAGTGCAGTGGCTCGATCTCAGCTCACTGCAAGCCCTGCCTCCTGGGTTCAACCAATTCCCCTGCCTCAGCCTCCTGAGTAGCTGGGACTATAGGCGCCCACCACCACGCCTAGCTATTTTTTTTGTGTGTGTGTGTTTTTAGTAGAGATGGGATTTCACTGCATTAGCCAGGATGGTCGTGATCTCCTGACCTTGTGATTCAACCGCCTTGGCCTCCCAAAGTGTGAGACATAGTTTCTGTCACAACTACTCAACTATGTCATTATAATGGGAAAGCAACCATAGATGATATATAAATGAATGAGTATGGCTCTGTTCCAATAAAACTTTATTTATTAACACTGAAATGTGGATTTCATGTATTTTAACATATCACAAAATATTTTTGACTCCCCACCACCCCCCCAACCATTTAGTTCCCAGTACAAAAATAGTCAGGGGGCCAGATCTGGTCCCTGATCTAGGATAATGACCAAAGAAGAAATAGCATTTCCTGGTCAACTGCCGAAGTCAAAAGTGTGCTTAAGCACTTTATTGGATCATTTAACTAAGATAACAATCCCATGAAACAGTCTTAGCATCTCCATTTTACGTATGAGAACACTGAGGCTGGGAGCAGTGAAGTAACTTGCCTAAGTGTTTGCCGAGAGTAAATGAAAGAGCCAAGATTTGAGCCCAAGCAGACAGGCTCTGGCACCCTTGCTACACTCTGAGGGCCACATGTGCATATAGCAGTTCTTAGCCTTGGCTGGGTATCAGAACCTTACTGGAAACTTTTCAAAATACTTTCAATTTATTAAATCCTTTCAATTTATTAAATCAGACATGGTACCCAGGCATCTTTATACTTAAAAAAGACATTTCCCACAAATGTTTCTGGAGAACAGTTGGGACCTACTATATGCCCAGATCTTTGCTTTGTTGACTAAGTAGTATCAGACATGGTCCTACTGATAAACAACTTATTTATCTTGAATGTCAAATCACCCTGCTATCTGAACATGTTACCTAGCTCATGATCACAACCAGAGGTACGGTCTCCAAAGGTATCAAATTACAGATCAGACCCACAAGCAGCTAAGTCTTAGATGGTGGCCAAAGTCTTTTTTACCAAAGCCACATTTGCTGAAAGCCACCACCACAGAGCTGGGGATAAGCCAAACGTGAACTGAAACTGAAAGTTAAATTATATCAAGAGCAAAAAGTGGCAAGACAGCTAGTAAAGACAATACAAATGACACTTAAGAACTTTATATAGTATGTTTTAACAGAATAAGCATAGATAAACCAACCTGACTTGTGGCAAAGCACTTATTTGCATGACTGCAATGGGTTCCCCGTGGTCAGAGTTCCCCGCTACAGCTCTGGAAAGTATTTAAGTCTCTGGCTGGGAGAAAACTCACCATATGAAGCTTCTGTTGACCTCCCTTGCCAGACCTAACCTAGTGGAAACCACACAGGAAGGCAATCTGTCCAGAGAACTATGCTTCCATTTCAGAATACGAATACAGAAAACTCTTAGGACATGCACAGGAAAAATCTCTCATTTCCCACAGATCCCCACCTGGTACTTACACCTCAGAGATTTTCAGCCTTGGGACAGGGCCAGTCATACCTTCCTGAACTTCCCTAAGAGGCTACTTGTGCAATGGAGTCTTTGGAACTCACTGGAATGACATGACTGTCCTATTTAATTAAGTCTTCCCAAAACAGATCCACTCTGCTATTGTAGTCTCATCCTACCAATGGAGGTCCTTCCTCTTTCCATCTTTTCTTTTTGCTGACCTATGCTGGTTTGCCCCTGCTGTCTTTTGACCCCAGTTGATGTTTCTCTCCTCTTATCCATTTACATTTTTCTAACACCAAATGTGGATCCAGAATAGTGAATTCTGCGAAAAAGAATAGTCTAAAGTTTTCCACCCTCTGACTGGGCTTGAGTATTTGCTGTAAATCAAGTACTCAAAAAGCCTAGAGCTATAAACTGAGAAGACAAGGAGAAGAACTCTAAACAGCAGGCAGAACCCATGTGTAATGGACTGCAGCCTTCGTAATGAACCCTTGTAGCCACTAGTGAGAACTTTCAACAGTGGTATCTTTGAACATAAGGACAATGAAAACCTTTTAAAACCAAGGCAAATCTACTGTAACTACATGTCTATAATCGCTGGGAGGTTTACTCCATCAGATAAATAGTTTTGTTGTCTTGTTTTAATTTTCTAAAAGGTAACTTCAGCAGAGTAGTATAAAAGAAAAAGTTACCAACATTTGATTTCAACCTCTTAAGACACTAGGAGTCCAGTGTCTGCAGTGTGTTAAGGCTGTGAATTTGCTATAAGTCTAAGTACGAAAACAAAGGTAAATATCATAGCTACAGTTGATAGCTGTTGCATTAATGAGAACAAATAGAAATAAGATCTTAGTGACAAGAACACCTTTGGCAATATCAGGAAAAAGTTGAAAACATAGTTCAAACAGAAGCCTTAAAAACCAACATATTATAGTTGAATAGTCTATCATATAAATGATGAAGGAGTCTGCAAAATCATAGGAAATGCTACTGTCTCTATAGCCAAAAGGCTATAGAACATAAACACATATTATCTTACTGGCAACAAGAATCCCATATTCACCTAGTGGTTTTATTGTTTTGGTTTGGTTAACATTTTGGTGTACTTCCTCCATCTTATTTTTCAAGTACACATTTTTTTTTAAACATAGAAGTTATTTTTCCCCATTTTAAGTGCCCAATTAGTCAATTTACAGAGCTTCATAACCATTGTCACAATCCAGTTTTTTAGTACTGCCATTGCCCTAAAAAGGTCTCTTCTGCCCATCTGCAGTTAATTCCTGTTCCCACTCCCCAGTCAACTACTAATCTAGTTTCTGTCTCTTTAGGTTGGTCTTTCTGGACACTTCATATAATTGAAATCATATAATATGGAGTATTTTGTTTTTGGTGTTTTTCACTTAGCACAATGCTTGAGGTTCACTCATGTTGCAGTGCGTGCTGAACAGTATTCCATTATGTGGATATACCATGTTGTTTTTACATTTACCAATTGGCATCTGATTGTTCCCAAGTTTTTCTTGTATTGAATATAAATCTTTGTATGGGCATACATTTTCATTTTTCTTGGGTAGATATGTAGAAGTGGAATTGCTGGATCTTAGGTTAAGTGTATGTTTAATATTTTAAGAAACTGCCAAATCATTTTCCATGCTGGCTACACCATTTTACATTTCCACCAGCAATATATGACGTGTTTTTCCATAACCTCACCAAAACTTAGTACTGTTGTTTAAAAAGTATTGTTATTGTAGCCTCTTAGTGTATGTGAAATTACATCTCATTATGGTTTTATTTTGTAATTCCTTAATGACTAAAGACATTGAATATCTTTTCATGTGATTATTAGCCATTTATGTATCTCCTTTGTGACATGTAGATTATGCACGTCTACTCAAATCTTTTATCTAAAAGAGTTGTCATCTTATTATGGAGTTCTAGGGGTAATTTATATATTTTGAATACAAGTTCCTAATTAATGTCTTTAACTTTGCCTGGAACTCTAAAATTAAATGATCTTTCATTTGTGAGCTAGAACAAGGGTTCTCAAATTGTGGCCCAGGGTCTCAGGGACTGTTATGGGGGTTCAAGAAGTCAAAAGTATTTTCATAATTATACTTAGACATTAATTGCCCTTTTCATTCTCATGCTTTTATGAGTATACAATAGAGTTTTCTAGTGGCTACAAGAAGTGTTCACAATTATCTGAAAAGGCTCTTAAAATACTCCTCTCTTTTGCAGCTACATGTCTGTGTGAGGCCAATTTTCTTCATATACTTCAAAACAACAGAAGAATCCAGATGTCTTCTATTAACCAGATGTTGGAAAGGTTTGCAAAGATATAAAACAACGGCATTTTCTCATTATTTTAAAAATTTTATTTCAGAAAATATACGTTAATATGCGATGAGTTTTATTGTTATTTTTAAAGGAATTAACATACATTTTTAAAATGTCTTTTAATTTCTAGCACAAAAAATGTCAATAGCTATAACTTACATAAATAAAAGCTCTTTGGGATTTTCAATAATTTTTTCTTTGTTTGAGACAGAGTCTCACTCTGTCACCCAAACTGGAGTGCAGTGCTGCAAACATAGCTCACTGCAGCCTCAACTTCCCAGGCTCAAGCAGCTCTCACACCTCAGCCTCCTAAGTAGTTAGGACCACAGGTATACACCACTACACCCAGCTAATTTTTTTTTTCTTTTAAGACCGGGTCTCACTGTGTCCCCCAGGCTGGAGTGCAGTGGTGCAATCATTGCTCACTGCAGTCTCAAACTACTGGGTTCACGTGATCCTCCCACCTCAGCCTCCCAAGTAACTGAGACCACAGGCACGCACCACCAAACCCAGATAATGTTTTAATTTTTTTGTAGAGACGGGGTCTCACTATGTTGCCCAGTCTGGTCTTGAACTCCTGGCCTCAAGTGATCCTGCCACCTCAGCCTTCCAAAGTACTGGGATTACAGGTGTGAGCCACTGCATCCAGCCAGATCTTCAATAATTTTTAAAAGCATGAAGAAATCCTGTAACTAAAAGGCTTAAGAACAACAGAGGGAGAGAAACCATAAGTTAAGGAAATAGTGGACTGACTTCTGATTATAGAAACCATCAGAAAACATTTCCTGGCCAGGCATGGTGGCTCGTGCCTGTAATCCCAGCGCTTTGAGACGCCAAGGTGGGAGGATCACCTGAGCACAGGAGTTTGAGACATGCCTGGGCAACATAGCGAGACGCTGTCTCTACAATTAAAAATTAGCCAGGTGATGTGCATCTGTAGTCTCAGGCACTTGGGAAACTGAGGGGGGAGGATGGCTTGAGCCCAGGAGGTCAAGGCTGCAGTAAGCCATGATTGTGCCACTGCACTCCAGCCTGGGTGACAGAGTGAGACCCTATCTCTAAAAAAGAAAAAAAGAGAAAACATTTCCATATGCCAAAGTCAATCAACCAATCTCTAAAAATCAAATGAAAGCTTCATTGTAGAATCCAAGGAGAGGTGCAACACACAAGGTTTTTAACATCTGCTTCCTTAATTCAGACTCAACCAACATTTCTGAAGGCTTTGAGGCCCTTGCCATCACATGCTAAGAGGAGTAAAATGAAGAAGCTAGCAACTGAAACATGTACCAAGAATATCTGGGGGTGAGACCAAATTTCTGATGAGATTATTGTTGAAAATCTGTTAAACTCTGTACATTATATGGGGCTCAAACAGACCGCCTCTGCGATTATGTTTCCTTATATCTCCCTCAGTGTCAGCTTGCTCATCTATCTCCTGGGACATTTTTGTCAGAATACAGTGGCTGAAGCGTTTAAAAGGTAAACTGTAAGCCTTTATTACTATGTGAACCTATCAATAATTTATTTATGAATATATCTGTTAAATCTCAGGATTTCCAGAGTAGTAGCTTTATAAAGTCACATAAAGTGGACGTACAACTCATAGAACAATTCTTTCTCATTCACTGTACTTCACTGTCAGAGAGAAAAGGACTCTTTAATTATCATAATAATGTCATGAAATATTACAAATGAAAACTGGTGGTAAAAAACGAAGCACTAGATTGAATAAACCTCTTCAAAAAATTGATGTACGTTTATCTTCTTTTCTATTTATCAAGACTAGAAATGAATAAAACCTCTACTAACTATAAGACTTAAAGGTAAAACATATCTTTATTCTACTGGGAAGTCAGTTTAGAATAAGTGCTACAGGCCAGGTGCGGTGGCTCACGCCTGTAATCCCAGTACTTTGGGAGGCCGAGGCAGGTGGATCACTTGAGGCCAGGAATTTGAGACCAGCCTGGCCAACATGGTGAAAGCCCATCTCTACTAGAAATACAAAAAATTAGCTGGGCGTGGTGGCAGGTGCCTGTAATCTCAGCTACTTGGGAGGCTGAAGCAGGAGAATTGGTTGAACCTAAGAGGTGGAGGTTGCAGTGAGCCAAGATCTCACCATTGCACTCCAGCCTGGGTGACAGAGCAAGACTCTGTCTTAAAAAAAAAAAAAAAAAAAGAAAAAGTGCTACAATCTCAATCTCTAATATGTAATAATTATAGTAACCTAACTTATAAATTTGTGCATACATGTCTGTGTATGTATGTGTGTATATAGTAAAATAGTTAATATAATATGTAAAGATCTTGTACCATATCTGGTACATAATAAGCAATAATTAAGTGTTAATTATTACTATGACTGTTATTGACACCAAAGCAAATTCACTGATACTAAATTGGATTTTCATTTATTTAATCTATGGAACACCAACATTGTATTGCCTTGAAATTAAATGAAGCCTCATTGGAATTCAAATATATCTTATGAAGAATCATAAAATATCATCCAAAATGACACATTTTCTATTATTTGCAATTATGCGGAATGAAGACAGCATGAAAAATTAAAATCCCCAACAGACTTCTTACTTAGGAGGGGGCCCTGTGCTAAGTACTCAAAAGCCTATTGATTTAATAAATGAGTTCAAAGCCCGCATTAGCCAATAATGATTGCCTGAAAAAAATTCACCTTGGTTATCCAAAGCTACTGAAAAAGAAGATGAAAAATTTGTACTTTCTTCAACAACAACTCTGCTCTCTGGTAAAAATGGCAATATAATTCCTGAAATTTTCAAAAGATGATAATTGAAAGAGAAGCAATACACCTAGTAATGTATACACTGATTTATTATTAACAACTGAATTGCTGGAAAATCATTTAGGAAATTAACAAAACATAATAAAAGCAATACAATTTAAAATGCGGGTTATATATTCTGTTGGATAGAGACACCTCATTTAATTCAGGTAAGTTTACACCTTGCCATTTGAAATGTTTACATTTCAGAGAAGGAGCAGAGAAGGTAAAAGTTTGCTATTTATTTTACTGAAATTCAATTAAACAAGTGTTTATTGATCATGTACTGTGTGCCTACCAGCTTTTTAGATACTACAGGATTACACAGCCATTTCAGATAACATCATGCTCTTGGGAGCCGCATGAAGTAGATTAGATATAGTAAGACCTATATACATAAATGCATATATGAGAAAGAGGGAGAGGAGAAACAGCAAGATATTAGTGGTAAAAAACCAAAACAAAACAAAAATGTGGTAAAGATAATATGGGCAATGGAGCAAATGGAAACAATGTAAACTATAATTCTTAGAAATAATATTTTAAAAGCGACACAAATTGAATAGATGAATAAAAAGGACTCCGGTTCCAGCTCCACTTTCCAACCTTACCACCTACTCGGCCCTACACTGACACTCCCCTTCAGCAATACAGAGCTATGCAGCAAGCTCCGAATATTCCTCACGTCCCCTTCAAATCTCAATGCATTCTTTCTCCCCAGCCTCAAATGCATCCCTACTTCTCCGCTTACAGCCAAGACTCAGCTTAATTAAGACACATAAGGAACCACTCGTTTGACCCTCCCTAAGCACTACCATGTATTGTTAGTGTTGTTTTCATACAGATTTTTTAATTCTCCAACTAGACCATAAACTGGCTGAGCACACAGACTGTGTATTATACAAATCTGTGTCTTTCCCACGGTGCCTGGCAGACTGTCAATAAATATCTGGTAGTTGATTAAGGTGGAAGCTGACTTAAGAGCAAAGTCAGGGTGTTACTGAGCTATGATAAGCTTTTATTAAAGGAAGACATAAAGAAAGAAGTATTGGTAAAATACCAACTGAGTAGTAGTATGGTTAGTTTAGGGATACAGAAGAGTCTGTCAAGTGAAAGAGAAGAAACAACCTGAATTGGAAGAAAGAAAGAGGTAGAGCAGAGATATTTTGAATGAAGCATTAATAAGACTCAGAGGCTGATTTTTCATAAAGAACAAAGGTGAGAGATGAATCACAAATTACTTTAAGGTTATAAATGTTAGTGCCTGAAATAATCGTGATGTTATCATTAACAGTGATGTGAAAGTTGGGAAGAACTGCCAAGTTTGCAGGAAGGCTTAGAAGTTAAATTTTCATCTTGTTATGTTTTAGGTACCTGTAAAATATAGGCATGGGAAGATCCTATAGGCAAATGAACATATAGAACCTAAAAACTGAAGCTAGAGAGAACAAGGTGTTGACGATGTTGATTTGGGAGACATTCACAAACATATGTTGACTCAATGTACTAAAGGGATTAAGTGAAAAAGGGAAAAGACCAGAGAGTCAAGAATCTCAAGTTAGGTGGGAAGAATAGGGATCAGAGAAAGAATGTGCAAAGAAAAAGAAAAAAAAAAACAGAGGAAAAAGACCAAACTAGCATAGACAACATGCAAATCCCTAATCTCAGGAAGAAGCAGGTTATCTTGCAGTAAATAAATGAGCTAGAGAGTCAAGAATTTTATGACTAAGAGAAAAATTGAATTTTAAAGATTTTATAAAAGAATATCTATATACATACACACATTAGTCAAAATAGAATGTGTTACACTATTTCATGATATGACATTCAAAGCACAATGATTTTGTCTATTTCATTTCCTCAGCGCTACACACAGTAAAGCTCAAAGCAAGCACTAAATAAATGTTTGTCACATAAGTGTGCAGAATGTTTCTCTCCAGTTAGAACGAGTGAGGCAGCATTACATTGTGGGGACACAGAAAAACGAAGCTCTCTCAAGTCTATGGCAAAGCCAGTATTAGTATTCCATAGCTGGAGATCATTTTACATTTGTTCACTGTTTATGAATTTCAGCAGACTCTAACCTTCAAGAAATAGTGTGGTGTGTGGGAAAATGTTTGGGCTTTGAAGTGGAACAATACGGGTTAGAATCCCAGCTCTGCCATGTCTTAGAAAACTGTGAAGCTTCTGAAAGCAACAACTTGAATGTCTTCATTTTTTAAATGGTAATACTGATAACAATATCTAACTTACAGGATTGTTATAAGGAGTAGAAGAAACATTACATCTGATAAGGCCTGACTGGATGAAGGAAATTAACAAATGTTTATTTTCCTTCTTATTTCAGGAAAGCTACATCCAGAAAAAACTCCTGGAGTTGGGATTTCAAAATCTTATTTCCATTTTATTCAAGTTATTTCCTCTTTCTGCTGCAGCAAGGCAAAACTGATGAACAAAGAGCAGCTTATTATTAGGAAGTAAGCATTAAGGAATTATAACTTCAGCGAGGATGCCATGTAAGAACTGGAACTTTAAATCTTCCCTGGACAAACTAGAAGACATGAAAATACTGCAGATGAACCATTTATTATTCCTCTCTTTCTCCTGTAGGCCTCCTGGCTTAACTAGAATGCAGTCTCTCTGACTCTCAACCCTAGCTTACTCAAGAAGCTAGAGAATCCTGTTACCAAATCTGTATGGTTCTGGCTGGACTATAGGAAACATATTGAGGTTTGGGAATTTGACGGCGCTTTCTGCTGAATGACAGGTGAAAGAGTGGTTTATAAAATTGTATGAGTTTTTAGAAAAGTTTATCTACCTCCTACCTATCAGAAAATATGAGTTAATGTTTGCTAATATAATTCATTATGAAACAACATAAAATCATGCCTCAAAAGACACATATAAAAACATAAATTCCCTCATCTTTAGAACTTTGTTTTCAAGTTTATACATAACAATGTTATGAATTCTGTAGGAGTTTAATTTTTTCTTTCCTGAAACTGACACAAATATTCATTTAGAAAATATTTATTCCCATCATCTCCTAATGAATTACAGATAATTTATGGATATTAAAATTTGAATAATTTTGAAATAATTAGAGCTTTTTTGAAAAGAAAAATCTCAATATCTCTTCTGTACTAGTAATGGAGTTACTAAGTTGCAGAAAAATGTCACTATAAAAACACAAGAAAAACATTTTTTATTAACAAAAACCACATTCCTAAGGAAATGAAATCAAGGCAAGGTACTTAACAGCAGATTCATCTTGGAGATTATAATCCTAATGTTTTCACACTCTTACTCAAACATCTGGCACTCGACTGTATCACTCACTGGGTCATTTTTCCTCTTTCAACAAGGACTTACTCATAAATGTCCTATCTTTACACAGAAGTTTACTTAACTAAGAGTAGACATTTTCAGATATCTGTAATGCATAATATATTAATAACATTTAAATAAAATATAAGCCTTTATGCTTTCCTAAGATATGTGTAATCAGAAAATAATAACACAGTACAATTTCCTTAAGGCACCTATCACAAAAAAAGTTGCTGAAAGCTTTGTACACATGAATGTTAACACCTCAAAATTTCAGTAAGATCTTAATCAAAACCAGACATTATGCTCCACTCTGGGCCTTTTGTTTAACTGAGGTAAAATGTATCGTACAATATAGTAAGTCTGGATAAATGTTTCCCTGAGCCAAGAAAGCTACCCTGTGCTCTCTCCAGCCAATCCCCGCCCACCACTAGGAAACTACTATTCTAATTTCAGTCACATAGTTTGGTTTTTGCCTTTTCTTGAACTTGATGTAAATGAACCATACAGTAAGCACTTCTTTGTGTCTTTTTTCCCTGAAAGTTTTTAAGATCTGGGTTGTATGCATCAGTAGTTCATTCTTTTCATTGCTGAATAGTATTCCATTATATGCATATACATAGTTTACCCACATTATGAATAAAGATGCTATGAACATTCATGTGCACATATTTGTGTGGACATGTGTATTCATGTTCCTGGATAAATACCTGGGAGTGGAATTCCTGGGTCATAGCAATAGGTATGTACTAGGTAGGCCTAGGGTATATATACAGTGACTTTATAGGAAACTGACAAGCTATTTGCTAATGTGGTTGTGCCATTTTATGCTTCCCACCAGTGAAGCATGCGAGTTCCAGCTAATTCACATCCTTTCCAATATTTGGTGTTTTCTATCTTTATCATTGATTTCTGGAGGTATAAAATAGCATTTAATTCAGGTTTTAATTTGCCATTTGTATTTCTCTGACTACAAATGATGTTGAGCATTTTTAAAATGTGCTTATTGGCCAGCATCATTGGTTAAGCCTGTCTTTAAGTCTTTGGGTAGTATTTTTAATTTTTGATTTTCAAATAATTTCAGACTAACAAAAAAGTTTAAGAAAAGTACATAAAGTTCCTGTATAACCTTCACTCAGCTTCTCCAAATGTTATATAACATTATAAATCTTACATAAATATCTTAATCACAGCATAATGATCACTGAATTATAATTCAATACTCTTAACAAATCCACTTTTCTTATATTTCATCGGTTGTCCACCTATGTCCTTTTCGTGGTTCAGGGTCCAATCCAGGATCCTTGGTCTCCAACCGACAGTCTCTCAGTTTTTGTTTTCATGACCTTGACACTTTTGAAAAATACTGGCCCGTCATTCCGTAGAATGTTTTTGAGTTTGAATTGTCTGATATCACCTCTTGCTTAAATTCAACTTAGGCATTTTTGGCAAGAATTTAACAAGAGTGACGTTCTACCCTTCTCAGTGCACAATTCCAGGTGGTACATGATATTGACATTTCTCATTACTGGTGATACTAACTTTGATTACTTGGCTAAGGTGCCCGCCAGGTTTCCCTACTATAGTGTTATTTTTTCCTCTGTTCTTAATAAGTATCTTTTGGGGGGATATTTCAAGACTAGGCAAATATTCTGCTTCTTATATTTTCACCTACTAATTTAGCATCCATTTATCATTCTTATTTGTAACAATTATTACCATGGTGATGGCCAAGTAGTGTTTTTCTATTTTCCTCATTTCTTCTATATTTATTGATGGCATTGCACTGTAAGCTGTCCCTTTTTCACCATTGATAGATTTATTGTGTATGAAATTATGGATATTTAATGCATGCTATGGATTATAATCTATTCACCCTCATTTATTTATTTTGTTGTTCAAGGTATCCCAGATTTACCCACCAGGAGTTTCTTCAGATGAGTTCTTGTGTCCTTTTGAAATACCTCCATCCTTTTTTGAGACCTCCTTACTTTCTGGAGCCCCAGTATATTGCTGCTCCAAGATCATTTGTATTTTCTCTGCCCCTAGTCCTAAATCCAGCCACTGCTTAAAGATCCTGACTCTTTTTGGTGGTGAATGGTATTAAGAAGTCAAGATCTGGGTGCTAGCTATGCTTCTTGTTACTGGGTGTCACTGTATCTGGGCCTTCTCAGTAGACAGAACAAGGAAATGTAGATATGTTCACATAAAGAGACACACATAGGTATGTATGCATATTAAAAGCCAGGAGATCATAGTGCAATCTCCTATTGCAATCCAACATTACAGGGTTCATTCCTAATTTGCAATCAATCCCATTAGCTCCTGGCTGATCTTCCCTGTATTTCTTTGCACAAATATGCAGATATACGTGTATTATATATTTTCTTTTTTCTCACATGAATAGTTGCATTATTTATACACACACACACACACCCAAGTACTTTGCTTTTTCCAGTGACAGTACATCGTCCATATCAACTCAGAGAAACCTTTCTTATTCTTTTATAAAGCTGCACAGTACTCCATTGTGTGGATGTACTATGGTTTATTTAAGCATTATCCTAGGTTTGGGCACTTAGGTTCCTAATATTTTGCAATAAAAAAGCAAAGCTGCAATGATTTTTTTGCCAGCTTTTCATTGGGTAGTCTTTCTTCTTTTAAGCTATATATATAAATATCTCCATTACATATTATGGAAACAGGTCCTCTGTCAGATACATGCTGCAAATATTTTCTTCAGCCTATGACTTCCCTTTGCATTTTCTTAATGGTATCTTTTGGTAAGTGGAGTTTTAAATTTTAATGAAGTCCAACTGATTCATGCATCCAAATTTTGAAAACATAGTAAAGCAGAAGACAACATTTAAAAGTCAAAAGAACTACTGAAATTTGAGTATCTATTGTTTAAAGTGGCTGGATATGCAAAGCAGGAGACTACTGTTTATGAAACATTATATCCAACCCCATATAATAAAGGTGTTCAGAAAAACATAAAATATCCTTCCACCACAGCCAGACTGCCGGCAGGAAAGAAAGGCAAACTATCCGCAGGAAAGAAAGGCAAACTCCTGTATGATGCCTATAAAAGAGCTGAGAGGCATAGAAGGGATGAACAATTATGGTGAAAGAGCTGATGACTAGTAGTAGAAAGATTCTTGCCCAGGTCCCATGAAGAAGGCAACTGAGCAAAGACACAAGGTCTAGGCCAAGAAACCATCTCCACAGCCTTTTGCTGAAAGGAGATTAAAGCAAATTGATAGATGCAGGAGGCAGATAAGGGAACCTGCACAGGATCTCACCCAGGCATGCCCGCAATGAACTGGGGGCCCACATGCAAGCTTGGACAATAAAGTGGAACCACCCGAAATTCACGCCTTAGGCACTGGGAGAAGCCTGGCCTCTTCAGCTTGTGTGTGATGGCCTGGTATTCAAACAGTGAGGTGGGAGCCTGTTGGCAGAACCCCCTCTTTCTTCGCTGAGAACTTTCTTTTTACCTAATAAATCTGCCCTCCTCACCCTTCAATATTTCCTCATGTCTATTTTTTCCTGGTCATGAGATCAGAACCTGGATTTTAGCTGAACTAAGCAGCAAAATATTCTGCATCAAAATAAGGTTATAGTCCTGTGTGTATGCCAATTTTGGAACTGGAAAGGGTACTGGATCTTAATTCTAAATAAACAAATGATATGTGGGCTCTGGGTTTCTTGGCAGAAGGAGATGAGATACAGTTAGAGAGTACTGACATTCTCAGCCCATAGATACATGTTACCACAGGCCACAGATACTCCTGTGATAGCCAGGTCTCCCAGTTCTAAGATCTGCTAAAGTAAAGCAAAAATACACCCAAATGAAAGTCACCAAATGTCACCTCTGGCCAAAGATACCAATTTAAATAGTCAGAAGATAGTTTACGTTTTTTATAAGCAGCTTAAAGTTAAAGGGACATTGTAGTGGACATTATTGTAGCCTATGTATCACTCATCTCCTTTCCCCCTTCCCTAAAGAACTCTAGGTCTGTCCCCTTTCCAACCCTTCCCCTACAGCTTACTTATGTCCAGGGTGCTAACTCCAATCTCAACTCCAGGGAAATGCTTTGTTATCTAAGGTGATACCAACTGTTCACAAGTGACCATAGAACTCTGAGGTCAAAGGTTTCCTGAGACCTTCTGTGGGGGTGGGAAAGCTGTCCTTCTTTAATTGGGACAATTCTCTCTCTCTTCCAGTACATAACTGAGAAGCCACATAAGCTCTAGTACTAGAAATTAGCTTTGGAGTAAAACAGGCACTTACAGGGGAGAACAGAGAGATAAAAAGAACGCACTTTTTGTTTGTTTGTTTTTTGTTTTAGAGACAGCGTCTTGCTCTGTTGCCCAGGCTGGAGTGCAGTGGTGTGATCTTGGCTCACTGCAACCTCCGCCTCCCAGGCTCAAGGGATTCTCATGCCTTAGCCACCCAAGCAGCTGGGATTACAGGTGTGTGCCATCACACCTGGCTAATTTTTTTGTATTTTTTAGTAGAGACAGGGCTTCAGCATGTTGGCCAAGCTGGGCTTGAACTCCTGGCCTCAAGTCGTCTGCCCACCTCAGCCTCCCTAAGTGCTGGGATTACAGGCGTGAGCCACCACACGTGGCAAGAACCAAGATCTTGACATTGCTCTTCTCTTGTATTAGCCAATCCTGATAGCTGCCTTCCCTCTGAAATTGCAATTATGTGAGCCAGTAATATTTTGTATTATTGAAGTCAATTTGTATAGGATTTTTGAAAAATTATAGGCAAAGCACCCTAAATAATAGAATATCCTACTTAACATCCAATGCCTTTACCTTAGCTCTAAATTCTTCCTCTGTTTCATTTAAGCTTTCATGCTCAGTTATAACCATGCAGTGGGATGAAATAAGAGTAAGCGGAAGTTCAAGTTTCACACACAAAACAGGAGAATGTATTTATGTTTTAAAGTCTTAGTTCTAAATCCAACAGACCATGTGATTTCCTAGTATCACATTATAGGTTAACAACAGCTAAAGAACAAGAAAGATGCTCAGCAAATTCTCCAAATTTAAGTATCGATTACTGAAAACAAGCTCTTGTAATACAAACTCAAAATGAATTCTAAGATGTGTGTGGTGGTCACATGGCCTAACAGAGAAGACTGCTTTTTATTCTTAGTACCATCTAAAGGATGCTTAGGTCCTACTTGTCAAGGTAATTTTCACCCCTTGGTGAGTATTCCAATCTCTATGACAGATTAATCATTTCAAACAGTATTCTGTTAAAAGTGCAGTGCTCTAAACTGATGACTAAAAGTATCATTTTCTTAGAGGGATAAAATTCTCTAATGCATGTAAGGACCTAGATTCTAGGTCCAGATTAAAAACTAATGATGATATTTCACAACGAACCAAAACTTTCAATTCGGCCTTTTTGCTATAACCATTGATAAATTCTAATATATTCATTGTGAAGATCCAATAACAAACAGACATGCCTTAGAGATATTGAGAGCTCTGTTCCAGATCACCACAATAAAGCAAACATCCCAATAAAGCAAGCACATAGTTTTTTTGGTTTCCCAGTGCATATTATGTTTACACTATTACTGAAGTCTATAAACTCTGCAGCAGTACTGCATCAAAAAAAATCTACACACCTTAATTAAAAATACCTTATTTCTAAAACTGCTAATGATCATCAGCCTTCAGTGAGTAATAATCTTTTAGCAGGTAGAGTCTTGCCTCGATGTTGATGGCTGCTGACTGATCAGAGTGGTGGTTGCTGAAGGCTTGGGGCAACTGTGGCAATTTCTTAAAATAAGACAACAATGAAGTTTGCTGCAAAGATTTACTTTTCCTTTCATGAAAGGGTTCTCTGTAGCATGTAATACAGAACTTCCTTCAAAACTGTAGGCAATCCTCTCAATCTCTACCACTGCTGTGTCAACTAAGTTTACGTAATATTCTAAATCCTCTGTTGTCATTTCAACAATGTTCAAAGCATCTTCTCCAGGAGAAGATTCCATTTCAAGAAACCACTTTCTTTCCTCATCCATAAAAAGCATTTCCTCATTAATTCAATTTTTATCCTGAGATTGCAGCAATTCAGTCACATCTTCACGGTCCACTTCTATTTCTAGTTCTCTTGCTATTTCTACCACATCTGCAGTTACTTTCTCCAGTGAAGTTTTGACCCCTCAAAGTCATCCATGATGGATGGAAAGTTGGAATTAACTTCTTCCAAACTCCTGTTAATGTTGATATTTTGACCTCCCATGAATCGTTTATGTTTTGGATTGTATCATATTATAGAATGGTGAATTCTTTACAGAAACTTTTCAATTTACTTTGCCAGATCCATCAGAGGAATCACTATGCACGGCAGTGATTGCCTTATAAAATGTATTTCTTAAATAATAAGACATGAAAGTCAAAATTCCTCCTGGATCCATGGACTGCAGAATGGATGTGTGTTAGCAGGCATGAAAACAACATTAATTTCCCTGTACATCTGCATTAGAGTTCTTTGGTGACTAGGTGCGTTGTCAGCATGCAATAATATTTTGAAAAATATCTTTTTGTCTGAGCAGTGGGTCTTAACAGTGGACTTAAAATATTCAGTATACCATGCTGTGCACAAATGTGCTGTCATCTAGCTTTATTGCATCATGTATAGAGTACAGGCAGAGTAGATTTAGCACAATTCGTAAGGGCCCTAAGATTTTTGGAATCCTGGCTTTAACATAAAGTCACCAGCTACATTAGCCCCTGACAAGAGAGTCAGCCTGTCCTTTGAAGCTTTGAATCTAGGCACTGTCTTCTTCTAACTATCAAAGTCATAGGTGGCATCTATCTTCCAATAGAAAGCTATTTCATCTACATTGAACATCTATTGTTTAGTGTAGCCACCTTCATCAATTATCTTAGCTCAATCTTCTGGATAACTTGCTACAGCTTCTCCATCAGCACTTCCATCAACGTGAAGTGCTGCTTCGCCTTGCACTTGGAGACAGATTCTTTTCTTAAATTTCATGAACCAACCTCTGCAAGCTTCAAACATTTCTTCCGCTGCTTCCTGACCTCTTTTAGCCTTCACAGAATTGAACAGAGTTAGGGCCTTGCTTTGGATTAGCTTTGGCTTAAGAGAATGTTGTGGCTGGTTTGATCTTCTATCCAGACCACTAAAACTTTCTCCATATCAGCATTAAGACTGATACCAGCCTTAAAAGTGCGAATCTGTGAACATACAAATTAAACCAGCCACATGGTTTTCTTTCTTATCATTTGTGTGTTCACTGAATAGCACTTTTAATTTCCCTGAAGAACTTTTCCTTCTCATGTACAACTTGGCCAACTGGTGCAAGAGGCCTATCTTTCAGCCTATCTCAGCTTTCAATATGTCTTCCTCACTAAGTTTAATCCTTTCTAGCTTTTGACAGATGTGCAACTCTTCTTTTCACTTGAACACTTAGAGGCCATTGTTGGATTATTAATAGGAATAATTTCTTTAGGTTTTTTTTTTTGAAGCAGGGTCTCACTCTGTTGCCCAGACTGGAGTGCAGTGACACAACCACAGTTCACTGCAGCCTCAACTTCCCTTGGTTTAAATGATCCTCACACTTCAGCTTCCTGAGTAGCTGGGACCACAGGTACATGCCACCACGCCTGGATAATTTTGTATGTTTTGTAGAGATGAGGTTTCACCATGTTGTCCAGGCTGGTCTCAAACTCCTGGACTCAAGCAATCCTCCCACCTCAGCCTCCCAAAGAGCTCAACTCAATTGGGCTAATTTCAATATGTTGTGTCTCAGGGAACAGCAACGTCTGAGGAGAGGAAGAGAGATGGAGGGAATGGCTGGTTGGTGAAGCAGTCAGAACACATACAACATTTGTAATTTATGCTCACCGTCTTACGTGGTCATGGTTTGTGGCACCCCAAAGCAATTACAATAGCAACATCAAAGATCACTGATCACTATAACAGATATAATAATAATAATAATGAAAAAGTTTAAAATATTGCTAGAATCACTAAAATGTGACACAGAGACATGAAGTGAGCACATGCTGTTGGGAAAATGGCACTACTACACTTGCTCAATGCAGGGTTGTCACAAACCTTCAATCTGAAATTAACAAATGCAATAACTGCAAGGCACAATAAACAAAGTATAATAAACTGAGGTATGCCTATATCTAAAGATCATTGAAATAAGTGGCCCATATACTGAATAATGATGGGGTGACCATCATCCACAAGCAATCTCCCAAAAGTAATTTCAATGTGCAAGTTTGGTTTCTGTCATGCTAAGCATCCTAACATAAAGCTTTCTGTCTACTGAATACACTGTAACAATATGTTCAGTTTCTCTATGCTAGGTGTTAGGAAGGTGACAAGTTAAACAATTTTTTTATTTTGAGGAGAAATGCCATCAAAATTTATCAGTGCGCATCAGGCAGAATCACAGAGTGATTGCCCAACATTTCAATGGGTCTCCAGTACTTATATAACCTTATTTAAAAAGGGGAGGGAGAGGCTGGGGGCAGTGGCTCAAGCCTGTAATCCCAGCACTTTGGAAGGCTGAGGTGGGCAGATCACGAGGTCAGGAGATTGAGACCATCCTGGCTAACACGGTGAAACCCCGTATTTGTATTTTTTGTACTAAAAAATACAAAAAATTAGCCAGGTATGGTGGCATGCGCCTGTAGTCCTAGCTACTTGGGAGGCTGAGGCAGGAGAATTGCTTGAACCCAGGAAGCAGAGGTTGCAGTGAGCCAAGATTGCGCCACTGTACTCCAACCTGGGCGACACAGTGAGACTCCAACTAAAAAAAAAAAAAAAAAAGGAGGGAGGGATGGGGAATATAGGTAATTCTGCTGAAGGCCAATACATGGGTTACTAGGGAGAATGAATGGATTGCGGAACAGAGATTAACTTGGGTTTTCTCCCTCTATTTTCTTATTTTTTAACTTTTATTTCAGGTTCAGGGGTACATATGCAGGTTTGCTATACAGGTAAATTCATGTCATGGGGGTTTGGTGTACAGATTATTTTGGGTGATGCGTTTAAAACTTAAACTAGAAACAACTGCTAAACATGAAAATATTTTCACAATGTTTTGCACTAAACTATACCTGCTGTTTTATTATGTCATGAAAATATTCAAAAGAGCTTTGGAATGGTCAATAAATCGCATTTAAAATGACAACTCCTGGTTACAGGAGGGTCCTCATTAGAAACTATTTAGGACATTAAAATGTGTGGTGCTTCCTTGGTTCTTGATTTGTAAAAAGTGCATTGTAAACACTTATAAAAACAACTGTAAAAAGATCTTCATGAGATGATACTAAGGAAATTTTTGAGGATTATTCTTTTAATAATAGTATTTAAAAAATTTAAGTGGCAATTATATATATATATATATATATTTAAGATTCCTATCTCTTACAGATACATATGGAAGAATTTATCATTGAGTAGGACATGTCTTAAAATAATCCAGTGAGGCAGGAAAAGGGGATATGCCGCTAACTGTAGAAGTGAGGTTATGGATATTTGAGGGTTCATTATACTATTTTATCTTCTTTTGTGTGTTTGTAAAAGTCTGCGTATTAAGTTTTAAAAGCTTTTCATAAAAATAAGAATTAAAAGCAGAATTGTTCGGTGGACTTTTCTTAAAGTTTAAAATATAACACAACCATTCTGAAATGTGATTGTATTTTTTTCACTTTTAACTGCTTTATTGGGCTATAATTTACATCTACACAGTTCACCTACTATAGGTGTACAGTCTATTGATTTTTAGTAAGTTTTATGGTTGTACAATCATAGAAACAATAATTTAATTTTAAACCAGGAGAATTTTTTTTAGTGTTAGGAGAAGAGTGTTTTGTTGTTGTTGTGAAACAAGGATCTACTTCAACAATGGTTAGGACAACAGCTTAGCTGTTTTAGAACCATGTCTATTTTTCTCTTCTTGAAATACCAAAATAATTCTAAAACAAAAAAATTTATCAGCAACTAGACTTTGTGACTAAAGCTACCTTTCTTCCTCCATCTTTACTGATATATTTCTTCCTTGCCAACATTTTTTCCTCTTTTCCATATATCTTCTCCCTTGGCAGACGGCCACTGCCAGCAGCAGCGGGCAGATGCAAGATCTGAATTGACTCTTCTGTGTTTCTAAAGCTAGGCCAGTGCAGCTCCAGGGAGGGATCCCACTACCCATCTGACGTCCCCTTGGGAATGGCAGAATTATAACTCATCTTTCCCATTTCTGAGGAAGTGGGAAAAAACCTGAATCCCTAAAGCAGGGCTGAATACCACTGCACTCTTAGCTAAACTGATTTTTGGCTGCTCCACTGTCATTTCTACCCAGGCTTCAAGGTGTCGGGGTAAGTGATCCCCCACCTAACAATGGCTTCTGGTATGTTTCTATAGGAATTGTTCTGTGTTTACTTCAGTGTCAGCTCTAGAAATCAGCATTTGTGCTTTCATTTTCAAATCTTCAGCCTCAATGGAAAAAGAAAAGTTGATTTTTTAGTGAAATCCTATATGCTTTTCATATGGGTGAAAAGATAACTTTAGAATAATTCACTTTGGATGCATAACACTAATACATAATAGTATTAATATATAATAAATAAAATATACAATTAGCAACTGATACTCTTACACTTAAAAAAAGGTCAGAAAAGTTTTGTTTGAAGGTTTAGCATACCATAAATAAAATATTTGAGAATTTACAATCACTAATAATGCTCATATTTCAATGTTTTATGCACTTAAATCAAATACTTTGGGAAATTGTATCTAGCTGGACACTCATGGTCATCACTGATAAGGTATCACAATAGAATGTGCATCATACATAGAATCATTATCCAAACACTTTACAGTGTGTGAAAGGAGGTGATATTAAAAATTACGCCAGGACACAGGTGTACACCAAAACTTTCCCAGGCTAACTGGGACACAGGGTAACTCTAGTTATAAACACATCGATGCAAAAACACTTAAGATTAATGGGATTGAAGTACATTCCCAGTTCTTAAGGGGCTATCATCAATTCTTCAATTGTTCTTCCCAAGCTCCTACTTTTGGAAAGCATTAGCCACTAGTAAGGGAAAGAAGCCAAAGGATTCTCTTTTATAATTTTGTCCCTTGAACTGGGATAATATTTTACCTTTGTACCACAAACATTCTTATCTTTACATTTATATCTCACTGAACTATGAACTTTAATGAATACTGAATTTAGCAAAACAGATTACAATTCATCAAATGAGAATTATGACAATCACCAAACTGTGAAATTTGGGGGAAAAAATCAAATTCTAGGGAAGACATACCATCATTTGCAACTGGACAATTTAACTTTTTAAGAGACAGTGCCAAGAACCTTTATCACTATAAAATATCAACAATTTTGAGACTCTTTGATTACTGAGTAACTTAAATTAGAAATCCAAAATAGAAAGAGTCCACCTGGAGGTGCTCCCCAAAACTATTGATATCATTTAGCTAGTCCTAGAATTTAAATAACACTTCAATTTTCTTTAAGGTCTCTTCGCACTAAAAATGTCATAATTAAAATTCTCAGCAGTACTTACGTCTGTGAACGTTAAAACCAAAATCAAACTAAAAACTTAAAAACCACTGAAATTTATAAACCAGAGGGATTTTCCACTTTAGTAAAGAGATTATGATGAAATATGGCACAATTTTATGAACTTATTAGTCCAACTAAATGAATTTACATTCTGCAGCGCTTCAATAATTGTAGAAGTTGGAGCACTGCCCAAAAACAAAATGGGTTTTTTTTTTTTTTTGGAAGCCAAAATGATTTACATTGAAAATTAAATTACTGAATAAAATACATGGTATGAAGCTAAAATGGTTTATAATAGGTGAATAGTAGTGATAGAATTTCCTTCTCAGAAACGAGAAATATATATGCTAAAACCATTTCTGAATGAACTTCCAAAACTATTAACATCATTCATTTAAATACTTTGATATCAAGATGACACCAACTTAAATACTGGTTCTGACAGTTTATTCCATTTATATAAGATATCACAAGGAGAAATTTAGAAACATTCTGATGAACCCAAATGAGAAACCTCAATATAGCTTTTCAACTAATATTTAAAGCAAACCATCTGAGGACGCCATCAAATATGCTTCTTTTTTCCTAACTCATCACTACTATTACTACTATTTTATATTTTTATTTAAAATTAGCAACTCTATTTGCAAAAGTATCTATTTTCAGGCATCCTCGCTTAAGAAGCCCTCAGCAGGAAAGACTGCAATCACATGCAATTACAGATGGAAATGACACTCAAATTTATCTATGGTATTTGTTTCCCAAAGCCAAAACAATGTTTCCCTGAGCTATATTTCACCATTGGTTTGATCCTGTAAGACAAAAATAACTTCAGTTTCTTAATATCATCTGTAAGAATGGGAGAAATTTGAGCAAATCATTATTAGTCATGCTGGCAACAACAACAAAAAAAAGTCATTTTGCCAGACAAACGAGAGGTCAGAGAAACCAACACAGAAATGGACCTGAAGTAAGCTATCAAAAGTACAAGAACAATTTAAAAATCGTAATAAATATAAATGGCATCAAAAGACTATCATTAAATGTTGAATTACAGTGCACCACAGAGACCCAATTCAAAAGATAAGAAGTTTCCATGTTTTCTCTCACTGTTGAGTTTTAAAATATTATAATCCCTAAGATTTGATAAAGACAGACATTTAACAACTGTCCAGCATCTACCTATGACTTTGAGGAGACTCTGTATCTGGGTTTACAGCTCATTCACTTATTCATTCACCTACAGTACACTAGGTACTATGTTATTTGTAGAGACTAAAGCCTAAACAAGATAGAGTCCCTCTCTGCTTTCAGGGGTCTGGTAGGAAAAAATAAATAGGAATTTTAATAAATCATGTTAAAACCTAAGATAGGGCAAATTCAGGTGCCACAGGACACACAGGAGTCAAGGAAGCTTCGGCCACCTCTAAACTGAGTACTGAAGTTGTAGGAAGAATTAGCTAAAGTGAAGATGGAAAGAAGAGTAATCAAACACAGGGAACTCTGAGTCCAAGGGCCGGAGGTGGGGCAAGCAGCCCAACAGACAGATGGGAGAGGCTGGTACTTTCATAAACCAAGTACAGCTGAAGAATAGACGTAGAGGCATGAGTGAAAAGTGATGAAACTAGAGAGGGACAGGCAGATTCCAAAGTTCGTATATGATGCTGAAGTATTCTGAGGAAGCTTGAAAAGTGAAGCCAAGTAAATGTGTGAATGCTGGGTGGGCTCATTTGTCTCCCTGATACCTGTCCCCTAGCATCATCCTCACTGCACAGTGATTCTAAGTGATGTATCAGCAACATTATTAAATGCCATGGGCCTTTCTCTTAAGGCCAGGGTCCCAGTCTGTAAAATGAGTTTGCTCAGCACAGTTGGTAACCCTGGGTTTCTGCAGGCCTATGCAAGGCATGGAGTCTTCAGTTCAGCACTGGGGCTACCTTTCCTTTGCCTGCTGCTTCTGGCTCTCTCACCTACCCACACTCTTGAAGAGTATCTGCCCCTCTGCCTCTGGTTGAAGGCTATCTGACAGTAATGCCAGAATTAAATAGGGACCATTGGAGGCTTCTGCATACTCCAAGTTTCTAAAATGTGAAGAGAACCACAACTACAAAGATGCAGAGGACAGGCAACTGGCGAGTTGCCAGGAAGTGCCTGGAAGCCACCAGGCCACCAGAAGGCACAGTTCTTAAAACTTGCTAATAAGCTCATTATATCTGGCTGTAAGAAGCGGTATGAGGTCCACAGTTTATGAAAACATTTTGTCAGTTTTTTGGTATATGGGAAGATGAAGAAAACACCATGTGAAAAATGAGGTGTGAGGAAAGACTCCCTGCTGTCTGGGAGAATGGAACCTTTTCGAAGTTTTTGTGGACACATTTTCAAGTGGTTTTCCTCGGTGGTCAAACTTTGGAAGCTTCAGAGAACACATCATGATGGGGTCTGGTTTTCTCCCCTCCTCTTTCACGATGATGGGGTTTAGTTAGTGCACACATGGCTGTGCAGTGAGGAAGCACAGCAGGAGGTCATGTGTGTGCGTGTGTGGGGGGCCAGAGGGGCAAATAACAGAAGAGCACAGAAGCAAATCATAAATTTCCTGGCACAGCCACATTAAAAAGTAAAAATAAGTAGGTGAAATTAACTTTAGTAGTATATTTTTATTTAACCCAACCTAGCCAAAATATTAGCAATTTAATCTGTAATTAAATTTAATGTTATTAAAAATGTAATCAGTATAAAAATTATCAGATTATCAGATATTTTATATATTTATAAATTATATATATATTTATATATAAATATATATATTTTATATATATTGATTTTTCATACAAGTCTTTAAACCCCAATGTGCGTTTTACACTTACAGAACATCTCAATGTAGATTAGCCATATTTCAAGTGTTCAAAAGTCACATGTGGCCAGTGTCTACCACATTGGACAGTGCATGTTTCAAGTATTTTAACCAGACATTCCACCCGCCTTATATCATAAGGCCATCAGAATACATAGACATTTTTCTTGTAGCAAAAGCAGCCAGCCTAGATTAAGGGGAGGCTCTCATTGCTAGGAGATGCTAGTTTCAACAGGCTCATGCCAGAATGCCCAGGGCAGAGTATGAAATATACAGCGACAGGGGCGGGGTCAAGGGTGAGGTCAGGTGGCAGAAGTGATGGACTTGTATCTTAAACCTATAGCTCCCCATTATAGGAACAGAACTATTCCTGATGTAAAATCTGTTGAGGTCTGCTTTCCAAAAACACTTTTTCCATCCACTCCTATTATTCCAGACTAAAGGTCTGGGAACAAAGGAACACATCTGCCCGTCCTTGCTGCTGTGAGATTGCAGGAAGCAAGTCTTCAGCCTTAGTTACCTCACCTGGGAAATGGTGGAAAATGCAGAGCTGCTAAGTGCTGTGCCTGGCCACGGGCCTTTGTAATCTTTCTCACTGCCTCCTGGATTTCCTGTTAGGATGAGGTGCCATACTTCTCTGGAACTATAAAGGATGAAAATCATTCCATGGCTTGCTTCCCAACGCCTTTAGAAAAAAATAAAATCCAGCTGGGCGCGGTGGCTCACGCCTGTAATCCCAACGCTTTGGGAGGCAGACGTGGGAGGATCACCTGAGGTCAGGAGTTCGAGACCAGCCTGGCCAACATGGTGAAACCCCGTCTCTACTAAAAATACAAAAATTAGCTAGGCATGGTGGCGCACACCTGTAGTCCCAGCAACTCAGGAGGCTGAGGCAGGAGAATCACTGGAACCCAGGAGGCAGAGGTTGCAGTGAGCAAAGATTATGCCATTGCACTCCAGCCTGGAAGACAGAGCAAAACTCTGTCTCAAAAAAAAAAAAAAAAAAAAAAAAAAAAGGGGAAAAATAAAATCTAATCTCCCTATAATTGGCTTTGAGGCCCTACATGATCTAGTAAAACTTAAGTCTCTGCCCCAACTCTAATGGCACACTTATTTTATCTCCCTTCCATACCACATTAGCCATTGCCTTTTTCTTTGGCATTCTAGCCTCCTTCCTGCCCCAGGGCCTTTGCACCGTGCCAGGGCACACTTTAAGCTCTCGTGTGTCTCATATTCCAAGTCTCAAGCTCCTTTTCCAACTGGGCCTCTCCAGACCACACTGACTAACATAACCATTCCCTTGCACTTTACCTGCGCCATCGGATCATCTTTTCCTTCCCCCACCCATTCTATTTTACCTGTTTGCTTATTTGCAAATTGTCTGTCTTCCTCACTAGAACTTATTCTCTGTGAGGGCAGTGGTAGCCTCTGCCCCCAGTGCCAATGACAGCATCTGACACCCAGGAGATATTCAACAAATATTTCATGATTATGTGAATAAATGGATGCTATGAAAATACAGAGTTTCATCATTAACTACTACAGCAAATCATATTGTAGGGAGTTATTTTTCATCATAAAAATATTTTATTAAGAACATTATGCTAAGCTAAATAAGCCAGTCAAAAAAGGACAAATGTTGTATAATTTCACTTACATTAGGTACCTAGAGAAGTCAAATTCACAGAGACAGAAAGTAGAATGGTGCATGACAGGGGCTGGGGGGAAGAGGAATTAGGATTTAAGTGTTTAATAGGTACAGATTTTCAGTTTTTGCAAGATGAAAAAAGTTCTGGAGATGGATGGTGGTGATATGGTTGCATAACAATGTGAATGTCTTAATGCTGCTGAACTGTACACTTGAAAATAATTAAGATGATAAATCTAATGTGTATTTTATCACCATTGAAAACTGCTACAATGATATACACTTATCAAACAGGCACAAAGTAAGGAGATGGCGGCATCTGTTGCTGGTGGGGATGGAGGAAGGGTCCTCAAACTACTGGAAGAAATGTGAATTATTTCCATCTTTGGAAAGCAATCTGGCAACATTTCTTAAAATAATTTGACTCAGAATCTTAATCTAGAATCCTATTAAATGCAATAAATGTAGGAATATGCATACATATAAAGCATCTTCTGAGCAGCACTCTCTTTCCACTAAACTGTGAGCCACATGTGAGAGGGGTCCACAGCATACAGATTTCTTGATTCCTGTGGGCCCTGAATTTACTGGACAAGTAAAGCAACATCACAACATAATTAGCTGTCATATAATTCCCTGCTATGCTTAAAGGATAGACATTTTCTCTTTCTTCCTCATTCTTTTTCTCTAAAATTTTACAGAAAATATTTTCTCACAGAAGCAGGGGAAAGACTACTTACTAAAAACTGTTTAACCAATGCAAATGTATCATCAAATCAACTTCTCTTTAGGATAAGAAATTTAAAATCTATTACAAAGAGAAACAGTTTGCATATATAAGAAGCTGAGGTATATCAGTGAGTGAACTGCTATCACATTAAGCTTCAAACATTTGATTTTCCAAGACATTTTGTCAAATCAAAAGTTTTATGTGTACTCAATGAGACTAACTTAACACACAAAAATACTATTAAAATGATTCTAATAAAGGTAGGAACGTTAATTGGTTACAGGACGGTTACTATTTTAGGTGGCAGGATTTCTTCATACTTTTCAGGTTTTTTTTTTTTTTTTTAATTTTTAGAGACAAAGTCTCACTCTGTCACCCAGGCTGGAGTACAGTGGTATGATCATAGGTCACTGCAGCCTTGAACCTCTTGGCTCAAGAAATCCTCCTGCCTCAGCTTCCTGAGTAGCTAGGATTATGGGTGTGTGCTACCATGCCTGGCTAATTTTTGTTTTTTATAGAGATGGAGTCTTGCTGTGTTACCCAAGCTAGTCTTGAATTCCTGGCCTCAGGCAATCCTCTCCTGTTGGCCTCCCAAAGCACGGGGATTACAGGTATGAACCACTGTGGCTCAGCCCTAAAGACATTTCTTTAACTTTGGGAAAGAGGGTCACATGATAAACAGGATCTCCACAAAGACCACTAATATGCTCTTTATTACAACTCAGACTGAAGTTAATTTTACTTTATTTGACTGCCTCAATGATTACTTTTTAAAAGGCTTTCCAATATCCACCTAATATGCTTTCGAGTTCCATTTGAGACCAGACTTGCTTCACTGGATTTCAAAGGGCTCCATGACACTTCCTTATATACTAAGGAATATTATATGCCACTTGGAGACTCATTTAGTTAATTTTCATTTTAACAAATACAATTTCCACATAGTGGGTTTTCTTTAAATGGGGTACACTTAACAGCTCAGAACAGAGCTCATGAGTAGTTCCCTGCTACCCTGCTGTCAAAGAAAATATACAATGACACATTCATAGATTAAAAACGTGCAGCCGCTATGATTTCTTACCATAGTATAGAGCATTTGGCACCCATGAAAAGCAAATCAGCTGTGGATTTCAACATCATGCCAAGTATGGCTTTGGTACCATTTCATTAAGAAAACTGCTGTATGATTGCTGCCATAATTTCTGCATCTGAAAAGCTTCCTGTGGTTAGGTCATTTGCAAGTGGTACTATGTACAAAGTTACCAAGACAGGTTGGCTTGAGAGGCAGACAATGGTTTAAGTAAGAGAATGAGTTTATATCACAGTAAATTCTGGCTAATATGTACCAGCAGTGACGTCCACGTACAGGTGGAGCTGGCAGTTAACTCCTGACAAAACTACCACTTCAACAGATGGTGCCTATGATCCTATCCTGAGACATTTACTGACTTCTTTTGTTTAAAACGCCAGTAACACGAAAGCCATCCTCAGTAAACAGTGCGCCCTTTATCTTAGTGTACATATTGGCTTCTTGAGGGCCGGATAGCTACATAGGTTTTGGGGTGAGAAGGGTGTCCATCCCAGGTATTTCTAGGAAAAACTGCTGAAAGTTTAAAAATATGTTTTTAGACAATGTAAATAAACTTCAATTTAAAATTGTTAACCGAAGGCACTCCCTCCCCTCCACTTTTCTCCAATATGCTACACTCGAAATTGTAGCTACTTTGTCAGGATACCAGCAATGGCTCTGAAGTCAGATTCAGGCTTGAGTGTAAGTTTTGTCATTTATAGCTGTGAGATCTTGCCTAAATTACTTACCTGCAAGTGTTTACTAGTATGACCACATGCATAAATACGACTGTGCATAAGGAAAGGGAGATGAGTTTCACTATGCAATTTCATCCCAGGAACACACATGCAGGGTCTTAACTTAGGCTACTACAGGCTGTCAACAAATCTGGTTACTAAAGACCTGGCCTTGAAGGGAGAGGAAGAGCCTAGTATTTTTTTAAAATCAATTATTGCATTATCTTCTCTTTCTTTTAAAAGTTTTTAAGTATCCATGGTCAGAATTTTGGTAAAATTGTTGCAAGTTAGAATTTAAATTACTCCTTTTACAAAAATTACATTTAGGACTTTTGATCTCTGCCCATACCTAATATCATGCAGTGAATCTCTTCTACAAAATAGTGTTATAGCTTTTAATGTCATCCATCACCCTATATGATAATACAACAGAGCAATCTGAGAAACTGGAAAAGCTGCCTGTGGATGTCTGCATCCAATTTCAATGATTTTTTTTTCTCACCAGGATTCGAAGCAGCCCCTTACTGATTTCAAATGCACATTTTATGTTTAGTGCTTGGAGGAGCCGGGTAGTGTTGGAATCTGACATAAAAATTATTATTCCCCTGACATTTTATATACTATTTCATCAAATAACAGCTTTGCATATTATGTGGCACATGTCCAGTCTGACAAGTAATAAGAGCACTGTGAACAGCGATCATTTATTTAATGTCTACAATGTGCCAGGTACTTGGCACACATCATCTCCAATCACTGAAGCATCTTGATAAGCTAAGTATTACCAGATCTTAATTTTATAGTTAAGAATCAGGGAGAGGCTGGGTATCTTGCCCAAAGTCCTAGGGCCAGGAGTGTCACATGATGAAATAAAATAAGAAACACTTTGAAGTCAGAAAAACCTGCGTGCAATTCCTAGCTCTGTCCTTCACTGTGTAACTATGGACAAACTGCTTAATTTCTCTAATTTCCTCATCAAAAATTAGAATATTGCTTAACTTCTACAGAAATTATACAGAAAATAAAATCACAGAATGTCCATTTTGGTGCGAGACTTACAGTAGCATTTAATAAATGCTAACTGATGACTACTGTAAATGGTGACACTGGAATTTGAACATAGCCTCCTAAAGCTATGATTCTGATGACAACCCAGTACATCTAAACTGAACCTAGGAAATGAGACACTATCCTGTAGTCTCAATTACTATTAAAATGAAAAAAAGCAGGTGTCAAGCAAAACCTTTAAACATTAAGCTTTATTAGACTGAACCTGGAAATACTGTCTTCGATGAAAATTTTGTATGTAGAAAGAATTTCATTTTCGATGGAAATTTTGTATGAAGAAAATTTTGTATGATCTACATTACATATGACAGAACTATTTTACTATAAGATTTTAATCAAATCTTAAGCAGTGGGAAGAATACTTATCTTATGATTTACTTGTGTAAAATAAAATAAATCAGTGCCTGGGATTAATTTCCCACTGATTTCTTAATTAGCCATCCAATAAGAATGAGTGGGTACACACAATATGTTCTAGAAGCCTAAGTGTAAGAAACGAATGGTGTTCCCTGGTCAGATGCTATAACAACAACAACAACAACAACAACAACAAAACAGAGGGCTCTCTCCATGAGACTATATGAGGCCATTTCCATTTTTAAAAAGACTGGTCTACAACAGGTAGAATGACTGCATTTCAGGTACACACCTTTCTGCATAATAATATTGTCTTCAGTAATTGCTTTTCCTCAAGCAACAAAAAGTCCAAATCACCTATAATGCATAGTAGAATATCATAATACAATTACTAAAGAAAAAATTGTTTACAAGGTGAAAATGTTTGCTAATTTTTCAACTTAAACAAATTTCAGTAACTGTAAAAAATATTTAATACAGAGTTGAGGATTTTAAAAAAATTCACTACTGAAGGTATCATATCCACAAGTATCTGAAATCACATTCTTCTTGTAGTCCAGTTAGCAACTGAGGATCTTCAAATAAATCCTAATCAGAAATGTTAGGAGTATGTTTAATTTTATTATTTTATTTTATTTTTTTGAAATGGAGCGTCGCTCTTGTTGCCCAGGCTGGAGTGCAACGGCATGATCTCGGCTCACCGCAACCTCTGTCTCCCGGGTTCAAGCAATTCTCATTTCTCAGCCTCCAGAGTAGCTGGGATTACAGGTGCTCACCACCACGCCAGGCTAATTTTTTGTATTTTTAGTAGAGACAGGGTTTCACCATGTTGGCCAGGCTGGTCTCAAACTCCTGGCCTCAAGTGATCCGCCCCGCCTTGGCCTCCCAAAGTGCTGGGATTATAGGCATGAGCCACCGTGCCTGGCCTAATTTTATAATTTTAAAAGGGAAGTTGCTTAAAGGAACTTTATATCTAAAACCATTTAGTAACGATATTTTATAAGTATTTCTTAATCCAGTCTCCTATAAAAACAGTGATTTTTATTAATGCCTATTAGCATTACTTTTATTACTATTCCTTTTTAAAATGTAATGTCAGGTCATCTTTGATAGTTAAAAAAAGGATAAAGAGAAAAGCACAATTAGTACTTATGTAATGGTAAGTTATGATAAAGACAGAACAGAAAGCCTACTCTGGTTTCCTGCATAAATGGAGAAACATACTTTCATGTTACTTTTCGATGTGCCACCTCACGATGGGAAATGTAATTTGCTCAAATTTTCAAGTAACTTTAAAAATGCAATAATTTTCTGGTTTTACAGAGAATGTGTTAACGGCTCAATAGAGGTTAATTTTTCCTACTAAAATCATTTCTTTTTTGTTCACATCTCATCCCAATGGGTCACTACTATAAATTACAACTTAGTCTGATAAAGAAACTAGCTACCCGTATCTGAAAACTCCAATTTTCTGCCTAGTGAACTGAGTTCAGTAGTGGGCAACTTTGTAAAATGGGAAATCTTTCCTGCTTCTATTTGACTTTTGTGCAATTTGTATTGCTTTACTGAAAAAGACAAAGTTAATTCCTAAGGCCCAATATGATGAGTCTGCTCTACAGGTAATTTTCAAGACACAGTAGATGATTTAAAAAATAGAAGCACACTGCTGAGAATAAAGTCAATTGTGGAATCTAGTATCCGTGGGCCTTTTTATTAGTGGGAATGGACCACAGCACATTCTTGGTGCCTAGTCCATAGTAAGCACTCCACAGCTGTTGCTGAATTGAATGAATGTGCCTGGTTTCTGCTGGCTCTGGACTTGAAGTGTTGCCCTTTCCATTTCCATTTCCGGTTACTGCTTTATCCCAAATTGGCTCTAGCCCTTTTGGTCCCTTACCCCATCATGTGTCTTCTCAGCACTTGCTCATGGGTTGATGTTCTAAGTTCTGAACCTGGTTTTTCATGATTCAGTGTGATCTGACCTCAGTCACTGCTATAGCTCTGGTCTGTCAGATGCCGGTTACATTAGGCAAAGGTCAGCTATTTCAATATTTTAGAGATGCAACATAAGTAATTTTGAATTTTAAGTATCACTAGTGATAACAACTTATGATTTTCAAATAAATCCTAATCTGATGTGTAATTTAAAAAATTTAAATCATGTGATATTTAATTTAAAAAACTGAAAGGGAGGTTGAAGAGATTTTTGATCTAATATTTAGAAATGGCATGACTATAACAATTTCATCGACCATTCTCCTTGGAAACAGTGATTTTTATTTAAGATTTCTAATTAATGGCTAATACTCTTATCATTCCAATTCTTTTTCAAATGTGCTTTCAGTTTATATTGTATTCTAAAAAACAAAACAATTAAAACTTATGTAATCTTAGCAATATCAAATTGCTGAGCCCAGTTCAGCTGGGAAAATGTGATGGTGCAGGCCAGATGAAAAATGACCAACCTAGACTAATCCTGCACTGGTTTTCCAATTAAGTTGTGGGAGGGTAAGAGAATGCAATATGTTTTAGAGATCTTGGTACAGTTAATTAAAGGGAAAAAAGGAAGTAAAAAGTAGTTGTGATCTTCTAAATTGTTTAAGATGCAGAAAGAGCGTGAAAACTATCTTTGCTCTTTGTCTGGTTCTGTATTGGGGCAAACTAAATTTAAATCCTGGTCTTAAATGCAACGGCTTTCTCAGTTGGCCCTTTAGCACAATATTCATAAACAATAGAGATCTACCTAAACCAGTGACAAGGAAGTAAACACTCCAGGTCTTCCCTAAAGTAACATATGTTTTTCTGCAATTTTTACTTTTTCCCCTTCAAATCAAATATTTAACATGTACATAAAGTAGCCACAGTTTAAATATTCCAAATTTTATTGAGAACCAAGGTGTAATATTACTTAACAAAGAAAAACTCTTTAAAATATAACGTTTATAAAGCACTCCCTTGCTGTTTCTAAAGCAGTTTAAACGTATGTGTGTTAATTTTTATCTTTCTAACTCAGAGATGGGCAGGGCAGATACTTTGAAGATTTTCATTTTGTTTACAGACAAGGAAACAGACTTATTTGCTGAGTCTCTGAGTGGGCAGTATCATTCTGTATAACACTATATAAAAATGATATTGGAACCTACAATGGTGCCGCCTTTATTATACACCAGTGATAACACTTACTGGAAAACTCTCAAAGCAAGGGTTCAAAATGTTAGTCAGCCTTTCACTAAATACTAGTAAATGGTCAGTACGGCTTCTAAGAGGGTGGTATGAATCTCCAAACTAAAGCCCTAGGTCTTCCTTTCAAATTGAAGAAGAAAATAAAATATAAAAAGGGATTGAGAGGAAGGAGGAGGTATTTGCTTCCCCCCGACCAAAAAAAAAAATTCTATAGTTTTGATTCCACTGAAACAAGTAAAAAGAACTTAATGAGCCTGTACTAGATCTAGAATACTGTACATAAGTATGAATTTATATCAGACTTATCAAAAATCTCATACCATCTACTTTTCAGCTGATTTGCTATAAGTGACCTTTCAATCTTGTTGATAGTTATGATGCCCTCCTAGATTTGTATTCTTTCATCTTTTGCTTTATTTCATGTTTTCGCTGTTAGAAAAGTAAACATTTTTATAAAGATGCATTCTGTTGTCGAATGTCGGTGATTTAATGAAGCTAAAGGCTCTAGTAAAGACATTAAAGACTCCATAGAGGTGTGAGTTTAAATGTCTTATACCTGTAAGGAGAAAATACATTTCTCTCTCTTCCTTGGGATTGTTCTTTGCTAGGTGAGGTATAAGAATTCACTGTTAATTAGCAAGACAGCACACACAGGAAGGTGACGCTTTTGTAAATGTAATGTTAGAGTCAACAAATTCTAAGAGCTAGCATTTATTAAAGAGCTTCAAATAGGGCCAACCTGAGGGCAAAATGGCATTGCAAGAGTTGTGAGCTCCGTTCTTTGGTGTCAGCCTGTTCTTTTCTTGATGTGGATTTGGTTTATGGTATCAGAAAGATGAGAGGGAGAGAGACAATGTGAGCATGTGCAAAGGTAATTTTACGATAATTTCTGGTGGTTCTGAAGTCTTCTGGCTAACATTCAAGGTTTTGCCTCTGTTCCTTTGCCTCAGAACAGTGCCGAGTGTCTAAGTGGGGCAGACTCTGGAAAAAATGTATTTATATTTTACATATAACTACTTATCTCTAGAAAACTCATTATCAGCTTCTCTTTTTCCTATCTAACAAGTCAAGAAGGGCAGTATATATAGATATTGAGGAATAAGGTTAAAAGGAAAGAACTATTACACTACATGTGTATGTCTTTAAAGAGCAAAATATTACATGAAAAAACCAGGGGCCTTGAAAGACTGACATCTTTTTTTATTTGCTACACAGAAATTTTCTGCCTTCTCAATTATTAATAACTTCATATTGTGGCTTTATATGGTGTCATAAGCTGCTAGAATCATAATTTAGTAGCTCTAACACGAGGACTGACAACAGCACACAATTTCCAGTGATCACGACACCAAGCAGCCCTGTTCCATTGCTACTGAGGGCCCAACACCTTCCCCAGGCTTTTAATTTCATTACGTAACTTCCCATACACTGCACCAAATGACCCCAAATGCCGTGGACATCTGGCTAAGCCAATCTACTGCCAAACTACCTAGTAGCTAACTATGTAGTTTCTTTATTTTAAAACTTGCAAGAAAACAACTCCAGGAAGAGGATAAACTTTTTCAAAGTTTTGTCTTTCTGCTCTTGTATTCCTGTTTATCCAGACTGCTTCATCCATTTTGGCAAACTAATCTCTGAAGCCTCAGTAGTTCTAAACCCCACTCATCTGCCCTATTCTTCAACTGTTTTCAGTATTTTCTTCCTGAGTCTGTCAAAGGTTGCCATCATTCCTCAGAACTGATCCACCATCCAGTGCTGCCAATTCCTCCTTTTTCACAGAGCTGGGTCTGCTCAAGCAGGTGTCCTCAGCCTCCAGTCTCCATCACCTTTTTCTTTTTCTTTTTTTTGGGGGGGAGTGGGGGACAGGGTATTACTTTGTTGCCCAGGCCGAAGTGCAGTGGTGTGATCTCAGCTCACTATAGCCACAATATCCAGGTTCAAGCAATCCTCCTGCCTCAGCCCCCCAAGGAGCTGAGACTGCAAGCATGCACCACCACGCCTAATTTTTTGTTGTTGTTATTGTTCTTTTTGTAGAAATGGGGTTTTGCCATGTTGCCCAGGCTGGTCTCGAACTCCTGAGCTCTAATAATCCACCCGCCTAAACCTTCCAAAGTTCTGGGATTACAGGCGTGAGCCACCGCACCCAACACAGTCTCCATCTAATAGTCTTCCATCACCTGCCTCCTCTCCATGACAACCTAAATGCCCACCCATCCTTCCCATCCTGCCAAGGCTCAATGTTAGTATTTGATGACAGTCAATTTAGCAATTTCCATTTCTGGTGTCAAATCATTCTCAGTAACATCAAATCACACAAGTTATATGATCATAACTACACCACGAGTGCAAGTTCTCTGAGAGCAGCTTCATGTCCTAGGACTCTTGGGTATGGTTTCTGAGCCACTAGGCACAGAGCAGACATCAAAGAGCTGGAGAGCTAGTAGCATTCAGCTTTGTATGAGGAAGGCCATTCTCCCAATGGTTCTCTGAGCCTGATAGGCTACATCTAATTTTTATCACACACAGGAAATGAAACACAGGAAGATAAAAATTTTAAATAAAGCTTTAGATTAATATCAAGATGTTAAAGAGGTACTTCAGGATAGTAATGGTAATTTTTTTTATATATGAAGTTCATTCCTTAAGAAAAAATAGAGATTACCCAATTTCTTTTCCACTAAGGCAACAGAAATTCAAATTAAGGTTTCAACTTGGAATGGGTAAGAGTTAATTATTTAGAGTATAGCAAGATAACTGTTAAATTATAATGTGCTCTTCCTGAGTATTCTAAAGCCAGAGTTGTTGCCCTACTTTTTGATGGGTAAAAATAGTTGGTATCTGATATTACTCTGTGAGAGGCAATATAGCTGATGTGTTAAGTACATACAATCAGAAGGCCTGGGCTGCCTGGGTTCAAATCCCAACTGCATCTCTTCCTTCTTACTGGGTGACCTTGGACAAGTTATTTACTACATGCACGACTCAGTGGATGGATCTCTAAAATGAGGATAGATAATAACCCCACACATTTGATAGAATTATCAAGAGGATTAAAATGTGAATAGACAATCAAGTTCCTAGCGTAAAGAGCACAAACTCCTCAATAAATACTTATTATTTTTAAAAATTAAAGGATCATACCTTTAAGTCTTGTTAAGAAATAGTCAATGTTTTCCCTATGACAACAATTGTTGAGGGAGTTTAGATTCAACGATATTACCTTTCCAAACTCATGAAACTTTGGCTTAAGAAGGCTATTATGAGAAATAAATGAGATAAAATATGAAGTACTTGGCACAGAGCCTGTACCTGGTAAGTACTCAGTAGCTATTCTTATAGGACCAGGTGGGAGACAGAACTAAGTATTTTTCTCAAAACCACTACTTAAGTCTATACCAAACTATTCTATTAGTACCAATGGGAGAGTTACTTTTTAAATCTTAGGATACAAATCAGATGAAAAGAGCAGGCACATTAAAACCAAAGTAGCTCATGAAAATTTTCTTATAAACAGGCAATTCCCTAAACTAGTTTTTAAGAACATCATAAGTCAGGTGACTGTTCATTGGCTTTGGGTTGACTGCTAGAAAGCTGAGTGCCAAATAAGTGGCCAGACTCGACAAAGGCCTTGAGACATATATTCTTTATATCATCTCCATTCTTGGCTCAGTTTTTCCCTCTCTTGCTCTAATCTTCCCTTCCTGTTGTTTTTTTTGTTTCACTTAAATTTCATTTTGACTCATGGAAATCTGTGAGCCACCTTGGATTATTTTCTGGAACAAGATGGGTTGTAAACAAACACATAAACTTGGGAAATAATTTTCAAAATTACATACTGTGCTCCTGACTTAGAGTTTTCAAATTTGCCATGTGAAGTTGTACCTTGATTTAAAATTTAAGCTACAAGCAGCTGTCTTTGGATAATACTAATTTACTTTTGGCTCACACATCCCTATTTCAAATCATTTTCTAATAAATTACTTCAACATATTTTCCACTTTGGAGAAACAAGTGGCATGGTGACAGAAACAAGGGCGAACCCCATTCACATAAGTAGTTACCAACAACACATCAACCAGTGTTCTCTGAGCACCTGCTGCAAGCTGGGTGTTGCCTCTGCACTGGTTTGCAAACCAGATTCCCTCAATATCATGTTTGGTTTGGGGCTCTGGGCTGATTAACATTCATAATAATCAAGGCATAATGATAAAGAACCAAACCTAGGATTGAAAACTGCATAGATTCAATAATGTCTGAAGTTCAGCAAAAATGGTGAATCATCAAAGTAACTAAGACTTTTCTGTGTGCAAGTTGGAAATAGAAGGAGAGAGACTAGTTATTCACACACGTGTGCCACGCATGCACTCAATGTTCTAGACTTATGTTCTTTAAGGTTCTAACGTTGGCCTGCTCTGTCTCTCTGAATACTGATTTCTTGGCCATCTGCATCCACTTTCATGGATGATGATTCTGAAATCCTTATTTTTAATCTTGCCTTGTTTCCCAAGCTTCAAAATTAGATATCCAACTACCTCTTAGATATACCTGAATGTCCCATAGGTACTTCAAACTTGTCCTAAACCAAACCTCATCCAACTCCCCTTTATCCTAACAATGGTTTTTTTCCCCCATAGCCAATCACCTTTTCATATGTTACATAAATAACTCATTTGTTATGCTTAATCTTTTCATCACCCCCTCACTAGAATGTAAGCTCTACCAAGGCAGGGATCGTTGTCCAAGATGTCTCCAGCTATGCTTAGAAAGGTACCTGGCATTTAGTAGGTATTGAGTAAATGTTTGCTGAGCAAATGAACCTTTCATCCCTTGCCCTCAGAGCTGCCCCTGCTCCAGTATTCCTTATCTCAGTGAACGGCGTTAGCAGCCAAGCCTGGGGAGTCATCCTAGATCTTTGCTTCTTCTCTTCCAATATAGAGCTGTCCATGCTACTTTTCAGATGGTCTTACTATCTGCCCGCCCTCTCAATCCCTGATAGCCCTGGTCTAGGTCCATCCTAGGTCATTTCTAGCTCAAGTGATGAAAACAGCCACCATTTAAACAAGTATACCTCACAACAGCCAGATCTTAAGTGCAAAACTGAGCTTATCGTTCTGCTGCATGAAAACATTCAGAGGTTCTGTTTTGCTTAAGGATGAATTCAGACCTTCCTTGGAGTCCAGGACCTGGTCCCAATCTGCTCATTTAACCTCACTTCCTATCACTTCACATATGAAAGTTTATACAGTGGTAACACAAAATTGCTTCTGGTGCCCTGTGCAACAACAGTCTGTTCTTAAGGTCCCTCAGCAAGGCCAAGTCTGATCTCTCAAGATTCAGCATGGGGGTCAATTGTTGGAGAAACCTTCCCTGACCTTTCAGGGTGGCCTAAATGTCATGGCTCTATGTGTTCCCATAACAACCAACTGAAGGGATATCACACATCTGGGCAAACATTTGCCATTAGCACGACAGCCTTATGCTTATGGAAGGAGGAAAGGAGTGTTCATTAAAATCATAGATATAACCTACTGGGTAGGTATTTATTTAGGCTCTTACAGTAAATAATTAGAAAGAGTCAGGTTACCTGGTTCCTAAATTCTGAAAAAGGAGAAAAGAAAAAATATCTTTAAGGTGTTTCATAAGAAAGCAGTAAGCAGACAGTCCTTGGTTTCCTATATCTGACACAGCAAATATTGTGGTTGTGACAATAGGCTCAGATGCTCATAAGCTTCCTGTACATGATTCATGGAAACACCAGGGACTGTATCTTAAATCATTAATTAAAAACATCTAATAAATATACATTAAATTATTCCCCCTACTTTATCAGTTAACTGTACATTGCCAGCTATAAGGAGATAGCTATATTTGAATTATTACGTAATATTAATATTAATAACATTCTGATTTAGCTTGAGTCCACTACAATGAAGTTCTCTGTTTTGTGGCACAAATGCTCACTGCCCCCCCCCAACACACACCTCCCACCTGCTGGCACCCTCACTTGTTCTTCCCTCTTGCTCATGAGTGTGTGCACACACAGCATTGACAGGGATAATGTGGTTTATGACACAGTGAAACACACTTTCCTCTGGAACTGTTCAGTTTACTCATTAATTTTAAAGAACCAAAGAAAACTAATGATTCATAAACCACTACATTTCCTTAAAAATATTTTCTCTCATAGAATACACAATCATAAATTTAAAGATCTTTAAAATGTATGCTGTGAACTGAACTACATGGAAAAGAAATGAGGTACTCGTTCACAGGCTTGGCTGTCTGAAAATATTGCCTATTTGAAAAACCCCAAGATTAACTTGTAATTGTATCTTTTACAGCCATTTAGTTTCAAGATATAGACCTAAGTCTCTTCCTTCAAGGGAAATGTGTGAGTGTGGAAACTGACATCATACAATTTGGCTGACCTTACCAAAATATGGACTCTTAGGTCTGCTTAAACAATTTAAATCCAGTTGACTTTACATAATAATGAGCTCTCTTTCTCTTTTACAGCCATATAACTATTTAGAGATTTGTGGTAGCTGTGTCTTCCAGACACTGCATACATACTGAGTCTTCAAAAAGGAAATTAGGTTATAAAATAGTGTGCTGAATCTAGTCAACTCTGTTCACTGAGGAATCACAAAGTAAAAAACACAGATGAGATGGAACTAATGGCAATTTACAGTTGGAAAGAAACTAAGAAAGTCAAAATTCAGACAAAAATGAGAAATTACAGATTAGAAGTCAAAAGGCCTACACAAATTCTTCAGCTAATTCAATTGACAATTTACTGGGTGGGGGAAGTCATCCAACCTTGATTGCTCTTATGTCACATGGAAATTCATTCAAACATTTATTTGGTGGCTACTAAATATCCACAGCCTTGCTAGATTATTGAGATAAGACTCTGCCTTCTCTAAAAACTTCTAACAGAAGAGGCAAAGCCTGGTTGAGGGCTCTCAGTATTTTCTCAACTGTGAGACTCCCAACTGTGGGACTGCCACAGAGGCTTGTTACAGGAGTAAATCTCAACAGTTCAGTCTGCACTGGAAAAGCCCCTCTAGGACATTTCCACAGATCCCCATTCTCCACACACAGCCTTTGAGAACTGCTAGTTTAGAAGGATCTTGCCACCTCAAAGGGCAGCTCTCAGGACAAAATAACATTACAGGAATAATGAAGATCTAACAAAGGAAAATGAAGGACTGAAAAATGACGACCTAACAACTCAATGTGGTTGTATCATTTACATCATCTCTCTACGTGAACATCACCAGGAACTTTGGCATTTGTTCATAGAGGATAGTAATAATCTAGTATTTTGGTGCTACTTTATAATTTATAAAATCTGTACAAACATTTTCAGGTAATTTTTCACAGCAATGTTCGGGTAGGGCAACACTACTTCTCCATTTATAGACAAAGAAACTGAGGCCCAGAGAAGTTTTAAATAACTTGCCTTAATCTCACACCTAGTGAGTGACGTAAAAAATTAAAACTAGGTTTCTGACCCTTGAAGCCAGTCTAGCTTCCACCACAAGGGAGAACCCTTTTTTTAAGTTATTATTATTTCTTTAAGACAGGAAGGTTCTGAAAATCTTCAAGGCAAATAAGTGATTCAAATTTAAAATGAACGTATAAACCATTTGTAAGGTACAATAATATGGCTACTAACTGACATTATTGGCAAATAAGTTATTTTGGAAGACAGTTCTAAGTGTTTTTATATTAAATGTTTAAGAAGAAGAAAATAAGAACACACATACATCCCATTAAACAGAGCACACACACACAAAAATTTATACTTTAAAATCATAATTTACAGTCTGCATAGTCACTGCTATGCTATTATAGCAAGCTTTAGGGTGACACACTCTAGATCATAAAGCCTTAAGGACATCAACTCAAAACTCAGGCTGGTGTGTTTTTCCTCTTGTCTGCTCTCTAGGGATTATCTTCATGTTCTGTTCCTGGTGCCATTATTTCCTTTTAGCTTTAAATGACTTCCCTCAAATCAGCTCCCTCTACCCACTTTGCCCAGAATTCTCTGCTTCTGTAATCTAACGAGGGGCTTAGGGATGTCAAGGGACATTGGAAAACAAACTTAGTAAATATTTAAATATACAAACATACATCCATACATATATATGTATATACATACAAAGTCACATATATACACAGACTAAGACTACTAAACTGTGCCTTCTTAGTGCTTAGATCACTTCCTTTATTAGAGTCAAGGAGGCATGAATAGACTAACATATAGGTTATAATTTTCATGAACTCAAGAACTGATATGGCAAAATAGCAAGGCTATATTATGAGATTTAGAATCCAGACTTTAGGTTAGGTGTAGGTTTGGAGTCCTATGACTTGAGTAAGGGTCTAACTTTGGCCTTAGGATTAGGAATAGATTGGGTGGACTAAGTTTGATCCTAAATGTCTTCATCTAGAAAAGGAAAATAAAATGACACCTATATACCATGATTTTGTGAAATGAGTTTTACAAATATTATAAAGTTTTATAAAAATAATCTCATTAATTAAAAAATATTTTATATAAAGATAGCCATCTTTTTCACATATTTAATCTCTCTCATACACATGGGATAAAAGAGTAAACTAACAAAAAATACAAAAACACAAAAACAAATAGGTCTTTACTCTCATGAATTTTAGATTTTAAATTAACAGCATTGTTTCAAGCAGGTGAATGATTAAAGTCTAATTCCCAAATCAATACAAAATAAACTATATTAATACAAGTCTTAAAAGGCATTTACCAAGTTTCATTATCCATGGATCGATCAGCTTTCCAATGAAGGAAAAAGTTGCACCTGCATTTAGGTTTTTGTATGTTTATAACTGAGTTATAAAAATAATTCCCTAGGTAATTCCACAGAAACTACTTAAAACAAGAAAAACTAAGCAAGAACTTCTAGAAACCTTTTGCTTCAGAAGTAGAGAAGGGGCAGATTCTACAAACAGCCAAAATGTGGGTTCTGACATGAAGGTGGATCTACAGGTAGGGCCAGCTGGCCAACTGCCTGCTCCAAAATGTCCTTCTCCACATCACTTTATTTTGACATACCACTTACTTTGTTTACTAATTAAGTGAGCCAGAAAGAGGAATTCTTACATTGGAAAGCACAAAGTGGCCTTAGAAAGATGCCAGATGTAAATCTCACCTATTTATCTTTTACTGAACCAATCATCTAATTAAGGAAAGAGAGAAGGAGGCAGGGGAAGCCTCACAAAAGCAAACTGACTTCAGTATTGTGCAAATTTATTTTTCCTACTTTCTGAAAAATTGGCCTTCTGGTAACAGAACCCACATTTTCCTAAGGGAAACGTCCTTCCCCATTCTTGGTCTAGATGGTTCAGGTTGTCCGACTCCAGCCAGAACCAGCCTATCTGATCACTACATTTTCCAGCCACAGGCACTGGGGCAGAGGTGGGCATGTGAGCCAAGTTCAATCTGAGGAGATTCCACTGGGAGCTTTTATAGGAATTGCTAGGAACAGAAAACCTCTTTTTAATGGAGGTCTGGTAGCTGTCTCAGCACCATGAGAGAACGTGCATGAGAACAGAGCCAGAACAAAACCAAGCGACTGAGCGAGCGGGATTGAGTTCTAACGACCTGGCTTAAGACCATGGCTTGCCTGAAGCCAAGCCTACGCTGGGACTTTCCAGTATGTGAGCCAATGAATTTCCATCGGTGCTTAAGCCAGTTTGCTGTATTTTCTATCACCTGTAACCAAGAGCTCATAATCCTGAGAAAGAATTACTGAGCTCCTTTTACCAATTCAATGCTAGGTTTGAGGACTACCAAATAATTAATTGTGTAAATAATGTAAAAATCATGTAATATCAATTAATGCAAAATCAATCTCAAGAGAAAGAATAATTACTTGGTTAACTTTTTCATTCCACAACTAAAGATATGACCTTGTGGTCTCTGGCAAAACACAGGGAAAACATTCAAGCCACTTATGTTTAAGCTTCTGAAGCACCAAGTCATCTCTAAGAAAACTTCTCTGAGAAATAAACCTTAGGGAGTCTTCATGTGGAGCCCCTTAGTGAATGTAATTGTCCATTACACAATGAATCTTTTACTAATAGCAAAAATTCTACACTTTCACCAGACATAGTTTGCAACATCAATAAAACCATCTGGTCTAAGTCTGATGGTAACTAACTGCTTATAAGTGAGGATGGGGAAAGGTAAAAATAAATTAAAGACCATTTCTCCTTAAGGAGTACGATTTTGGGGCAGAAGCAAAAGCTAGCCTAACTGTGCATAGTGAATCTCAGTCAGGTTTTTCATTTAATATGCAAAATTTGGAAACTTTCAGGAGGAATAAAGGTGAGACTCACACAGGGACCTGGAGCTTGAACCAGCTGGTAAATGAAATTATTCTGTATGAAACACAAATCACAGACTTGATTCTGATATTAACGTTTTAATTTGCCACAAACACATATTTATACAGAAACCCAGAAAAGGCAGAAATCATGTATTCTGTGTGTGCCTAGTAAAACTTCTATTCCAGATCACATAAATTAAATTTACAATGACAAGGAATTATTTTTCTGAGTCTTACTGAAAAACAAACTGTGACAAACAACAAAAAATCCTCTTTGGTTGATCCTTGCTCAGAATTTCAAATTTTGCTCATTAAATATTGCTTTGTGGAAAATCTCCAGGTGGTTTTTATACAAGGCACTATTACTGTTTATCACTGACAGATTAAATCAAAAATCTTTTTGAAGAATTCCCAATAATGCTATAGCATTAGCTGTACAAGTAAACTACACACTAGGAAAAAATATGTAAAAGGAACACCCACATGAACATTTACCTTCCACTGCTCTTTTGAAGAAAACTTTGCAGCTGCCACAGGTGACTACCCCATAATGGCATCCTGAAGCCTCATCCCCACACACCAAACATATTTTTGAAGGTCTTGAAGATCCAGTAGAAACACTTCGTAAAGTAGAGCTGGGGAAAGAAATTGAGATTTAAATAACTACACCGTAAAGGCACATTTAACATGCTGCACAGCTTAGCTCAAAATTTGTCAATAATCATGGTTCGATACAAGAATTCAGTGTGTAATGACCACATACTATGTGACTTAGCAAAATAAAGGTAAAACCCGATGAGTGGAGCAATGCTATCAAGGTTATTGTGTAGCAAAGCCTCTTCTCAGTACTGAGAAATAAGAAATAATCAAATGTAAATCTCTTTCCTTCTTTTCCTATTTTTGGAGAAGGTTTATCAAAAAATCACACTATTTGCACTTTAAGTGGGCAGGGCAAAGAATCTTGAACCAAGTCATCAGGGATGTATTTGCTGTCCTTTTATTTTTGCATCAAAGAGCTATTATAATATTACTCAACACTCTTCAGACTCACAGATCTCAATTATGCCAAAAAAATTTTAAACCTCCCCTTTCCAAAATAATCCACTAATTTAAAAAAATTTTATCTTGTCTCAACTGCCAGTAATTTTATCCCTCTAAGCTCCCGCATTTTTTCATGTTATCTTATATAGATGTGTTCTAATTATTTCATTTTGCTTTCTAATTTGAAGGGACACAGCCAATAATAAAACAAAAAACCAAACAGGGTAAATATCTCAGGTATCTTTCATGGTAAGAAACTGAAGGGCTCTCTGGGAAACAGTTTTTAGGGACAAATGTAACCCTTTAGGCAACAATCTGTTTGAATACTTTTTAAGGGGAATCTTCTCAAGATATATTATATAGTACTGTGTTAGTTGATGACACTCCCTAAACAAAATGTTTTAACTTCTGATAAGGAATCATAGTTCAGTGACAGTTTAGATATGTACCAAGCAGGCAAACAAGTTGATTTTTCAATTTGCAGTTCACATACATTTCTTGAATATTTACCTGCAGATCCTGTGCAAGATACCAAGAGAAAAAATACAAAAATCCAGTCTCTGCCCTCAAAGTTGGTGGGGGCATAAACTATTATGAAGATCTAGTAGCAACACTTCATAAAGTAGAACTGGGGAAAGTGCTATGGTGCACTATGGTCAGCGCTATGGTGCACTATGGTAAGCGCTATGGTAAGCCCTATGGTGCACTATGGTAAGCGCTATGGTGCACTATGGTCAGCGCTATGGTGCACTATGGTAAGCGCTATGGTAAGTGCTATGGTGCGCTATGGTAAGCGCTATGGTGCGCTATGGTAAGCCCTATGGTGCGCTATGGTAAGCGCTATGGTGCGCTATGGTCAGTGTATGGTGCGCTATGGTCAGTGCTATGGTGCGCTATGGTAAGCGCTATGGTGCGCTACGGTCAGTGCTATGGTGCACTATGGTAAGCACTATGGTGCAGGGTAACGGGGGCAGCACACTATGAATAAAGGAATTACAAAACACTTCCCGAAATGTGACAGCTAACCTGAGTTTTGAAGCATGACTAGGTGAGAGCCAGAGTAAGAAAGGGGGCAGAGGTGGAAGAATGTGCAGAAGGGGGCTCAGAGAAATGGGAGCTGGATGGGCTCAGAAAACTGGATAGAGTTGCTGTATGTCACTTCTATCACCTTGCTGTCAAAGCTTTTGCCTCCAAGCCAAACAGCAGAAACATGGAAAAATGTCAATGAAAAGGCTAAAATGGTTATGTTACAGTGAAGATTTATTTTTCAAGTCTGCTAAAATGTGATAATAATGCGTTAATATTTGTTTAAAGTATTTTGAACTATACTCTCACGAAAAACAGAGGAAAGAACAAGCTATACAGCTGCTTAGAGCATGACTGCCTTTCTAGAAAATGACTTCTTAAATCAAGGACTGAAATAATGTTCTCCAAAGTTGTTTCTCCTTCTGAGAAAAGTGCTCTTTATTATTTTTATTGGTATCCTTTGACTTCTTTATGGCATTCAAAACATTCCATTTCTGCACCAGTAACTTCTTCAACATATTAGCCAGTAAAACTTAATCCATACCCTGTCTGACTCATCTTACACTTCACAAGAAAATGCCACGGTTTTGTAAATATTTAGAATATAACTTAAAATCATCATGAAAATGTAATTGCTTTTTCACAACTATAAGCATAAGCGGGATTTTTATTCGACATTTCTGTGGGCCTTGATCCCAGTACTATTTTATTGGGATCTTACCTTCAGTCTTTGGAACTCTCCTCTTTTTCTATCCCAACTTACTTTCTCGGTGATCTCATCTAGTCTCTTGGCTTTCAATATCACCAATATGCTGGCAACTTCCAAATATTTATCTCTAGCCCAGACCCCTCCCTGGAATTTCAGACCCATTTATTCAACTGCCCACGTGGTATCTCCACTTGGGTGTCTAACACGCACCTCAACCTCAACATGGGCAAAATTGCAGATCTTTCCCTGCCTCCAAACGTGTTCATTTCACAGATATCCTCTTCTCAGTTAACGGCAACTACTATGGATGGAACTGTGTCCCCCAAAAATTCATATGCTGAAGTCCTAGCCCTTAGTACCTTGTAATGTGACATTATTTGGGATTAGGGTTGTGCAGATGTAATTAGTTAAGATGAGGTCATACTGGAATAGGGTGGACCCCAATCTAATAGGACTGATGTTATTATATACAGGGGAAATTGGAACATAGACACCTGCATGAGGAGAACACCATGTTTAGATTAAGGCAGGGAGTCCGTGCTTGGGCTAAAAAGCATGGACTTGTCTCTGACCCTTCTCTTTCTCTCACACAACACCCCTAGCCCTGAATCTGTTAAATTTTATTCGTTTTATCCACAGAACATATTCAGATTCTGATCAATCTCCAAACACTCCTCCAGCACCATCTACTTCGAGCTGTCAACACCTCTTACCTGGGATTCTGCAGAAGCTTCCTAGCTGATCTTCTGGTTTCTCTTTGCTCTGTTCCCTGCCACCATCTCCACTCCCTGACAGCCCCTGCCAGAATGACCCTTATGCATTCATTCCTTTTCTTTTATTTCTATACTCTATCCCTTAATGATCTCATCCACAATCCTAGCTTCAAACAGCTCGCTTGGTGAATGACTTTCCAAATCCTTACAGCCAGCTCCAACCTCTACCCCGTGTTCCAATTTCAAGTCTGCCTTATTAGCTTCTTGAGCATATCATGCTCAAAACAATATTTACTTTCTTTCTCCAGATTTTGATGTTGTGAAAGAGTACTGCCATCTGCTAGTTACCCAGGTTCAAACCTTGTACTCTTTCCTCAACTATCCAATCTAATCAGTTACCACCACGTCCTGCTCAGTCCAGCTTTGCAAACTCTCACATAGCTTCTCTGCATCCCACTGTTGGTAACACTGGTTCAGGCCCTTGTTACTTCCCAAGGGTTCTTCCATAACTCTAGCTTTTCCTTCCAGTTCATTCTACAGTGACTGCTGACGAATCTGAAGATAAAGGTTCTGACTGTATTACTTCTATGCTTAGAAATCTTCAATCATCCCTTCCGAATGCCACCATAAATAAAAATCTTAGTAGGACACTTAAAGTCTTTCTCCCTACTATCAGTCTTCTCCTTCAGGGTCTAATCATAATGCTTAACCTTATGCTCAGCACATGCCAACATCCCTGTTGAAGTGTTCTGGTCAACCACCATTTACAGGACCTAGCATTTCCTCTCCCTCACTCCCACTGGAAACCCTGTCCATCATTAAAGGGCCCTGATGTTCCCCCAGCATGAAGTACCACTCTCCCTTCTCCTAACTCCTTCACATTTTGCTAATCCTTCTCCTTTAGCAGTTACCACTCTTGCTCTTGTATTAGTGACTTGTGCACTTATCCTAATCCCTCGAGGGCAAAAATTTTATTGTATGCATCTCTGTGTTCCCAACGCCTTTAGCCCAGTGTTGGTACTATTTATTGAGTGAATGAAATCACACTCCTAATCTCATTACAGTAGAACATAAATTTACAAAAGTCAATTTTACAGAAGGTAAATTAATGAGGCCAAGGTTATCAGTTCAATTCCCATATGGTTCATTTAGCTTTGCACAGAGGAAAAAAAGAATCCAGGGACAGACTATTGTCAAAAGCTCAGCCAGCTGTCTTGCAAACATATGCATTATTAACACAAGAGACAGGTCACAAAAATAGATGGGTTTGGAAAACTCTAGTCTCTATTGACACACTATCATGTGGTTATCTTTGAAACTAAAAGATGGCACATGGTTGGAAAATTGTTTGCATCCAGTTTTAAGAAACACATTTAGATTATACATATCACAAAATGGGGGGAGGCAGATCTTGAACTCACCTTCTTCTTAGACACTGAATGTCTTTAAAATACAAAGCATGTTTAGTGATTTGTATGTCAAAATTCAACTTCAGAGAATAATAAATTTACCAAACATCTACACATAGCATGTAAAGCCCAAACTGAGGGCCAAACATGCAGGGATCAAAGACAGGAATGGAGGCTCACTAAGGAGGCCTGGGCTCTAGTTCTAGCTCTGCCATTAACTGGTGAAACCTTTGCAAAATCACCTCTCCTCTCTGGGCCATAATTCTCAGCAAAAAGAGGTTCAACAGATGATAGCTAAGATCCTTTCCAAGATATCCTTTTAAGATAAAAGTATAAAAATAAATGGAATAGCCTGTCCTGATCAAGTTTAATCCAAATTGAGCTCAAACTCAAATTAAAAACAACGTATTCTGAAACCCAGCAAACACTGTTTGATCTGGATCAAACATAAAAAATGAATAAAATATTATTCTTTCTAAATCAGCTAATTATATAACACTTAAAATCTTTTTTACATTGATATAATATCTGTGCTGCTGATTTTGGTTAAAATGTCTGAATAAATGTAAGCAATAGATGGTATTCTGCATCCCTCCAAACCATTTTAATATTGAAGAGTTAGAAAAAACTACGAAAACTCATCATTTTGGGGGTTAATAATCAAAGAAACATTGTTCACAGAAAGAAGTTTATCATCAGCAAAGGTAGTTCAGAGGATTTTATACAAATGTTAAAATATTATAAAGGCAGAAATGAGTGAAAATTTTATTTCCATTTGTAAAGACAGTATTTCTCTTAGGGAAACACAAGCAAGCTGCAACTATTTTCAGTACTAAATATACTCCATCTAATGACTCAGTAAAGAGATAGAAAAGATTAACCAAAGGTTTATACTGATTTTGGTGACAGTCAGGAGGAAATACACTAGCCAATCATCAAAAACACTTAGTGTGCTATGTTTTTGCCCAAAAGAATGGTGCTTGGGGAGAAGTAACAAGAAGCTACGTAAGAAAAAAAATGATTTTTTACAAATTAAAAAATGCCTGGAGAAATTGGCTCATTGAGAATCTCTAAGGCACCGTGTTGTTCCAGGAATTATCATATGTAAAACTATCTTTCCCATCCTTACAGTAATTTCATAACAAAACAGTAGCGACTGATCCACTTTCAGTGATTAGAAATTCTTCATGTAAAAAATAGTCGTATTTTTTAAACTCACTTAATATGAATTAAACAAACCTATCTTTTATACTATTACTTAATCAGATAAAAGCTTCTACCACCACCATCACCGGCTACAGTGTTTTCTGTTTTTCCATATGTAATCAATTCAAACATTCATTCACCTATCTTAGAGCACAGCGAGAATTTGGAGGACCATATAAACAGCAGATCAGTAAACATCCTCACATACTGATCTGAACATGCTGGTGTGTTTAAATTATTCATTAACTAGGCCAAGTACTGAAAGTCTACGGTGGGCCCCACTGTTCTAAGCACTGAGAAAAACTAGAAGGAGAAAAGTCCTTATCCTCATGGAACTTCTATAGTCATGGCGAATAGAGAGACAATACAGAAGTAAACAAATAATTTCAGATAGAGGGAAGTATTACAAAGAAAATGACAGACACTGAGATTGGACGGGGAGGGTGGGGGAGACAGGATCCATTAAATAAAATAGCTCCAGAAGGCCGCTTTTTTTTTTTTTTTTGAGACAAGAGTCTCGCTCTGTTGCAGGCTGGAGTGCAGTGGTGTGATCTTGGCTCACTGCAACCTCCGCCTCCCGGGTTCAAGCGATTCTCCTGCCTCAGCCTCTAGAGTAGCTGGGACTACAGGTGTGCGCCACCACGCCCAGCTAATTTTTGTATTTTTAGTAGAGATGGGGTTTCACCATGTTGGCCAGGACAGTCTCGATATCTTGACCTTGTAATCTGCCCGCCTCGGCCTCCCAACGTGTTGGGATTACAGGCGTGAGCCACTGCACCCGGCCCAGAAGGCCTCTTTCTCTGGTGATACTGAAATGACAGAGTAGCCAGCCACGTGAAGGTGCCAAAGGTAAGGGCAAGTGCAAAGTCTCTGAGACAGGAATGAATGCAACACATTCCAGAGAGAAAAATGAGGGCAATGGGGCAAAAATGTAGTCAATAAGGAGGAAGGAAAGATGAGAGGGTGCAGGATGTGAGGTCCAAGAAGATGGTGGGGCTGGATCCCATGGCTTTGGAAGGCTAAGGAGGCAGACTATTGTCCTGCATGCCATCAGAGTGCTGTGAACTCTGGAATGTTTTAAGGAGTCAGGTCACATGATCTTATTAACATTTTAAAATCTTACTGTGACTGTTGGGTGGAGAATGGACTGCAGAAGTCGGTGACCTTGGACATGGGCACACCAGCCAAAGAAGCTTCTGCAGTTGTCCAGGCAGGAGATAATAATGGTGTGAAGTAGGGTAAAAGTGGTAAAGACAGTGAGAAGTGGCTAATTCAGAGAAATTTTTTTAAAGTAGACAGTATCAACAGGACTTGCAGAAATACTGGATGGCGACACTATTAACTGATATCTAAGATGGGGGGAAGAGCAGTTTGGAGAGTTACGGGGAATTTCTTTTGGACCTGATAGTTGCAGAACAGTATATAGAGGATGACATGTTCCTATTTTTGTAGATAACAGAATTATAGTCTACCCAAAGGAAAAACTAGGAGCCATATATGTCAGGTTTATTAACTGTGTGCCACACTTTCCTTATCTGTTAGGTAGTGATAGCAAAGGTCCTACCATATTGCATTGTTGTAGATTACACGACTCAGTATATTCAAGAACACTTGGAACAGTGTCTGACAAATAGTGTTATTTAAATTCTGGCTATGATTAATTAGTATTTACCATTCCATCTATAATTCTTTTTTTTTAATTTTTTTTTTTTTTAAAGAGACAAGGTCTTGCTCTGTTGCCCAGGCTGAATTAGAACTCCTGGTTTCCTGGGATCCTCCACCTCAGCTTCCCGAGGAGCTGGGACTACAGGCACAAGCCACCACACCCAGCTAGATCTGTAGTTCTTAATGGTGGCTGCCATAATAGTGGACCTATAGGTAATTCTACCATTCTGTATTATATTCTTCTGTATGGCTTTTAATTTGTAAAACAATGGTAAGCAGAAGAAAGGGTTTTTAAAAAAATAATTTAAAATAATACCACAATAGCCATATTGTTTACTGTATACAGTAAACAGAACTTTGTGTGCATATGGATTTCAACATTTCTTCTAAGAATTCTGGCTCCCCTGGTGTCTGCAGTGTATAGGTTGGGAACAGCCACATTATATCATTAAGATAAATAATTATTGAGATTCAAATATATACTCTTTTATATACAGAACACTAAATCTAAGAAACAGAAGGATTTGGAAACCACCAATATTTTAAAAAATACATTTAACAAACATAAATCAACCTTTAACAACTGTTTTACTGAAATTCTTATTTTCAATACACTTAAAACATACTTTAAAAAGCTCTTTGCTGCATTTCCTTTTGTTTTGAAAGGCTTATATTTTGAGTCACAGTGTTTTTTTTTTTTTTTTTTGAGACGGAGTCTTGCTCTGTCGCCCAGGCTGGAGTTCAGTGGCGTGATCTCAGCTCACTGTAACCTCCACCTCCTGAGTTCAAGCGATTGTCTTCCTCAGTCTCCTGAGTAGCTGGGATTACAGGCACCCACCACCAAGCCTGGCTAATTTCTTCATATTTTTAGTAGAGATGAGGTTTCACCATCTTGGCCAGGCTGGTCTTGAACTCCTGACCTTGTGATCCACCTGCCTTGGCCTCCCAAAGTGCTAGGATTACAGGCATGAGCCACTGTGCCTGGCCTTGAGTCACAATATTTAACCTGAAGTAGCTCCTTCTAATATTCTCATTATTTAGCGGGAATATTTGAGAGCTGTTTTATGTTATATTTTCTTTTATGATATTATCTTTGCTGACAAATGAATCATTTATGTTTGGAAGATACTTCCTAACTAAATAAGGTTCATCCTCTCAAGCCATGATTCACAATGCACTACAGATAAGAATTAAAGAATTGATGTACACCTTACAACCTGAGCTGTTTGAATAAAGTTACTGCTAAACTGAGAAAGTTCGAGGAGATAAATACCTTGGAAAATAATTAAAAATACCTTGGAAAATAATTTAAAGCACAGTGATGACAATTAGTCTTCCACAATTTACTTTTTTGTTTGGGGTACTGGTGCAAGATAAAATTGGAGCTGGGTCAAGAAAAAATTATGCCAAGTGCAGATGATGGCAAAACACACTGAGATCCAAAACTCAAGGAGCTGTACCTTAGAGACAATCACAGAAAATGGCCCAAATCATGGAGGGTCTCTAATGTGAGATTAAGTGTTAATGATTCTAGGACAAAGAGTTGAAATGTCTGGTAAGCAACCAACAACGTGGCATGGAAAATGAAGAAATAGCTTTAAAAATCTACGACGTTAAAGGATACAATTAAGTGACTGATTACAACTTTTAATATGCACAATAGAGACAATGAATGAATAAAGGCCTAGTGAACTGAAAACTCCAGGGACCATTGGACAGGGCAAGCTTGAAAAACATGTTCGACAAGAGAAAGGCTGGAATGTAACTTAAAAGATAGGTTGTCCTCAGAGAGTAAGGACTCCATGTTCTGTTTGTGGAACAATGACTGACTGAGCCTACCCAAAAGCTGAAGTGAAGGGTAGAGAAGATCCTAGATAGAAATCTACAAAAAAACCAACATTTCCAGTTAGGCAGGGAAAGAAGAGCTTGCTAACAAACCTGAGGAAGAAAAGTCCAAGTGGGGGAGCAAGATAAGGCAGAATCTGGGAATCAAAGGGAGGAAAAAGCATCCATGGTGGACTGTGTGTAGTGTCAACTGCCAACAAGAGGACAAGACTGAAGGCTCACCATGGGGATGTGGTCATTGTTGATACTGTTGACCTTATCGACGGTAGTTTTTAAGCATATATGCACATGTATAAGATGCATATGTAAACTATATTAAAGTAAAAAAAAATCACTCCACATCTTTTCTATTAAGGATTTTCCATACTCAGGGAAGTTGTCTTTGTCATAAAACCATATCCGATAGTATGCACTTGAGCATATACAGAATCTCTAAAAAGATCTAACATCAAATCATCTCTAGAAATATTTACCGAGCATGCATATGCCAATCAGCGGTTGCTGATACAATGACTATATCTATGTACAAAAAACAAACAACAAAAAACCCCCCCAAAAAAACAAAACAAAACAAAACAAAAAAAACACCTGTGAGCACAATTTATTTGCCTCTGCAATCTGTGGCATGTGTGAGCATACTTATATTTATTATAAGTTATTCGGAATCCTCAGGGAAGGAATCATGAACTTACTGCCTCATCTGTAGATCAGTACTTTACAACATATATTTTAAGAAAATGACTACTAAATGCTTACTTGAATGTTTTTATTCATAAATACAGTGGCTTTGCTTTTGAAAAAGATTATATATGTACACATGTGTATGTGACATAATGTAACTTTTCCCCCTTTAATATTATCCTTACATTAAGATACAGACTTAGATGCTGATACAGATGGCATGAGACGCTGAGGACTGATGGGTACCGGACCTAATGTGAATCTTGAACACAAGTTATTTAGAGGTTACTGATTTCAGCATTTTTTTTTTTTTTGCTTACCACATTTTCAAAAAGTTGATGTAAAACATGCTTCATCATGCTGACCTTTATCAGCAACAAAATATGGCTTCTTTCTATAAATGTAATTAACAAATCAAAGCTTCAAACATCTTTTTCCCCTAGTGTTTTTCCTCACATTGTAGAAATAATCATTTTCCTTGCCCTTGGTACTGCCCTCTCAATCCACCTCTTACTGATGCTGTGTGTGACTGAGACACAAGAACACAGACACTGTTCCATCGGTCCACTTGCACCCTCTCTTCTACTTCTCTTACACTAAGTTTTTCACAAAGGATAAAAGGATATCTTTTATTATTTCAGAAATTTACATGAGAACACATTTACAGAAGCTCATTCTAAAAATCTATAAATACTTCACAGTCATTAATGACAATTAATGGCAATGTTATAGTGCTTTTGCTGACATGACACCATGCCATATTTATTTCAAACCTACTATCTGACTTTGAGTGGAATTACCACTCCTCAAAATATTTAAAATGGTATGTTAAGATGACATCAAAGAATGTGTTCAAATAAATCATCAGTGAAGTCTTTTGGTATTTTTTCATTAAGAATTCCCCCAGCAGAAAACAGTAGAGGCTTTAAATAAGAGCAACAATAGGGCACTAGTCAGTAGATTTGGATGACTGACTCTGCAAAGAAATTCAGAGCCACCTTTTCTAGTCTAGCCCCAATATACTTCAGGACTGATGAATCATTGCTGTACTATTCCAAAAACGGTTTCCTATGCTCACTTTTAACTGAGCTGCCACAGGAAATAGTTGTTTCCTACCTGTTTTCAAATCCTGATTGCAAAATCAGGAATTCCTTATGGTTCATTTTAACACATTTCTGACCTCTGGCTTTAATGATAAAACCAGATTCTGCTATAGGATAGCATTTCCAATTAGATAAAAATTATTCTTTACTATTATGTGGGCAATAGTGCTCTACTAAGTATGGTGGTCATAGGTCTTCAAGCGCAAACATTAAAGTATGGAGGTGAAGTTGGAAACTGCTTCTTCCACTCCCAGACAGTAGAGTTCTCTTCCATGATCACATTCTCCACGAATTTGAGCTGTTATTTTTAAAATTCTTATTGTTGTTATTATTTTCATATGCTTTGCTTTTTTTTCTGATCCATTTCACTGTTTCCACTTTTCAAGGGAAAATGCTCCTTTAAAAATGATTTTAATAAACCAAACTGAATGCTCATTTCCTGACTTGGCATGACCAGAACAATGAAGGAATCCTGAGTACTTTCTTTGGGTCTTTGTTTTTCTCAGGGTTTGAAGTTTGGGGTTGTTTCTTTGACTTCCTCCCTCCACAAATACTTGAAGCCTAAGGTTTCAGAAAGGCTGTTTTTTTGGCCACTAAGATTTTCGGCACACACTGAACTAGTGCTGCTCCATGTGGCCACACGAAAGTACATAAAAATATAATATTTATTTCCTTAGCCACCATCTTTTCTAGATGTCTTGCACGCTACTCTATTTTTAAGGAAAATTTTTTTAAAAAAAGCAAAAACTACCAAATACTCTACCTCTTTCCATCTCTGTCCCCTTTCCACCTGCCCGCATCCTCCTCTCATATATATTTTGGCTTTGAGAAAAAAACTATCACTATTAGAGCCGTGGGTATACTTGGCCCTTATTAGAACAGATATTAAAATTATTTAAACATTTAATTTAAATTAAAAGGACTATTTAGATATTTGCCAGTGGTTGGAGTGGAAGAAGAAAGAACTAATCAGGGCCTGGCTTCTTTCTAGCTCATTCATTAGCTAACTAGTACCTCCCTCTTCACCTGATTTCTGTTGCTGTCCTGGTATTAAAGAATAAGGATAGTTACTTCCAAATATCCACCTAAACCTGTAGATTATATATTATGAGCAATAAGCAGGTATTGAAACAGTTATCTTCTCCCTCTATTTATTTATTCAACACAACTACTAAGCAACTAATGTATACCAGGCACTGTTCTAGGTCTCTTGATATGTATCAACTAACCAAACACACAAAAATCCTGATAATTAGAACTCATATTCTAGTATGAGGGAATAGCAAGGGGTGGTGGCGGTTTGCAGACAAATCCCTCCTGGAAAGTAAAGGAATATTAATATATACATTAACTTCTATGACAATTCCGCATTACCTCCTCACTCTTACAAAAATGTATCAAGCCTGTTTAAAATAGCTTTTCTTGAAAGCAAGAAAAATCAAAATGAAAGTTCCAAATTCAGTTAACTCAATGTAACATCTGTTTCTTACAAATGAGATAAAAATCATGTAGATTCAAGAAAGTGCTCTCAGGAGTACTGAGTGAGGATTGAATTAGATACCTTTATTATTTAAGCCTGTGGTGTGTGTGTATAAGTGTGTGAAAGGACCCTTGGAATTTATTTAAGTCTATATTCTAGTCTTTTCTTGCCTTCAGTGACATGTGATAGTCCTTCAAATAAAAAGACATCCATATTTTTACTACTGGCTTTACTGCTCAATTTAAGTATTTTCCAAGGTTACAAAAATTTGTACTTAAAAACGATAACTGTTAAGTATACCAAAATAACTTTCATCTTTTGCCTAACACTCTTAAAAGCAATTACGGATGTTTTTTTCAGAAGTTTTTAAAATAAAAGTTAGGCTTTTGTCTTTGGCGCAGGTCTGAGAAAAGATGAAAAAGGTTTTGAAAACAAGGCAAATGGGATACATATCAAAGCAAACATGATATTGTTTAGGGGTCAGAAGTAAGTAGTTCCACTGGCATTTGCAAAAAAAAGAAAAAGACTTCAGTATACCTATAAATAGTGATAGAAAAAGATAAAGAAGTTGAAGTAGGCTGTTTCTTTCGTTTTAACTGCAAGAAGGCAAGAAATAGTGAAGTACCTTTGATCAGTCTTGCTTCAAATGTCTTCGTGCCATGTACCGGGGCCAGATGAGAAAAAGAAGGATAGTCATCAATACCACCTGACCACCCACCACAAAGATATGAGTGAGCCTGGCCTTTCTCCCTCCATTTTATTAAATGGAAATACCTAAAGTCAGATGGATGAAATCTCCTATGTTTGATTTCAATGCCACTGGAACATGAAATTAGGATTGCTAAATGTTTCGACTAGATTTCAAGGACATTATATCAAGGACATTATATCTTCGTCTATTAAAACTGTACCACCAATGCCTGTTTATGATGAAGATTTTGAAATCTATGGCAATATTCCCTTTCTTGTGCTTGAAACAATGTATACAGAATATTTACTCTTTGTGAGAAAGAGATTAATATTTTGAAACATAAGTGACAAAACACACATGTATACACACATGTATATACCTAAGCAACAATTACCAAGCTTTAAAGATTATGGTCGCTAAATTTTTTTATATATAGTAAAATAATGTTAAGGGATCAGATGGCATGTTGGGTTTTTTTTCTTAATTTAGTAAAACTTACCCAAACTGAAATATAATTTTCAAAGAGCTACAAAAAACAAGGGAGTCAGCCCCAGGGGTGCTGGCTGTCTTCCCAGCACAGTGTATCACAAGGACAGGAGGGAACTTAGAAGAGCCAACACAGACACGAGAAGGAACACAGGGCTGAGACAGCAAGGTAGTCAGGAAGCAGAAAGACAACCAGAAGCAGAGAAGGTACACACCAGGTCAAGGCTAGGAACTAGCTAGAGCCAGTGGGCACAGAGCATGACTAAGGCAAAGCTCCAAGTTGGAAGGGCTATCAGAAACCAGGCAACAGAATCACGGTGATCCTGCAGTGTGCACAGGGGGGTCACGCTGTGGAGCAAGAGATAAGGCAGCTGGTGCAGCTGGGGTGGAGTTGGGGGAAAGATGTGGATAACAATGTCAAGGGCAGATAAACTTTGAGGTCTGTAGAAGCCAGCTTCACACTAGGAGCACTGGAACCCAGCCCTGGCCACGTACACTCAGCAAAAGAGAAAGCAGTGGGCTTGACAGGTAATAAAAGGCAGCTCATGAGAAAAAAAAAAAAAAGGTAATACAGGTGAGAAAAGAAAGGGAGAGAAATAATATCTTTGTAAAAATAACAAGTAGCCAGAAGCAGCAAAAACTTTCCAAACATAGTAAGTGTTTTACGGGATCTCCCGTTAAGAACAAATGGTGTTCAAAAAGAAAAATGGCAAATAATTTATTGAAGTCTTAGAAAGACAGGTGTATATAGGTTTAGTCAGCAAATTTACCTCACAATGGCATGTATTTTCAAGAAAAATAATGGCACAGATAAATTTGAGAGTGATATGGTTTGGCTCTGTGCCCCACCCAAATCTCATCTCTAATTGTAATCCTCATAGGTTGAGGGTGGGACCCGGTGGGAGGTGTATGGATCATGGGGGTGGTGTACCCTATGCTGTTCTGATGGTGAGTTCTCATGAGAGCTGATGGTTTAAAAGTGTTGGGCAGCTCCCCCCTCGCTCTTGCTCTCTCTCTCTCCTGCTGCCATGTAAGACGTGCCTTGCTTCCCCTTTGCCTTCTGCCATGATTGTAAGTTTCCTGAGGCCTCTCCAGTCATGCAGAACTGTGAGTAGATTAAGTCTGCTTAATGGACTCAGTCAATTATCCAGTCTCAGGTAGTTTTTTCTTTTTTTTTTTTTTTTTGAGATGGAGTTTCACTCCAGGCTGGAGTGCAATGGCGTGATTTCGGCTCACTGCAATCTCCACCTCCTGGGTTCACGTGATTCTCCCACCTCAGCTTCCTGAGAAGGTGGGATTACAGGTTCCCACCACCACGCCCAGCTAATTTTTGTATTTTTAGTAGAGATGGGGTTTTACCATGTTAGCTAGGCTGGTCTCGAACTCCTGACCTCAGGTGATCCACTTGCCTCCGCCTCCCAAAGTGCTGGGATTACAGGCATGAGCCACCGCACCTGGCCTCAGGTAGTTCTTTATAACAGTGTGAAAACGGACTAATACAGAGATAAAGGGCATATAATTCTAAAGTACACATCTAACTTCACTGTTTATCTTCTAAGCAGAGAAAACTATTTTTAACTTAAACAATTATAGCCACACTAAATGGAAAGATCATTAGAAATTTGCTTATGACACAGTTGCAAAGGGTTACTTTAAAGTACACAGGTCAGTTGATGACTTTTTCTAATAAGTGTAAGGAATTAAATGTAGGAAATAGATTTGTTAGGGTGGAAGAAAACTTTCTACTGTACATTTGTAGGGTAAGAAAATCTGTTGAGGTCTAAAATTAAGTCTAAAAGGGCTTACTTTTATTTCCAAAATATAAATCATAAAAGCAAAGAAGACATTATGAGGAATTCAATTTACTATAAAGTAGATAAGCCAATCTTATCTTATCTTTTTTTTTTTTTGAGACAGAGTTTCACTCTTGTTGCCCAGGCTGGAGTGCAATGACGTGATCACGGCTTACTGCAATCTCCACCTCCCAGTTTCAAGTGATTCTCCTGCCTCAGCCCCACAAGTAGCTGGGATTACAGGCATGTACTACCAAGCATGGTTAATTGTGTATTTTTAATACAGACGGGGTTTCACCATGTTGGTCAGTCTGGTCTCGAACTCCTGACCTCAGTTGATCCACCCGCCTTGGCCTCTCAAGGTGCTGGGATTACAGGCGTGAGCCACAGTGCCCAGATGCCAATCTTATCTTATAAATAATAGAAAATATGAACCATAATGAAAATAACTAATATTATCATATGCTATACAACCATCAGGGAAAAAAACTGGAGTTCCCAAGAGTCAGGGGACATCAAGCGATTTTGAAGAAATTTCGAATTCAATTCCTGAAATAGGGAAAAGTATTTCAACTTAGGGTTTTTTTTAAAACAAACATAATGTATGACACATTATGTATTAACATAAAATGCCATCATAATAAAGATGGGATGATCTGGGTTACAAAATTCCATAGTACTATTTAAATATTATTCATAAGCCCCCTTACTCTTACAATGTGTTAAAATCATTCCAAAATGTACAGAGCACAGTGAGCCCAATGTAAGATTTTCACCTGACTCAGAATCTTGGAGTCCTTATTGTGAACCTTTTATGAGAGTCTTAATATGTTTGACCCTGAAAATTTCCTGGAATAGGAGAAGGAAGGCACGTGCAGTGGGGGACACCAGAAGAGTGAGGTGCTATTTTGTTGATTTCCTATTAAATACTAGAATTCTGCATATAAATTAGGAATTACAGGTTCTGATTCATTTGGATATATTTGCCTGTATGGTTTTTTCAATGTTATTTATATACCTACAACTCTGATGTGCATCTTATCATTTGCATTTTACAGATCTTGATGTAGACTCAGAATACACTAATGAAAGACCAAAGGTAGGAGAGTTTATCCTTACTACTCAAAAGAGTTACAGGAAGTTAAAAGACTTAGTATAAAATTAAACTAATACTGGTATTACAGTACCTTAGAAAGAGATTTCCTCTTTCTAATGATAGGTACAGTCCCAGCAAACTTTACCCAAAATCTAGAAAAAGGGCTATTGTCTGATAACAACAGTTACATAATGGTGCTCATTTAGCAAGTGGAACTGAATGAAAATAGGTAAGTATGGGCAACCTCCTTTTCCCACAATCAGTAATAGGCTGTTCCCGAGAAACAAACGTCAATCATTCAAATGTGTACTACAGTCTCCTATTGTTTGTTCAAGAGAAAAGTGCGGTAGCACTTCCAAAGTATAAGGGGAGACAATGGTTTTATTATTTTTCTTTTATACTATGAAATCCTTCATGGCTAATTTATAACATGAATACCATAACCTAGGGATAAATGTCTTTTATAAAGTTTCAAGAATATTGACAGCTGTCTTTTACTCCAGTTAAAATGCCTGATTACATTTGTTTATTATTTCAAGCAAACTCTGAACACAATTTACTGTATGTTCAGTAACTTAGTAACATTTAATCACATTTATTTCACTTGATCTTTAGAAACAAAAGAAATCAAAATATTTTTCAATATCTTCTGTACTAGTCTTTAAAAATAAAATATTTTACGGGAACTGGATATATAGCAGCAAACTGAAGATCGAGATCATCTTTTTCTTTTGGTAAATGTTGGCATAAAATTCTACAAATCAGAATAGTCTCATAAATAAAAGCTTAAATTTCATCTCTAAAAAAGTTCAAGTCTGTTACTTTGCAATATTAAGATAACGAATACCTGAAGAGGATATTCATAAACTATTAAAACAACATGAATCATTGCTGTATAGAAAATAATGCACCTTCGAATCCTCATGGCTACAGATCATCCTCATAGGCAATATGAAGTTAAACTATTCAAATCTCTAGCAAATTGATCTACATCAAAAACATATGTAAGCCCAAGCACAGTGCTGCATGCCTGTAGCCCAGCTACTGGGGAGGCTGAGGCATGAGGATTGCTTGAGCCCAGGAGTTCAAGTCCTACCCGAGCAACACAGCAAGACCCCATCTCTAAAAATAAACAAGTTCATGATCAGCCTGGGCAACACAGTAAGACCACATCTCTATTAAAACAAATTTTTAAAATAAACAAAAAATAGTATTAAATAAAAAGTGATGTGTTCTTTTATTTGCAATCTAAAGTTCAAGCAAGTAACAGGGAATAAAAGTTGTACACAAATGGTGACCAAATTTAAAATAATCTGTACCTCAGGAAGGTTGCTCCCATGACCCCACCCCACACCAGCATTCATGCCAGACACCCTGCTAGCTTTGTATCAAGGGCCATACTAGTCATCAGCACCCAAAGCCAAATGCACAGGCCAAGACCCAGAAATGCAGGAGACAGCTCTTCACCTATAGGGCCTCAGGAAAAGAAGGCCCAAAATGTGAGTCACGAAATGAATTATCCTCCAGGGAAACAACATGTATTCTCCAAAAGGAGAATACATTCCTAGCATCCCAAGATGGAATTCTATGCTATTAATAACATTATTTCATAAAGGAAATATTTTTAAGAATACATCTCAAAGAACTTACAGAGTCAAGTCTGTTTTTTGTTTGTTTGTTTGTTTGTTTGTTTGAGACAGGTTCTCGCTCTGTTACCCAGGCTGGAGTGCAGTGGTGTGATCTCGGATCACTGCCACCTCCACCTCCACCTCCCAGGTTCAAGAGATTTTCATGCTTCAGCCTCCCAAGTATCTGGAACCACAGGTGCATGCCTGGCTAATTTTTATATTTTTAGTAGAGATGGGGTTTTGCCATTTTACCCAGACTGGTCTCGAACACCTAGCCTCAAGCGATCTGCCAGCCTTGGACTCCCAACATGCTAGGATTACAGGTGTGAGCCACTACGCCCAGCCCAGAATCACGTTTTGAAATATAACCTATTTGTAAAGTAAACACAGCTCACATTCATATGTACTAAATGATGTGCAAAAAACTTTCCCAGGACCCTAGTCTGATTACAAATGGTAACTCAAGAAGACTAAATAGGAATGCATGACCATAAACATAAATAAATACACGTGCGTGCGCGCGCACACACACACCCACACCCACACCCATTTTTAAGTTTTGGATAATGCCTGGTTCTTCTCCCCTACCACACTCCAAATCCCTTACCCTTCAAGAAAGCTCAGTTTTTATGGCTTTGTCAAGAAATTCCTCCTTAAGAAACTTTGGTGACAAACGTACTAGATTCTTAATTTTAAAACACACATATACCCACATTCGTTAACATATGCAGACTACTATATTTCACACTACTAGGTAAAGAGACAAAGTATGTATTTACTAAAATGCAAACTACTCACCAATAACCACCCTTAAAAAAAAAAAAGTGGCTGGGCATGGTGGCTCATACCTGTAATCCCAGCACTTTGGGAGGCTGAGACGGGTAGATCACCTGAGGTCAGGAGTTCGAGACCAGCCTGGCCACATAGTGAAACCCCGTCCCTACTAAAAATGCAAAAAATTAGCTGGGCGTGGTGGCAGGCGCCTGTAATACCAGCTACTCGGGAGGCTAAGGCAGGAGAATTGCTTGAACTCAGGAGGCGGAGGTTGCAGTGAGCCGAGATTTCACCATTGCACTCCAGCCCAGGTGACAGTTCAAGACTCCGTCTCAATAAATAAATAAATAAAGTTCTGGCTTTGAAACTAGTCTTGAATTTTGAACACAAGTACTGTCAAAGGGTGAAAAAAATCAAGATTGATTTCTTGGCTTGTGAAATAGGTAAATTTCACCCTAACATGTGGAGGAAAAATTGCAGAAGCTGTTATCTGAAGACAAAATAATGAGTGATTAAATTAGACCGAAACTTGGTGGAGGACAGAACACTAAATGAAGGCAAGCTTTAATTCCTTTTCTTCACATTATTGGATGAGCGATAACTATCGAGAATATGCATTTTATGCCAGGCTTATGGAAAGAGGAAACAAGACACTAAAAATTCATGACTAACAATTCAAAATTAAAATATGAGCAAAGCCAAGCCCTAGGTCTTCCATTTCACAGTATCAACCAGAAAGATTCAAAGTCTTTACATAAAAGCAATGCATATGTTAACAAATTTGAATATAAACATAAAATGCACTTATTATCCTTGAGGTAGGATGAAGTAAGAATTTAACTTTAATCAAATCAAGCATTGCATACATTCTGTACTACACTGTTTAAAGTAGTTATTTTATTTTATTTATTTTTTTGAGACAGAGTTTCACTTTTTGCCCAGGCTGGAGTGCAATGGCGTGATCTTGGCTCACTGCAACCTCTGCCCCCCGGGTTCAAGTGATTTTCCTGCCTCAGCCTCCCGAGTAGCTGGGATTACAGGCGCCTGCCACCACACCTGGCTAATTTTGTATTTTTAGTAGAGACGGGGTTTCACCATGTTGGCCAGGCTGGTCTTGAACTCCTGACCTCAGGTGATGCACCTGCCTCGGCCTCCCAAAGTACTGGGATTACAGGCATGAACCATCGTGCCCAGCCTTAAAGTAGTAATTTCAGTTGGCTTAAAACTGACAAAAATATCTTATTTTTACCCTAAAATAATCTGTTTGCATCAGGAAAATGTAAACTTAATAACAGTAAATAAACCTAGCCTTTAACAAAATTTCACTGAGCTCCTATGGGAGAATAAATCTAGTTTTCAACAACTGTTAAAAGAAATCTTAAAGCATGCTATATTTTCATAATTTTTCTGAAGTGCACTTTTGGCTAACTACTATCAGACTTAATGTGATCCTATTTCCCTGGAGAAATAAAAATGACTTGTTCTGCAATTTTTCAATTTATAAATACAGTTACTTATTCACCTAGATGGGTTAACATGGGAAGAAAGTTACAAGCAATACCGAAAAGAATGTCAATTACAGTAAAGAAAAAGAAAACAGTGTACACAGAAATAACAAGAATGGGAGTTTTCACATTGCCTTAGCATATCAAGTATGTATTAATAATAAAATTAATTCTCTTACTTTTGAGACAAGATCTTACATTATTGCCCAGGCTGGAGTGCAGTGGTATAATCAGGGCTCACAGCAGCCTCAACATCCTAAGCTTAAGTAATCCTCCCATCTCAGCCTCCCAAGTAGCTGGGACTACAGATGTGAACCATCACACCTAACTAATTTTTTTATTTTTATGTTTTGTAGAGATAGGGTCTCACTATGTTGTCCAGGCTGGTCTTGAATTCCTGAGCTCAAGCACAATCCTCCTGCCTCAGCCTCCCACATGTGGGGATTACAAGTGTGCACCACTGCACCTAGCCTAATTCCGTTTTAGAATGCGTATACACCTGTGCATGAGCTGTTTCCTCTGGTAAACTCTATATAAAGCTAACAGTCACAGATTAATGTGTGTACTAATTCCTCTTTTAGACGAATCTTTATTAAACCATGTTTGAGAGAACAGTTAGAGCTTAGCTGAGAAAGCAAGGAGCAAAAAGAGAAACTGAGTCCCAGTCTCCGCTCCTTGGGCTAGAGCTGTGGCACCTGCTAGAGACATTTTCTTGAGAATTCCACTTAGTGTCTGTCCCTCCCTTCATCTCCTGAGACTTCATTCTTTTTCCCCAGTTCTCTAAGTTCACAAGGACCCCTCTCTGCTTTTTCTTTATCCCTGTTCTAGTTATAACCTCCAAAGGAGAGGAGCAGACTGTGGTACTAAGAGCAGCAGACTTGGGGAAAAAGCGGGTGAAAGATAAGAGAAAGCATATTTTATTTTCCTCCACGAAACCAGTATCTGCAGTTATACGTAAATGCAGGGAAAACCGTTTAAACTGTAGTTACTTACATGTAACTGAAATAAAAGTTTCAAATTATTCAAACATAGTTGAGCGCTATGGTTCTAGGAACTAACACAGTGACTTACGTCCTTTCAATGAAAAACAAAATGGGCAAATAATGTATATTTCCATAATTTCAATCACTACCAAATATATTTACATTTCTTCCTTCACAAATTTAGCAAATTTGACTGCAAAACATTGAAATACTCATTATATATCTTAAAGCTTCAAAAATCAGTGTTTCCTAAGATATACCCTGTACTTTGTGCTTTCTTATTTAAGGTCCAATCTTTGGCCTGAGCTTCACTGCTTCTTTTTGCCTCATGAGGAGATCTAGCTCAATAACCACATTCTCTGAATTTTCATTTTCTATACTCATTATACCTCTCGATTCAGTCTAGCAAACATCTGTGTTATGTTATGTCAACAAGTATCCTTGCTGTGCAGGGCATCATGCTAAATGCTATAGGAGACGGAAAGATGCTCCTGTCCTTTGGAGGAACTAATAAGAAGTACAAACATATGTAAAGATAACCATGTATAATATTCATGAGTGCTACAAAATACATAGAAATGGAGTCATGGAAACAGTCTGGTAAGAGATTAATTCATTGCAGAGGCAGTGATACTTGAAGTGGGCCTTGAAGCATTGGTAAGATTTTAACATCTAAAAGTTTTCATTAATTTTTATGAGTATCTCTTACTTATTCATATATTTATTTATTTTTGAGACAGAGTCTCGCTGTTGTCCAGGCTAGAGTGCAATGGTGTGATCTCGGATCACTACAACCTCTGCTTCCAGGGCTTAAGCAATTCTCCTGCCTCAGCCTCCACAGTAGCTGGGACTACAGGCGTGCACCACCATGCCAGGCTAATTTTTGTATTTTTAGTACAGACAGGGTTTCACCATGTTGACCAGGCTGGTATCAAACTCGTGGCCTCAAGTGATCCGCCTGCCTTGGCCTCCCAAAGTGCTGGGATTACAGGTGTGAGCCACTGTGCCCGGCCATAATTTTTCTGAGTATCTCTTATAGATTATTTATTTCCTACATGGTAGGCTCAGAAAACAATTAGCAATAAAACCATTTTATGTAATAGGAAAATTAAATGGAAATTTGTTCAAGATAAATCCTACAGGCCAGCCTAATATATCTTACAGCATAAGAGTATGTGCATAAAAGTAGGGATAAAATTAGAAAAGTCAGTCTATTCCTGCAACAAACATTCATTGAACAAGTTGTGTTAGCAGAATGCAGAGAGGATAGTGACAAAGTCTCCAACGAGAAAGAGCAAGAAAACAAGGAAGAAAGTCCCAGTTAAACACAGGGTGTGTGGGAGTGGGGGAGTTGGAGGGGGTGCAGTCCCAGGGGACAAAAATATCCTGATATTGCCTAAAACTCATTTGGCAAGAGCAGACTAAAGAATTCCAAGAGTGTTGATGAGAGAAGGAAAATAAGAGTGAAGAAAACATGAGAATAGGTAAAAAGGCAGAACACCAAGGAAGGGATATAAGAGAGGGACATAAGCAAAACATGGCATCAATAGGCAGAGTGGGCCTTACTGGACTGCAAAAAAGAGGCAAAGGCTATGGCGGGAAGAATACAAGCTAAAGGACTGGTAGGGAATATGAGGAATACAAAACACAATGAAATCAGAGATGAGGTTAGAAGGAACGGGAAGGAAACAGAGCTGAGGGGGAAAAATCACATACAGCAAAACCACAAGGAAACGTTATTTAAAATAATCTGTGTGTTATAAGTGCAAACATATAGCACTTTGAAGAAGTAAACAATCAGACTAATTGGGTCATTTTAAAGATAAGCAGCAGCAATCAAAGGAATAAGATAGCTTTCATAAAAGTAAGTAAAAATGAAAACAACCTTGCCTAAGAGTGGGGTCAGGTAAGCCAATTTTAGCCATTACAGAGAACTGAATGGATCAGGAAAAACATAAGCACCATTGGTTAGTCTTAAAAATTACAACATTACAAAATTGGTGAGGTTTTTCAAAGGATCACTAAACTTTTAAATAAATGATACCCAGTTACAACCCTCAGAATTTACAGTGTTCCCTTCATGCCAAGTTTATTTTCATAAAGAACCTATTGATAAAGGAATCACAAGAGCAATGGTGACCCCAATAACTCTCAGTGTTTTTCCCATGGTGATCACCAGGCTTGCAAGTGCTTTAAAAACCCTGAAAGGCTCAAGAAATTGAAAAAATGTTAAACAACAATCATCTGAACCTGAGGTTGTTTTCAGTTGAACTTCATTTATAGTCATATATTCAGTGCCTTATCTACCCTTTTCATAGTTCAGTTGGCAAAAGGCCCTTACAATCCCTCTATTGGTTTTTAGAATATGGTAAGAAAAGTGCTAAAAATTATGCAACCTATATAATAAAAAATAACATAACTCATTACTTGGTTAATTCATAAATGCTGCTTAGGCAACAAAGAATGTAGTACATTGTACATTGATTTATATTTGATTTCACCAGTTTCTGGCAAATTATTATTTGATGTTTACCAGTGGTTGCCACAGATTCAAAAGGACATGAACTCTTTCATAACACACAGGAGACAACTGAGACTGCGAGTGATTACCAGGCTCTCCCCACCCTCGTAATGACCACTTTCAAAGTATCATATACTAATTCGATTCACTTCAGGAAAGATTTTCTTGACCTTCTACCACATACCTTGTCCCACGGGAGAGATAAGTCTATAAAGAAGAAAGAGACACTGCAACAGCAAAGGGGTGGGGGCCTAATGGAGCACGCAGGAGGTCTGGCCTGGATCTGCCTCTACCAACATGTATTCCTCTGGGTTATGTAGAGCCTTATGTATGGAACATAACTCTTTAGAGTAGAGCCTTATGTATGGAACATAACTCTTATGTATGGAATGCTCCCCCCTCTTGCTGGGGATTCAAAAATTAGAAGGCCAACCCTCTACTCTGAAGGAGTTGATAGGCTTATAAGCCTATAAATAGAGGGTTGGTCTTCTAATTTTTGAGTCTCCAGCAAAAGGGGTATCATATATTAATACTCAACACACATTTGCTGATGAAGGTGTGAATCAAAGGATAAAAGAACATGTCTGAGTGTCGATAGCTCATGACAGTGTCAAGACTAGGTACTCACGCTGTGTTCAGTAACACTAGCAATTTTACTTTTACCTATACAAATGATAGGTTTCTTTTTTTAAAACACATCAGGTAAAAGAATAAATACATTCAAGTTACTATAAAAACTCCTAATCATCCATTTTGCTGTCAAGAATCTCAGTTAGAGCCTTCTTACCAGCAAAGGAGGGTGAGAAAGGATCTATGACTTTGTATCTTGTGAGCCAAGCTTTATGTTACACTGACATGCAGAGAGATCCAATTAGTGCTTTCTGCCATCAGATGGCACACTGGCCCACAGCACTGTAATTCTACGCCACTGTCCAAATTTTCTGACCTTCAAAGAGAGACGAAGGAAATTAATATGTGTTGACCTGAGAGCACTGAGGGGCTGGGGTCTTTGCATGTATTATTTTACTCAGTCCTACAAAAAAGTCTTCTCACTATTGGTCATTGTTCTCATTTCATATACAAAAAACTCAGGCTAGTAAAAGCTAACTATAACTCCCCTCTAGTTACAGAGCAGGTACTGGCAGGGACAGACTTGAATCTAGGTTTGCTGGACTCAGAAGCCAATTCTCTTGGTATCTCTCTGGACTACAGCAACATATGGTTCACTTTCGGAGCCCACAGCTCTTGATGTGAGCTGCAGTTCTGAGGGTCCTACCCTACAACTGTCATGTGATTACACCATACTGAAAAAGTGCACTGGGGGTCTCATAAGAATATTTTCTGCCATAAGAGGAAAGTTATTTACCCCTTGTTGCAGCCTTTATCATGGACATGAAAATGCTAAAAAATATTTAGGGTCTTCTAATCAGTAACTTCTATTGTGAAAGACAGGAAAAACTGGCTCTTTCCCAAACGATGTTGCTGGAGTTGTATAAATTCTACTGGCATCAACAAGAGAAGCAACAAACTGGTTTATAGAAAAGTCCAGAAAATATACTTCTCCTTTTGAAATTTAAAAACTTCCTCCAGGCCGGACGTGGTGGCTCTTGCCTGTAATCCCAGCACTTTGGGAGGCTGAGGCGGGCAGATCACGAGGTCAAGAGATTGAGATCATCCTGGCCAACATGGTGAAACCCCATCTCTACTAAAAACACAAAAATTATTTGGGCGTGGTGACGTGCGCCTGTAGTCCCAGCTACTCAGGAGGCTAAGGCAGGAGAATCGCTTGAACCCAGGAGGCAGAGGTTGCAGTGAGCCAAAATTGTGCCACTGACCTCCAGCCTGGTGACAGAGTGAGACTCTGTCTCAAAAAAAACAAAAACAAACAAACAAAAAAAACTTCCTCCATTGGCACACAATGCAACTGCTTCCCTGTCTTGTACATGTGGAGATGTGATAAAGTAACTTCAGTGACAGTCAAATGTACTGTTACCTTAAAAAGTGCGATGCTTTCTTGCATAATTCCTATCAATGTTCTATTTCACATATGTGATACATTATAAAATACATTTATCTTTCACAGAATTCATTCTAGAGGGAAAATATTAACATGTTAGTTTTATTCAAAGAATGATTTTGCAATATGTGTTTAAAAAGACAATTAAAAACAAATGAAATTTTATACATCATTTGTTTTGTAATTAACATATGACTAGAACAGTCTGGAAGCAATGTATTAAATAGAAATAGTTGAAAAATGTTTGCTTTATCTAAAGTGATATTGCAGGACAAGCCTGGGTGTGTGGCACAAATCATTTTGTTATATAAACTTCTCTGGCAGTTACAGGAATATAATTTTCTGGGGATATGCTAAACCAAGCCCACTGATAAGAGTAACAGACCAAAGGAAACACTGTAAAAACCCAGCTGTGTTATTCAACTTAGCTTTAAGCCAGTCTCTGCTGTCTTTTGTAGGACTTTATTTAATTGCTTCTGACTGTATAGGCTAGTAAAAATCAGGCTGTACAGAATTGAAAAAAAAATCTGATTAAATGGATCAGTTGTTTAGAGTCTACAGCAATCAAAATTCCCTGTGATTCACTTCTACAAATAATTACATGGATCTTCACAATAACCATATGGTCACTGCAAAAAGAAAATTCAGTCAAATCTGTTAATTCATTAAGTAAAATAGCCTCAACAGTCATTCTTGGCTCATCCGGTGGAATCTGGATGAAGGAGAGATGCACCTCTTTCCTGAATAAATCCAAGAGACAATCACAGATCAGTTTAACCAGGATAAAGAAATCATACAACTTTCAGGTACAAAGATGTTTTCTAAATAGTCACAGCCTTTTTTAAGGCAAGGGATGAGATACAGGGTTAAAAAAATGCTTCTATGATTGTACACAGATTTCAATAAATTCAAACTCTAATTTTATATACATCAACATAACTATACCAACTGAACACAATAACAGCAAAAAAATTCTCATAACATAATTTGTGCCATTACTTTACAATCATGTACAAAGGGAGTCACAATTCTTTTCTGAATGGGAATGTCGTTAGAGAGTCAAGTCCTCTAAACTCTCCAGCGGCACCACATTCTTATTCTGCATCTGTATTTCCTGTTTGCTAGTGGCAGAATACTAATTTCAACTAATTTAAATGAAAGCCCCACATAATGTAGCACTCTAATTTTATTTAAACAAAAACTAGAGATAAGCAGCAAGTAAGGGATGGCCCATGAGGCTGCTCAACCCCAGCTTTCTACCATGTAACAGAATTATTAGCTATGCATGGAAACCACTTTTTTTCTCTACTGTTAACTATTTTTTTCTCTAATGTTTTTGAATTCTGATCAGAGCCATTACTACTGTTTCTAACTTTGTACCCTCTTTTGCAAGCATTCACAAGCCCCTTATTAAAGCTCTGGGAAGGCTTCCTATCTGATGCTCTGCCAGACACTGTCCTTTTGGACACAATGCATTCAGGTTATTAGCTTGATGTGCATCATTCAGCAAGCTGTCTTACAATTTCACTGATCATCATCTAGTAAGACTGAATTGCTGCCTTGCCCATGGCTTTTAGATTTATATAATTAACCAAAATTAGCTCGATGTTTAAAACACAATGCCAGCCTACTCATTTATTTTTGGAAGAACACTTTAGTGAATACAATGAGTGGGCTGATTTGGAATTGCCAACTTAAACTGTCAAAGTTTTCCTATAAATTACTATACTTAAAAAATTCAAATTCTATTAAGGCAAATACCATTAAAAGAAAACTATTTGATAAAACAATCAGGTACCATATTATTTTCATTTTGGTTCACTATTACATTCAATCAAGTTCTAGTAGGAAATATGTCACACAATGCCTTGAGTGTGTATTGTAAATATTTTTTATATATAGTAACTCCTGGACAAGTATATAATAGTTTTTGGTTACATAACTCTAAAAAATATAGCATGAGCAAACTGTCTCGACTGCATCATTCAGAAGTTCTTAACGTCAGACAAAATAAAGGTGCCAACTACATGCTAAAGTAGATAGTAGATAATACCTACTGAAATACTTTTTAAAAACACTTATATCAAACTTACCCTCAAAATGATTCATGAAAACATTTAACTAACTATATTCTTCATAAAGAGACTGAAGAACAGAAAACCAAAATGATTTCCATAAAATCATTTCCATAAAAAAACAGTCTGCAAACAGCACATAGAAAATTAAAACCCAGCTCTCATTACTGCTGGCTATTTCTGGTCCCATTGATACCACGGTATAAGTGATACACATTTTAGAGGTCACTGGACCTTGTTTTGAATAATTTTAGGTAAATTCAAACTACTCTCTAGCTCCGTGTCTTTCTTGTAAGATTGTGACAATAATACCTACCTCATAAGGATCTAATACATGACTATTTTCTTATAAATTATGTGAGCAGCACAAAGCACAACTGATAGATGCTCTGTAAATGTTAGTTCACTCATAATTCATTTCTAAATTCATTCAGCCAGTACTAATTCTGCATGCCTAAATGCCAGGCACTGTTCTAGGCACCAGGGTGGAAAACCCACATAATGCCTCTACTCTCATGGAGCTGTCATTCTAGTAAAAATAACAATGAAGAGTTTGGCTGGTGACATAAATGCCAATGAGAGGTCCCTCAATCAACCTGTCCTCACCCCTCCATTGAGCACAGGGTTGCTGGGCGCCAGCCAATTGCTCTGGAGCATAGGAAAGGTTGTATTTGAATCCTGCCCAGCTGCTTTACTACCTCTCTCTTATATACTTTATCTGCTCCCTTTTTTTTCCTACCGTCTTCCAGTCTCAACCATCTATGATTTTAAATAGTATGCTTCAAGTTGTGCCAAACGCTGGAATTCAGCCAGGAAGGTGGCTGGGAGTAGGGAGGGGGCAGGCATGGAAAAACAGTCACTCAGCCATGCCCAAATCAGAGCAGCTGTCTCTATTTTATCAGTGTTATGCCCCCTGCTTAATATACTTCCAGGCTTCCAGTGCAAGTTTCTGGTGGGAATAAGTTTAGTGCTAAAGGAATGTTTGGAGGCAGAAAAGTACACCAGTTTAAGTATGCCCCATTCTTTAACAAGTTGATGCACAGAAAAAAGAAATGAGGGTGCAATAGGGGAATCCAGTATATTAAAAGAAACTTATGAGACATAAAGACCAAACAGAATATATGTGGTTTTTGAGTGGGTCTTTGTCAGCTATTAAAAGGCGTTTTTGAGACAACCAAGGAAAATTTTAAAATAAACTGGATATGCAATAATTGTTAATTTTCTTAGGTATCACTAGGATAGTAAGTTATGTGGTAAGACATGCTTTTTAAACAAGATGACTACTGAAATATTTAGAAGTAAAAAAGTCACAATGTCTGAACTTTACTTTTAATATTTACAGCCAAAAAAAAAAAAAAAAACCATGATGTGAATATGACAGCCAACAACTCTGAAATCTTAGTGATAAGTGTGCATTATATACTTCTCTTGGCTTTCTGTATATTTGATGTTTTTCATCAAAGAACATTTTTAAAAGTCTGGTATGCTCAATACCTCTTGGCATTCACAGGCCTTAATATACCTTAAGCCTCCTACAGCGACACATTAAAACTATACACAGGTTGTTACATTTGTACTTAACTACATAATCCAATTATAGTATTTTTAAAATACCAAAATGACTGACAATCATAAAGACAATAGATGGTGTCCTAGTCTGTTTGGGCCACTATAACAACATACCTTAGACTGGGTAATTTATAAACAGAAATTAATCTCCTCCCCTTGAGAATTGGGTTGGGCCGAGAGATTCATTTCTAACTAATAGAACAGAGCAAAAGTTACCAGCTGTCACTTTGGATATCATATTATAAAAGACTACAGCTTCCTGACTCTGTCTCCCTTCCTCCCTTTTCTTTTCCTTCTTGCTTGCTTGCTCTGATAATGCGAGGGAACATGTCACATGCGAGCTGCCCTATGGAGTGGCTCGAGTGGCAAACAAAAGCTTATGAGGAAATGAGGCCTCAGTTCAACAGCCTGCAAAGACATCAATCCTGCCTCCAACCACAGGAGCATGCTTGAAGAAAAGGATCCTTCTGCAGGGAAGCCTTGAGTGACTTAGACTGTGACAGACTCCATGTAAATTTCCTAGGGTTGCCATAACAAACTACCACAGGCTGGGTGGTTAAATCAACAATTTCTGGAGGCTAGAAATGCAAGGCCAAGGTGTTAGCAAACTGAGTTTCTTCCGGGGCCTCTCTCTGTCTTCTTGAGGATGGCTGCTTTCTTTCTGTGCCCCCACATGGTCCGCTCTATACACAGAGGATGCACATGGCTGTATCCAAATTTCCTCTTCTGCTAAGCACTTCAGCCATATTAGATTAGGGTTCAGCCTAACAGCTTCATTTTAACCTAATTACCTCTTTAAAGAGCTTATCTCCAAATATAGGTACTGAGAGTTAGGACCACAACATACAAATTTGGTGGGGAGGGGGCAAAGAGAGAAGCATAAATTCACCCCATGACAGACCCTAAAGCAAAGGACCCAACTAATTTGTTTTTGAATTCTTGAACTACAGAAAATGTGAGATAGTAAAGGTTGTTTCAAGCCACTAAGTTCTGAGGTAATTTATTCTGCAGCACAGATAACTAATATAATGTACCAGGTAAAACCGTTAATCACATTCACTTTCTGGGCCCAGGAAAAAACAACTTTATTACAATTTTTCAAATGAATTTACACACAACAACTCAAATTTTATTCCATATCTTCCTGCTTTTGAAGGCATATATACCTGAAATGGTCAATGTCCTTTGAATGCAAATAATTGCTTAGCTGTCATACATGAACCTGAAATATAACCATCTCATAAATACCAATTCTAAATTTCAAATACCTCTCTAGCGGGTTCTAGTCTATCATCACTTCTGATATTACTTCTCACACCTGAATCATCAACATGCAATATGTGGAAAACTATGAGGTTCATCAGTTTAAAGAGAAGATGGTCGTCATCTCTGTTCTATATTTGAAAAATATTTTCCAGTTTTAGATTTATAATCACCTGTTAGAATGAGCAAACAAATTAATTATCTGTTATCTATTTCCTTTCATTCACCTTTGTATACAAATTTGCTTCCATCTTCTGCACTCGTCTACTTAACAACCATATAAGTGAATTAGTATTCTTATTGCAAGATGGTACCCACAACACATCAGCCCTTTAGACTGACATCTATTCTTTATTCCACTTGTTACTTAAAATGAATGATCCACATTATTTAAAGGCCAAAAAGCATGTTTTCTTTCCATTTGGATTTCATTTCCCTCCTCCTAATTACAAACCTGTAATTAGATTATGACTTAGGATTTTTTTTTCCCTAACCATTCCAAGAAGGTCTTTACCACTTAAATCTTTACATCAAAGATTTTTAGTTTGCTATATAAGGGAACAAATATGAATGACATCACAAATTTAGCCACTTGATATACTGATTTCCAAAAATGTCTCTGTACTTACGTTTTAGTCAATGAAATCTTAGAGAACTGCTTTGTATGTTATTTTTAATTGTATTGTTTTTATTGATATTAATTTGGAATTTGACAATTTGTATCTTTTCCTCTTACTATCAGTATGTCAGTATGTTACTGAACATTAGTCAATGAAATCCAATTCTCTTTCATTCAGTTCCCACCAGTATTTACATACAGTGAAGAGATTCTGCTTGTATTCTTTTCTCTTTGACTTGTTCACTATACTATAATTGATGTCTGATTACTTTCTTAACATTGTTTTAAAAGCTGAGTTTCCCATTGAGCAAATACTACAGAAGCATTTCCATTCTCAACTTTACTCTCTTTTATTTCTACTAATGTATAGATGCCCCCTTCTTACAATGGGGTTATTTCCTAATAAATTCATCATAAATTGAAAACACTGTAAACTGAAAGTGCATTTAATGCATCAAACCTACTGAACATTATAGCTTAGCCTAGGCTACCTTAAATATGCTCAGAACACTTACATTAGCCTACAGGTGGGGAAAATCATCTAACACAAAGCCTATTTCATAACAGCATGTTGAATATCTCATGTAATTTACCGAATATTGTACTGCAAGTGAAAAATATGATGGTTTTATGGGCACTTGAAGTACAGCTTCTACTGAATGTATATTACTTTTGCACCATTGAGGTAATAAGTTGAAATTCTGTAAATCAAGGATTGTATTTCTTTTTTTTTTAATCTGGAGTTGCCTTTTTTCTTCAAAAATACTTTCCTATTATGTCTTTTTTTTATGTTTCCAAATTTTTCTTCTTTTGGTCTTTATTATACTTGACTACCACTACCTCTGGGTGTAATTTATAGCACAGAGAGATAAATCACTTTATACACATAAAATCAGCTGTCATCCTGATATTTTCTGTAAGAAATATTCTGGTTCTAGATTTACCTCTTACGCTTTCTTAATTGAAATGCTACCTGGCATATATTAATGTCCACTAAATATTTGTTGCTTTATATAATTATATGGTAAGAAGAAAAATGTAGGATGTCATGTTAATATTGCTAAAACCCTTATGATATATAACACATATTAAAATAGATCGAAAAGAAAAATTCTAATATTTTATACAACATTTTGCTAACAATTTATACAGTTAGAAGGTAAAGACTTACATATGAAAGAAAACTAGTTCCTCTTAGTCCCTATCTGACCATCATTACAGTACAAAACAATCCATTCCATGTTGGTGGCCAGGTTATGAGGTTTCTCTCAGATTATGGTCTGACGGGGAGTAAGGAATCAGAATACAGAGTATTAATCAGGTCTTTAAAAAAGTCAAACAGCAAGGTCCTTGACTATCTCCCAACTATACCTGTCAAAGATCTTTGGACTACTCAGAGCTATTACCAGAACTAGGCAATAGAACCAGTCATCATTCTGATATGAGAGGTTAAAGTCTATAGAAAAATAGATTTGATAGATAACCTTCTAGAATGCACCTATTCTGTATACCCTGTTAAACAAGCAAACTATACTCAAGGCCTTCTAGACACCAAGGCTAGCACAGGGAAAGGGGACACAGAGATGATATTGAGTAATAGCTGCACAGAACACTACAATACTTAGAGCTTTTGAAAAAATGCATGATACGAAACAAAGTTAACAATTAACTCTGGTTAGAAGACCTTGAAAAATCTTGAAGTAAGAACATCTGAATGCATGGCAAGCATTTGTCTCTTTTTAACTTGGAATTATATAAGGAAAGTTTTATGCTCCTTTCCAATAATATACATGTATATATAATAATATCAGAACACTGACCACAGGCAAAATCAAACTAGATATAAGCACCCACACAGAAGAAGCTAAGTCATTTTATAACCATTCATTCAGAAGATGAAATTTCTCACTTGGGCATGTGCAGGGAAATTATTTTGCTTTGGTAGTCCTCAGACTAAACTCAGCACCAGAATCAACCACGTTAAAGGGCATTTAAACAGATTGTTCTGTGAACGTTTTAAAAATTTAGAGACAGTAATTATTCAGAAACTCCCAGGCAGTGACTCTGCTATCTTATAGATGGGGCCTACAAATGCTAAGTTTGGTTAGTGTGGGTATGTTACCTCCTTCAATTCATTACTGACTAGAAATGCCTTAACAACAATATGTATACTCCTAAAATACTCACATTTTAATAGTTATTTTCTTACAATCACAACTGGTCTTGCTCTTCACTATGAGACATTTGTATTCCATGTGAGTGCTTTCTGTGTCATAAATCATTTAGGGTCTGGCCTACTGACTTAATAAATTTCAGAGGCAGAAGAGAAGCTGCAGAGCTCAGTCCTTGACACTGAACTTTCTCACTGCTTCTAAGGGTGGAAGAGGTCAGTTTGGTAAGCAACATGTTTGGTATCATCATTTCAGATTTTCCAGAGGTAATGGTTACAAAAGTCTTCCCAGAAACAAGATTTACCACCCACCAGTGACCTATGCATACATGACCACGGTTTGTTGGGTGCCTATAATTTGCTCTTTGCATCAGAGGGAAATTCTCTCTGTGGGGACAGGGCCCATCTTCCATGCAAAATCATAAAGTTGTCTTGTACTCAAAGCTGCTCTTCTCAACATATCCTTCCCAAGGGATTTGGCCCTATTGGGTATCCTCCTAGGTACCTGCACATTCACTCAAACAGTGATCCTGAGAAATTACTGGTGAGTACAAGCACTATCTCCATGGGCAAAAGGAGCTAGGTTCGAATTGCATTTTTTCCACTTAGCAATACGTGATCTTGAATTAAATATGTACTACCTCACAGCCACAGTTTCCTCATCTGCAAAATGGGGACAGTACTTGCTCATGGTTGTTTTGAGGACTAGCTGAGACAAATGCTTAGCACAGTATTAGGAACATGGTCAGTGCTCAATATTAATCCCCAAATCCATGTCATAAATTTTGACAAGTACTACATGGTAGTTCCATCCTTTATTTTTAATAAAATTCAGGTGATTCCATTTATATTAGACATTATTATATTTACATTTATACGTTATAGGTTTTTTTCTGTATATATACAACCTATGTGTTACTATTTTTAACAGTATAGAACTTAAATTATCTGGAAACTTCTTAACCATAATCATTACCTACTCCCTCACAAAACAGTTTTTTTTCCTATTTTCTATAGTAATTTAATGCAAGTACCTCAACTGCAGATAAACTAAATTTCACTCTGATATTGTAGTACCTGTACCTTCATTCTAGCTCAAAAATTCCTTCTAAAAGTCCTCATTGATATAAAAAAAAAAAGCATGGGCCAGGTGCAGTGGCTCACACCTACAATCCTAGAAGTTTGGAAGGCTGAGGTGGGAAGATCACTTGAGCCCAGGAGTTCAAGACCAGCTTGGGCAACACAGCAAGACCCTGTCTCTACAAAAAAAAATAAAAAAAATAAAAAGTCAGCAGGGTGTGGTGGCACATGCTTGTTGTCCCAGCTACTAAAGAGGCTGAGACAGGAGGATTGCTTGAGCCTAGGAGTTCAAGTTACAATGAGCTATGATCACGCCATTGCACTCCCACCTGGGAGACAGAGTGAGGCCCTGTCTCTAAAAAAATAAAAATAAAAATCTACTTTCTAGTACCATTAATCAGATGATGATGAAATAAGCATTCTCACCTTAAATATTAATAAAATATGACATTTAAAAATTTATTTAGATATATCTACCAAAATAATGAAAACTACAAAGGTAAAAAAGATGGGGAGGATTTTGTATTTTGCCTGATCTTAGACATTCTACAAAATGAAAGTTTTTCTTCAGAATAAGCTACACTGTCAGATCTTTTTTTGGAAGTCAATATTTAAGATATACTAATGTAATAAGAAAAGAAAACTGCAGAAAAATGAAGAAAACATAATGAATTGAGACCTACCTTTAAGTATGTAAATAAACACTGTCCTGAATAAAATTCAAAAGCCACAGCCAGCCCTGGTTGAGAACCCTCACAATCAGGCTCCCTCTGCAATATCCAACTCCCCGCATCCAGTGCTACCTCTCTGTGTGCATGCTACACTCTAGAGACTAAATCCACAGATATTTCTGATATAACTGGTCTCTGGGCTGGTATGTATGTCATTCCCTCCATCTAGAATGTCTTCTTCTGCCATCTCTGCCCACCAAAACTCCTGCCTAGCCTGTAAGGCCATGCCTCACTGCCAGCCTCTCCACATGCCCATCTCTGTGCTTCCAAGATACCTGAGCTCATGCTTTCTCATACTCTCACCACTGGCATTACTGTAACTTTGTCTAACACATGTCTACTGCCTCCCATTAGAACCTAAGCTCAATCAGGATGGGAATTAATCCATGTAGACTAATTCTTCTTCACATCACCACATCTCCCAACAGAGGCCCTTGCAAAAAGGGTGCAATCACTGAATCATGAAGATGTCACAGTGGCAGGTCACGTGATCCTGCCTACCTTACCCACACAATTTGGAACACATATAGACTGCAGCCCAATAGGAGCTCTAATAATTGCATTTTTTATTACAGAGTCAACAAATTTCATCCAGAAACATGGCAAACATGGAACACAGAAGACAATTTTATTCAAGTCAATGTTTGCTTAATGCAGAGAGGTCCTTAATATGAGCTGAGGCCAAAAAAAAAAAAAAAAAAAAAAGAGAGAATGTTCATCAAGACAGGGCTAGGCAGACCAAGAGTGAACTTAGGAAGGCCATAAAATATCTCACTGGACTCACATCCTTCTTAAATCAATGATCAAAATGTATTTATTTAATGTCTATCATTTTAAAAGATTATTTTAAGAATGAAAGTACATTTTTTTTTTGTTTACTGTCAACTTACTTATCTGTGCTCCAGCATCACTTAAGGATGGTACCACATTTCTGGGAATTGACCCAAAAAAAGCAGTAGTCACAATTATTCTTTAAGAACCATAAAATATTTTAGATTGGGAAAAACAGAAACAAGTAAT